>NC_000023.11:141628626-142327871 GCF_000001405.40 Homo sapiens | reverse complement strand
CTAGAGGAACCGCCAGACCTGAACTCTGCAGAGTGGTCTTGTCCACGAGACAGGGTCAGTCAGACCTGACCACCTTCGTATGCTGGCCTCTCCTGGGGCCCAAGCCTGGCTGCGCCTGCTTGCAGTACAACCTCAAGTATCCAGGGGTAATACCTTCTAGGAGCCCGCTTCATAGCTCTTGGGTTGGTGGACTGCACCTCACTGGCAGAGAGCTCCAGCAGAATGGCCACCATGGACACGCACCGGTCTGCCTGTACCCCTGAAACTTCCACCTCCCCATGCTGCTCTGCCTCCAGGCACTTGCCCACAGTCACCCCCTACATTGTTTTGTCAGCACACGTTTGCACAGGCTGACCTTGTCTTCCTTTCTCTGACAGGGCAGGTGTGCAGATGCACCCTGGCATGATGCTTCTGCCAGGATGAGTGCACCGCCGCCCCTACTTCCTACCCCAGTGCCATTGCCATGGGAGCATGGGTGGCCATGGAGTCTGCCAGTCCCATCCCTGACAGTGCCTGGCTCCTGAGCCCACATGGCCACTAGCATGAAACTAGGCAAGGAAAATAGCGGATCAATTGCCCCACCCTGATTGGCTACTGCCACCCACGTGAAGATGCACACAGTTCTACACCCACCAGCACCGTCCCCCTGTATTAATACCAACATTGACACTAATACACACAGTCACTGGCAGAGAAACCTCCAAGCTGTGCTGCCAATGCCACTGCTACGAATGACCACACAGAAGCCAGTACCCCAGCAACAGCTAGCACCCTGCTGTAGCTGAAGAGCTTGTACCCTGCCATGCTGCCACTGCTGCTGCTCTTGGCACATGCAATCGAGAACAGAATCCCAGTGACATTGCCCTACAAAGTGCTTTGGCTGGCCCAATCCATCAGAGTGTTGTGACCAGTGGTCCATGAGCACCTCAGTCCCTCCAGTAAAGCAGGTTTCCAATTTCAAGGCGTGAGAGAACAAAGCCAGGGCCCAATGCCAGTCCCCCGAAGTTAGAGAATGCAGTCCAGGAGTCTTGAGCTGAGCCTTGGCCCACTAAAATCTTCCAGAAATGAAGCCAGTTGCCTGAACCCACATTATACCATAATCAAATCCCCAAGGTAATCACACAGGATAAAAGAAAACAAATTTCAAAGAACAGCAACTTCAAAGGTTGAATGGACATCAACCCACAAAGATGACAAAGAATCAACAGAAGCACTCTGACAACTCAAAAAACAAGAGTGCCTTTTTTCCTCTAAACCATTGCACTAGTCCTCCATCAAGGGTTCAAAACTGAGATAAGATGGCTGAAAGGACAGAAGTATAAATCAGAATATGAATAGGAATATAGATCATCAAGATTCAGGAGAACATTGAAACCCAGTCTAAGGAAGCTATGAATTACAGTAAAATGGTACAGGAGCTGACAGACAAAATAGCCAGTATACAAAAGAATGTAACTGATCTGATAGAGCTGAATGATAAACACTACAACAATTTTATACCGCAATGGTAAAAATTAATAGCTGCAAAGTCTAAGCTGAGAAAAAAATTTCAGAGCTTGAAGACTGGCTTTCTGAAATAAGACAGTCAGACAAAAGTAAAGACAGAAGAATATAAAGGAATGAATAAAACCTCTGAGAAATATGGAATTCTGTAGAGACCAAATCTACAACTCATTGGCTTCCCTGAAAAAAATGGGGAGAATAGAAGCAACTTGGAAACTATATTTCAATATTTTATCCAGGAGAATTTCCCCAACCTAGTAAGAGAAGCCAACATCCAAATTCCGAAAATGGAGAGAACTTCCTCAAGATGCTTCACAAGAAGATAATCCCCATGACACATAATCATCATATTCTCCAAGATCAAAATGAAAGAAAAAATATTAAAGGCAGCCAGAGAGGAAGGACAGGCCATCTACAAAGGGAAGCTCACCAGACTAACAGAGGACCTCTCAACAGAAACCCTACAAGACAGAAGAGATTGGGGGCCTATATTCAACATTCATAAAGAAAAGAAATTGCAACCAAGAATTTCCTATCTGGCCAAACTGAGCTTCATAAGCGAAGGAGAAAAAAGATCCTTTTCAGACCAGAAAATGCTGAGGAAAATTGTTACCACCAGACCTGCCCTAAAAGAACTCCTGAAAGAAGCACTAAATATGGAAAGGAAAGAACATTACTAGCCACTACATAAACAGACTGAAGTACACAGACCACTGACACTATAAAGCAACCACACAAACAACTCTGCATAATAACCAGCTAACAGCATGATTACAGGATCGAATCCACACATACCAATACTAACCATCAGTGTAAACAGGATAAATGTCCCAATTAAACAGCACAGAGTAGCAAGCTGGATAAAGAAGCAAGACCCAATGAAATGTTGTTTCCAAGAGACCCATCTCACATGCAGTGACACACATAGGCTCAAAATAAAGGGATGGAGAAAAACTTACCAAGAAAATGGAAACAGAAAAAAGCAGGGGTTGCAATCATAATTTTATACAAAACAGACCTTAAATAAACAAAGATCAAAAAAGACAAAGAAGGGCATTACATAATGGTGAAGGGTTCAATTCAACAAGAAGACCTAATTACCCTAAATATATATGCACTCAACACAGGAGCACACAGGTTCACAAAGCAAGCTCTCAGAGACCGTCAAAGAGACTTGGACTCCTATACAATAATAGTGGGGGTCTTCAATACCCCACTGACAGTATTAGACAGATCACTGAGGCAGAAAATTTACAAAGATATTCAGGACTTGAACTCAACACTGGACCAAATGGGCCTGATAGACATCTACAGAACTCGCTACCCCCCCAAAACCAGAATATACATTCTTCTCGTCACCACATGGCATGTATTCTGAAATTGACCACACAGTCAGACATAAAATAATCTTCAGCAAATGTAAAAGAGCTATTATATCACCTACTCTCTTGGACCATAGTGGAATAAAAATAGAAATCAAGACTAAGAAAATTGATTTAAAAAACATACAAGTACATGAAAATGAAATAACCTGCTATTAAACGACTTTTGGATAAACAATGAAATTAACATAGAAATCAAGAAGTTCTTTGAAACTAATGAGAACAAAGATACAGCACACGAGAATCTCTGGGACATGGCTGAGGCAGTGTTAACAGGAAAATTTATAGCACTAAATAAATGCCCACACTCAAAAGGTAGAAAGATCTCAAATTAGCAACCTAATGTCACACATAAATGAACTAGAGAAGCAAGAGCAAACGAAACACAAAGCTAGCAGAAGACAAGAAGAATTAGAACTGAACTAAAAGAGACTGAGACAGGAAAAAGCATTCAAAAGATCAAGAAATCCAGGAGCTGTTTTTTTTTTTTTTTTTTTTTTTTTTTGTAAACAGCTCCTGGATTTCTTGATCTTTTGAAAAAAAAAAAAAGAAAAACTAAATAAGATAGACCACTAGCTATGCTAATAAAGAAAAAAGAGAAGATTCAAATAAATACAATTAGAAATAACAAAGGGGTTGTCACCACTGATCCCACAGAAATACAAATAACCATCTGAGACAAAAACCATGAACACCTCTATGTACACAAACTAGAAAAGCTAGAAGAGCTGGATATATTCCTGGACACATACACCCTCCCAAGACTGAACCAGGAAGAAATTGCAAACCTGAACCGACCCATAATGAGCTCTGAAATTGAATCAGCAATAAACAGCCTACAAACCAAAAATAAAAAAATAAAAAAATAAAAAAGCCCAGGACCAAACAGATATACAGACAAATTCTACTAGATGTACAGAGAAGAGCTGGTACCATTCTTACTGAAAATATTCCAAAAAATTGAGGAGGAAGGACTCCTCTCCAACTCAATCTATGAGGCCAGCATCATACTGATACCAAAACCTGGCACACGCACAATAAAAAAAAAATTGAGGCCACTATCTCTTATAAGCATTGATGCAAAAATCCTCAACAAAATACTAGCAAATCAAATTCAGCAGCACATCAAAATGCTAATCCACCACCATAACGTAGGCTTTGTCCCTGGGACGCAAGGTTGGTTCAACATATGCAAATCAATAAATGTGATTCATCAAACAAACAGAACTAGTGACAAAAACCACATGATCATCTCAATAGATACTAAAAAGGCTTTTGATAAAATTTATCCTGTTTATGTTAGAAATGCTCAACAAAATAATTATTGAAGAAACATAATTCAAAATAATAAGAGCCATCTATGGCAGACCCACAGCCAGCATCATACTGCATGGGCAAAAGCTAGAAGCATTCTCCTTGAAAACCTGAAAAACACAAGGATGCTCTCTCACTATTCATATTCAACATAGTATTCTAAGTCCTAGCCAGAACAATCAGGCAAGAGAATGAAATAAATGGGATCCAAATAAGAAGAGAGGAAGTCAAATTATCCCTGTTTGCAGATGACATAATCCTGTATCCAGAAAACCCCATAGTCTCAGCCAAAAGCTCCTTCACCTGATGAAAAATTCAGCAAAGTTTTAGGATACAAAATTATCATACAAAAGTCACTAGCATTCCTATACACCAACAACCTTCAAGCAACAAGCCAAAACAGGAATGTAATACCATTCACAGTTGCTACAAAAAGAATAAAATATCAAGGAATACACTTTCTCTATACTTTGTCTCTGTGTCTTATTTCTTTTCTCAGTCTCTCGTCGCACCTGAAAAGAAACACCCACAGGTGTGGAGGGGCTGGCCCCCTTCAATACAGCTAACTCAAAGAGGGAAATAAAAGACACTGGGGACTACCTGAGGGTGGAGGGTGGGTGGAGGGAGAGAATCACAAAAAATAATTATTGGATACTAGGCTTAGTACCTTGATGACAATATAATCTACACAACAACCCCCGCGACATGAGTTTGCCAAAATAACAAAACTGCACATGTACCCCGAACCTAAAATAAAAGTTTAAAAAAAAAATACAAAGAAAAAATAAGAATATGCCACAGAAAAATGGTCAAAGCATATGAAGAGAAATTCATCCAAAAAATACAAATACAAAATTACTTAGCTTCATAATCATAAAAAAATGCAATTCCTCCACCAGTTCCTAAATATTTTTTTAAAAAACATGAAAAATATTGACTACTAAATTACTTAAAAAATAACCATGGAACAATGGACTAAATGGAGTATAATGAATCTAATGTAATAGGCCCTGATATGGTAGATATAAATCTAATATGAAAAGGCTTGGTACTTGGAATCAAAAACTTCAACTTTATAGCTGGAGGATGAAGGAGAAATGAAGCAGTAACAACATGTATTGGGGGAAAAAAAAGAAACCTCTCAGGAATTACGTGAATAGAGAATTCAACAGGACCCAATAGTGTAATATATGAAATCCCCTTACCAAACCTAACATTAACTGAAATACAGTAATTTTCTCTGTTAAAAAAAATCTGCCTTATTTTATAAATATCAAACAAGCCTGTGAATGTGGCAATAATCTATTTGAGAGAGAGAGAGAGAGAAGGGAAGGAGCGAGGAAGAGAAGGAGGGACGAAGACTACTGTGGAATGCAATATAAGTCACGTGGATCCTGCAGTTTAGCAAGTTTCATGAACAAGAAAACTTTGCACTAGACAGTGTGGGGCATTATCAAGGCCAGTTTTTGTGCAGGACAGGACACAATGCTGTAGCTGTGATGGCTGGTAAAACGGTGAGGGTGACAAGGCCCCAGGGAACTAAAATCGTTAACCACGGTTTTCTCAACTATAATCTTGAACAAACACTCAACCACCGTCCACCCAGCTTCAAAGCCAGTTTCCCAATCAACCCACCAAGTGCCTTAAATGCTGTTATTCAAAAAGTACGTCTTCCTTTTGGACATACTGAATCCCTCATTTAGCCTTGCAGATGGGGGAACATGGAGAGCTAGAGTCCAAGACCATCTGCAGGGCCCAAGTATCAGGAGAGAGCTCCAATAGCTGGGTGGAAGCAGAAGAACTAGGGCACTGAAAAGATCCACTCAACTCAGACACAGAGAACTGAATTCTCCTACATCTTCCACATTATCCACCAAATATAAAAATTACAGGTAACCAAATATGGGTGCGCTATAGAGATCAAATTATCAGGTGATGATGTTGTATTAGATAATCTTTGAGCTCCTTTTTAAATGGAAATTTTGCCATTGTTTACATTGATTGCCATGCCACAAAAGAAGAGTGTAAATATAATAATTGCTTGGAGTTAGACATATTTGTATATGAGTCCTATTGTTGTTTTTTATAGCTGTGTGAAGTGAACAAGATACTTAACCTCTCTAAGTCTTGGTTTCCAAACTCAAAAAAAAAATGAGGATGAAATGGAGATGATAGTTTTATACTCAACAGAAAGGCATGAGGAAGAAGCAAGATAACAGTACTTTTTGATAAACAAGAATGGGGCAGGAGAAACACTCTTATGCTTAATACAAACTACACTTGAACATTCGTAGATTTTTGACTTCAAAAGAGACAATAAGTTCACTAGAGAAATTATTCGACTGAGGCCCTCTACTTGCATCTTTAATTACACAGCCTATATTGTAAATAGGAGGGTCCACTTATCAAGATCATGTAGTTCCAAGGTGACTTTTCAGAAACAGAATTAAAAACAGTATCCCGTTGTATTACATTGTGCTTATCAAAAAACTCTTCTATTGCAAATCTCCATGGTACTCCTTTCCAGCTGCTGTGTGAAAATGCTGTTCTATCACTTGTCTTTGTGTTTACATAGCACAATGTAATCTTACGTTGTGTGCGTGTGTGTGTGTGTCTGTACATAAACACATTTTCAAATAACTCAGTAAATCCTTCAGAGTGAGTATAACCAGATAGCCGTGCAGGTTATTGATACAATACATTGTATCCCAGATGATAAGGTCTGAATTTCATTTAGTTGAACAGGAAAGCACTTTTTCTGTAAGTCATTTTCGATAATCTTTCGTTTGCTCAGAGAGGTCAGAATGATGGAATGCTTCTATCTCCACTTTCTTATCCCACTGGCCTTGTAACTCAGATCTCAAAAGTCAAACCTGTGTTAATTCCTCCCACCCTCTAACCCAAAGCAAGATGCCGCCTAGAACAAATTAAATCCAGGTGTTGTAACAATCTTTGCCAGTTCTTGAAGTAATCTGTTGCAGAGTTCTTTGGAAACTTAGAAATAAGTAGGATTAAAAACTTTGGAGCCACCATCTTTCAAAGAAGTGCTTTTAGACATTAAACATTCTTCAAAGATGGCTGCAAAATTTAATCTAAAGTTGACATTTAAGTAATACTTGTTTCCAGATGGTTTTGGAATGACTTTTTAGGTCTCAAAGATGAGAAGTTTGACATACGTATTTTTTTCATCATTATCTACTCATTGAGAAATCGGGCATTGCCTTGGGTGAGCTTCTGCACCTCATATTAGTATATGTGTATACCAGCATACCTGCATAAAACATTCAGGATACCACCGTTGACACAAATGGAAGTAACATCAGCAATGTAAATGTATAGAAATATTTGAAATTGTAATGAATTCATACAAAGCAATCTTAAAATGGTTCAGATGCAGGTAGGTTTCAAATAAAACCTGAAGGACCCTGCTTTCACTTTAATAATCCAAGACAGACACTGATGCAGATGGTTGTATTTTAGGGCATATAGTTGTTTCATACTCCTCGGAGGTGGTTGCAGTGTTTATTATATAAGCCAGATCGGCAGAGATGATACAATCTGCATGCATTTAGAAAGTGACAGTTTGAACTTGATTTCTGAATGTGGGCTTTAAACTCAGGAATATAGTGTCAGTCAACATTTTACTTTCATATTTGGTAATCACTACTGTTAGTTACTTTTTCTACCAAAGACACAGGACTTTGTAAAGTGGCTTAGGGATAGGTACTCAGGTTTCTCAGTGGGACAGGAAGCCAATTGGTATTATTTTCGGTTCAGATATCTCCACGAGTTTTCTAGTTAGTGAATAATTGTGAGTGTCCAATTCATTTATTATCGTCCTCTCTGAAGGCTATCCAAAAAGCAGGGATATTCAGATGGTTGCTAGGTTTGCATATACTGATATAAACCCACTTTTCACCTGTAAAATTAAATCCCTTGAAGCAATTTTCTAAAGAAAAGAAGAAGGTATTATTCAATACATTATGGCACTGGTTAGAAGACCTAAAATGAATTACAGTGGAATAAAACATCCAATCAGAGAGCAATTTCACCCAAATTCAAAGATTATATGCATGAAGTAGCATAGATCCTTACTGATAAATGATATCATTTGGGAGGGTAGTTTGGCAATTCTGAGTCATTAACCTGCCTGACTATATACCTTACTGTTGATGACAGTCAATAAAAATAATGCAAGAAATACATTATAAATTGTCATAAATCATTACACTGGAGTATTTACAATACTTACAAAACATTACTTATGATCACCTGGCACGTGGAAGACTTCATCAATCATCTCCCTTGCAATTTAAAAATTCACGTGACGAATTCTAGCCACACGGAAAGGGCATGGTTTCCTCTGGATTCAAGCAATAAAAAAGCTATGATTAGTTATCTAATCACTCTTATTCCTTGCTGCTTCCACCTAAGAGGTCATCTTCTCTAGATGAGACTATAGGATGGCGGAAACTCTATCAGCTCATATCACTGAGCTGCTGTCTAAAGCAATATTTTCCTAAAGACTTGTATTAACTCACTTTGGGTAATTGAAAATAAACCTTTTTTTTTTTTTTTTTTTTTTTTTGAGACTGAGTCTTGCTCTGTCTTCAGGCTGGAGTGCAGTGGTGCGATCTCGGCTCATGGCAACCTCCGCCTCCCGGGTTCAAGCAATTCTGCCTCAGCCTCCCAAGTAGCTGGGATTACAGGCCCCCACCACCACGCCTGGCTAATTTATTTGTTCTTTTGAAAATAAATCTTTTGATAAGTCTTGCGATTTGGGGCTTGTCATTTAACCAAGAAAAAAATATCACCAATTCTGCATACATTAAAGGTGGACAGATAAAAAAATGAGATAGGCAGTCATTCCCCATAGATTCAAGTCTAGATTGCTGGTCCACTCAACCAAGGTTATGTCTCTGTGGGTGGTGGGCGGGGATAGTTCAGAGTCCATTCTGGATGAAATTAACCTCTTTCAAGACTGGGGATGAAGCAGGAACTTGAGCGGGGGTAGAAGGAAGAGAAAGCAGGACAATTTACATCAGACTTAAAGCTCAAAATGGTCTCAAATCTTGGCTGCTGTTTAGTAGCACATTTTTACAAGTAACCCAAGTAAGATCTTGACACAGACTGATTCTACACTGATACTTACTGAACCAGATGGTAAAAGAAAGGATCAGCATCCTCAAAATATGAAAGGTAACCAGATTTTACTGGTGTCTGCTTGCTTGCTTTCTTTGTTTCTTTCTTTCTTTTTTTGTTGAGACGCAGTCTCGCTGTGTCGCCCAGGCTGGAGTGCAGTGGTGGGATCTCGGCTCACTGCAAGCTCCGCCTCCCGGGTTCACGCCATTCTCCTGCCTCAGCCTCCCGAGTAGCTGGGACTACAGGCGCCCGCCACCACGCCCGGCTAAATTTTTTCTATTTTTAGTAGAGACGGGGTTTCACCGTGTTAGCCAGGATGGTCTGGATCTCCTGACCTCGTGATCCACCCGCCTCGGCCTCCCAAAGTGCTGGGATTACAGGTGTAAGCCACTGCGCCCGGCCTGGTGTCTGCTTTCTATATGTTCACCAAGCGATTCCCAATTTTCACTAAATAGGCATAATGGAACTATTTCAGGGTTAATAAATGATGGTTTAGCAGTGACTTTTGTCCTGGGATAAGAATTTGGATTCTGTAAACTTGAGAAGATTCATGGTATTATGGAGAATGCAGACAGACCAAGAGAAGAAAAGAAAAAGACAAAGAAAAACGAAGAATAGAAATAGAGGCAGGAGAATTGGAAATGTCTGTGTCCAATTGTTTCTAGGCTCTGAGACTTCCAATAGTGAAAGACAGGGGAAACAGATGTCAGGGGGCATGCCAATGAGCAGAGGCTTCAGGTAAATGGCTGAGCTTATATATTATAGGTATGAAATGAGGTAACAGAAAACACTGTGACTGACAGTTGTTGGGAAAAAAATGTTGAAAATCTGTTATCAAAAGGAAAATATTAAAAAGTAAGAGCCTCTTTCTTTTAGGGTTCAGAACACAACAATCAAGATAATTGCAATGAATTTTCTGTATTTGTTTCTCCTATAAATTATGAATGAATGTATATTTTCATGGTCAAATTAGAAATCAGATTCCTTTAAAATGAATCAAAAAAGCTCCTGTATGCCAAAAATCTCAGGATGACCAGGACTTTCTATAACTTGCTGGCATTTCTTCATTTGTAATTCAGCCCCTCCTCCCAAGATATGATTTGATGTATTTCCCTCTCAGTATAATACTAGCAACAATTGTAACATTTGTATTCAAACAGTATGTTAAAAGTTTCAAAGTAGTTCCATGCCATTGTATTTAATTCACATAACAACCCTTTGAGATGGCTTTTAACATTATTTTGAAGAAGATGACGTAGCTGAACCTCAAAGCAGCAAGGTCACCTGTATATGGTTATGCAGCTAGGAATCTCCGAGTTCACATTTGAATGCAATAATCCCTGATTTCAGGAGTAAATGCTTTCTCCTCTATTTTAGCCTCTGGATTGAGACAGTGGGTAGTAGAATCTCCATTTACAGATACTAAATTGAGAAATACAATGGCATTATATTTTGGAATATGATTTTCATATCATCTAGAATGGCTATAATTTATTTATTGAAGTAAATTTACTTATGTTCACCACACTTCAATAAAATTACTTTACCCTATAGATATAGACATCAGATCAGTGTTTACCTGGGATGGGGGAAGCATTCCATGGTGTATATGTACCACATTTATTTTATTAAAGTGTAACGAAAGTAAAATTAAATGCACACATTTTAAGTGTACATTTTAATGAATTTTGACAAATGTATACAATTGGGTAATCCAGACCTCATTCAAATAATGGGACACATCATCCCAGAAAGTTTCTTTGTGCCCTATTATATTCAACTGCCTTCCCCCACCCAGGCAAACACTGATCAGATGTCTATATCTATAACTTATTTTTGTTGGTGCTATAACTTCATATAAATAAAATCATACAATATATTCTTTTTATGTCTAGCTTTGTTTACTCACTATACATTTTTTAAATTCACCCATGTCATTGTAGTATCAGTAGTTTACTCTCTTTTCTAAATTACTGAATCATATGACATTGTATGTGCGTATCACAATTGGTTTATCTACACACCTATTGGTAGACGTTAGGTATTTTTCAGTTTTGAGGTGTTATTAGGTTGGCACAAAAGTAATTGTGGTTTTTGCAGCACCTAATTTAAATAAAGCTGCTATATGCATTCTTATACAAGTTTTTGTGTAAATATATGCTTTTACGTTGCAAAGATAAATACCAAGGATTGAAATTGCTGAATTATAGGATAAATGTATGTTTAACTTTATTAGAATGTGTCAAGCTGTTTGCCAAGGTTGTTGCACAATTTGCCCCTACCACCAGCAAAGGATTACAGTTTCAGTTGTTCTACATCCCTCATCAAAACTTGGTGTTATTAGTCTTTTACATTTTAGCCATTTTAGATGTTGTGCGACAGTATCTGATTGTCGTTTTAATTAGTATTTCCCTAAGGAATAATAATGTTAAGACATGTCGTTATTTGCCTTCCCTATATTTCCTTCTGTGACCTATATGTTCAAATCTTTTCCTATTTTTAAAATCATGTTGTTTGACTTCCAGTTATTGAGTTGTAAGTTCTTTACATATTCTGGATACAAGTCTTTTGACTGACAAACATGTATTTTGAGGAGCTTCTTCCTGTCTGTGACTTGCCTTTTTATTTTCTTAACAATATTTTTTAAAGAGCATAAGTTTTAGTTTTAAGTTCAAGTTATTGTGTTTCCTGTGTTTTATTTTGGTTTATGATATATTGGGTTTTTTTTTTTTTTTTGCTTTACAAGAAATTACCACAAACTTAGTGACTTAAAACAACACACATTTTTTACCTCACAGTTTCTGTTGGTCAGGAGTCTGAATATGGCTCAGCTTGGTCCTATACTCAGTGTCTTATAAAACTATCATCAAAGGGTCAGCCAGGACTGTGGTCTGGAGTCTCAACTGTGAAAAATCTTCCTCCAAACTCACTCAGGTTGTTAGCAGAATTTTTTTTGGCAGTTGTAGGATAAAGGGCCCTGGCTTTGGGGGATTTTTTTTCTTCTGTGATCAGAAATCTTCCCTCAGTTCTTAAAGGCCGACAGCAGTTCCTGGAGGACTCCCACAGTTCCTTACCAAGTCAAGTAACAAGATGAAGTTTAACATAATAAAATATAATAAAATGAATAACATCCCATCATTGTTGCCATATTCTTGGACTATAAACAAGTCTCAAATCCTACCCACATTCAAAAAGAATGGATTCCACGAAACTGTGAATATCCAGAGTTGGTGATCTTAAGGAACCACGTTAGAGTCTGACTGTCACATACAGTTTATGCTTTTCATGTGCTGTCTGAACAATTGTTGCCTAATACTAGGTAATAAGTAATTTTCTCTATCATTTCTCCTAGAGATTTTTTACTTTTAGGTTTTACATTTAAGTCTATGACCCACTTGGAATGAAATGTATGTGAGTGTGTGTGTGTGTGTGTGTGTACATTTGCCTGTGTATGTCTGGTGTGAGCAAGGTTCCCAGATTATATTTTGTATGGATAGCTTATTAGTCTAGAACCATTTGCTGAAAATAGTATCTTCTACACTAAATTATATAGCTTCCTTTTTCAAAAATCAATTGGCCACCTAACTGTGGAACTATTTCTGAACTTTATTTTAATATTTCCAACCAGGATTCTGTAAGGTAAGTGAGAACTGCAAAAAATTATTTGAATGACTTTGTTCTCGATTCTCTCAAGGATAATACAGAGTTAATATCATATAAAATGGCATAGAATACAAGTTAATTCATTACATGGATTCCTTAGGGCATCAACAATTAGATTCTCTCACGGAAATCTATTTGAAACCTGGCTTATTCCATTGGATTCTATGCTTTTCTTTTTTCTTTTTTTTTGAGATGGAGTCTGGCTCTGTCGCCCAGGCTGGAGTGCAGTGGCGTAATCTCGGCTCACTGCAAGCTCGGCCTCCCGTGTTCACGCCATTCTCCTGCCTCAGCCTCCAGAGTAGCTGGGACTACAGGCGCTTGCCACCACGCCCGGCTAATTTTTTGTAATTTTTAGTAGAGACGGGGTTTCACCGTGTTAGCCAGGATGGTCTCGATCTCCTGACCTCGTGATCCGCCTGCCTCGGCCTCCCAAAGTGCAGGGATTACAGGCGTGAGCCACTGCGCCCGACTGGATTCTGTGCTTTTCTTTATGTCAATACCACACTATATTGATTGCTACAATTTTGGAGCAGTGGTTCTCAACCAGTAGCAATTTTGCTCTCCAAAGGGATATTTGGCAATGTCTACAGGAACGTTTGGTTTTCAAAACTGGGTGTGGTGGCAGCAGTACTGATATCTAGAATGCAGAGAACTGAGATTCTGGTAAACCTCCACAGGACGGCCACCCCGCAATTAATATTTATTAGGCCCAATAAATTAGTGCTGAAGTTGAGAAACACTGTTTTAGAGTAATCCTTGATATAAGAGAGTAAACTGCTCTAACTTGTTCTCTTTCAAAACAATTTTGTCTCTCATAGATCCGTTTTATTTCTATATAGATTTTAGAATCAGGTTGCTTGATTTTTTATTGGAATTGCATTGACAATATACAAAATACTTCACCTTAATAATATTGACTCTTGCAATCTATCAGCATAGTATATGCCTGACAGTTATTTTAAGTATTCATTAACTATCTTCAGCAACATTGTAGTTTTCAGTTTACTGATAGTGCTCATATTTGGTTAATTATTTTTGATGCTATCATACATTGTATTTTTTAAATCTATTTGAATCTTTTATCACTTATGTATGGGAATTTAATCACTTTTTATATATTTAACTTGCATCGTCTGGCCTTCCAAAATCATTTTCAATTCTGGTATTTTTCATTTTCTACATAGGAAATCACATATTCTGGAAATAGAAACCATATAATTATTTACATTCACACATTATGCCCTTTGTCTTGCCTTATTAAACTAGCTACTATTACCAGTAAAAGAGTGAAGGTAAATAGAGTGACCTCTTGGCTTAGTCACTGATCTTAGGGAGAAAACAGTCAGTCATTGACTATTAGCGATTATGGGAACTATATGTTTTTCATTAATATTCTTTATCAGGTTTCAGAAGTTTATTTTCATTTCATGTGATTTAACTGTGATTTAAAAGAAAATGACCAATTTCAACTAAATAATGAAATGTATGATATAACATTCATATAATGTTGACTTATTATTTTTATATCCAATTCCATTTATTTACTGTTTTAAAACTTACATTTTAAAAGCTTAACATTTATCTTTTATGAACTTGTTTTTTGGTATACCAGAATTTTATTATTTCCAACTTAGAAAGAGATCACCTGCTCTTTCCTATTTTGCTTATGCAATATTAAGCTCTTCTTTGTATGTGGAACTCATCAGTTTGTTTCCTATGTATCAGCTGGGATTTTTCTAAACTTCCACAGTAACTGCCTGGAATTTCTTGTTAGCTTATGAGGCACCTTGATTTTTTATCTTTCAGAGGTATGTTCCAGTGACCTGAGAAAGGGTGTCTTAGACTAATCTCTCCTGCTTGGCCATGGTATGTTTCTTCTAGAGTTTGCCATAAGTAGTTTAATTGCCTCCCTGTAACTTCACTGAGTAAATCACAGGGATGATTTCATGTACATTAAGCTTCTACTTGTATTTATTTTTCATGGGCCAGATGATGAAGTGGGGAGGGAGGGAGCTCTTGGGTCTTCCAGATTATCTTCCTGCCAACTTCTCAGTGAAATCTGCTTTTGGAAGGAGTCAGAGGGCCCTGTAGACCAATTTCCTGAAAGAGGCATTTTATTAATACCTCATACATAGTGTTATATAAACATCATCTTGTTTTCCTTCAGCTTCCTCTTCTACCTCCCAGTCTTTTGAATCCTCAGGGAGCAAGTTGTACAAGGCAGTAACTTTCTTCAACAAATAGGTTGTCTTTCTATTTGAAGAATTATTAAGGGCTTCCACATTCCTCACTTTTACAGTGTTTTAAATCTTTGAACAGTTTTTAAAGCTCTAATAATTATGGTCCCCAACCTCATCTTTCATGATCATTTCCTCTTTATCTGAGTAATATTTTCAGTTCTTGATTGCCTCTTCTTCTGAGCCCTTTGTACTCTTCTGAGTTTTCCAGATACACTGCTGTCTAGCAATGACTCTTTATCTCTCAAAGACATTTTCTCAGATGTCATCCTGGGACTTTTTCTGGAACAAATTCATATTAATAATTACAAGAGACCCCTTCAAAAATGCAGTTGTACAGGGGAGGCAAAGAAAGGCATTTCTCAGGGAAGCCATAGCACTCAATAATGGTATCTGGCTTTCTTTTCCCATCACTGAGAGGGTTCTGGACTTTGGATTTCAAACTCAGGTTAACAGCTTCCATGCTGGAGCAGAATGGCCTCTCCTGATGGAGCTAGTTCACAACTTCAGTAGACTTGGATACTTTTGACTTCAGAGTATTTTGGCTCTTAATCACCTGGCCCTCATCTCTGGCTTTTCCTTTTTTTTACTTTATCTGGAAGTGACAGGACTTTGAGAATAGCACTCTTCTTTTCTTTACCCAAGTTCATCTCCATGACAAAGCCTGACTTTAAGATCTCTGTAATTGACAACTTCAAGATACTGCTCCAGCAGCATAGAAGTCTTTTGCTTATCTTCATATATAACGCTGTTTTCATCATCAAGAGGGTTTATAGAGGACATCCATGCTTTTACAAGAATTCATTGAAATTAGATTGTGCTACACCATATTCTCTAGCATGGCTTTACTATAGGCTAGGTCATACAAATGGATTTTTTTAAGTCTTCTAGAACTGTATTGCAGGGGATCTATTGCCATAGTTTATTCTCACTTCCTCCTTCTAAAAGCCTCCTCTAGGGGATTTTCTATATGGAGCAGTATTAGAAAGGCCTTTAGGGTGTAGCTTCCTCCCCTGAGTGATACAAAGCCCATCTGTTTTTCAGGAATATCGTCAGTTTCTATGTCAATAGTAGTAGTAAAGATGCTGGTCACACTACCTATTTCACAGCTGTTAGCTTCTTAGTAAATACATCGTGTTTTGTATTTGTTTTCAGCCTGTTGAGGATCTGTTCAGATCTCATTAGTGCTTTTTTTTCTTTCTCCAAAATTATAGTGCCAGAAATGTGCTGCATGATACAATGTAGCAAATACAATCACTTGGTTAACTCTGGCAGGCAACTGAGATTGTGGGATAAAAAACAGGATATTCACTCAGCAAGAGTGAGTAGCATGAAAAATACAGATTTCCATTTTTGAAACCTGGCCCAAGAACACAGAAAGGGTTCCTATAGATAGGATTCTGATGCTACAGGCCCTGGAAAAGCTGCAGGCCATGGCATGCTCATACAAAATGGGTCTGGCCTTGCTGTCCTCAAAATATGCACTGTTTTCTGAAGATGAGTTTATTTTCTAGGTTGCTCATACAAGACTCTGGCAATCTGGAACATCTTCAAATTAAAAGTATTTTAATGTTTGTAGGATATGTGTGATAATTTAACTCCTGATATTTGTAATTTGTCTTGTTTTCTTGATTAGTCTTACAAAGAGGTTAGCAATTTTGCAAAGAGCCCATTTTTGCCTTTGTAAATTTTCTTTATTTTACATACTATGTCAATTGTTTGGGGTTATTTCATGGCCCAGCATATGGGCTATCTTGGTGACTGTATCATGGGCAATTGGAAAGAATATGTTTACATTTATTGCACATAGGATTCTGTAAACATTGATTAGTTTAAAGTTGATTTAAATTTGCTTGACTGTGTTATTCAGGTCTCCCATATTGTTACTGATTTTTGTCTACTTTTATCAATTACTGAGAGAAAGGTGCAAAAATCCCTAGCCAAAATTGTAACTGTTGATACTTCTAACTTGGTCGGCTTTTGCTTTATAAAGTTTAATTCTCTGTTACTAGATATATACATGTTTATGACTTATTACTTCCTGATGAACTGTTCATTTTAGCACTATGAAATCTTTCTCTGTATCTCGTAAAACACTGTTTTAATTTTTCAGATTTTAACATAACCTCTCCAGCTTTCTTACTCTTACTGTGTACACAGTACGTATTCCATTTTATTTTCCTTTTTTAACTTTTATTTTAAGTTTAGGGGTACATGTGCAGGCTTGTTATACAGGTAAACTCATGTCATGGGGCTTTGTTGTACAGATTATTTCATCACCCAGGTGTTAAACCTAGTACCCATTAGTTATTTTTCCTGATCCTCTTCCTCCTCCCACCCTATACCCTCCAATAGGTCCCAATGTCTCTTGCACCTCTCTGTGTGTCCATGTGTTCTTATTACTTAGCTCCCACTTATAAGTGAGAACATGTGGTATTTGATTTTCTGTTCCTACTTTAGTTTGCTAAGGATAATGACCCCAAGCTCCATCCATCATCTCATTCTTTTTGTGGCTGCATAGTATTCCATAAGTGCATGTGTACCACATCGTCTTTATACAGTCTACCATTTATTGGCATTTAGGTTGATTCCATGAATAGTGCTTCAGTGAACATTAGTATGCATATGTCTTTCTGATAGAATGACTTATATTCCTTTGGGTATATACTTAGTAACAGAATTGCTAGGTCACGTGGTTGTCGTGTTTTTAGGTCTTTGAGGAATTGCCGCACTGTTTTCCCCAATGATTGAACTAATTTACAGTCCCACCAACATTGCACAAGCATTCCATTTTCTCTGAAACCATCCCAGCATATGATACGTTTTGACTTTTTAATCATAGCCATTCTGACTGGCATGAGATGGTATCTCATCATGGTTTTGATTTGCATTTCTGTAATGATCGGTGATGTTGAGCTTTGTTTTTCATGTGCTTGTTGGTCACATGTATGTCTTCTTTTGGGAAGTGTCTGTTCATGTCTTTTGCCCACTGATTAATAGGGTTGTTGTTTTTTTTCTCATACATTTGTTTAAGTTCCTTATAGATGCTGGATATTAGACCTTTTTCAGATGCATAGTTTGCACAAATTTTCTCCCATTTTATAGGTTGTCTGTTTATTCTGTTGATAGTTTACTTTTCTGTGCAGAAACTGTTTAGTTTAATTTGATCCTGCTTGTTAATTTTTGCTTTCGTTGCAATTGCTTTTGGCATCTGTGTCATGAAATTTTTGTCCATTCCTATGTCCAGAATGGTATTGCCTAGGTTGTTTTCCAGGGTTTTTATAGTTTTGGGTTTTACATTCTAGTCTCTAATCCATCTTGAGTTAATTTTTGTATATGGTGTAAAGAAGGTGCCCAATTTCAATCTTCTGCATATGACTAGGCAGTTACCCAGCACCATTTATAGAATAGAGAGTCCTTTCACCATTGCTTGTTTTTGTCAACTTTGTCCAAGATCAGCTAGCTGTAGGTGTATGGCCTTATTTCTGGACTCTCTATTCTGTTCCATTGGTCTATGTGTCTGTGTTTGTACAAATACCATGGTCTTTTGGTTGCTATAGCCCTGTGGTATAGTTTGAAGTCAGGTAGTGTGATGCCTCCAGGTTTTTTTCCTTTTGCTTAGGATTGCCTTGGCTATTTTGGCTCTCTTTTGATTCCAAATGGATTTTTAAATAGTTTTTCCTAGTTCTGTGAAGAACGTCTTTGATAGTTTTGCAGGAATAGCGTTGAATCTGTAAATTGCTTTGCGCAGTATGGCCATTTTAAAGATATTGATTCTTCCCATCCATGAGCATGAAATGTTTTTTTCCATCTGTTTGTGTCATCTGCTTTTTTTTTTTCTTTGTGCAGTGGTTTGTAGTTCTGCTTGTAGAAATCTTTCACCTTTCCAGTTAGCTGTATTCCAAGGTATTTTATTCTTTCAGTGGCAATTGCAAATGAGATTGTGTTCTTCATTTGGCTCTCATCTTGGCCATTATTGGTGTATAAGAATGATCATGATTTTTGTACATTGATTTCATATCCTGAGCCATTGCTTGTCAGCTTAAGGAGCTTTTGGGGTGAGACTATGGGGTTTTCTAGGTATAGAATCATATCATCTGCAAACAGGAATAGTTTTACTTCCTCTCTTCCTATTTGGATGCGCTTTATGTCTTTCTCTTGCCTGACTGCCCTGGCCAAGTACTTCCAACATGATGTTGAATAGGAGTGGTGAGAAAGGACATCTTTGTCTTTTGTGGGTTTTCAAGGAGAATGCATCTAGCTTTTGCCCATTCAGTAGGATGTTGGCTGTGGGACTGACATACATGGCTGTTATTATTCTGAGGTATGTTCTTTCAATACCTACTTTAGTGAGAGTTTTAACATGAAGGGATGTTAAATTTTATTGAAAGCCTTTTCTGTCTCTGTTGAAATATTCATGTGGATTTAATTTCAATCTACTTCTGTCTTTAATGTCTCTTTTGTTTCCTATAAGTAATTTCTTATTAGGTCTTAATTTTTTATCAAATCTGAAAATCTCTGCATTCTAATTAAAGTGTTTAATCAATTTACTTTAAATGGGATTGTTGAAATCATTGGATTTTATTCTGTGATTCTGGTATATTTTTCCACTTTGCACATCTCTTTTTGATTTGCTCCTCTATTGCTCTTTTCTTCTCATCTTTTGCTTGAATTAAATTTTTTACATTCCGTTTTATTTTGTACATTGTCTTCATGGATATACCTCTTTTAATTTCTTTAGTGACTTTACTAGGATTAATTATATGTTATCTTAATCTATCAAAGTCTAATCAATATTGCAACACCAGCCAGGCATGGTGGCTCACACCTGTAATCCCAGCACTTTGGGAGGCCGAGGTGGGCAGATCATGAGGTCAAGAGATCGAGATCATCCCGGCCAACATGGTGAAACCCTGTCTCTCCTAAAAATACAAAAATTAACTGAGCTTGTTGGTGTGTGCCTGTAGTCCCAGCTACTTGGGAGGCTGAGAATTGCTTGAACTGGGGAAGCGGAGGTTGCAGTGAGCCAAGATTGTGCCACTGCACTCCAGCTTGGTGACGGAGCGAGACTCCATCTCTCTGTCTCTTTCTTTCTTTCTCTCTCTCTCTCTCTATATATATATACACATATATATACACATATACATATATACGTATATATACACATATATACGTATATATATATATACACACATATATATGGATCTCAACATCATACGTCATATTTTATACCTTCGCTTTCATGGTTACTATTTCATACTTCCCACTTTTTATTTAACAGCAGACATTTTACACTTCCCCATTTCCAACTTCCCACTTCACATTGCCAAGTAGCACTTATGGAACATTGCCACACAGACTTCAGGGACCTTCCTTTGCACATCTTTCTCCTTTCTTGTTGCCTGACCTGCAGAATCCAGAAATTTCAGCTGCCCAAAATTCGAATCTCTGTATCCTGAGATTAGATACATGAGCAAGACTAGCTCATGTTTTGCTTACACCTCAGTTCACTGCACTGTTTTTGAAAAATTGCTCCAGTCAATGAATGGGGATGTCCTGGAACTCAGTTATATGCTTAGCACCTCTAATTATCACAGTTATCTAGTTGGCAATACCTGAAAAAAGTTTCCTCAAAAAATTTGTTTAATTTCTTTTAATTGTTTATATTGGGAGAGCTATTACTAGTTACCATCATAGCCAGAAACAGAAGTCTATTTTAGCCAGAGAATTTTGAAGACTTTAAAAAAATATATGATCTTTGTCTACCTCCTTTTTGCAATAGACCTAACAAAATAGAAGACTAAATTTTAGTAGCAGAAAAAAAGATTGAAGTTTTTTCAAGCCTATAGTATTTAATGTCTTTAATAAGTAAAATATAACTATATTTATAGATTCATAAACACATTTTAGATAATATTATAATTAGATTATATTAGAACTAATCTATTAGATTAGATTATATATGTATTAGATTACTTCATAGTTAAGAAATCTTGCTGCTATCCTCTTAAGCCTGCTACTCACCCTGTCTGATGCCCAGATTTTTCTATGCTTTTTCTGGTTAAGAGTGATAATATCTGAGGTCTCTTCCCGGAAATCTTTAGAATTAAGCAAAATAACCTCTAAAATGTCCTCAGAGACATAATATAAAGAACACTATTTTACAATGTTACCATGATCTCCTATTGATATGAAAGATATAGAGTTTCTGGGCTTAAAGACACTGTTAAAACTAAAATTGTTCTCATATCACATTAAAAAAATAAAGTTTCTTAGTGCATGTCTCTACTAGGCAGTTCTGCAAGTTGACCATATAATACTTACTGTGGAAAGCAATTAGAAATTCAGATGCTAATCAGTACAGCTTAACTTTTAAAAAGCACACAAAAATTGAGGAAGGGCTTGTTAACTTTCTTTCTTTTTCAGATAATGAAATTTCATAGTGACAGCTCAAGTCATTTTTACATTACATAGAATTGGAATGAAATGGGGAATTTACCTTTGCTGTAGCATTAAGAATGGTATTCTGTCATAATCAACTTTTACAAATACTGATCTGACTAGAATAAATCACCTATTCATTATTACATTAGGAATAGCTCTGACTCTGGCCCAATATGATAGCCTTAAGCCAGTGCTTATCCATGATTGCATTCTTAAATGTTTTCCTAGCAAATACCATGGTGTAGCATTCACTGTGCTACAATAGAAATACACTATGTGCTTTATATGGTATTTCAGAGCATCATAGTGCCAAACTATATGAAGATAACTGGAAATATACGTCTTGGGCAATTTCCCCAGACGACTGGAAATTACTAATCTTTGTGACAGTTTCCATGTTGGTATATCTCTTCGCTGGTGTGATTTGATACTCTGATCATGAGTTGCGAGTTATAATAATAACAACAGGCCGGGCGTGGTGGCTCAAGCCTGTAATCTCAGAACTTTGGGAGGCTGAGGTGGGCAGATCCCCTTAGGTCAGGAGTTGGAGACCAGCCTGGCCAACAGGGTGAAACCCCGTCTCTACTAAAAATACAAAAAAAATCAGCCGGGCATGGTGGCCCATGCCTGTAATCCCAGCTACTCGGCCGGCTGAGGCAGGAGAATCACTTGAACCTGGGAGGCAGAGGTTGCAGTGAGCCGAGATCACACCACTGCACTCCATCCTGGGCAGCAGAGCGAGACTCTGTCTCAAAAAATAATAATAATAATAATAACAACAACAACAATAATTGTTAGCTACTAATAGCATTCTAATTGAGATTTTACTTAATCACTTTGCATTTTGTTATGTAATTTGCATTTGTGTTGAGCTTTAATCACAGTTACCATCTTGGAAAGTAGGTACCACTCAATGCTCAAGTAACATATATTATGAGGAAATTGAAGCTCAGGGAAGTTATATGACTTGGCAACATTCACACAAGTTAGAAGAAATAGATTTAAGACAGAAACCCAGGACTGTGTGGCTCTAAATACTAAACATTTAATGATTTAATTACACTACTTCACTGATAGGGTTTGGATGTGTCCCCACCCAAATCTCACCTTGAATTGTAATAACCCCCACACATCAAGTGTCCTGACATGTGGAGATAATTGAATCATGGGGGCAGTTTCCCCCATACTGTTCTCGTAGTAGTGAATAAGTCTCATGAGATCTGATGGTTTTATAAATGGTAGTTCTCCTGCACAAGCTCTCTTGCCTGCAGCCATGGAACCATGTAAGATGTGACTTTGCTCCTCACTCGCCTTCTGCCATGATTGTGAGGCCTCCCCAGCCATGTGGAACTATGAGTCAATTAAACCCTCTTTCCTTTATAAATAACCCAGTGTCAGGTATGTCTTTATTAGCAGCATGAGAACAGACTAATACACTCACTTATTTTTGCATAGTAGTATTTACTCATTTATGTACGATTTCCACATATGCTGCCTTGCTGCCCCCTTTTAATCTTCATATAAAATCTCTGAGACTTGATGCAAAAAACTGGAAAATTCAGACTTGATCAAGGTACAAGAGCAATTAAGGAGGAGAGCCAGAAATCGAACACAGTTTTGTCAAACGACGGGCCAGGTGCTCTTTCCAGTAATTCATATTATCTCCCTGATATCAGCCTTTCGAGGCTTTTTACTCTAACCCATAAACCTCTATCACAGTTCATTCTAGCATATTTTCTCTAGAGGAAATCAGAAGAATTGAGTTCCAGGGTTAAGGGGGTGGACTTCCATCACAGTATATTCTTCAGGCATAATTTTAGCTTAAACATAGAATTGTTAATACAATAAAATGTAAAGCCAACATTAAGACATTTTGTCCTCATCCATCAAATGTATGATTAATTAGTTCATGTATTCATCCACATAGACCTCTATTTAGCGTATGTTTGCTATGGTTTGAATTTGTTCCTACCAAAACTCATGTTAAAATTTTATTCACAAAGTGGCAGTGCTTGTGTTGAGACCCAGTTGGAGATGTTTAGGTCATGGGGGCAAATCCCTCATGAATGACTTGGTGCCATTCTCATGGTAGTGAGTGAGTTCTCACTCTGGCAAGACTGGATTAGCTCCTTTGAGAGTGGGTTGTTATAAAGCCAGGATGCCCCTCAGGTTTTGTCTCTTTGCACACCTCCATTTCCCCTTTGACCTTCTCTATCATGTTAAGATGCAGCAAGAATGCCCTCACTAGAAGCCAAGGCCTTCAACTACCCAGCCTGCAAAACCACTAGTTAAATAAACCTTTAAAAAAAAAAAAATTACCCAGTCTCAGGTATTCTGTTATATCAACACAAAATGGACTCTGACAGAAAATTGGAACTTTTGGAGCTGGGTGTTCTATAAAGATACCTGAAAATGTGGATTCAGCTTTGGCATTGGGCAATGGACAGAGGTTAGGAGAGTTTGGAGGAACAGGCTACAAAGAGATCACATTGCAGTGAATGGAATATTAAGAGCTCTGGTGAGGACTCGGAAAAAGGCAAAAATACCAGCAAAAGTTTGGAAGAGATTGCTTAATTGGTTTTGACCAAACTGCTGGTAGAAATGTGGACAAAAGTAAGGGGTATTTATTCTGAAACCGGAGCAAAGATCACCCTTGTTAAACAGTTGCAAAGAACATGATTGCATTGTATCCATCCCTAGGATATTGAGAAAGGCTGAACTCAAGAGGGATGAACTGGGATACCTGCTGGAAGACATTTCTGAGCAGGAAAATGATCAAGAAGTGGCATGATTGCATTGACTAGCTTATGCTCAGTCACGGCAGGAAAGAAATGAGCTAACAGCAGAATTTATAATTAAAAGGAAAGCAGAGCACAAAAGTTTGAAAAATTCACAGCCTGGCTGTGTGGTAGAGAATCAGTGTTTCCAGGAGAGAAATCTAAAGGTGTGGCCTATGGATTGCTTGCTAAAGAGATTAGCAAAACAGAAGAGCAAGCCAGGTGATAATTGTTAGAAAAATGGAAAAAAGGCCCTGAAGGCATTTCAGAGATCTTCAAGGTTACCCAATCCATCGCAGGCCCAGAGGCCTAGGATAACACATTGATCTTGGGGAATAGGCCCAGGGTGCTGCTGCCCTGCCCATCTTTGGATGCTGCTCCCCCATCCTCGCCTCTCCAGCTAAAGCAGCCATGGCACAAATGGCCCCAGGTACAGCTTGGCTGTTGCTCTGGATAGCACAGACCGTAAGGCAGCTTCCATGTGTTGTTAAGTCTGCAAGCCCACACAATGCAAGAGCTATTGAGGTGGGACTTCCTCTACTGCGATTTCAAATAATGTATAGAAAAGCATGCAGGCCCAGGCAGAGATTTGTCAGAGGAGCAGAGCCACTGCAGAGAACCTCTACTAGAGCAATGCTAAGCAGGAATGTGAGGTGTGAGGTCAGAGCTGCCACAGAATATCCTCAGGATAATGTCTATGGGAGCTACAGAGAAGAAGCCACCACAGGGACCCCAGAATGGTAGAGCCACTGGCAGCATGTAACATCAGCCTGTAAAAGTTGCAGGCGTTTGACTTTAATCCACGAGAGTAGCCATGTTGGCTGCATGAAGCAAAGCCATGGGAGTGGGGCTACTTCAGGTCTCGGCAGTTCAGCCCTCACATCAGTGTGTTCAGGAAGTAGAACATAGAGTCAAAGGAGATTATTCTAGAGCTTTAAGATTTAGTGTCTGCCCTGCTGGGTTTAGGACTTGCATGAGGACTATGATTTCTTTATTGTGGTCAGTTTCCCTGCTGGGTTTAGGACTTGCATGAGGACTATGATTTCTTTATTGTGGTCAGTTTCTCTCTTTAGAATAGGAATGTTTATCAAATATCTGTCCCACCATTGTATCTTGGAAGTAAGTTGCTTTTGATTTTACAGGCTCATAGCTGGAATAAGTCAGCCTTGAGTCTCAATAAGGTTTTAGACTTGGGACTTTTGAGTTGGAGCTGGAACAAGTTAAGACTTTTAGGACTATTGTGATGGAAGAATTATATTTTCTATGTGAGAAGGACTTGAGTTTGGGGGGACTAGAATTAGAATGCAATAGTTTGGATATAGTTTATACCCACAAAACCTCATGTTGAAATTTGTTCTCCAATATGGTAATGCTGGGAGGTGGACCTAGTGAGCAGATCCCACATGAATGGCTTGGTGCCACTCTTGCAGTAGTGAATTCTCGCTCTAGCAAAACTGAATTAGTTCCCATGAGAGTGGGTTGTTATAAAGCCAGGGTGCCTCTTAATATTTGCCTCTTCACAGGTGCCTGCTTCCCCTTTGACCTTCCCATACTGTTATGATGCAGCACAAAAGCTCTCACCAGAAGCCAGCGCCATGCCTTTGAACTTTCTAGCCAGCAGAAGCATGAAGAAAATAAACTTTTTATTCTTTACACATTACCCAGCCTTGTGTATTTTGTTATAGCAGCACAAAACAAACTAAGGCACCAACCTTGTCCCAAATGTTCTAGCAGTTACTGAAGCAAAGTTACTCTAGATGAAGAGACCAATAGGAAAACAGAAAGTTACATCATGCAACCTGTGATATATTAAAATATATACTAAGTGTATAAGGCATATAAAGGAAGGTGTAATTACAGCTGATGGTGGATAGGAATGTAGGCAATCAAAGGAGGCTTCACAGAAGATGTGATGTTTGAACAAAATTTTAAAGAGTGAATTTAATTCTCACAGGTAAGGAGGGTAGGCATATATTGCAGGTAAAGAAAATAGAATTATTAAAGGCTTAAAGATTAAAAAATTTATAACACATTCAGGAACCCTGTATAATCTAATTTCCATGGAGTAAAGAAATGTATCTAGGAATGAAAAAGATGAACCTGGATATGAAGATTGCTAACAGATGGTGAAGGACCTTGGCAGTCATGTTAAGGAGCCTGAATTTTATATTGATGCAGGAACAATGGAAATGACATGATCAGATCTGTGTTTCTGCTGGCTTAAATGGAAGTGTGGAGTTTTAATTACCCAGGGGAAACAGTGAAGGCAGGGAGACAAATTAGCAAACTATTCCATGTATCCAAATGGGATACAATGAAAGCCTGAATTACCAAAGTGGTAGTGGAAGATTTGAGAGATGGTGAAATGGTGAGTTTGGCAGGAATTATGATAGGCTGAATGAGGGGAAAGAAAGAAAAGGATTCTGGAATTCCTTGCAGTTTTCTGGTTTGGGTAACAGGGCAGAGATATTTCTCTTCAATGAAATGTTAAATATCAACTATTCCCTTTGTGAATAGTTAAACAAATTAGGGTACCCATACTATATTTTGTATAAGGAGAGTGAGAGGTGCACAGCTTTACAAATTAGTCCATATGTCACGTAACTATGAGGAGTGATATTTGAATCTGATGGAATAAACTTTGTATTATCTAAAGATTCTGGAATTGGGATGAATACAATGACTGATGAGTCCTTTTGTCTTTCTTGTTTGAGTGGATGATGTGATCATTGTTTATATAACAGATATTTGCCTTATAATAAGTAGAAGTGTAAAGATGTTGTATGTAGTTAGAAGTATGAGAATGAATGCTGAGTGACAAAAGTACTATGCCATTACAGGGCCTATTCTCCTTCATATTCATTCCTCACCTTTCTCCTTTCTCCTGCTCTGTTCCATATGGCAAATGCTGAGGGAGTAACTTCTGAAATCTGTTTCCCAGGTTCCATTGATAGCTGACATCCGTCTGGGTTCAGCTAATAAGAGGCACTGACAGAACATTGGAGAGTAGAAAGTGAGCAGAAACCAGAGTATTATTCTCTTTGTTTCAAATGAGATCTCAAGTAGCAATTGCATCTCCTCTGTGGCTTTAGTTCTCCCTGTAATTCTAGTTTTAGCCGGGTAATTTTATCTCTTGGGATTTGATAGCCCTGCCACTTCCCTTTGTCCTCTGGCCTTGGGCTGTTGTGATTTCTGATGTTGCTAACTTTGGGTTATCTTACTGTCCACTCTTTGACTTCCCAGTTCTTCTTTTATCCATGAAAACAATTCTCTACATTCATATTTTGCATTCAATATTCATGTGCTTTCTGTTTGTTTTTTTCAGATTAAATTGGCACTGATACTAATGGTCAATAACGCCAAATGCCACAGAGTAATTAGAGAGAAAATAATTGAGAAGAAACTAATGGGTTGGACCATTAAGTCCTTGATGGCCTTTGGGAAAGCAGTTTCAGGGGAAAGCCAGATTGCTTTAGGATGAGAAGATAATAAGTAAGGAATTGAAAGCTGAAAACAGAAGTAGCTTTTCCATAAAGTTTAGCAATAAAGAGAGTTGATATAGTAGTATGACAGGTAGGCCAATTCACAGGAATATTTTATATTATACCACATTATATGTTATAAATTCAATTAGATACTTTGGACATAAAAGTTATTCATTCAGAATTGCCCAGCCTTTGAGAAACACAGATTTATTGGTCTCAAAACACTGACATGTGATCATTTGCTCCAGTGCATTACCTTCCAACAGAGCTAGATTTAGAGCATCTCCGAGGAAAACCTAGGTTCTAAAAATCTCTCACTATTTGTGTCAAAAGTAGAGTGTGCCTGCCAAGAAAGCAATACAATTTCAGGATGTATTAATATAAATATATTTTCCGCATCAAGGAAAGCATAATAAGGTCATAATACTCTGTACAGATGGGATTATATTTAGGAATGTGTCTTCCATCCTCAGCAGCCCATTTCCTAAGGAAGATATTAATACATTTGAGAATATCTTAAGGAGAGCAACCCAGATGTCTTACCATATGAATAAGAGTTAAGGTAACTAAGTGGAGAGGTTTGGACTGAAGTAAAAAAGGTTTAAGGTGCTCATCAAATAAAGAACATAAAATGATGTCATTTCATAATTGAGGGCTTGTTATGTGTAATAGGTGTTGGGAATTAGCATATGATGAGTACCTACTGGGTGATAAGTACTTTGTTAAGCATTTTAATTCTCACAGAAACTCCTTGAGATAATTACTGTCTCCACTTTAAAGACGAAAAAATTTAAAGCTCAGAGTGATTACGAAACTTATTTAAGGTCTCACAGCTGTTAAGGAGGCCGGATATAAACTCAGAAGAACACGTATTTCTTTCACTACCTCATAATAAAGATTAAATGAGTTAAAGTTATATGAAATGAATTGAGTTGGTATCAATATCACATGTTGGCTTCAGACTTTGACCTCAAATGGAAACCACAGAAACTCTCTTTTTCAATTAACCCCTTTTCTCAATCCCACTACAGTTAAAAAAAAAAAAAAAAGTAACTGAGAAAAAAATTGGTCAAAACCCTATCCCTCCCCCAAAACAAAAAAGTTACAGTGGGAGTGAGAGGTGACAGCGTGCTGGCAGTCCTCACAGCCCTCGCTCTCTCTCTGCGCCTCCTCGGCCTGGGCTCCCACTTTGGCGGCACTTGAGGAGCCCTTCAGCCCACCGCTGCACTGTGGGAGCCGCTTTCTGGGCTGGCGAAGGCCGGAGCCGGCTCCCTCAGCTTGCAGGGAGGTGTGGAGGGAGAGGCGCTAGCGGGAACCGGGGCTGCACGCAGCGCTGGCGGGCCAGCTGGAGTTCCGGGTGGACGTGGGCTTGGCGGGCCCCGCACTCGGAGCAGCCGGCTGGCCCTGCCGGCCCCGGGCAATGAGGTGCTTAGCACCCGGGCCAGCGGCTGCAGAGGGTGTACTGGGTCCCCCAGCAGTGCCAGCCCACCGGCGCTGCGCTCGATTTCTCACCGGGCATTAGCTGCCTTCCCGCGGGGCAGGGCTCGGGACCTGCAGCCCACCATGCCTGAGCCTCCCACCCACTCTGTGGGTTCCTGTGCCGCCCCAGCCTCCCCGACGAGCGCCACCCCCTGCTCCACGGCGCCCAGTCCCATCGACCTCCCAAGGGCTGAGGAGTGCGGGTGCACCGCACAGGACTGGCAGGCAGCTCCACCTGCAGCCCCTGTGCGGGATCCACTGGGTGAAGCCAGCTGGGCTCCTGAGTCTGGTGGGGACGTGGAGAACCTTTATGTCTAGCTCAGGGATTGTAAATACACCAATCAGCACCCTGTGTCTAGCTCAGGGTTTGTGAGTGCACCAATCGACACTCTGTATCTAGCTGCTCTGGTGGGGACGTGGAGAACCTTTATGTCTAGCTCAGGGATTGTAAACACACCAATCAGCATCTGTATCTAGCTCAAGGTTTGTAAACACACCAATCAGCAACCTGTGTCTAGCTCAGGGTTTGTGAATGCACCAATGGACACTCTGTATCTAGCTACTCTGGTGGGGCCTTGGAGAACCTTTGTGTCCACACTCTGTATCTAGCTAATCTGGTAGGGACATGGAGAACCTTTGTGTCTAGCTCAGGGATTGTAAAGGCACCAATCAGCGAGCGCCCTGTCAAAACAGACCACTGGGCTCTATCAATCAGCAGGATGTGGGTGGGGCCAGATAAGAGAATAAAAGCAGGCTGCCAGAGCCAGCAGTGGCAACCCGCTGGGGTCCCCTTTCACACTGTGGAAACTTTGTTCTTTCGCTCTTTGCAATAAATCTTGCTACTGCTCACTCTTTGGGTCCACGCTGCTTTTAAGAGCTGTAACACTCACCGCGAAGGTCTGCAGCTTCACTCCTGAGCCAGCGAGACCACGAACCCACCAGAAGGAAGAAACTCCGAACACATCCGAACATCAGAAGGAACGAACTCCAGACGCGCCACCTTAAGAGCTGTAACACTCACCGCGAGGGTCCGCGGCTTCATTCTTGAAGTCAGTGAGACCAAGAACCCACCAATTCCGGACACAGGAGAAATAAAGATCATAAAGATCATGTTTAGAAATTCAATTTGACTAGGGACAAAGGAATCTTGGATTCCTGTCTCTTGATTGCTTGCATCCCTTTCCATTCATGGGGCTGGCTGGTGCAGTACAAGCTTCTCCGCCACTGTCCCACCCTACTTCCGTGAAGCAAAGGGGCAGGGATACCTGTCACACTGCCCTTGTCCTTGAGTAAAATGAATATTATGGTTCAATTTTATCCAGGTGCCTCTCAAAGCCTACCTTCACCCCTTCCTTTAGACCCTTATTCTTCATTCTACGTCTTTCTTCCCCCTCTACCAGATTGCACCAATACCTGCACATCAAAGTTAACTGTTCTTGCATCATGCCACCTTAGGTTTCTGCTTTCTAGTTTCTGAATTTATAACTCACTAGTTGTATAAGCCAAATTGTACACATTTTCCTTCTAGGCCAATAGACGAATTGCAACATTGTCATTCCATAGAAAATATCTTAACACATAATAACTACTTTGTTCTCAGGAAATGTATATTGAACTGACATTAATGAATCAGTTGCTGAGAATTCCAGAAACACTGTCAGATGTACTCTGGACTGGCAACCTAGCTCAATTTTTAACAGTATTTTTTTGTCAGAAAATTATTTCTAGTATTTTTCCTAAATCTCTCATGATGCAATTTATACTCCATTCTCCTTGTTCTGTCCTAAGAGAAGATTGAGACCAGCTGTTAAGCATTATCTGTGTAATATAGCTCTTTATACACTTAAAGACCATTATTAAATTCCCTCTTGGCTTTCTTTCTATTTTCCAAGCTGAACAGTCTCAGTTCTATTAACCTTTCTTTATAGCGCTGATTTTCTAATGATTAAATCATCTTGGTAACAGTCCTCTGAATCCTTTCCATGTTCCACAAATCTCTTCATCCATGGAGCTCCAAACTGGATACGTTTTTACAAAGGATCAAGACAATCCTAAATGTCAGAACAAAATTCTTTCAAAATCATGGGTTATATAGATATTTCACTATAGAATAGTGTATAGAATCTCAAACAGTGAGTGAATCCATCTGGCCCCTTAGCATCCACAGCTTAGCCAAGCTAGGCTGTTCTCCACTTTTTTTCTGCATACGCAGTAACTCTTGGACAATGTCAAAAATGTTTGGGAAGAAAATTTTCATGAAAAAAATTATGATATGTTGATATTAGTATAATCTGTAATTTGAGAATACTGTAGAGTTTGACTTACATATTTAGTATTTATTTGATATTATAAGTTTGTGGCTAACCCATGGCTTATTTAGTGATTTTTCTGTTAGTTCTACACCATGATGTATTAATTTACTCAGTTCTTCAACAAGTTCTGTATTCAGAAGCTTTTTCTCACTACCTCTACTGCCACTATTTTGGTATAAGCCATGGCACCTGTCAACTGGATTACGTCAATTGCCACCCACCGATCTCCTTGCCTTCACTTTTGCCCTTCTGGAGTACATTCTCAATAGAGCAGTTGGAATGAGCCTATTAAAATGTCAGTCAGATCATGTCATTCATTTATTCAAGCCTCCGCAATGGCTTCCCATTTGTCCCACAGTATGACCAACAATAAGGCCGATAATATCCTATTGATCTGTCCTTCTATTACCTCTTTAACCGAATTTCTTACTACCTAGAATTTGTTCTTCTCTCACTCTACTACAGCCTCACTTATCTCTTATCTCCGTGCAGTTATTCAAACCTCTGGACCACACTTCTGCCTCAGGGCTTTTGCCTTTTCTCATACCCAGAACATGCCTATCCCACTTATCCACATAGCTCTATCCCTCATATCAGTTAAGTCTTTATTCAAATGTTACTTTTTCCATGGCCCGTGACTTAATCATCCTGTTTAAGGTTAAAAACTACCACAAGCAATTCGAGTCCCTCTTATTCTGTTCTATGTTTTGTCTACATAAATTATTACCTTCAAACATATTACGTAATCACTTTTCATGTTTATTGTCCATTTCTACTCACTAGAATTGAAGCTTTGCTCCTGTATCATAGTGCCTGGAACAGTATCTGTCATCTGTTACACATTTTTGAATGAATGCATGAATGAATGAACAAATGTTTATTATTTGCCAGGAACTATTGACCAATGATTTATAACACACAGACACACACACACACACAGACACGAACTCACACATTTTTACCCTATGAGGTAATAGAAACTGAGTGTATAAATTTAATTGTAAAATATGCATTGAGGTTTTACTATCTAAAACCATGTGTTAACTGTTTTGCAAGTATAGGAAAGCCTATGGCCTGTCTTCTCAGAACAAATGTCTGAAAAATATCATACAGAAACCAAATCGCTAATGTCAGGTGACAGGCTTGAGGATTGCTTAGGGTAGAGTCACAATTTTCTGAAGTTGATGCCACAGAGGACAAATTTATCTATCAAAAGTTTGGTCTTTAATATACCTAACAGAAAGAGAATACTCAACTTGCTGAGTATTTACACCTACAGCATTCTGCAACATATTGTCATACATCTTTCCCTATATATAGTGCCAGTGTCTGCCCCTAATAGTGTATTGGTGTATAATTTTCAATGCAACTTTACTGTTCGTGGATTTTAGCATTTTTTTAACTTGTTATCACTAATTTCATGGAAGAAAATTTTACTCTGTGGTTACTCTTGTTTCCCTTTCTTTTTGTATTTGCAAATATTAAATTTCTCTAAATTTATTTATTATCTGTATTTTCTCTTCTGTCCAATTCTAAGAGACTTAAACAATATTACACATTTGAAATTTCTTGCCTAATATAATAAGCAAGGCCTAAGGGCAATTCTTCCAAGTTTCTGGATGTCCTGTGAAATCTGTTCTAAAAACCGGTCAGTATTTAATTGCACTTTTTACAATAACCAAAAGGGTATAATTGGATCATTTGTAACACAAAGGATAAATCCTTGAGGGGACAGATACGCCATTTTACATGATGTGATTTTTACGCATTGCGTCCCTGCATCAAAACATCTCATATACCACATAAACACATACACCTACTATGTACTCACAAAAATTAAAAAGAAAAAAAATTTTTAAATAAAATAAAAATCAGAGGTTAATAGTACATTCATGCCAACCTCAATATCAACAAGTCATGGCTATTTTATTTTTAGTGATTCAACTCACACTAGTTCATCTATCACAATTACGATGTGCATTGCAAATCAAGCTTTCTTTACCTAGGTGATGTCCAATCGCAAACCAAGTAGTCTCTCTGCTTCTGTACACTGTGAGCACATCATTTCTACAGCACTTCTACCCTCTGCTGATGTGGAAAGCAACACTCCTATCAGGATTCTGGAGCTGTATTCATCTGACCTCATGGGACAACAAACATCAGATAGTTAAGGCTAAACAGCATATCAAATCTTCCCTTCCGAAGGTGTGAACAGTAAAAAGAGCATGCTAGGAGAAGCCAGATTGCTGGATATTAATGCTCAACTATTTATAAACCTACAAGGAAATTTTTTGCCATATAACTGTGTCCTTAGAATAATTCAAATGAAGAACAAAATAACTTATTTGAAACTCAATCATTGAGATTGTTTTTAAGATGGCAAATTTTCAAACGTAGTTTCTCCTGTAATACCTCTGCACTTTAAGTAACCATTGTTTATTCATCATCATAATGTAATTAACATTCAAATGATCCATCCCCTCACAACACCTTCATCTATAGTCAGACGTATATCAAACCACAGTTAAAGAGAAGGGATTAGCTTTTGCAGCCTCCACAGCTAAGCAAGGACTCAAAAATCAATCTGCTGATGCTGAGGCCATTCTGTTAATGCAAAGTAGAAAATGGCCAGGGACGCAAAAGTGGTGTGTGCCGCCCCCCGCCCCCCAACCCCCCGGCCCCCCCCCACACACACATCTCAGCTTGTATTAGCTAGCTCCTTGATGGCCATATGTTTGCTGCTTCCACCTCCTTCCCTCCTTCCCGCCATCACTTGATAAATGTATATAATGAATGACTAATCATATGCCCACAAACCTAATTTTTTTTCTCACAAGCTTTGAGGTTACCTCTACTTTTCCCTTTGAACTGAAGTTTCATATACCCTTGTCTTTTCTTCCAACTTTGAATGTCATCTGCTAACACAGAAGATATTTGCCACAGCATTTCAGTGCCTCACTCATTTTGCTGCCTGTCTGACATAATTATATAGATCATTAGGAAGGTCAGTCACACTCCTTCATCTCTTTCCCCATGTGTTGGCTTCAGGTGTTCTATCAACTTGGGCCAGGACTTTGCCACCTTGTGTTATGCCATGATAATGTTTACCACCCAGACTGGCCTATACCATGCTTCTCTCTTTTCCTGATACAACCTCTGAGAACAAAGTATTTTCTCTCTGTTTCTCTTTGCCTTCCACGTAGTAATACTTAATCATAGTAACTATGTTAATAAAAATATTTAACTAAAAATGAATATTTTGGCAAGAGATTTTCAGAGTATGGCAATGATTTTCGTCCCCCTCCTCTCCACTTCACGCTTCACTCAAAGGACTAAGTCTATGAATGAGACTCCCAGGTCATGCAGAGGAGCAAGGGCAGCAACAGTGAACAATGCCAGGGAGGAGGAGGAGAGTTAAGTGGAAGAGTGTTTCTCAGCTCCCCAGAAAAACTACTTGGTGCAGCACTGTTGCTGTCTCTGCTGTTGGAAAAACTCCTCATTTCCTTTCACATAGGATAAAACTAAGTACCTAATGCCTAGCTAAGTGCATTTGTTTTGTAATCATTTAATGTGATAGCCCTTCATTCCCATTTTGATGCCTTGGTTTAAGCCTGTAGTTGTGAGGCACTTATAGTATGTTACATTGGTTTATAATCTAGTTTATGGGCGCTATCTGCAGAAATTGGGATCTCTTTCAACCCCACCTGGGAATAGGCTTGGGCAGCTCTCCAGGCTTCTCGCTATTGAAAGCGGGCACCAGATGCTTGGCTGTGCTCAAGAGAGAATGCCAGGAGGAGTTTTCTCAGAGAATTCACATTGCCTTTCTCTTTGGGTGCTGGAGGCCTATCAGAAACAACATAGGCCTGGAAAATAGAAAGGGCCATCAGCAGAAACACACAAGAATTTTATCAGTATCCTCCAACCCCCAAAGCAAAGAGGCCTATTCAAGGTCTGAAGGAATAGTACTGAATAAGGCAAACAAATTCATGGTGTAGGGGAGTGGAGCTGGGAGATTAATGGAATTCCAGTGAAAAAAAATCCCCATCCCCAAATGGTATTTTGAGGGACATTTAACAAATCGTGCTCTTTGCAGTACATCGTTCGCTGGGACTTGAGAGCAGAATGTGGGTGAGAGCACAGAGCAATACTGTGCTCACATTTATGGCTGACATTTGGCTGTGTAAATGATGCCCTGTGACACATAGTAAGGGCCTAGATTCTGAAGGTACAACTCAACACCATTTTTGACAATTGTTTCATGCTGAACAGGTAAAGGGTATTTTCTGTTTTTTGTTTTTGTTGTTGTTTTTAAATTTGTGTGTGCGAGAGAGAGAGAGAGACAGAGACAGAGCCGCAGAGAGAGATTGGATAGATCTGTTTTATTCTCTTGTATTTTCTGAATACTCTCAGAATATTTTTAAGAGTGAGACTAAGTACCTTTCTATACTGAATTTTTAATCAATCTAGAGAAGAAGTATAGAAACCAGACACACCATGAAACATAGAGTATCTTAAAACACACTGGAATGTAGAAACACCAAATATAATAGAAGAAACAAAGAGAGACGAATGAGCAGTGAGGCAGGTGACAAAAGAAAAAAGAGATGTGGGGAGACAAGGTCAGCTGGCAGCTTTCCAGTCCCAGCGTGCCCATAAAACAGAAATTCAGATGCTCACGGTGTTTTCTCCCTCTTCTCAAGTCCCTCCTTGCTTCCTATAGGCGATTGGCCTCTTATTTTGCAGGGCCAGTGCAGCCGGCATCTGCACTCCCTGATCCCATAGCTCAAGAGGAATAAAGAGGTATTTAGTGGACCACTGGGTCCTACAAGCACAGTTAAACTTCTTTCCCAACATCTAGTTTATTTTAAAATAGCTCTTTTATACCATCTGAGAAAAATTGGATAGCTTGGCTTTACAATAAATGGCTGTTAGTTTAGCAGTGCATGTCAGCAGTCAAATAAGAGGGTTTTCTGATGTACCATAACATATATAGAAAATGGAAGTACCTCTGCATTTGCTTAGGAAAAAAGGTTAAGATCCTTGTTTTTAAGAGATGTTTACTCCAGGTCAATGATCCCTGTTATGAGTTTCAATATTCTTTTTTGTGTTTTGCCTTTGTACTCTGGTGTGCATTAGATGAATAGCCCTAGATATTTTTCCCCTAAACTCATGAAGAGAAATTTCTTATTTATTGAAATTTCCCTAATCCTTAAACTCTACATCCTTCTATCTGAAAGAGAAAGATTATTCTAGTTCCTGGAGTCAGAAACGTGATTTGATTCAAAGAAGAGCATTGACTCTGAACTTGTTTTGTTGTTGTTGTTCCTTTCTCTTGTTATGGTTAGGAATAACTAAGGCATGGTGGGTACATCCCATAGCTCGAGCAGGGACACAGCTGCAGCTGATCCAATAGATTAATAAGATCTAGCTGGCTTGGAAAATTAATAAAATTAGAACTGCAAATTAAGTTTGAGAACTAAATCAATCTTTTGATTACTGGATTCAAGTGAAAGGGCACGAGGGAAAGCTTCATAGTCTTCTCAGCACGTTGGACTGTTTCTAGTCAGGCATGCTAACTGCAGCATAATGCCACACTTCCTTTTATTAAAGTGTCAAATTCTATTCAGCTGGAAATTTTTGTAAACTCCAGAGAAGGTTTATAGTAAACACATCTGACCAACTCTTGGATTTATATCACTTCAGTGAAATTTTGGCAGGTTGGATCACGCTGCTTCTGAAAGAGAACATGGTTCCCTTTTATATTCTCCTATATTGTACCTGCGTGACATAAAAAAAGAGCATGTTTGTCAACTACAGCTTGGATTAAAATAAGGTGTGTTGGACAAAACTAGTGAACACTGAGAAAAGGAGTAAAAAAAATATAACACTGTGATATCCAAGCTTAAGGACTCAGCTGTGTTTGCAAAACATGCAACTGATGGCGATGTCCAACATTGCAGAACCCATTGGTGTGTGTTTGATTGTCTTATTTCTAATGAGAAAAAAACTCCAAAGAAGAGCCAGCAATGACCATTCTCAGAAACTGAATAAAATTTTCAAGAAATATGAACTTTGCTACTTTCATACCTGCATCTTATTTAGACACCAGTATATATATATGTGTCTATATACATATATATATAGAGAGAGAGAGAGAGAGAGACAGAGAGAGAGACACATTCTCCCAACAGAAGCAGAAAGGACATGGAAAGCGGGTTCCTACCAGTTTTTCAGAAGAGAAATGAAGACCCAGTAATTTACCCTTTAGAAGTTAAATATAAACCAGACTATGCCTCTGAATCTCTAATAAAGCGCTTTATGTATATGTATAAATAAGTTACTGGAATTATCCAGGGACCAGCAACTATACCACCCATGCACAGTTTTACACAAAAATAAATGTCCTGGCTGGGCGCCGTGGCCCATGCCTATAATCCCAGCATTTTGAGAGGCCGATCATTTGAGGTCAGGAGTTCAAGACCAGCCTGACCAACATGGTGAAACCCCGTCTCTACTAAAAATATTTTTAAAAATTACCCAAGCGTGGTGGCACATGCCTGTAATCTCAGCTACTCGGGGGGCTGAAATAGGAGAATCGCTTGAACCCAGGGGGCAGAGGTTGCAGTGAGCCAAGATAGTGCCACTGCACTCTAGCCTGGGCAACAGAGAGAGACTCCGTCTCAACGACGACAACAAAATAAATAAAATAAATGTCCTTTCAGAGTCTGTACTAGATTTACAATTGAATTCATAATAATTTGTATCCATCTTTCATGACAACTTTATTGGGATATAATCAACAAACCATAAAATTCACACTTTTAGGTTGCACAATTTAGTGAGTTTTAGCACATTCACAGTTGTGCAAACACCATCACTATATAATTACGAATATTTTCATTGCTCCGAAAGAAACTCCTATTTTCTCCTCATCCATCCCCTGGTAACCACTAATCTACTTTTCATATCAATGGACTTACCTATTCTGGTCATTAAATATCAATCATACAGTATATGCTTTTCTTTGTATCTTGCTTCATGTCTGGTTTCTTTCAAATAGAAAAAATATTTTCAGTTCTTCCATATAGTATGTATCAGTACTTCACTCATATGTATGGCTGAATAGTGTTCAGCCATAAATGTATGTATGAATACACATACATATATTCATACCTATGTATTCATAATGTATGAATATACAACATACGTTTATTAAACAAGTGATGAACATTTTGGGGGTTCTCACTTCCTGGCTGTTATGAATAATGATTCTGTGAATAGTCACGTACAATTTTTTCTGTAGACATAAGCCTTCAGTTATCTTGGGTATATACCTAGACATGTAATTGCTGGGTCATAGGGTGACTCTAGGGGTAATTTCTGAGGATACCAAATTGTTTTCCACAGAGACTACATAATTTTACATTCCCATCAGCAGCGTTTGATTGTCCCAGTTTATCCACATCCTCACCAACTCTTGTTATTGTCCCTCTCTTTTTAAAAAAATATTAACCATCCTAGCGGATCTGAAGTGCTATCTCATTGTGGCTTTAATTTACATTTTCATAATGACTAATGATGTTGAGTATATTTTTGTATGTTTATTGGCCATTTGTAGAGCTTCTTTGTAGAAATATCTATTCAACTCTTTTGCCCACTTTAAATTGGGATTTTTGTTTTTCAGCTGTTGACTTGTAAGAGTTCTTTATATATTTTGGACACTAATCCTTTATCAGATGTGTGATTTGCAGACACTTCCTTACCTTCTGAGGATTCGCCTTTTCACTTTCTTGATAGTGTGTTTTGATACACAACATTTTTGAATTTTGAGGAAGTTCGATTCGTCAATTTTTTTCCTCTGGTTATTTGTATTTTTGGTACATAGCTATGAAACAATTGCCTATTCCAAGATCACAAAAATTTACGCTGGATTCCAGTGAAATGCTGAATAGAAGTGGTGAGAGTGGATATCTGTGTCTTCTTTATGATCATGGTGATAAATCATTCAAAATTTCACTGCTACGATGTTAACTGGATTTTTTTATGGATGGCCTTTTTTAGATTGTTGCAGTGACCTTCTAGTCCTAGTTTGTTGAGTATTTCTATCATGAAAGGTTTTGGATTGTTTCAAATGTGTTTTATGTGTGCTATAAAGATACTCATTTTTAATTCTTTTATTCTATTAATATGGTGTATTACATTGATTGATTTTCATATGTTGAACCAAACTTGCATCCTGGGATATATACCAGTTGGTTATTGCAGATATATAATCCTTTTTAAATGTTACTGGAATCACATTTCTACTACTGTATTGAGATTTTTTACATTTATATTTATAAGAGATATTGGTTTGTTGTTTTCTTTTTCTGTGATATCTTCAGCTTTGGTATCAGGGTAACACTAGACTATTAGAGTGAGTTTAAAAGAATTTTTTTGAAAGGATTGGTCTTAAGTCTTCATTGTTTTATTTATTTATTTAACTTAAATGTTTTTTTCTATGGAAAACATGGATTGAACTGGAGATCATTATGTTAGGTGAAATAAGCCAGGTACAGAAAGACAAATATTGCATGTTCTCACTTATTTGTGGGCTCTAAAAATCAAAGTCTTGTTTAAATGTCTGGGAAATTAATCAGGGAAGCCATTTGTGCTTGATCTCTTCTTCATGGGAAGATTTTTGGTTATTAATTCAACGTCTTCATTTTATAAGACCATTCTTATTTTTTATGTCTTCTCAGTTCATTTTTAGTAGTTTTTAAAAGATATGGTTTCTTTTAGTTCTTTGACCATTTTAAAAATAGATAATAGGTAAAATAGGCAATGTATTAGGGTTCTCCAAATATATATATACACACATATATATGTGTATATATATACATATATATAGACACATGTATACATACACATATATATACATATATATGTATACACATATATATGTGTATATGTATATATATGTATACATATATATATATACACACATATATGTGTGTGTATGTGTGTATATATATATATATATATATATATATATATATATGGAGAGAGGATCTCTTCAAGAAATTGGTTCATGCATTTATGAAGGCTGAGAAGACCCACAATAGGCCATCTGCAAGCAGAAGACCCAGACGTGCTGGTAGCATGGCTCAGTCCAAGTCCAAAATCCTCAGAACCAGGAAAGCCAATGGTGTAACTCTCAGTCCAAGGTACAAGGCCTGAGAACCCAGGGGCTGCTGGTGCAAGTCCAGAAGTCCGAAAGCCAGAGAACCTGGAGTTCTGATGATCAAGAGTAGGAGAAAAAAAGTTGTTGTCTCCAGAAAAGAGAGTGAGAATTTTCCTTCCCTCTGCCTTTTTGTCTTATCCCAACCCCTAGCTGATTGGATGGTCCCTGTTCACCTTGAGAATAGATCTTCCCCCACTCAGTTCACTGACTCACACACACCATTCTCCCCTGGAACAACCTCACAGACAAACCCAGAAATAATGCTTTACCAGCTATCTAGATATACCTTAATCCAGTCAAGTCAACATGTACAATTAATTATCACAAATGGGATCTAATTAAACTAAAGAGCTTCTGCACAGCAAAAGAAACTACCATCAGAGTGAACAGGCAACCTACAAAATGGGAGAAAATTTTCACAACCTACTCATCTGACAAAGGGCTAATATCCAGAATCTACAATGAACTCAAACAAATTTACAAGAAAAAAACAAACAACCCCATCAAAAAGTGGGCGAAGGACATGAACAGACACTTCTCAAAAGAAGACATTTATGCAGCCAAAAAACACATGAAAAAATGCTCACCATCACTGGCCATCAGAGAAATGCAAATCAAAACCACAATGAGATACCATCTCACACTAGTTAGAATGGCAATCATTAAAAAGTCAGGAAACAACAGGTGCTGGAGAGGATGTGGAGAAATAAGAACACTTTTACACTGTTGGTGGAACTGTAAACTAGTTCAACCATTGTGGAAGTCAGTGTGGCGATTCTTCAGGGATCTAGAACTAGAAATACCATTTGACCCAGCCATCCCATTACTGGGTATATACCCAAATGACTATAAATCATGCTGCTATAAAGACACATGCACACGTATGTTTATTGCGGCACTATTCACAATAGCAAAGACTTGGAACCAACCCAAATGTCCAACAACGATAGACTGGATTAAGAAAATGTGGCACATATACACCATGGAATACTATGCAGCCATAAAAAATGATGAGTTCATGTCCTTTGTAGGGACATGGATGAAATTGGAAATCATCATTCTCAGTAAACTATCGCAAGGACAAAAAACCAAACACCGCACGTTCTCAGTCATAGGTGGGAATTGAACAATGAGAACACATGGACACAGGATGGGGAACATCACACTCTGGGGACTGTTGTGGGGTGGGGGGAGGGGGGAGGGATAGCATTAGGAGATATACCTAATGCTAAATGACGAGTTAATGGGTGCAGCACAGCAGCATGGCACATGTATACATATGTAACTAACCTGCACATTGTGCACATGTACCCTAAAACTTAAAGTATAATAATAAAAAAATTTTTTTTTAAAAACAAAATGTATTTTTGTAGCTATTGCAAAAAAAAAAAAAAAAAAAAAAAAAAAAGCTGCTATGGGTTGAATTACATCCTTGCAAAATTTAAATGCTGAAGCCCTAATACCCAATGTGATGACATTTTGAGATGAAGTCACTGGGAGATAATTAGGTTTAGATATTGCTATGAGGGTAGGAAAATGTTGATTAAATTAGCGCCTTTACAAGAAGAACACGAGAGCTTGCTCTCTCTTCACCATATGAGTTTGCTGTGGCAAGGCTGCTATCAACAAGCCAGGAAGAGGGCCTTCACTAGGAAATGAATCAGGCAACACCTTGACCTTGGACTTCCCAGCCTCCAGAACTGTGAGAAGTAAATATCTGTTATTTAAGCCTCCCAGTCTTTTGTATTTCCTTACAGCAATTCCAACTAACGCAAGGACCTTCAGTAAATGAGAATGGAGTCATGAATTTAATTTTTAATTTGTCTCTGTTGTAGCTGTTTATGTAATAACAAATGGTTTTCTTCTACATAAAAGAGCACAAGCTTTGCTATATGAGACAAATCTAATGAAATGTGCCCGACTTAGTATTATTCTTAAGGGATAGGAATACAAAGCTAAGTAATGAATGAAACAAAATAAAAATAAAACAATTGTAACAATATCAATAACAGCAAAACTTATTTTTCTGAAATTAACCACTGATAACGGAAAATATGACTCATAGACTGAAAGATTTATCCCCTGAATCACATTTAGGTAAGAGTGAAGCTATTATTACCTGGTATATTTGACTAATGTAGAGATCCAGTCTTGAAGCTAGGAGGTGCTTGCATCCCTCCTCCAAAGTATAATGACATAAAGGTAACCCTTATATTTCATTATACTTTGACATACAGGTAAACCCTATATGACATTATACTTTAGAGGAAGGATGCAAGCACCTCCTTCATTTGGCTTGTAAGAATACATGAGAATTAGAATTTCTTAAAACAGAAAATTATTGATAATTGCATGAAGATATCAATACTTTAAAATTATGTTAAGAATAAGATATATTGAATATATTTCTTTTAATTTTATTCTATGGCAGGGAGGACTTAAAATATTAGAGATGATTAGTCTGCACTGAAAAATGCATGTATTATTACATTGCCTAAAATATTAAATACTTCTCTCTATTTAACTCACTCTATTTAACTCCAACATTATTGAACTGATGCTAAAAGCAAAACACCATTATAATGAAAATTTACTACTCTGTAAAGAATATCCACCATATCTTCATAATATCACTACTTGGCTAATCATGATTGCCTTTTCCATCTATTTATAAAGAAAACACCAAAAAATACAGTGTAATAACCTTTCTAAAAAACAAAATGCCATTTTTATTTCCGTATTTAATCATCCTGACATTCACTAGAACAAGAGACTCTGGAGCTCATATGTGCCAATAAATTCCTCTGGAAGGATTCTCAGTAGAATCATTCAGGTGTTTCTGGCTTCCTTCATCAATGTGCAACTATACAACCAATGACAGGGACAGATTGAAGGAGAAAGGCCCAAGTGAAGAAAACATCAGTAGTCATTTGTTCCAAGATGCCTTTTTCCTTCGTCCCTCTCCCTCAATCCCATTGGTATAGTCATGTTTTGTTTGGATTTTGTTTTTTGTTTTTCTTTCTGGGCCTAACTCCCCAGATTTCTTTTTAAAGATTCCATGAGATGAAAATTGTGAAAAACCTGGTAAACTCTAAAGTTCTATACAAAGGCAAGATGATGGTACTTCCATATTTCTTTGATTCTAATATATCTCTTTTTTTACATTTTAATATTTCTGAATTTAGATGTGTAATAAAGAAAATGCATACACTTAATGTGGCATTGTTACAATTTTCACTCCAACATCTATGACTACATTAGTGTTACAACTTCCAATTCATAATGTTCTGCAACCAAAGGGACATATGTCATTTTTTATGTTGCCCTTCTGAGAGGTATTGCAAAGGTTGGAAAAATGCTAACAAACCCTAGGTTTGTAGTTTTCAATATGCAATGAAGGATTACAGTTAGATGCCCTTTAAGAAAATGTGTTGTCCCAGAAGTAGGACTAGTCTGAATTGATGAGAAGGGAAATTTATTAGAATACCTGAGCAATTTATATCTTACCATATTCCAGTCTGAACAGAGGGCATAAATCAAGTAGAAATGGATCTCAAAGGTACACAGATCCAATTTCATTTTATAGATCAGTTTTCCTTTTTCATAGGCAGCAAAAGAAGGGAAGTATGTGCTCTCTGCTAGGGACAAAGAGGTCTTATAATATTTTCATTGGCTGGCAAATTCTTACCTCTGTCCAAGGCATTCCCAAGTTCTGGTAGTTTCAATTACTTCATCAGTACCACCATACCAATTTTCAGTGGGAGAAGTGAACAGATGTGATGGCAATGTCAGTTCTCAGCCTTTCTGAGGATTAAGAGACAAATATCTTGCAATCATGACACTAAATGGCAAGAGATATTCAAAACTTCACCACAGGTCCTTGAATCAACTCTGTTTTATGCCGGGAACAAATGAATCATTTTCTATCCTCAGAATTGCAAAGAGACTTCCAAAAAAACAAATATCTGGAGAAAAAGTTTTATCATCCATACATATGCATCTATTTACCCCCCAACCCAGGACTATGACAATATGCCTAGATAACCACAGTACCACAGTACTCTTTCTTACTGAGCCTTCGTACAGTTTTGTTATTGTTGTTGTTGTTGTTTTGTTTTGTTTTTTAATTGAGACCAAGTCTCCCTCTGTCACCCAGGCTGTAGTGCAGTGGCTCCATCTCGGTTCACTGCAACCTCCACCTCCCAGGTTCAAGCAATTCTCCTGCCTCAGCCTCCTGAGTAGCTGAGATTACAGGCGCACGCAACCACGCCCAGCTAATTTTTGTATTTTTATTAGAGACGGGGTTTCACCATGTTGGTCAGGCTGGTCTCGAACTCCTGACCTCGTGATCCACCTGCCTCAGCCTCCCAAAGTGCTGGGATTACAGGCGTGAGCCACCGCGCCTTGCCGCCCTCTTATAATTTAATGAGGATTGACAACTGAGCTCTCCAGGCAGCTACTGAGAGAAAACTTATTTTGGATTCTTGGGTTAGACTCTATTGTTTTGTAGCCATGCCCAGCCAGATGGATCATTAGAAATCACTTCTACATGTTCAAGTTCAACACTAATTACTGTTAGCAATACCTGCTGCCATGGCTAGCTCATCTACCAAGTGCCACCTAAGGAATAGCAATAAATGTAATAATAACATATGTAATGTAATGTATGCAAAATGTGTGTGAAAGTATGTGAAATGCATGCAAGGTATACAAGTTCTCAATACAAGAAAATATGCTCAAGAAACAATGGCTGTAATCCTTTCCAATGGAGAACAAGTAGAGACAGTTGGCATTACTTCAACTGTCAATTCCAGCTTCTGGGCCAGTGATTCTTGACCCTGGCTGCACATATCAATATTCTGGGAAAGGTGTTGGAAATATTGATGTCTGCCCCCACCAGGTCAATTGAAATCTAATCTCTTGGGGATAGGATTGAGGTATCTCTATTTTTAAAAGATCACGTGTTATTTGGATGATCAACTTAAGATAATAAAAAAATCACACAGCAAGTGGAGTTGTAAAAGCTAATAATCAAGTCATTTTAGATGACTCATCATACAATAATTATTCTACTATTACTTTTTTAATGGTGTAGAAATAAATGGCTAAATGTATGGTTTGCATCAGAGCTGAAAGTAAATATTTTAGATACTTTAATGAGCACAAAGTCACCAATTTGTTTATGCTCCCTGTGGAGGTGGGAACTATAGGAATGGGAGCTTAACATTTTTACTGTGAATATGGTGGCATAGATACACAAAACAAAGATAAAATACATTTTCTGACATTGGATCTAGGGTCAAAAACACCCATAAACAGATAAACTTCACTAACACTAGGTCCATGCCATACTAGAAGCCCTCTAAGTGCTGAGGAACACAGAAAGCAGATCAATTAACTCTGTCATGGGGAAGGGGACATGTTGGGAAATACTTGAATACAATTCAGAGTCTTGGAGGAAAAAAATTGCTTACAAAAGGATGAGATGAAAATTCTAACACATAAAACAGCAAAATAAAAGGAAAGGAATCAAAAGCCTGGCACGACAGGTCACCCTTTAGATAGCTCAGTGAGCTGGAGTGTAGGTTCTATGTAAGGGGACAGATGAGGGTGAATTTGGAGAATAAGTCAGATTAGGAAATCTGCTGTTTGCCAAGCCGAGGAAATTGCACCTAATCCTGTAAGAGACAGCGTAGCAAGAGAGAGCAAACAGGTTTGTAAGCTGGAAGGTGAATTGATAAGATTCCATTAATATGATTAAATAAATGGAACTCTATAATATGTGATAAGAGTGGAAGCTGCAGCCTACATATAGGTCTCTGTTGCAACAGTTATTTGCTGCTCAGAGCAAAATCAAAGGGTTTTTCTGCCTATGACAGGGAAAGAATGTGAATATAAACGTTAAAATCAATAGCATTTCTACTTTAAGCTTTCATCACACCAATGAAGAATGATGATCAGAAAGGCAGGTGTACCTAGTCTCTCATGGTTGCAGACCGATCAACTGACGTTCAGGGCTTCACTAAGAGCATATTTCCAATCTCTACATTGCTTCCTAGCACTGGCCCATCTCAGATAAACATTCTCAATTCTTTTCCCTGTCTTTTGTTTCCCTGTGGATAGACAAGAAGCCCATTAAACTAGGAGGTCTTGATCAAGGACAATGCATTTGGAGAGGCTAGCTCTTCAGTGCTGTAGAGAAACAGTTTCTTTCATCTCTCCCTCAATCAGGTGGTACTGATGATTTGCTGATTTTCATGACGAAGAAAAGCCTTTGCAAAACTGTTCTTCAAAAGGATGTGAGGGGCAACTGTGCACAACATCAATAAGCCAAATGATGCATTTCAAAATGCACGCATTTTGCTGCACTAATGGGAAGTAATTTGGATAATTCTGACAATTATGTAACTAAGTATGTCATCTGTCTAAAAAATACACTAATTTTATAATTGTCAAGCTAAACACTTGAGACTTAAAGACTAAAACCACTTCCAATCATTTTATACAATCTTAGCAGGAATGAAGTTCTGAGGTAGAAAGTTATCTCATAATGTTGTTATTTCAGCTCAGGATTACCTATGCAGCAGTGAGTAGTGTATAAACAATTTCACATTACAAATAGGATCTATGTGAAGTTCTAACCTTGGTCTTTTAATAACATAAGCTTTTAATAACATGCATTTAATATATAAAACCTTTCTGTAATTTATGCCTAGAACAGTTGTGAATAAAAATTAGTGCCCCAGTGCTCTGCAGTTAAAAAAATGACCTAATATATATAATCAAATATGATACCATTTTCCTCATACATCATCTAAAAGGACAAAACTATTGCAATGAATTGGTTTAATGGAAAGAATAGTAGTACTCTAAATCCAAAAATAAGGGGTAGGGCTGTGTGGACTTTGGAAGTCTCTCCTTCTCCTTCTCTCTGTTTACGTGTATATTTCTCTACACAAAGGGCAGGAGTTAGAAGAAACAACTTGTAAGGCAGGATCTAACCTCACTCCCACACACTCATTTATCAAATGAGATTTGGTTGGAGATAGTGGAAGAATTGCATCCTGAGTTACTGTGGCTCCAGAAACCCCTGGAAATAGTATATGTAACTTTGTGAGCCTATGTATTTTCATTTACAGAATATTTTTCTCTAGTACTCAAAGAGATCCTTAACACCCTAAAAAATTAGGAACCACTGACCCAAGACTACTTCCAAATTTAAGTGTCCAGGATGTACATATCTAAAAAATCCAAAACGGACCTACAGGTAACTCCACGTAGAAGCCTCATTATAAGTTAGTTCTATTATGATACAGGCAATCATTCAGGAAATGCATTCCCATCAAACACACACACACACAAACACACACTCACACACTCACACACACACACACCTCTTCTAAATTCATTTGATTTTAAAACCATTTTCCAAATTTACCTCATGAAGAGAAGCTACCTTACAATATCCTCATGAATAAATCCCCAATGTGCTCTAATACAAGCCCACTTTATGCTAAAGTGAAAGAGAAGCAGCCTTAAAACTGATGGCCTGAGTTCTAGTCTCTATTCCGCTACTGTCTAGCTTTGTGACCTTGAGCAATGCACTTGATGTCTCTTGGCCTCAGCTTCCTCTTCAATGAGAACTACAGTATAAAATTATGGCCGGAAGTTCAAGGTATATTCTTGCCTCCAAGTTGTACGATGGAGTTGTACAGTGTTGCAGAAAATATTCTCTGGTAACCCAGCACTATAAATGTTTTAATGTTCCGGCAACTCAGTCTCTATTTCCAAAACATTTCTTTACAATCTTCATTATATACCGCGGGACTATTTCAGCGAAAATATCAAGTGAATACCATGAGTCGAAATTGGAAAATATTGAAATATTGTGTAAGGAAGTATATTTCACATATTTCAGAACGCAAATGGTTGCTAAAACCTTCAAAAACAGCCAGTTGCTTGGGAAGTTGTTTTATTGCCACCATTAGATATTTGAATATACGAAGTGTATCTGACTCATCTATTTTTAAAACACACTAAAAATGATTTGATATTTAATCGTGTTGTGCCAATGAAGCCGTCTGTGAATTGAAGTAACATATAGCAATGATTTGTTAAAAGGTGTTCAACATGCCAATAAGATACATCAAGAAGAACACAGATTTGGACCTTTATTTACACCTAAATATACAGTGCTCATTAACAAGACTTTCCTTTATCCTAGGAAGATACGGCCATTTGCACACAGCTTGTCACATTGAAAGTGGATCAATTTCACCATGTGCTACAATATAGTTTTTCTCTACCCTGAAGCCTTTGGTGTTTGTGTTCAGATCTCTGTGATGACATTTCAGGACAAGCATACCTCTCCTTTTTCTTTCGCACATATGGCAGTCTGATCTTCTGAAGAAAATGATTCCCTGACACTCATAGCAAATGTCTTCTATGTGGGCTTCAACAACATTTTCTTTTCCAAGTTCTTAGTATGTATTTTTGGAATAAACCAGTGAATGAAGAAATCTCTTTCTATAAGCTATCTTAGTTACTTATTAGATTGAATACGTCCTACGGGTGGAGCAGTATTTTAATCACATTTTATAACTCACAAAGTGAAGTATTTTGATGACGGTTTGAAGTTTGCATACTGATTGTCAGACACATTGTAGAGAAGGAGAGGGAGCCAGGGCTTGGCCTAAAATTATTTCACTATGGAGAACTTGAATCTGAAGATGCATGTAAGCAATTAGCTTGGTAATGTAGTTGGGCTGGACAGTCCACAAGTTTGAACCCTGGATTCAAGTTCACTCCTCTTTCCAGGATCATTGTGCCATAGTGGTATGTATTTGGGTCCAGATCAAGGTACACAGGGACCGAAGGGCAATAAAGGGAACTGTACCAACAGTGCACCAATGGAGGCACTGATCCCACTTCTGGAAGAGGATTTATGCACTGTCTTATTCCACCAAACTGTGGTAGGAAGAATGTTGCTACACAACCCAAATTCAGTCATATAGACCTAAAGACTAAGTGTGGACGAAGCTGGCAAGTGGGAGGGTCTACTTGCCTTCACAACTGGATTGTTTATCCAACTGTAAAAAACTAATGAAAACCAGGATGTGGTCTTTAATACAGTCACTTTTGATAAAACCCTGTCTAATTGCATATGACCTAGCAGTTTATAAGTTGTCTTCATACTGTGACCTGAGATGTGGGCACAAAACTGATGTTAAATAATTATCTATGGCATTGAACTCAATTGAATATTTTTATGAACCAAATATCGATTTTCCAACTTTTCCTTTGTCTTCTGATTATCAGAAGCCTATTTAAATGAGAACTATGCATGGACCAACACAGATAGGCAGGGAGACAAAAGTCTCCTAAATGTCCTCTCTCTCACATAAACAACATTTATTGACCTCCACTGTTTGCCAGATGTTGTGGTAGTCTTTGAGGATTCAAAGATGAAAACAGACTGGTTCCCACACTCAATGAGCTTATGAACCAGTGAGGAAACAAATAATTATTTTAAAAATTAACCACCATATAACAAAATAAACTAAAAATTACCACAAAAAAACTGTTCATGGAATGAATAGGGCTCATAGAGTCACGGCCTGAAAGCTGTTTACCTTAGGATATCGTACTATCATCAATGCAAAGTTCCATGAGAGTTCGTACTATTGCTTGCACTTTTGTCACATGTCCCTATAGCACCTACGCACATGCTGAACACAGTTGACATTTGAAAAACCATGGTAACTATGTTGCCTTTCTGAGAAAACTCTTTGTTGAATATGTCATGTTAAATGCTATCTGCCCTATCATGATTATTTAACATTATGTTTAAGCATGCAGGCTGTGGAGACAAATTTCCTCATTAAATTCTTACTCTGATACTTCCTTGTGATATGATCTTGGGCAGGATACTTAATGGCCTTGTTAGCCTAGCTTACTTCATCTGTAAAATGGGATAATAGTAGTACATACCTACCACATAGAGTTGTTGTGAAAGTGAGTCAACACGTGGAAAGTGCAGGTTCAGGGCAATACTCAAGTTTACCAGGTCTCTGGCCCTTTACTTCCTCAATTCTTCAAATGCATATAATAAAATTCACACAGCACATGGAAAGGTGACCACAGGAATATATAAATCAAGTTGCTGCCTATATAAGATGCACTTTAAAATGATGTATTTTGAAAATGTTCTCAGAGTAAGTACTAAAACTAATTAAAAATCACCCTAACGGCCAGGCGCGGTGGCTCACGCCTGTAATCCCAGCACTTTGGGAGGCCGAGACGGGCGGATCATGAGGTCAGGAGATCGAGACCATCCTGGATAACACGGTGAAACCCCATCTCTACTAAAAATACAAAAAACTTAGCCAGGCGTGGTGGCAGGCGCCTGTAGTCGCAGCTACTCCAGAGGCTGAGGCAGGAGAATGGCGTGAACCCGGGAGGCGGAGCTTGCAGTGAGCTGAGATTGCGCCACTGCACTCCAGCCTGGGCGACAGAGCAAGACTCTGTCTCAAAAAAAAAAAAAAAAAAAAAAATCACCCTAACAATATACACTTTTGTATGCTGATTTTGATATGATAACTTGTGGTCCTTAGTTATTTTCTCTGGAATATACAAAATACTAATTTAAATTCTGATGCTACAAGCTAGGAAATCATGTTTCTCTCATGGCAAGTGTATTGTTTTGGAGTTTGATTTTCTGTCTACAGAGCATGACGCCTGTTCAGAACCACATTCCTTTACAAACAAGCATGTTCTTAATGTTGTTCTAAAGCTTCATTAGCTCAAAATTTTAATTTAATAGAGTACTGTCTTACATATTATGTAATATTTGTGTAAGCCCAATAGCATTTGTCAAATTTATCCCTTAAGAGAAATAAAAGCAAACAAAGAACGCACACAATGTACAAGTATACTTCAATTCATTGTACTTCATTTTATTGGGCTTTGCAGATATTGCATCTTTTACAAATTGAAGATTTGTGGCAATCCTGTATTGAGCAAGTCTATCTATGTGTTTTTTCGACAGCATGTGTTTCTGTTATGTCTCTGTGTCACATTTTAGCAATTCTGACAATATTTCAAACCTTTAAATTATTATTATATTGGTTACAGTGATCTGATATCAGTAATCAGTGATGTTACACTTGTAATTGTTTTGGCTTGCCACAAACTGTGCCCATAAAAGATGGCAAATGTGTGTGTTCTGACTGCTCCACTGACTGGTAATTCTTCTGTCTCTCTCCCACTCTTCAGTACTCCATATTCCGTAAGACAAAACAATATTGAATTTAGGCCACATAATAACCCTATAATGGCCTCTCATTGTTCGACTGAAACAAAGAGTCACACATCTCTCACTTTAATTCAAAAGCTAGAAGTTATTAGGCATACAGAGGAAGGCAGGAAGGTATGTCAAAAGCCATGATAGGACAATATCTAAGCCCCTTGCACCAAATAGTCAGCAAAGTGGGGAATGCGAAGAAAAAGTTTTTGAAGGGAATTCAAAGTGCTACTCCAGTGAATACATGAATGATGAGAAAGTGAAACAGCCTTGTTGCTGATATGAAGAAACTTTCAGTGGTCTGGATAGATCAAAAACCAGCCAGAATATTCCCTTAAGGCAAAGCCAAATCCAAAGCAAGACCCTAACTCTCTTCATTTCTATGAAGGCTGAGAGAAGTGAGGAAGCTACAGAAGAAAAGTTTGAAGATAGCAGAGGTTGGTTTCATGAGGTTTAAAGAAAGAAGCCATCTCCATAACATAATCATGCAAGGTGAAACAGCAAGTACTGATATAGAAGGTGCAGCAAGTTATCCAGAAAATTTAGCTCAGATAATTGATGAAGATGGTTACATTAAACAATGGGTTTTTAATGTCAATGAAACAGCCTTTCATAGAAGAAGATGACATCTAGGACTTTCATAGCTAGAGAAGAGAAGACAGGGCCTGGCTTTAAAGCCTCAAAGGATGGGCTGACCCTCTTGTAAGGGGCTAACAGATCCAGTGACTTTAACTTGAAGTCAATGCTCATTTACCATTCTGAAAATCCTAAGAAACTTAAGAATGATGCTAAATCTCCTCTCCCTGTGCTCTAGAAATGGAACACAAAGCCTGGATTACAGCACATCTGATTATAGCACATCTGATTAGAGCATGGTGTACTCAATATTTTAGGCCCACTGTTGAGAACTACTGCTCAAAAACATGAATTCCTTTTAGAGTATTGCTGCTCATTGATAATGTACCTCATCACCCAAGAGCTCTGATGGAGCTATACAAGGAGATTAATTTTGTTTTTGTCCCTGCTAACAAAAGATTTCTTCTGCAGCCCATGGATCAAGGAGTAATTTTGACTTTCAAGGTTTAATATTTAGGAAATAAATTCTTAAGGTTATAGCTGCCATAGATAGTGACTCCTCTGATAGATTTGCACAAAGTAAATTGAAAACCTTCAAGAAATGATACACCATTCTAGATATCATTAAGAACATTCATAATTCATAGGAGAATGACAAAATGTCAATATTAATAGGAATTTGATAGAAGTTAATGCCAACTTTCACGGATGACTTCGACGGTTTAAGCCTTCAATGTAGGAAGTAATTGCAGATGTGACGGAAGCAGCAAGAAAACTGGAGTTAGAAGTGGAGCCTGAAGATGTGATTGAATTGCTGTAATCACAGGATAAAACTTGAATGGATAAGGAGTTGCTTCTTATAAATGAGCAAAAAAAAAAAAGAAGAAGTGGTTCCTTGAGATGAAATCTACTGGTGAAGATGCTGTGAACACTTTTGAAATGACAACAAAATTTTTAGAATATTACACAAACATAGTTGATGAGGCAGTGGCACGGTTTGGGAGAATTTATGCTAATTTTGAAAGAAGTTCTACTGTGGGTAAAATGCTATTGCAGCAGGATGAGCCATGGACAAAACCCCACAGACACCGAGATAGTGAAGGAAGTAGCTTTTAATCAGCTGGAAGCATTGGCAGACTAGCATCTTAAAATCCGAGCTTGTTGAGTGCACAATTTCTGTCCCTTTTAAGGGCTCACAACACTGAAGATTTTACATGAAAGGGCCGTGATTGATTGAGCAGTCTAGGGGGTATGTGGCAGGGGCTGCATGCATCAGTAATCAGAGTGAAACAGAACAGAACGAGGAGTTTCACAATGTCCATACAATGTCTCGAATCTATGGATAACATCGGTTGCTAGGTCATGGGTTGAATTTTAACTATCAGGCTAAGGTCAGGCGGGCCCAGGCCTGGTTTTGGGTCTGGTTTTGGGTCTGGTGCCTGGCGCTGGGCTGCCCGCCTTTGGTTTCGCTTCCTTGTTACTTCTTAAAACAGGTACTGAGTATAAAACAATATAGAACAATATGGGAGGGGGGGTCTCTTTCTCTCTTCTCTCATTTCCCCCCTTTGAGACTCTCACTCATTTTATTAGTGGGAGTTCTCACTTTCATTTTCACTACTTATGTCTTCCTGTGCAATAGATTGATAGTGATTCATATAATATACTTGTGCTGAAGCATTCTGGTGAACTAAGGTAGCGATGAAGCTTTTTATCATTTGAAGAAGTACAGGTGGCAAACAAGGGAGTAGTAACCAGGTTCCTATTACTATTATAACTCTTACTATAAGAGTTTTAAATCCTCCTATTGCTGGGAATCAATTTCCAAACATGGCCTCACGATCAAATCCATGCCACACTTGCACGGGTACATGTACCAGTTTTGTTATATCTTTAACTATGTCTTCAACTACTTTCCCTTGATCATCTATGTGTAGACAGCAATTTGTAAGGTTAAATTTTCCTCCTTCAGCTGCTAGCAAGTAGTTGAGAGCTAGTCTATTTTGGTAGATAGCATTCCTCATCTGAGTCTCTTGCCAGGCAAGAACAGTCAAGGCTTGACCAGTTTTATTAGTAATAATTTCTAAAACAGCTTGCAACCATATGATTCAGTTGAGCACGTAGATGGGGGTCTGATATCCCCATGAGCCATCTTGTGCCAAAGTGGCGGGCCCATAGTATTGTATAATTCTTTCAGGGGGCCATTCATCATCTTTCCAGTTACCTATGGCTATGCTTCATTTTTCACGGGAAGCATAGACAGGGAATACTAGCGAGTTCACCTGTTTTTATGGGTAGTAGGAAGAAAGATGGTTTAATAGTGCCAATTACACAGCTACCTGCCCACTGATCAGGTAGCTTAGCATAGGCTCTACGTCCACATATCCAGTATAACCCTGTGGGGACAGTCCAGTCCCAGTGGAATTCTGGGTGGGCCTAAACAGTCTGCAATTTTGGAAATTTGCTGAATGGATTTCTTTCTGTGTAACTGGAACTCCACCATGTAACTGTTTTTGTGGTACCATTATACAGTTGTCGTCCAAGACAACTAAGCCGTCCTACAGGATGAGTGAATTCTTTTCCTTCTCTAGCTATGCAATATTGTCCAATAATTGAGGCTTTTAGAACGCAGAAATTGTCAGGGTGGTTCTTTTGGGCCGGGAATTCATCAGGAACTGGGTCTGTAGGAACTAATTCTCGGGCTTCCCATGGCCATTGATCTCCTATTACATTTCCTCCACAAACAAAACATGAAGTGATTTTAGAGGCTGGGCTACATGCTTGGCTAACTGCAAAAACAGATTTCTAGTTTTTCCTGGAATTTCAGGCACTGGCACATTTAGTTCATCATAGAAAGTCTGAAATACTGGCTCTAGAGAGCATTTTCGAATCTCTCCTTTTATTAAAATGTTTACCTTAGGGTCTAGTCCTTTTCCATCAATGCCTAGAGATATGTATTCTCCTTTTTTCCATTTTGGGTCTGAGGGGTTTGTGATTACTAATTCTAAAGGGTTGCAGCTTCCACTCGTGCAGGAGGGGCTTCCTTTCCCTTTTTGGAGCCAAACAGGATCTTTTTCAACCTTTTTCAAAGTAGCCTAAATGACACAAGACCAGTACCCACATTCCTTTCCACGCAATCCTAATTCATGACAGATGTACTTATTTTCAGTCATGTAGCTTTCTTCCCAATTAAAAGAGCCACATCCTGCTCCTAACTTATTGCTATTAATGACAGCACAAGCATCAAATTTTAAGATTATGCGTTTGGGCACCCCTTTTTCTTCTGTTCTAGCTAATACTTTACTTGTATCATTTATGAGTCCCCACCAGTCTTCAGTCCTTAATCTTATTTCAAAAACTGGAAATGGGAGGTTCAGAGGGGTCATAGCACACATCGGGCTGGTCACTCCTGGATTACAGACTTTGTACTGAGTGTTATCATACAAACATGCTCCTTTTGGAAATCCTAAGCATTCATAATAACTATAGAACAAAAAGATTGCCTTAACTTGTTGTCCTACGTCAGTGACCTCATGTATGCACTGAAAGCAGTCCTCTGTGTGGGAAGAAGCAGTGGAAGCTTTTACCACACAAGTCCATGTTATAAGGAAAATAAGTCCCACGACGATTTTCCTCATGCTTCGGCCGTGCATAGACCAGTCAGCTTCCGGGTGTGACTGGAGCAGGGCTTGTCGTCCTCCTCAGGGTTACTTTGCACGGATTGTCTAGGCTTGGTTTGGCCTCCCAGGTTCCAGTGGCTGCAGGCTTTATGCGGCCGTGGTGAATCCAGGCCGGAATTCCTTCTACCTTCACAGCTGTGGGAGTGGTCAGGTTTAGAGTCTGGGGTCCCTTCCATCATGGCCGTAAGGGAGCTAAGTTCCAGTCCTTGATCCACACACAGTCACCTGGAGAAAAAGGGTGAACTGGGGAGAATAAGCTGACCGGGGGCACCTCTCATTTACCCAAGTTGAGATTGTCTGGGTAATTTTCCCTAAGGCCTGTAGCTGTCGCTGTAATTCAATTTCACCCAATTCTTGGGGAGTACCTGGAAGTCCTCGCAGTATAGGAGGAGGCCTACGATATAATATTTCATAAGAGGAGTATCCTGTTTTCTTAGAGGGGGTGCACCTAATTTTAAACAATACCATAGGAAGGGCCTGTATCCATTTTAATCCTGTCTCTTGACATACTTTCCTTAAACTATTTTTGATAGTCCGATTCATTCGCTCCACCTTTCCGGAACTCTGAGGTCGGTAGGCGGCACGTAGCTTCCAAGTGATTCTCAATACCTTTGCCGTCCTCTGTACTAAGTCAGCCACAAATGCCCGCCCATTATCTGAGCCAATCCATTGAGGCAGTCCAAACCTAGGGATGAGATCTCGAAGAAGCACACGGGTTACTTCATGAGCTTTTTCAGTTCGTGATGGATAAGCCTCTACTCACCTAGAGTAAGTACACACTAGAACCGGTAAATACTTGTTACCTTTGCATTTGGGCATCTCTGTGAAGTCCACTTGAAGATCTTCAAAGGGAGCTGCTCCATAGGCTTTGTATGCCGGGAGGAACAGAGGGGCCTTGCTTTGCATTGTGCTGTCGACAGGTAACGCATCGCTGTGCTACTGTTTTAGCAAGAGCTGGCAAGTGTGAGATGTAGAAGTACCGGCTTTACAGCTTTTCAAGTGACTCCTGACCTACATGGGTAGTTTCATGTACAGCCAGCACGACTGCGGCTCCTAGCAGCTGTGGCACAGCTATTCTCCCATCTGGTAACTTGATGCATCTTTCTTTTATTGTTTGTCCTCCCTCTGCCTGAAGAAAGTCTTTTTCCTCTTTAGAATAAGTAGGGACCAGATCAGGTGTTTGAGGGAGTAGGGGGGCTGTGACTGATGCCCGGTAAGGAGTAGATGCTGCTTTTCGTGCCTCTGTGTCTGCTCGGGAGTTTCCTTGGCTTACCAAGGTGGAAGCTCACTGGTGTCCCCTGCAATGCATGACTGCCACCTTTTGGGGCTTCCGTACTGCCTCTAATAATTGCAGAATTTCTTGTTGATATTTTATGTCCTTTCCCCCGGAATTTAACAGGGCTTTTTCTTTATATAATGCTCCGTGTACTTGAAGGGTTAGAAAGGCATATCGAGAGTCAGTATAAATGTTTACAGTCTTACCTTCACGGAGTTCTAGAGCCCGGGTTAAAGCAATGAGTTCTGCCTTCTGGGCTGAAGTGCCCTGAGGCAATGGTTTGGCTTCAATAATATCATCCAAAGTTACCACCACATATCCTGCGCAGCTTTCTCCTTGTGGATTGATGAAGCTGCTCCCGTCCATGTATAACTCCCAGTCCACTGATGCCCGTGGCTGGTCTCGAAGATCGGGTCTGCTAGAATAGACTGAGTCCAACGCTTCCACACAGTCATGTTCGACAGGGCTGTCTGACACTGGGAGTAAGGTAGCAGGATTCAGAGTGTTACAGACTTCAATGGTTATGCGGGGGTTTTCACATACCAAGCTTTGGTACTTGGTTAATCTAGCATTTGTTAGCCAATGGTGTCCTTTGGTATTCATTAAAGTTACCACCGCATGGGGTGCCTTTATACTTAAGTTTTGCTCAAGGATTAGCATGTCTGCATCTTGTGCTAACAGGGCTGTAGCTGCCAGGGCTCTCAGACATGGAGGCCAGCCTTTTGAAACTCCGTCTAGCTGTTTTGAGAGATAGGCCACTGGTCTTGGCCAGGGCCCCACAGTTTGGGTTAAAACTCCGACTGCAATTTTTTCTCTTTCTGACGCATAGAGTGTAAAGGGCTTTGTCAAGTCTGATAGTCCTAAGGCTGGGGCTGACATAAGTTTCTCCTTTAACTTGCAAAAGGCTTGCTTTTGCAGAGGTCCCCATTCCAAAGGCTCCCGATCGCCCCCCTTTGTAACTCCGTACAACGATTTGGCTAGCACCACAAAGTTTGGAATCCGTAATCTGCAAAACCCCACAGCTCCTAGAAATTCCCTTACTTGCCTTTTGGTTTTAGGTTCTGGTAAGCTGCAGATGACCTGCTTTCTTTCTGACCCCAGGCTGCGCTCCCCTTTCCGAATAGTGAATCCCAGGTAGCGTACCTACTGTCTGCAGATCTGAGCTTTCTTCTTGGACACCTTATACCTACAGTCCTCCAGATGTCGAAGCAGGGCAACCATCCCTTTTGCACACCTGTCTGCCATGGAGTGTCCTAGCAGAAGATCATCCACATACTGGAGCAAGACACAGCCTAGGTCTTTAGCAGGAAACTTCTGGAGGTCTTGAGCCAACGCCTGCCTCCCCAAAGATGATGGGGGAATTTTTAAACCCCTGGGGAAGCCAAGTCCAAGTGTACTGAGTAGTGACACCTGACCCCGGATCTTCCTACTGAAAGGCAAACAGCTTTTGGCTCTCAAGAGCTAGTCTGATGCTAAAGAAGGCATCCTTCAATTCCAGACAAGTGAACCAGCTGTCCTCAGCCGGCAGCAATCCTAACAGTGTGTAAGGGTTAGGAACTGTTGGGTGCAGAGTCACTGTAGCTTGGTTAACCAAGTGTAAGTCCTGTACGGGTCGATAGTCCTTGGTCACTGGCTTGGGGACAGGTAAGAGGGGGTGTTCCATGGAGACTGGCAAGGAACTATAATTCCAAAAGCTTTCAAGCGTTTAAGATGAACCTGTATTCCTTCAAGAGCTTCTCTGGGAACCGGATACTGCTTTTGTCTAATTGGCTGGCCCCCAGGCTTAACTTCTATGAGTACGGGGGCTTGATTGATCGCCAGCCCTGGAGGATTGTCCTCGGCCCATACTCAGGGCCATCGCTTAGCTAGAGCCGGTTTTATCTCCTGACCTGGCTCGGTTAGAAAAAGTCTCTATTCTTCTTCTTGGGGGACTATAAGGGCCATGATAACTCCTGTTCCTGGTAACTTCAGCTGTAAAGAGTCCTGTTTTGTAAAGGAAATGGTGGCTCTCAGCTTACGAAGCAAGTCTCTCCCTAACAAAGGCAAGGGGCAGTCAGGCATATACAGAAATTGACGAGTCACTTTAGGTCCTCCCACTGAGCATGTCCACGGTAGGCAGAAAACCTGCTTGGCAGAGACTCCTGTTGCTTGGATTATATCAATGGTTTTCTTAGATAAGGGGACCACCGGGGTGGTTACTACTGAGTGTTCGGCACCGGTATCGACCAAAAACTTAATGTCCTTGCCCCCTATTGTCATCCTGACCATGGGCTCCTTGGGGGCATTTGAGCCCGGTCCCCCTCAGTGTAGTAGCCCTTCGGCCAGATTGAACAAAGTCCCTTCATCTTTATCCGTGGTCTTTTGTTCGGCATCATCTTGCTTCTCCTTTAGTTGGGGACACTTATCTTTCCAATGTCCTATATCTTTACAGTAGGCACACTGGTTATGCTGCAGACGTGAGCGATTAGTCTGGGCATTCCTCCCGGAACCCCCCTTTCCCTGCCCTTTGGGGGGGATTCCTCTAATTGCTGCAGCCAGCAAATCAGCGTTCTGCCTGGCCTGGCGTTCACCTTCCTTACGGCTTTCTCAGTGGCTTGTTGCATCTGTATTTACAAATACTTGATCTGCTATCTCCAGTAACTGTGAGGTATTCATCCCTGCAAAACTAGTCTGTTTTTGCAATTTCCTCCGGATATCTTCCGCGCTTTGACTAACTAAGGCCATGTTAATCATACGCTGATTTTCAGGACTCTCCAGATCAAAAGGAGTGTACATACAATAGGCTTCACACAGTCTTCCATAGGATTAGGTTGGGCTTTCCTCCTTTCCTTGGATGACTTCAGAAACTTTATTTATATTGGTGGCCTTTTGAGCCCCTTTTTTTCAGCCCTTCAATTAATGCCTTCCAGTATCATCTTAACCTCTCCATATCTGGTCCTTCATTTGGATCCTATTGAGGATCCGTTCCTGGCAGCTGAATTCTTATGTATTCCTGGGGATTTTGGTAATCGGCTGGGACGTGCTCCTCTAGCCATTTAGTTGCCACCTGGAGCACCCTTTGCCTTTCGTCTGTATTAAAGAAGTACATGAGTAGCTGGTAGCAATCAGCCCAAGTAGGATTATGAGTCTGTCTAATAGTTTGCAGCAAGTCAATTAGAGCTTGAGGCTTTTCAATGTAAGATGGAGTATTAGTTTTCCAACTGAAGAGGTCAGCAGAGGTGAAAGGGTGATATACAAAGGCACGCCTTTCCACCATGTGTCCATCCTCATCTACCCCAGTATATCACTGCTCTCTCGGGGGCATTTGGATTCCAGTCTTGGGCCGTAAATTGGCCGCCAAGGGAGGAGTTTCTCCTGCAGCTTTGCTTCCTTTCTTGTCTACTCTCGGTGGTCTAGGGGCTGTGGGCTCAGGAGTAGGGGGCCTCTCCGCTTGGTAAGGGGGGGCACTGTCGGTGCCATCCCCTGCCATGAGTCTTCGGGCTCCAGGTCAGACAGAAATTTAGGGGCTGGCTTCCCTTGGCAGGTGGAGCGATAACCTTCCTTAACTAACTGTCCCTTTGCTACTAGTACTGCTGCTAGAGCCGGTTTTATCTCCTGACCTGGCTCGGTTATCTGCTGCTGCCTGTCCCTTTAACCACTGCAGGGGATCTAAAACTATCTGTAACCAGGAATCTATATATGGGAACTGATCTGGGTGTCCTGGCTTGCCAATTACTTTGTGCCATACCTTTGAAACAAGAGACCTGTCCAGGCTTCCTTCTGATGGCTAACCTACCTCTAATTCTGGCCAATCTATTTCACACAAAGTTCTTAGTTTTCCTGGAGTCACAGTGACTCCATAGTCTCCTTTGAATACTTTCTTGAAATTCTTTAACATAGTTCCTAATGGAGTGGGCTTACTTTGCCCCGGCCCATATTTTCTCAAAACAAAATATCATGCTCACACCACACTCTCACCACAAAACAAAGAATGGGTAAAGAGGGCAAACACACACCTTTATCGTTTATACCAAACCAAAATCAGGGTACCAAGAAATTCAAGCCAAGTCAAAACCAAAACCAAAGTATCAAGCAATTCAAGTCAAGTCAAAACCAGAACAAAAGTGCCGATACAGGCACGCCATGGGTGATCAGGCCACACTTCCACTCAAATGGAGTGGGCAAGTTTCAAAGACTAGTCTTACCAAGTTTCAGATGTCCGGACTCCAAGTGCCAGTTCCTTCCCGGTGTTCAGCCACTGCATTGATCCTCCACGGGGGCCTGCCACACGCTGCTCTGGCGAGGCGTTCTACTGGGGCAATTGCCTACCCAGGAGCGCTCTTTGGATCGCGTCGCTCAGGCAGGCCGGAGTCCCCCACAGGGATGCTCCACAGGGCAGACCTAAGCCGCCTAAGGGGCTGCCTCAGCTGTCCGTCAGTTACCTCGTTTCCAGGTCAGGGAACCAAGAAATGTAGCAGGACTAGCCGTGGACAAAACCACACAGACACCAAGATAGTGAAGGAAGTAGCTTTTAATCAGCTGGAAGCATCGGCAGACTAGCGTCTTAAAATCCGAGCTTGTTGAGTGCACAATTTCTGTCCCTTTTAAGGGCTCACAACACTAAAGAATTTACATGAAAGGGCCGTGATTGATTGAGCAATCTAGGGGGCATGTGGCAGGGGCTGCATGCACCAGTAATCAGAGTGAAACAGAACAGAACGAGAAGTTTCACAATGTGCATACAATGTCTCGAATCTATGGATAACATCGGTTGCTAGGTCATGGGTTGAATTTTAACTAACAGGCTAAGGTCAGGCAGGCCCAGGCCTGGTTTTGGGTCTGGTGCCTGGCGCTGGGCTGCCCGCCTTTGGTTTCGCTTCCTTGTTTCTTCTTAAAACAGGTACTGAGTATAAAACCATATAGAGCAATATGGGGGGGGGGGGTGTCTCTCTCTTCTCTCACTATCAGCAGAGAAATCTTTCATGAAAGGAAGAGTCAATTGATGAGGTAAACTTCATTGTTGTGCTATTTTAAGAAATTGCCACAGTCACCCCAACTTTCAGCAACCGCCACTCTGATAAGTCAGCAGCCGTCAACATCGAGGCAAGACCCTCTACCAGAAAAAATACTATGACTTGCTGAAAGCTCAGATGACAGTTTGCATTTTTTAGCAATAAAGTATTTTTAAATTAAGGTGCATATATTTTTTGTAGACATAATGCGAGTGCACAACTAACAGATTACAGTATAGTGTGAAGATAACATTTACATGCAGTAGAAAACCAAAAAATGTGTGTGACTTCCTTTATTGTAACGTTTGCTTTATTAATATGATCTGCAACCGAACCTGCCATATTCCTGAGGTATTTCTGTAGTTCTCTGTACAGGATACATACACATAAGCATCACAGTGTGATCCATAAAATAATGCAATTTCTTCTTTGAAATTATTAACATACTTTTTTCTTTCAGTTTATTGGCCTCTAATCTCTATTTCCATCTCCTCCTCTACAGGATACTAAGACATTTTTCCCAAGGTTGGTACCTCCTAGCATAATCTTAAACTTTTACTCTGGGACCTTAAATCCAGTTATCTGCTGTCAGCCAGAACAACAACAACAACAGCAACAAAAAGATAAAATCTTGCTGAGCTATGAATCAATTAAGGTACCTATAAATAACTCCAGTCTTTGACACCTGATGACAATTAGTTTAATATTATGAAGCCCGTTTGCCTCCACTTGTCCGTTTCTCTTACAGCACCGGAACTTTATGATAACATAATCCAGGAAGTCACAGGGAATTTTGCTGCCAACAGTAAGAAAAGTAATTGCAGATACATCACCTTCATTTATGAACTAGCAAACACTGCTGAAGCTTAATGATTCAAGCACATTTAGAAATGGACGCTTTGCAGTAAACAACGATTAGATTTAAGCCTAAGAAAAGAATCCTGCTGTGTAAAACATGCTCCTGAAGTAGAAAGCAGTTCTATTAAAAGGGTTTTTTATGTTAATAAAATATATAATATGTATTTAGGAGATTGTTTATGTCATAATTTCAACTTCAGATAAAACCAAGTGTACGTGATGCAATCATATTCAGATACGACTCCATAATTTGTGTTATTTTATGAGCTCTTTATTCACAAAATTTTTACATTCCCTATATGGCAAGATATGATTTTACTTATGTGAACATAAAATGTAATTTTCCTAATGTGTGTTTCACCACGTGGCCCAACATACACACACACACAGAAGAGAGAAAAATACAAATCTCATTTAAACAAATGTTAACTCTTTTGCTGGAAAGACAAAACTGAAATTCAACAAGAATAATTTCTGAGCTCTCGGCATAGTAGGACAAATACCCCATTTCAATTTCATCTCTGAATTTTTGTATATGGATGTGTGATAAGCATTAAATTTCAGCTATGCAAAAATTGCTTGAAATAGTTTTGTAAGGGGGAGAAAGTGAGAAGCGGACTGTATTTTGCATTCTCTGTTTGCTTCCAGGACATTTTAATGTTATCTTTAGGACAAATAACATTAATAATATTTGATAGGTAGTGTATAATGCCCTTAGAAAATCTGAAAGCCATCAGATTTCACTGAAATGTAAATAATCCACTACTGCAGATATATATATATATGTACATATATATTTCTGTGTGTGTGTGCATATATCTATATCTATATCTATATCTATATCTATATCTATATCTATATCTAGATAGATAGATAGATAGATATGCCTAACAAGGTGGGAACTTTGCAGTGGGTAAGGGAGAAAATTCTCAGTTTTCACTATTACCACCCTTCATTTTACTTATTAGAATGATTTGCACCTTTAAGAAAATGCCTTCCTGGTAACTCTAATGCAAACTATTATGCAGATAATAACATATTTTTACTCTTTAAAACGTCCTCCTCTATAAGGGATGAATTACCATTTGAAAGAAATAAATGTTACATTTCCTTCACTGTGGTTCTTCTAAAATGAAAAGAAAGCATTCCTTTTGGAAACATCTCAAATTTGAAGAGTAGTGCAACAATTACAACCTTCCTAACCAAGTTCTTTGTAGAATAAAGTCTCCTAGACAACAGAGTTAAGCCTAATAATGTTCAAGTCATAAAAGCAGGGACTAATTATTGATCTACTGATTCATTTTGCTGGAGTAAAAGTCAACTGTCAATGGTTAAAATGATGATTATGTTTTCTTAATGTGGGGAAAAATCTAGATCAATTGCTAAATCTGCTACTTACATACTTCTAAAACATCCGATTTGGAGCATGATCATTATTCATTTACTTAATCTAGATTTATTATTTTTAAAATAATGGAAGGTTGTCCAAATAGTTTACTTTTCAGTTTTCCTGAAGTTTAACTTCTGGATTTTTTTCTAAGTTTCCAATTTTTATATAAGGATCATTTTTCATCTCTACATTTCCAGTTTGAGAAGGTCAAATTGCTCAAGGGTTTCCTAAAACCCACCAATGTGCAAATGCCAAGTACAAGGGGTTTTTTAAATTTATTTTCAATAGTTGGTATACAAATCATTTAATTATCTCAAGACCAAGTTTGTTTGTCACTGACATTTAATTGGAGTCTAATACATGACTCCAGAGTCTGATAACACTGTGTCATCATAAATGTCCTCAATATGCGATTGCATATTGATATTGAAGAAGACTGTGAAAGGCACTCTACTTCATCATACCACTAGGGTTTCCTTAACGTATTTTCTGATAAGTAGGCATATAAAATTAAACTGCTTCAATTAGGAATGAATGGCTCAAAATTGGCCCCATCCAAATTTAGTTGCAAGTAATAGGAATATGAAATCTTCGAAACGTTAAGTTAATTTCAATGCTGAGTCTGTATATATGAATTCTACTCATATTTGGAAGTTTTCAAGGTTCCTAAGACTGACCCTAAATATTTTTTAGTCTGTTTGGTTTGAAGAGAGAGATCAAACTCTAGTAATAAGCCTATTTAATGCCTTTTCCATATTTCTTTCTTTGCTAACCTGATTTCAACAAACAAATCAAAAACAATAATATAAACAGTGGCTTATGTAAGAACGTTTGCATGCCCAGAATTTGGAACAAGAACTTCTGGGTTAAAAGCATAATTCTGACATTCATAGACTGTGAGACTGTGAGTGATCAATTACATTTTGAGTCTTTTCCAACTGTACTAAATGGGATAAAAAGTAATTACTTTGTAAGGATGCTTTTAATATGAAAATAATACAAAAATACTATAAAATCTGAGGCATATAATACATTACCATTTTCATGTTACTTCTATATTTGTTAATTTTTGCATCTACAAAAACACAAAAGATCTTGTTGAGATCTAGAATTATAGCCATTTCCTGATGAAGACTCTGAGTCTCAGAAAGTTTAAGTGATTTATAAATACAATTAACCAATGCTGTTGGAATTTGAACCAAAATTCTGGCCCTGAACCATGTTTTCTTCACTATACTGTGACACCCACTGGTTAATTATTTAATGAAATGTCAATGTGATCTCAAATATTCCTGAACCTATTACCTTGTATTATCATTTCAATAAAACATTGCAATTAGTGCTAGCCACATGTCACAGTTCAGTTTACTTCAGTCATACCTGTAATGATATAACTATATATTTAAAAGACTAGCTTGAGTATTTGGTAGTGCCTTTATCCAAACTTCAATCGACCATCTATATCTTCCAAGTCTATCAAGAGTAATCCATTTTTATTGTGATCCTTTCCAAAACTGAACAGTTATTTGCAACATTTACCCTAAGTTTCATTCATTGCAACAGAATCCTATTTATCTTTGGCTTGTGCTCAGGAAAGACAGAAATAAATTTACCTGCAGAATTTTAGCCAAATGGCAGGATTCCCTTCTTTTTAAAGGCTGCATAATATTTCACTGAATGTTTATACCATGTTATCCGTAGATTCCAGACATTGTATGGACATTGTGAAACTTCTCGTTCTGTTCTGTTTCACTCTGATTACTGATGCATGCAGCCCCTGTCACATGCCCCCTAGATTGCTCAATCAATCACGGCCCTTTCATGTAAATTCTTTAGTGTTGTGAGCCCTTAAAAGGGACAGAAATTGTTTTCTTTATTCATTCTTCTGTCAATGGGCAACAAGGATGGACTTGAAAGACATTTGCTAAGTGAAATAAGTCACTCACAAAAGGACAAATACCACCTGATTCCTCTTATAGGAAGCATCTAGAATAGTCAAAGGTATAGTAGTAGACAATAGAATACTGGTTACCAGGACATGGGAGGATAGAGATGTGGGGAGTTTTTTAATGGGTGTAAAGTTACAGTTGTACAAGATGACTAAGTTCCAGAGATCTGCTGTACAACACACTGCCTATAGTTAACAATAGGTATTGTTTACCTGAAAATTTAAGAGGATGGACCTCATGTTAAGTATTCTTAACACACACACACACACAAAACACAAATACACACACAATTTCCGCTAAAGAAGAGAAATGTAAAAAGCAAGGACAGAAGTTTGAAGAAGCGAAACCACTGGACGTGTGCTCACTGATGAGGAAGAAGAGGATTCAAGAGATGACCTTCAGGTTTTTTTGTCACAAAGTTAATTTTGAAATGTCGACTCACTGTTTGAATCGCAGTTCTGCTTAACTCTTATTATACTTGGACTTAGGGAATTAGGACACAACGAGCAATAGATTCCTGACCACATTAATATCAAAAGTAATCAATAATAATACAGTGTTCATGTTTCCATTAAGGTTGTGGTATCTAGAAGTTGTCCACATTCCTTAAAAATTTGTGAAGAGGATAGATCTCATTTTAAGTGTTTACACACGCACGAGAGAGAGAGAGAGAGGAGAAAAAGAGAGACAGGAAGAGAGAGAGATGTTTAGCTAAAAGAAGATAAATTATGATTCAATGGCTTCTCTTCTGCAAGTTAATTTTAGTGAAAGTAGATAAATTAAGATGCAATGCCTTCTCTTACCAGAACAGAAGCTTCCAAGCTAAACAGAAGTTTGTGGAAGGAAAGCCATTGCATTTCTCTGACCATTATTCTGTAATTACATCTCTCTCACCATGGCCGAGAAAGGTTCTCTGTTTTTAAAGATCCATATTATTAGATTGGTCCCACTTGGATAATCCAGGATAATCTCTCCGTCTCAAATTCCCTAACCTTACTTAATCTCATCTGCAAAGTCCTTTCTGCCATGTGAGGCAACACATTCACATGTTCTGGGGACTGGGATATGAACAGCTTTGGGAGGTTTCATTCTGCCCACCGTAATGTAAAGCTGAAATTTTAATTTAGGTCATTTGATGTTGGTCAGAGTGCTTAGGTCATAGGAAACATTCAATAAACATAAGGTAAGTAGATGTAATAAATGAATTAAAGAAAAACAGCCTTAGAAATCCAAGTGGCATGATAGATTTCGTGTGTATGTAACATAATATTTGGTTCCAATGGTTATAGATTTCACTTAATTTACTGTAATTATTTTTCAGCTTTTTAAAATGCTCACTTCATTTTTCTTTTCTAAGATCAAACAATAATATGCAATGTCTGACTAGAGAGTAGGGAATTAGAAATTTAAGCCTCAATGTAGTGTGGATTTTACCTGAATGACAAACTATTGCTGTAGAAGAATTTCTCTTTTTTAGGAAAATGAAGACAGGCAAAAATAACAGTAATAATTTAAAAACTCAGTTTAATCAAATTAAGGGGAATTTAAAAGAAGGCTTTACAATTTTAGAGAAAATGTTTAAGTTTTCTTAAGTTTTTGTTTATTAATCTTCACCAACATACTGATTAAAATATTTTAAAAGGTTCCTGAGAGTTGTTCTGTGTAAGGGGTGCTAATTATGTTGCCTGTTTACTTTTTGACAGCTTTATTGAAGTGTAATTGACATACAATAAATGGAACATACTTAAAGTATTCAATCTGATAAATTTTAATATAGGCATACATCTGTGAAACCATCACCACAATCAAGATAGTGAACATATTCATTAGAACTAAATTTTTTTCATGCCTCTTTGCAATTTCTCCTTACTCACCCCTTCCAAACCCTCTGAAATCCAGGCAACCACTGAGCTGCTTTCAGAAACCACAGCTTACTTTGCACTTTCTAAAATTTTATATAAACGGAGTCATGCAACATACGCAATTGTCTGACTTCTTTTACTAAATGTAATTATTCTGAGTTTCATCTATATTGTTGCTTCTATCAATAGTATCACTTTTAACAGACTGAAAACAGAAAACCAAGAGGATCTAAATGGACATTGGACAAAGGGGGTAGAAATGGAAGGTTACCTGGTAGTATCCAAGAAATGAAAGATGCATAAAAACATTTTTGTCAGAGGGAAGTGCAATGACTTGCATCTGTACTGAGACTAAACTGTGACTATATTAACCTGATGGAATTTTTGGTAAAATGTCCAAAACGCTAGATAATGGTGAAGTGTGAGAGACAACACAATGAACCATGAATGGAGTCGCCAGGGAAAATGACTTGGAGGAAATACCCTCTCCCTGACATGTGTACCTCTAGAATTGAATCTGGGGAAGTGAGAAGAGGTGTCAGATCAGGTGCGGAAGGATCTTTAAGTGGTGATAATTAAAAACCTCCTTTATTTAACCAAGAAATCTTGGCTTCCCAACCCTTTTCCATGATGTTGTCGAAAGTGATGCTTTCCATTATCTAAGCGACTCCAGGGCTACCATTGGATGAGAGAGAACCACACTGACCAAAAAAGCTGAAGGATGTAGCTCCTCATTGACCTAAGGAGAATACATAGAGTGAGGGAAAAAGTCTTAGGGTAGACTACTGTTGGCATCAACATGGCTAAAGTGATCAGGAAACTACCAGAGCCTAGGACATTTTTGGAACAACAAATGACAAGCATTTAAGGGAGAAAGATGAACACCTGTGAACTCAGGTCCAGCGGCAGTGGAAATATGTATTATATGCATATAATGCAGATATGTGTAATAGATACATGTATTAGGCTGCTTAAATGTGTTCCACTGTTTACTGCTTCTCTGTTCAGTGTTTTTACTCTTTTTCTCTCTTTTGTTTAGTTTTGAGCAGTTTCTCTTGCCATGACTTCAAGTACACTAATCTTTTCTTCTGAAATATGTAATCTACTATTAATCCAATGTATTTTCATCTCACATATTGCAATTTTTAATCTAAGTTTAATTTGAGGATATTTTTAATCATCCATGTCTCAACTTTTAGACATGTGAGATACAGTTAAATAAGTATCTTAGTGTTATTTTCTGCTTACTTCTAACTCTATGTTCATTCTGAATTGATTTTGATTGATGAAATTTCTTTCTCATAATTGTTCATATTGTCTTGCTTCTTTTCATGTGTTATAATCTATTGAATACTAGATGTTGTGAAGTTTATCTTTTCAGGCGCTGATATTTTTCATATTTTTATAGATTTTATTTATTTATTGACAGAGTTTCATTGTGTCACTCAGGTGGAAGTGCAGTGGCACGATCTCAGCCTCGATTTCCAGGGCTCAAGTGATGCTCCAACTTCAGCCTTCCTAGTGGCTGGGACTACAGGCATGTACCACCATGCCCAGCTAAATTTCATATTTTTTATAGATACAGGGTTTTGCCATATTGCCTACGCTGGTCTCAAATTCCTAAGCTCAAGAGATCTTACCACCTTGGGCTCACAAAGTGCTGGGATTACAGGCATGCACCACAGCCTGGGCATAAATATTGTTAAGCGTTGCTCTGGGATACAGTAAAGGTGCCTGGAAACAACTTAATCCTTTCATATCTTGCTTTTAGGATTTGCTAGCTGGAACTAGAACCGTATTCAGTCTATGGCTTATTATTCCTATTACTAAAGCAAGATCCTTCTGTGTAAACAACTCAGTGCTACATGAATTATGAGGATTTTCAGCCTGGCTGTTTGCAATGGGCACTATTTCTGGCGCTATGTGAGCATTAGTCAGTGATTTTCTTATCTTTTCTGATTTGGGGGGGATTTTTTTTTCTTCTTTTTTCTCCTGGGCCTGTGCTGGTTTTGTTACATGCATGCTCTGATTAGTACTCTCCTGTATACTTGAGGGAAATCCTCTGCAGATCTTTTGAGCTGTCTCTCTCTGTGCAGCTCTTCCCTCTCTGTTACTCTGTCCTGTGAATTCCAGCTACGTTGGTTTCACTAGACTCTCAACACAACCTATTCAACTTCATGATTAAAACCTGTTTTAATTTTTTTTTTTTCCTGAATCTCCCCTCTCTGGATTACAGACTGGAAACTCTCACAAAACAGGCAGGTGGGATAACTGTAGGGCTCACTTTGTGCATTCTTCATCTTTGATTGATCCACATCCTTCGTTGTCTGATGTCTAATGTCTTGAAAACATTGTCTAATAAATATTTCTGATTTTTTGATTGGTTTAGGAAGGAAGGAAAATCCATTCCTTGATACACCTTCCATCTTATTTCTAAACAGAAATATCAAGTCTGAACAAGGTGATGTTAAATTTCAACTACAATAATATGAATTATAAAGAATATTGTTTGCCAGGCACTCCACGTGCTTAATCTCATTGAATACTCACTCCTCCACATAGAAGCAATATTGTTAATTTCACTCTTCAGATAAAGTAACTGAAGTTCAGTGAGGTCAAGTAACTTAGTCAATGTCACAAGGCTAGTTAGTAGAAGCAATTGATTTAACACTTAATTCAGACCCCTCTGACTCCAAAGGCTTTGATCTTAATGATATTGCTATCCTTTAATAAATGCCAACCTACCCATAATTTTTGTGTTATCATTAGTGACAAAAAGGATCATGATGATATTTAAGACATTTAGAAGTAGTATGATTAGTTTTCCTTAGATCAGATTTTAAACATGTTTATTAAGCCAAAATACTTAATCATACCAGAGATATTATGTGTTTGGGGCTTAGATAAATAAATCTAAATGTCATCTCGTCAAACCCAAATGCCAACACTGTGTGTGAGTCTTCCAACGGCAGAACTTTTGAAAATTTTTTTTTCTCTAATTGCATTAAATACAAGGTCTGTGGGAGCAACAGAATGCTCAATGTTGAGTGGTGCCAAATGCAGGTGAAACAGCTTGGGAAAACAAGTATCATTTGAAAGCTGTACCTAAGGCTTAGCAAGAGCAACGTGTCATTTTATTCCCAACAAATGATCCAGAGTCACCATAAAATTTTACTCCTCCAAATAAAATTGTTTGAATCGAGCTGAAAACTACCACTAAATAAACTTAATCCAAAATTCGAGCAATGTGGATGGAATGGCAAATGAGCCAAGGATTTGGAGAAGTAGGTGGCCCAAGGGCTAGGTAGAGACTGAAGAGTTAGCATTTGTAAAAGCAAGATCTAGCAGGCAAGTCTGAAGTGTTTGGGCTTAATCTCTTGTTAGAACTATCCTTTGTGTCTGAAGAGTCCACTGACCATCTGAGAGAAAATAAACCCCTCAAATGCACCTAGTTTTATCATTCTGTGGCTGAAGATAAAAGAAATAGATGAGTCTTTCACACTCCATGTTATCTTTAACACTGATGCCAGCATGATCTTTTCTAAAACATGAGTTTAACCATGTAGTTTCCCTGCCTAAAAATGCTTACTGTTTCTTTAATACACCATACAAGGGCTTCTACACTCTGTAACCTGCCCTTGCCTCATCTCTTAACACAAATCCATGGCTCAGAAATACTAAATTTCCTGATAATGGCGAAAAATCCCATTTTTTGATGGAAAAAAAATGTGATTACTTCTGCACCAACCTAATATTTTTTAAATATGCTATGTTATTAGATGCCAGCATGCTTTACTTATTGGCTCCATCTCTGATTGGAATGCCCTGTCCCCATTTACCTTCCTAGAAAAAATTTCCTTATCCTTCAAATAACTCCTTAATATCTCCTATTTGGTAGAAATGTTTTTGACTTGCTCAAGTGAATGTCACCACTTCCTCCTTATTCTACCACTGTACCTGGCCCTTACCTCAGTTATTTAATTTATCACACTGTATTACGTGTAAAAATATGTATGCCCATCTCATCTATTTTACTGTGAACCCATGAGGGCAAAGACTATATCCCCCACCATGTTGGATAGCATTGATGTTAGATAAGTAAGTGGCTAAGAAGGACAAAACGAAGAAAGGTAGAAACAATGGACAGAGTAAGAAAGGGTATTCTTGAAATCTTTTAAAAATGATACTAAAATTATAATATCTCTGTTCTGAAAACAGAGGAACACTGTGTTAACCATCAAGGGAAGAAAGATCAGATGTTATGTAGAGCATCCAGAAGACATACTGATCCCATTAGGTTGATGGGAAGACTGCCAAAATTATTTTAACTTTCTTTGCATAGAGTCCGATCATTTGTCTTTGTTTTATTTTTCTTTTTTGGCAATCAAGTGTTTAATCTATATTGGCAGTATAGAGTAAGAAATTATGAAGAACATTTAATTAAATAATAGCAAATATGGTGTCACTCTTAAATAAAGCTCAGATATGTTTGCACTCTAATGTAATGTGGTCAATCCGAACATTTGGATTTGATGTGTCATTTGCTTAAGAATTTATGAAGTTGAGATCACCGTTGCCTTGGTTTCCAAAGGAGACAATAAAATGTCATTGTGAGCTTTGGGCAATGTGTAATTATTAACATTCAACACTAAAAACAAAACGTGTCTGACCATGTGTTGTGATTCTAGGACGATTATAAAGCAAAGAAATAGAAACATTCACACAAAGGATAAATGTTTGAGAGGATGGATACCCCATTCTCCATGATGTGGTTATTACGCATTGCATGTTTGTATCAAATCATTTCAGGTATCCCATACATATATACATCTAATACGCATCCATAAAAATTAAAAATTAAAAAAATATAGAAACACACTAGTTTAAAAAAGCCCTTAGGGCTGGGTGCGGTGGCTCACACCTGTAATCTCAGCACTTTGGGAGGCCGATGCAGGCGGATCACCTGAGGTCAGGAGTTCAAGATCAACCTGGCCAACATGGTGAAACCCCGTCTCTACTAAAAATACATAAAATTAGCTGGGTGTGGTGGTATATGCCTGTAATCCCAGCTACCTGGGAGGCTGAGGCATGAGAATCACTTGAACCCAGGAGGTGTAGGTTGCAGTTTGCCAAGATCACGCCACTGCACTTGAACCTGAGTGACAGAATGAGATTCTGTCTCAAAAAAAAAAAAAAAAAAAAACCCTTAAAAAGCAAATAGTTATGGCCTAAACCTTTCACTTAATAGATGTCAATTTACGGCGAATTGATGGGGAAGTGCAAACAAGAGTTCAGGTTTCATGATTCCCAGACAAAGACACTTTTTATCATACAAGAGATGATATCCTCAATGTACACAAGGATACAATTTACATAACACAGGTTCTATGCTCAAATGCATACAAGCCCCTTGTAGTTAACATAAATGAATGAATTGAGAGAGATGCAAAAGAATAAGGACTAATTGGCATGGAAGTAAACTGGAGAGTAAATGCCTATACAAAATGGGTAACCATCAATTTATGGTTTCTATATGGGAATATAGGCCCAGTGTTTCTTGATCTTATGATTATCCACAAAGAGCCCCAAACCCAAATACCTATGTTATATCTCTTGATACCAACTAATGAAACATTTTTATTCATAATAAATATTGAGGAGGCCATTTTGCTTTTGCTAATGATCAACCTGTACTTCCACTGGGCCTGTGTATAAATATGACATCACAGGAAAATTATTTAAAAGGAATAAGGTTAACAAAAAAATTAATCCTTTTGAAGCTCCAAAAGTGCAACAGTTACCAAAATGACTGTTGTAATTATTATAATATAAAATACCTCTCCTTTTAAAATAATTTACTTCGGTTTCTCTTAGTGAACTCTAGCACATTCAAAATGGGATGATATTTCATGAACAGCTTGATATGCACACAGCTTTTATGTAGCACATTGTATTAGTCTGTTCTCACGCTCCTAATAAAGACATATCCAAGACTGGGTAATTTATAAAGACAAAGAGCCTTAATGAACTCACAGTTCCACATGGCTGGAGAGACCTCACACCATGGCAGAAGGCAAAGGGGAAGCAAAGGCACGTCTTACGTGGTGGCAGGCAAGAGAATATGTGCAGGGAAACTCCCCTTTATAAAACCATCAGATCTCGTGAGACTTATTCACTGTCATGAGAACAGCACGGAAAAACCCACCCCTATGATTCAATTACTTCCCACCAGGTCCTTCCCAAGACACGTAGGGATTATTACAATTCAAGGTGAGATTTGGGTGGGGACACAGAGCCAAGCCATATCACACATCTACCAATAAAATAGAAATACCTGTACTTTTCAATAAAAATTTAGATTTGGCATTAGAATTGTACAGCAAATCCTAATCTTGTTTTCCTTCACTTCTTATCAAGAGTAAAATATCTATATTTCAGATTTTGTGTTACACCATAAAACATTTCATATCTTTGAAATGTATATTGTCCTAATACACATTTCTTCAAATGTTAGCTGAAAGTACAAAATGTATAAAAATTTGGAAAATTAATTCAGTGTAAATACTATTGAATCACATAGATCAGTGGTTCCCAAAGTGTCATCATTGGACCCTTGGGAGTTTCTAAGACACTTTCAGGAGTTCATGAGGTCAAAACTATTTTTATAATTGTATACAGACATTATTTTGCTTGTTCATTATGTGGACGCTTCCAATGATGGTGCAAAAGCAATAGTGGGGACAACTGTTGGAGACTTAACATGAACCAAGAGAGTAGCATTCATCTGTATTATCTTCGTATTATTCACCACCACACTCACAGAAAATGAATTGCCAGGTTCACTTATGTCCTTGAAGAAACACTAAAAAGTGTTACTTTCATTAATTCTCAACCATTGAGTACACACCCTTTTAATATTGTGTATAACAAAGTAGAAAGTATTCATAGAACACTTCTGCAAAATAATGAAGTAAAATGATTGTTTCCAGGAAAAATATTTTGTGCAATTTTTTTCAGCTGCAAGCTAACAATGACCTCATAGTTTTTACAGCTATTACTTTGGTCCACCAAGAATTCCTTTCATTTTCCACCGACAACATCACACTAGTGTCTTTTCCCTGTGTATATGAGGAACCATATTTTCCGAAGTGTACATATGACTCAGTCCTAACAACAGAATTGCCTCATTTCCCTATCCACAGTGATTGGTTCAGGGAAGGGCATATAACACAATTCGAACTAGGGAATTGTTTTGGTGAACTCAGATCAAGGGTCACAGGACTTCGTAAGCCTAGAAGCATGTTTACCAAAATGTGGAGAGAATGTACCTGAGAACAAAGCCAACACTGTGAAAATCAGAGATAGTGCCAAATCTCACTTCAGAAAAATTGTGATTTTTTTTTCCAAGGTGGTAGATTAAAGGATTTTAGCATGCTTCCACCACTTGGAAATAGAAACACAGTACATAAAGACTAATTCTGTGAGCTTCAATTCAAGAAGGAAAATGGGAATCCATTAGAATCATGAAGGATACCCCAGGTCCTGGGGAGGAGAATGCTGGCAAGCAGCCCCCATGACAGCATCTAGCTGATAAAAGTGAGTGAGGGCCCAGTACATGAGAAGGGCAGAGAACCGCCCTCTGTGACTCACTTTTCCATGGAGATTCAACCAACCCGCTCTAAAGAACACTTTGTTTCTCCCAGGCCCTGGAGTTAACTTCGAGAAAGGCTTGGAGATACTATAAGGGAAAGACACCAGGAAAAGCTGCAAACATTATCCAGGCACAGAGCTGAGAACAGGACACCGTTTAAATCTGGTCACATACAAAGTCAGCCATTGTTAGGTGACCCAGCAGTGTGGCCATGCAGGCATTTTAGTGTCAGGCCAGAAATTGGAGTGCTGGCTCTGGAGCGGGGTGGGAGCCTCCACAGCCAGAACTGTAGAAAGTGTCTTAACATTAGGTGCTATAATTGTGCTCTTCCCTGTCACAAGCCTGGGGCAGGAGGAGAGCTTCTACAGCTACAGTTTCTCCAAGGTGGTGAGACTTGCAGCCAGGACCAGCTTGATGACCTGAAACTGATATGCATGTGCCATTGCTGGGTACCCCAGCCTGCTCCCCTGAGAATGTGGTGCAGAGGGGTCCTGTCTGCTCCATTCCCAGGCAGATCTCTAGGTATTCAGAGCACCCATTCGCCTGGTTCAGCAGCCTGAGCTACCCCACCCTTCCTGCAGAGTACAACAGGGCTCTCTCTGCTCCATGCCCAGGCAGATCTCCAGGCATTCAAGCACTTCCTCACCTGGATAAACAGCCTGTCTTGCCCCACCCATTCTGTGCAGAGATCCTGGTATGGGGAAGTCCTTTCTGCTTCATGCCTAGGCAGATCTCTAGGCATTTGGAGCACCCACTCGTATGGTTCAGAAACCTGAGCTGCCTCACCCATTCTGGACATATACTGTGGTGCAGCGAAGCACTCTCTGCTCCACATCCAGGCAGATCTCCAGACATTCAGATCTTGAGCTGGCCCGGATCAGCAGCCTGAGCTGCCCTACACTTCCTTTACAGAGCTCTGAGTGCAGAGGTGCCCTCTGCACTCCACACACAGGCAGATCTCCAGACATTCAGAGAACGTGCTTGCCGGTTCCATCAGCCAGAATCACCCTACCCCTCCTGTGCAGAGATATTGGTGCAGGCAGGCCATCTCTGCTTCACACCCAGACATATCATCAGGCATTCTGAGTATCCACTCATCTGTGTCAGCAACCTGAGCCGCTTCACCCTTCTTGTACATAGATGGTGGTGCACAGGGGGGCCTCTCTGCTCCAAGCCCCAGCACATCTCCAGGCATTGGAAGCAACAGCTTATCTGCATCAGTAGCCGGAGCCATTCCACCTTTCCTGTGCAGAGATCCTGGTGTAGGGGGCCGTCTCTGGAACATACCCTGGCAGATCTCTCGGCATTCAGAACATCTGCTTGCCTAAAGCAGCAGCCTGAGTTGCCTCACCCTTTCTGGACATAGATCGTCATGTAGGAGGGCCCTCTCCTCTCCACGCCCAGGCAGATCTCCAAGAATCTGGAGCACCCTCTCTCCTGGATTAGGAGTTCTGGCCACCCACCACGCCTGTGCAGAGAACATGGGACTGAGTAGATTTCCCAGCTCCATGCCTAGGCATGCCTCTAGGTGCTTAGTGGCCACATGCTGAATTCTTCCTCAGTGATGGTGCTTCTGCCTACCACCAGGGGACCAATAGGTGAACCTGCCCAGTCTGGACCAGCACTTCATGTCCCCTGCCCACCCTGAGCACAGAACAGGGAGCTCAGCTCCTTGTGCATTCCACAAATCAGCCCACTGACTGAAGCAACAAAGAGCTGCTGCCAGTAAACAGAGAGCAATTATATATGCAGCCATGTTGGCCACAGCAGGATCTTACCTCTAAGTAACATTTACTAGATTGTAGACTGAACTGCATAGCCCAATATAAAACCTGTGGAAAGAAGTACATAGGGCTACAGAAGCAAAGCCAAAAGGCCCTACCCAGCATTCTCTGCAATCACAAACACTCCCACAGATGTTGGGGTGCGGAAGAGAGAGAAAGGAAATGGGAAAAATAATATCACAGGGAAAGAAAGCAAAAGAAAATATCCTTCTTGCACAAAAGCAATTACAAAAATTAAAAGTGCCAAAGTCTCCAGATGAGAATGAAACAGTACAATCCTATTACTGGTTACATATCCAAAAGAAAACACATCTTTCTACTAAAACCACACATTCACTCACACGAAAGATAGGGAATCAACCTAGGTCCCCATCAACTGTGGATTGGATATAGAAAATGTGATACATAAATACCATGGAATACTACACAACCACTTAAAAAGAATGAAATCATGTGCTTGCAGCAATATGGATGCAGCTGGAAGCCATTATCTTAAGTGAATTAACACGGGAACAGAACACTAAATATCACATGTTCTCACTTATAAGCGGGAGCTAAACACTGGGTACTCATCTACATACAGGCGGCAATAATAAAACCCAGGGACAACACTAAGAAGGAAGAGGAAGTGGGCAATGGTTGACAAACCAACTATTGGGTACTCTACTCAGTAACTGGGTGATAGGATCATTTACACCCCAAACCACAGCATCACCATTGTATCCAGGTAAAGAGGGTGCATATATTTTACCTGGAGCTGAAATAAAAAATTTTAAAAAACAGTTGTGAAAATGTTTTTCTTTATATAAGCTTTTACGAGGTATAATCTATGTATAGTAACATTCACCAATTTTAAGTGTATAATTGGATCTGTTTGACAAATGCCTATAGTCGTGTAAACATCACCACAATCAAGATAGAGAACATTTTCATCACCCTAAAAAATTTCTTCCTCCTCTTTCAATCAATCCCCTTGTCTTATGGTAAAACGAATCTACTTTCTATTACTATATTTTTGCCTTTCCTAGAATTTATTATACATGGAATCAAATACTTTGTAGACTTTTATGTCTGGCTTTTTTCACTCTGGACAATGCTTTTGAGATTCATTCATTTTATTAGATATTTCAATGGTTTGTTACTTTTTATTGCTTAGCAGTATTCTACTTATATCACAATTTGTCTATTCACTAATTGATAGATATTTGAGTTGTTTCAAGTTTAGAACTATTAATATTTTTTAAACGCTGCTATGAACTGTTGAGAACACATCTTTGTAAGAACATCGGTTTTCATGTATCTTGGTCTTACCATGGAATACTATGCAATCATCAAAAATAACTTTTCAATCTTTTTCCTTTTTGGATAAATATCTCAGAGTAGAATTGCCAGTCAAGTGTACATTTAATTATTGACGTGTCAATAATTTTACACAGTTACCAGTTTAGTTTTGTTGTGAGAACACTTGAGATCCACTCCCTTAGCAAATGAATGTCTAAAATATGTTATTAAATATAGTTTCTATGCTGCATGTTGTATGCTAGATCTCTATAACCTATTCATCTTACAACTTAAAGTTTATACCCTTTGAACAACAGTTCCCCATTTACCCCACCCATCAATCAATTGATATCCATCCTTCTGTTTCTGAGTTTGACATTTTTAGATTTCACCTACAAGTGAGATCATTAAGAATTTGTCTTTCTGCATCTGTTTTAATTCACTTAATGTTTTCAGACTCAGCTTTGTCACAAATGGCAGGATTATTTTATTTTTGTGTCTGAATAATATCACATTATATATATACACACACACACACACACAGTGGGTGTTTTGTTTTGTTTGTTTCCATATTTTAGCTATTGGGAATAATGTTGTCATGAACATGATAATGCAGATAGCTCTCTGACATACTAGTTTTACTTTCTTCATATATACATACACCCTGTAGTGCTATTACTAGATTATATGGTAGTTCTCTTTTTAACTTTTGTGAGGAACCACCAACTATTTTCCATAGTAGCTGTACAATTTACATTCCCACCAACAGTGTGTAAGCGTGTTCCTTCCCTCATATCCTCACCAATATTTGTTATCTTTTTAGCTTTTCATAATAGTCATCCCAACAGGTGTGAATTAATATTGCATTGTGGTTTTGATTTGCATTTTCCTCATGATTAGTAATGTTGAGCACCTTTTCACATACATGTTGGACCATTTGTATCTCTTCTTTGAAAAAATGTCTATTCATGTTTTTGCCCATTTTAAATTTTTATTTTTTTTGGTATTGAATTTTGTGTTTCTTTCATATTTTGAACATTAACCTTTTATCAGATATATGGTTTGCAAATATCTTTTTCACATTTTGCAGAATGGAATGTCTTTTCATCTTGGCAATTGTTTTCTTTGCTATACAGAAGTTTTTAGTTTGATGTAGTCCCCCCTTTGTTTATTTCTGCTATCGTTGCATGTGCTTTTGGTATCATACCCAAAATATCATTGCTAAGACCATGTCATGGACCTTTTCCCCTGTGCGTTTTTATAGTATTATAATTTTACATTTTCAGGTCTTATATTTAAGTCATTAGTCCATTTTGAGTTGATTTTTGTATGTGGTGTGATACAAGGGTCTAATGTCATTATTTTGTATGTGGATAAAATATTTCCCTAACATTATTTATTTAAAAGATTATTCTTTCCCCATTGTGTATTCTTGCAATCTTTGTTGAAAATTAATATACTATAAGTGTGTGAATTTATATCTGGGCTCTCTATTCTATTTCATTGTTGTCTGTGTCTCTTTTTAAACCAGAATCATGCTGTTTTGATTACTGTATCTTTGTAGTATATGATACAATCAAGTACTGTGATGTCTCCAGCTTTATTCTTTTTGTTCAAGACTGCTTTGGCTAGTCAGGTATTTTTGTGGTTCCATACAAACTTTAAGATTATTTTTTCTATCTCTGTGAAAAAAATGTCATTGGGATTTTGATAGGAATTGCATTAAACCTGTGGATTGCTTTGGGCACAGTGGAGATTTTAACGATATTATTTCAATTCATGAGTAAAGAATATCATTCTATTTATTTTCGCTTATTCAATTTCTTTCATCAATGTTTTATAGTTTTCAATATGCATATTGTTCATCTCCTTCTTTAAATGTATTTCGATGTATCTTTTCTGTTGATCTTGTAAATGATGCTGTTTTGTGGATGTCTCTTTTGCATATTCCATTGTTATTGTATAGAAATGCTACTGGTTTTTGCATGTTCATTTTGTATACTGAAACTTTACAGAATTTGTTCATTATTTCTAACAAGTGTTTTTCTTTTGGTGGAGTCTTTAAGGTTTTCTATATATAACCTCATGTCTGCCAACAGAGACAATTTATAGTTTTCCTTTCCGACACAGGTGTCTTTAATTTTGTTCTTTTGCCTAATTTCACAGGGCAAGACATACAGTGCTGTGTATGAGTTCTCAAATTGAATCATGTTCTCAGCTGAATCCAATTTAAGAATTGCTTCACCTAGCCTGATTGTGCCAATTTTGCAGTGTCTCTACCTCACACCGCTCCTAAGTCAGGATAAACCTCCAGAGAACTAGGATTTCAATGGCCACAACACAAACAAAAAAGAACATACATGTGAGAGTGTGCATTCTTGTCTTGATCCTGATCGGAGAAAAAACAAAAAGGTTTCAATGTTTTACTGTTGGATGTGATGTTAGCTGTGAGCTTGACACGAATGGCCTTTATTGTGTTAAAATCCATTACTTCTCTTCCTAATTTGTTGACAGTTTTTATCATAATAGAATGTTGAATTTTGTTAAATGCTTTTTCTATATTGAGTTCATTGTATGGTTTTAGTCCTTCCTTCTGTTAATTTAGTGTATCATATTTATAGATTTGTGTGTGCTAAAACATCCTGGCATCCCATGGATAAATTCTACTTTATCAGGGTGAATGATCCTGTTAATGTGCTGAGATATTTGGTTTGCCTATATTTTCTTGAAGATTTTTACATCTGTGTTCATCTATGATATTGTCCTGTAATTTTATTTTCTTGTAGTGTCCTTGTGTGGCTTTGATGTCAGGTATTACTGACCTTGTAAAAGTTTGAAAGTATTTCTTCCTATTCAATTTTTTTGAAAGACTTGGAGAAAGGTTGGTATTTGTTCTTTAAGTGTATGTAGGTCCACATAGCAGGTTGGTGCTGGAGTCTTTAAGCAGGCTGGCCTGGTGCCTAGGTTAGCAGATAAGCAGTTATGGGTCCTGGGTCTGTGGGGGGCCAGCTTAGGCCCATCTACTGGGATGAACCTGGACCCTGGATCTGCTGAATCAGGGTTGGATTATGGGTCCATGAGACCTAGGGTGGCAGGAACTGGCCAGAATTCTGGAGCCAGCCTGGTGCTGGTGTAGGCCTGGTCCCTGGATCCACAGAGGCACGTGGAACCAGGGTCTATGGATGCTGTCCTGGTGCCTAGGGCTGTAGGGGCTAGCTTGGAGCCTAGTTCCACAGGGGCAGGCCTGGAGGCTGGGTGTGTGGGTGTTGGCCTGTAAGCTAGGTGTATTAAGGCTGGCTTAGAGCCTGGGGTCATGAGGGTCAACTTGGTTGGAGGGTTGACCTAGAGGTTGGGTCTATGGGAGCAGGCCTGTGTCATACAGCAATAGGGGTAGCACTGGAAAGTGGGTCCTCAGGAGAAACCGTGGAGCCTGGTCCTTGGGGGTCAGTTTGGTCCTGGGGTCTAGAGGAATGAGCCTGGACCCTTGGTCTTCTGGTGCGTACCTGGACCCTGGGTCTCCTGGTGCGTTGGGCCTCATGGGCTGGCCTGGCACTGAGTGGGCTGAATCCTCTGTCTATAGGGGGTTGGCCTGAGGGCTGGTTCTGTGGTTGCTGGTCTGGTGCCTGAGGCCACAGGGGATGGCCTTGAGCTGTGGTCTGAGGGTACTGTCGTGGTACTGAGGTGGGCCTAATGGTAGGATCCATGAGTGCTGGCCTGGAATCTGGGGCTACAGAGGCCAGCCTAAAAGTTGGGTCTCAAGGTACCAGACTGGGACCTGAGGCCATAGGGGTTGGCCTGGTGATAAGATGAACTTGAGCTTGGAACTATGCATGTGAGCAGGGCAAAGGAGCAGACTGTGTTCTGAGTCAGCAGGGGCTAGCCCAGACCTGGGATGTCCAGAGTGTTGGCTTGGCACTAGGAAGGGCCTGGAATCTGGTTCTGCAGCTCCCCACCTGGAGTGTGGGGCTGCAGGAGCCATACTGGTGCTGGATTAGGCATAGTGGTCGGGTCTGCAGGGCCCATATGTGCTGGGGTCCCTCTGTGGTCTGAAATCACTGGGGATGGTCTGGCAGTGGAGTGGACCTGCAACCTTGGACATAACTAGAACCAGAGTCTGTGGAATTCACTCTAGAGCTGTGATAGACCTGGTGGTGGGGTGAACCTGAAACCTGAGTCTGCAGGAACCGGTCTAGCCTCTAAAGCTAAGGGGACTATTCTGTTGATGGGGATTTCCTAAAGCCTGTGTTCATGGGTGCTGGCTTGATGCTGGGGCTGATCTTGAGTCTGGGACCTCTGGGGTGAGCCTGAAACCTGAGGCTGTGAGGTCACCCTGGAGCCTGGGTTTGAGGTGTTGGCCTGGTATTAGGGAAGGCCTAGAAGTTCAGTCTGTGAGTATCATCCTAGAGTCAGGGCCTGTAAGGTCATGCTAGGCTCTGGGTTTTACTGGGGAAACCTAGTGTTGGGGTCCAAGGCAATGTCCTGTGCTCATTTCCCTCTCCTCCCAATAAAAGGGTATCTCTCTCCATATTTCACTGCCTGGAATGGGCGAAGAGTGAGGTGGATAATGTGAAACGGTCCTTCCTACCATCTTCGATGTGTCTTTTCTCATTTGTTCTTATTTGTGCAAAGCTATTTTTCAGGAAATATATGTTCCTAGGACAATAAACTTATAGTTCAAAATACAGCAATGCCTCTGAAATTACACTTTTAAATAAATAAATTGTGTGATTAATAAATAAAATATTAATGATGTTGAAATGAAGGCCCAGATATGAATGTCATGTTGTTATTGCAACCTCCGCCTCATGGGTTCAAGTGATTCTCCTGCCTCAGCCTCCCAAGTAGCTGGGAGTACAGACACACACCACCATATCCAGCTTATTTTTGTATTTTTAGTAGAGACGGGGTTTCACCATGTTGGCCAGGATGGTCTTGATCTCTTGACCTCGTGATCCACCCACCTCAGCCTCCCAAGGTGCTGGGATTACAGGCGTGAGCCACCGTGCCTGGCTGATTGTTTTTTACATGGATATTTCTGCAAGAGGACAAGCTGAAGAGTCCTATTCCACGACCTTGCTGATGTCACTCTCATTGAGCTTTTTTACAAAGCCTTGCTTACATTTAACTCTGAAGGTTTTTTTGATACACAGAAGGTTTAAATGTCATTATAGTCATAATTATCAATATTGTCTGCTACGGTTTGTGTTTTTTAGGTTTTTATTTAAGGGATTCTTCTTTACTACCAAACACAACTTTAATCCACCAGGAAGGTATTTTTGTGTTATTGTATTAAGGAAAACTTTAATTTTATTTTTCTATATGCTAACTAATTTTTTCAGCAATTCTATCCAGTTATACGTAATGTCACTTCTGTCATATATCAAGTTTCTGTATATAAGTAAGTGTGCTCTTTTTCAGGGGCTCCTATTCTGTCTTCTAGTGTCATACCAGGTAGCACAAAGGCTCTCAATGCAAAATTGTTGAATCCCAATGAATAATAAATAATCATTCTTGTAATCATAAGATAATACTTAGGGGTGTATAAAGACCTATAATGTACTAAGATTTTGATCATATCATTTTAATAATACAAATTTTTAAAAATATTTTATGTAATGAATATATCCAACAATGAAGAATTGGTTAAAAACTGACACTATTTTTAGACAATGAAAAGATGTGCTTTTTTTGAAATCTAACCTGACAAACATAAACTTACTGACACTGAGAAATATTCACTAGTTACTAATGGGGAGAAAAACACAGGATACATCAATAAAATAACCATTTTATTTTAAAATATTGTATTATGACATATAAGAAAAAGCATCTGAAACAATAAACACTACATTGGTAAAGGTAATTATTTTGGCGGAATGGAATTACAAGTAATATTTATTTTCTTCTTTTCCCTTATTTGTATTTTTCCTTATTCTAAATATTTTGCTATGTAACAATTTCACTTCTCATGGCTTCCTTATCATAATTCTAAAAGAAGAATGCATTGCTTGACATTTTACAAACTTCACTGGGGTTTCAGTGTTGTAGAAAGAACGTTTGCTTTGAAGTGAGGTAAACTGTAGTTCAGAATCTGTTCCCAGCATTTTCTGGCCATGTGCTGTCTCTGAGCCTTAGTTTCTGCACTCATAAAATTAAAGTAATTCATGGAACTGTTGTGAGGAATATATTAGTACGTGTAAAGAAGATAACACAGTGCCTAGCACATTAAAAAGTACTGAAACCATGTAGATATTAATATTAATGATATAAAACAAAGAGATCATTACAAAATCCACTGGGTGGTGGAAATAATGCAGATGGACGAAAATTCATCTTATGGGATAAAAATGGCCACATGAGATAAGAGAAGTAATCTTATCGGAATTGAATAGGATGGAGAAAATATCTTAAATCATGTATCCAAAAGACAAGGAAGCTAAATAAGAGCTTTGCCAGAGATTTTCTTCTTGGGAGGATATTCCCTGAGCACGTGTTGTACAAATGTCCCTGCTTGTGTGTTTGTGCATGTATGTGTTCGTGTTTGTATTCAATTTGGCTTGCTATTGTTTTGCTCTACAATAAAATAACAGTGCTCAATACATTTCAATTTGAAGAGAACAGCAACAATTTATGATATTGAATAACTGTGGAAAATCAAATAACTTTGGGCCATGTTTCAGGAAATAGGACACTAAAAAGGTCACGTTTTATAGCTAAAATTTGCCCTGCTGTAGTTTTGCATAATAAATCATTGTGGACCTTACCAAAAGTTTAAAGCCAGGTTTCCTTATGGTTACCATAGTGAATGGAATAGAACTCGAGGGTTAATTCTAATGCATTCTAAAATAAAGCTGTATTATAAATTATATAATTATTATGAAACATATTTCAAATTGACCAATAGCCAGCGAATGCAGTATGGTAATGCATATACATATGTATATAAACAAACGTTGACAATCAAATTTCTCTTGTGTGAGTCTTGATATAAAGAGTCTTGCAAAGGTACTAAAAAAAATCAAAACAGGGACAGAACTTACCTGACTTTGAATTATATTCAGGATGCAATATGAGAAGAATGCATACCTTTCAAAGCACTGAAAGCATTTAATTAATGAGAAGTTGTTTTTCAGCTCTAAGGTAATGAAAATAGAATTGGTATTGGCTTTAGAAGACTTCAGTGAAATCTTGACCTTGCCATCCATACCTCCATTCTGCGGTTTACAATCTCATCTTCAACCTCTTTATTAGATATTCTCTCCTGTCTTTACTGATACTGGGTATTCATCACTTTTCTTAAAGCCCTCTCAAAATAAATTATGCTTATGTTTTCTATACCCCAACTAATTCAAGGTCAAGAAGTGTCTTTATCCTACTTCTAGACTAGTATTCAACCATGGTCATATAAAAACCATTGCTTTTTGAAGGCTCATGGCATTCAGCTATATCACCTTTTAAGTCTCCTTGTTATTCTACCAACTAATTATTGGTCACTCCCTTATTTAAGGGGTCAGCAAATTATAGCTCATGAGCCTATAACACCTGAAACGGCTTTATTTCTCTAACCTTAAGCTCAAATAATCTCACTCTTCATTCACAACTATACTCATTTTGCTTTGTCAAGGAAATTACTCTAGAGATGGATTTGAGGGACATTTACATAAAACCTATACTCGCTCTCATGTGATAAACAGGTACATGCCCATAGGGATAAGAAAGAAAATGCAGGCTGGCCGCGGCGGCTCACGCCTGTAATCCCAGCACTTTGGGAGGCTGAGGCGGGCGGATCACCCAAGGTCAGGAGTTCGAGACCAGCCTGGCCAACATGGTGAAACCCCGCCTCTACCAAAAATACAAAAATTAGCTGGGTGTGGTGGTGGGCACCTGTAGTCCCAGCTACTTGTGAGGTTGAGGCAGGAGAATCGCTTGAACCTGGAGGCAGAGGTTGCAGTGAGCCGGGATCAGAGAGCACCGCACTCCAGCCTGGGTGATAAGCGCGAAATTTCGTCTCAAAAAAAGAAAGAAAGAAAGAAAATGCAAAGACAGAACTTTAGGAAATGCTTACGTTTTGAGGACTAGAGAAGTCACGGATGAATCCTGAGAAGACACTATCAGAGATGTAGAAGGAGGTATAGGAGAATGAAGTATTTTGGAAACCATGGAAGGGTAGCCGGCAAGAAAAAGGTGGTCATAGTGCCAAACGCCGCAGAGAAGTTAAAAAGTATAAGGATTGAAGCAAAGTAGTAAATTATTTGCAAAGCACTGGAAAGCATTTTGTCTGAATACAAGGATATCAGCTCTTATCTTTCTTCTCAAAAGAACCTTTTTGTTCCATAACATTCATTAGATTGTGCAAACCTATTTTTCAGGGAATATATGTTCCCAGGACAATTAAACTTGTAATTCAAAATACAGCAATGCTTCCAAAATTACACATTTAAATAAATATATTGTGTGATAAAATATTAATGATGTTGAAATGAAGCCACATATGAATGTCATGCAGAAAGGGGTATCTTTATATTTGCTAGTCTAGTTACCAAAACTCAAGGCAAACCAGCAACAGTAGAGATGAGAACTGGTTGGACCAAGACATTCTTTGTGACTCTCCCTTCTATCCCTCCCCTAATTCAAGCTCTTTACCCAGGGATTTCCAAAAATAAAAGTATGATATTCTCCATTATCTTCATTTTGATCACTTCTCAGCACACTGATAAGGTTATTTAGTTTTCTTGTTTTTCAGCATCATTTGGAATAAAGAAAGTGAATTCAAAGTCAGAAGCACAGGAGAAAAACTTTCGTACCCTTAACAGGCATTTGTTGAGGGCCTGCTGTGTGTTAGTCGCTATACTTCAGGGGAAGAGGGGCAGCAGTTCCAATGCAAAGTATAAATTGGAGAACAAAAAGAATATACAACTTTTGGAAAGTGCAAGGTGAACCAAAATTTTGTTTTCATTTGTATAGCTGCTTTAAGGATGATTTGCTTCCCAAGTTTAATGTAGACTGATACTTATCTATGAAAAAAATAATAAAAGAAAATATTCATAAGGGCATTTGATTATGAAATATTCAGCTACCTGTGGGGTAATCAAACTTCATCTCTGAAGGTCCTGATTTCTGAAAAATAAAAGGATGAAGAGAGTTGCAGGGAGTGCTTCAAAGAAGTTAGACGTATGTGCACTGAAAGCAAAATGTCACAAATCTATACAAAATCTCTTTTCTAACGTAATGCTACAGTGGAGAGTAGACAAACACCACAGTTCTCTATCATGAGATGAGCCACCAGCAAATTGCTTTGGTGCAGACACAAGACCTCTGGTAGATCTAAAAGTAAAAATCTAGATTTCAATAAAGGATCAAGTGGAGGGCATCTAGGAAAAGGTTGGGACAAGATGGAGTAACAGGGTAAAGGAAACATTTTTTTCAACTTTTTGGAATAGTTGACAGAAATAAGTGTGTGTATGGGCCTGTAAGGCCTGGGAGTTGGGGGCAGTGTGTCTGTAGAATGCAGAGACAACTAGTCATCATTAGCAGCAAACTCCACACAATATGGGTTCTGTGTGAATCTTCTCAAGAGCATGACAAGGAATCAAAAAGCCCCATTGTACAGGTTCCCCAAGGATTTAGCCATTGTTTATTCACGAATGGACACTCTGTATCTAAATTTTGGCAGAATGGAAACATAGGCTTGACAACTTCATATAGCAACCACTGAAGTAAGGCTGAATTAATTATATTTTTATAATTAAAATATTTATAATATTTTATCTGGTGTTTTCTTATTAATAAATTTTTCTTTTCAACTTTTTGGTGAAATATAATTTATAGATAGAAGAGTGTACTGCTATGGTTGAAGTATTGGTCTCCTATCAAAACTCTTGCTGAAACTTAATCCCCAGTGTGGCAGTATTGAGAGGCGGGGCGTTTAAGAAGTAATTGAGTCTTGACAGCTCTGTGCTTATAAATAGATAAATTAATTCATGGATTAATAGGTTAATGGGTTAATGCATTGATGGGTTATCATGGGAGTGAGACCAGTGGCTTTGTAAGAAGAGGGAGAAAAGCCTGAACTAGCATGTTTAGCCTCTTCATCATGTGATGGCCTACACTGCATTAAGACTCTGCAAAGAGTCCCCACCAGCAAGAAGGCCTTCACCAGCTTCAGCCCCTTAACCGTGGACATCTCCGTCTCCAAAACTATAAAAAGTAAATTCCTTTTCTTTATAAATTACCCAGTATATTAGTCTGTCCTCACACTGCTAATAAAGACATGGCTGAGACTGGGTAATTTATAAAGAAAAGAGGTTTAATGGACTCACAGTTCCATGTGGGTAGGGAAGCCTCACAATCATGGCAGAAGGCAAATAAGGAGCAAAGTCACATCTTACATGGTGGCAGGTAAGAGAGTGTGTGCAGGGGAACTCCCCCTTATAAACATCAGATCTTGTGAAACTTATTCACCATCACGAGAACAGCTAAAAAAAAAATGCACCCCTGTGATTCAAATACCTCCCACCAAGTCCCTCCCACACACGTGGGGGTTATTACAATTCAAGGTGAGATTTGGGTGGGGACACAGAGCCACATCATATCATTCCACCCTCACCCCTCCCAAATCTCATGTCCCTTTCACATTTCAAAACACCATCATGCCTTCCCAAGAGTCCCCCAAAGTCTGAACTCATTTCAGCAGTAACTCAAAACTTCACAGTCCAAAGTCTTATCTGACACAAAGCAAGTCCCTTCCACCTATGAGCCTGTCAAATCATAAGCAAGTGAGTTACTTCCCAGATACAATGGGGGTACAGGCATTGGGTAAATATACCCTTTCCAAATTGGCCAAAACAATTTCTTCACACAAGTCCAAAATCCAATAGGGCATTCATTAAACCTTAAAGTTCCAAAATGATCTTCTTTGATTCCATGTCTCATATCCAGGTCACCCTAATGCAAGAGGTGGGTTCCCATGGCCTTGCGTAGCTCTGCTCCTTTGGCTTTGCAGAGTACAGCGCCCCTCCCAGTTGCTTTCACAGGTTGGTGTTGAGTGTCTGCGGCTTTGCCAGGTGCACAGTGCAAGCTGTTGGTGGATCTACCATTCCAGGATCTGGAGGACAGTGGCCCTCTTCTCACTGCTCCACTGGACAGTACCTCAAGTGGGGACTCTGTGTGGGGGCTCACACCCCAAATTTCCCTTCTGCTCTGCCCTAGCAGAGGTTCTCTATGAGGGCCCTGCCCCTGCAGCAAACTTCTGCCTGGACATTCAGGTATTTCCATAAATCCTCCGAAATCTAGGCAGAGGTTCCCAAACATCAATTCTTGATTCTGTGCACCCACAGACTCAACACCAAATGGAAGCTGCCAAGGCTTGGGTCTTGCACCCTCTAAAGCAATGGCCTGAACTGTACCTTGGCCCCTTTTAGCCATAGCTGGAGCTGAAGCAGCTGAGAGGCAGGGCACCAAGTCCTGAGGCTGCATAGAGCAGGGGGGCCCTGCGACATGCCCATAAAACCATTTTTCCCTCCTAAGCCTCCAGGCCTCTGATGGGAGGGCTTGCTGCAAAGACCTCTGACATGCCCTGAAGACATTTTTCCCATTGTCTTGCGATTAAAATTTGGCTCCTCGTTACTTATGCAAATTTCTGCAGCAGGCTTGAATCTCTCCCTGGAAAATGGGTTTTTCTTTTTTATAGCCTCATCAGGCTGCACATTTTTCAAACTTTTGTGCACTGCTACCTGTTGAATGCTTTATAGATTAGAAACTTCTTCCACAAGACACCCTAAATTATCTCTCTCAAGTTCAAAGTTCCACAGATCTCTAGGAAGTTCCAAGCTTTCCCACATCTTCCTGTCTTCTGAGCCCTCCAACTCTCTAGGAAGTTCCAAACTTTCCCACATTTTTCTGTCTTCTTCTGAGCCCTCAAATCTGTTCCACCTCTGCTTGCTACCTAGTTCCAAAGTCATGTCCACATTTTTGGGTATCTTTACAGCAGCACCCCATTCCTGATAACCATTTACTGTATTAGTCTGTTCTCACACTGCTAATAAAGATATACCCAAGACTGGGTAATTTGTAAAGGAAAGAGGTTTAATTGACTCACAATTCCACATGGTTGGGGAGGCCTCCCAATCATGGCGGAAGGCAAAGGAGGAGCAAAGTCATGTCTTACATGGTGGCAGGCAAGAGAGTGTATACAGGGGAACCCCCCCTTATAAAACCATCACATCTCGTGAAACTTATTCCCTATCACAAGAACAGCATGGGAAAAACCTGCCCCCATGATTCAATTACCTCTCACTGGGTCCCTCCTATGACACATGAGGATTAATACAATTAAAGGTGAGATTTGAGTAGGGACACAGAGCCAAACCATATCACCCAGTTTCAGGTATTCTGTGATAAGCAACAGAAAGCACAGTAAGATATGCATATAAGTGAAAAACTCAGTGATTTTTTTCACAAGCTAAGCATAACTCATACAATGAGAAGATGAATCAGGACATAAAATATTACCAGTTTCCCAAAAGCTCTTTCATTGCCCCTCCCAAGTGTCTAATAAGTATTCAGATTTAACTACGTAAAGAGTCCCTGTCTTCCAGTTGAGAAATTCACAAGAACTCTGAGGAGAAGGAGGGAAGAATAACATGTCAACCAAGCAATTTTGAAGAAACAGAATTACCTGGGGGAAACCTCTGTGTCATTCGTTTATAAGTGCTACAACGGAAAGGAAGTGTACTTGGGAGTTTTATAGTCAAATGGGCTCAGATCCTTATATTGCAGGTGGCAAAGAGGAGTTGCAAAGCTATTCCTATCTACATCTACTCAATATTTTGCAGAAACCTATGAGGAGGTTAACAGGCAATTTCCTACATCAGCTTTTTAGAAAAAAGAGTTCCAAACATAAGAAACATTTTACTGTAGTACAGCACCTGGGGCTGATGCACTTTGCTAGAGAAAGTAATAACAATGCTGTGATGGGGCCACTTCATGCTACCTAACTCCAAGTGCTAACTCCTGTCTTTTATTAAACTTTCTCTCTGTCCCCATGGAGATGTTATACTCTTGTCTGTTCTGATCTTACACTGTCCTTTATAGTTTATCTTGATTCACATTATATTCTGGCACAGTTAATATTGTCATTTCTGTATTTGTCTCACCTTTTGCACAAAAGGGTAAGGAACTTAAAGTCAGGCAAATTAAATTATAAATTATATTTGTTTCTGCCTTCTTTCATGCCTACTTCAGAAGCTCTCTTTCATACCCCCTGCCAATACATCCGTAAAAGTGTGTACACATGGGTACATACATGCAGTTTGGATCTCAGAAGTAATTATTAGCTTTGTTAAACTCATACTATTTCAGTTTGGCAAATGCATTTCATAATACCTATTCTGCCATGTAACAGTATCATTGTTTACACTGGTCCCCCTTCCTCAATCAATTCTTAGAATTTAAGAGCTTTCATGTAAATATCAGTAGGAATGTGTTCAACTTCCAGAGCCAAATGGACTAAGAGTCCACACAAGCAGTACAATAAAACTAGGCTTGAGGAAGAATATAGCTTTTTCTCTGTTGTTTTGGAGTCAGGAATTCCTCTTTTAAGTTTCAGAATAAATTAAGAATAAAACAATGACATTTTTAAAAGTACATACCATTTGATGTGACACAGCTAAGAGACATGGGAACATTTGTCTTGTACTCAGGATGTCTTAATATCACACTCTATTTATCAGCTTTTCCAGATTTTAAAGACACTTTTGTCAATAGCTATACCATGTACGTTTTAACTAATTCTGTCACATTTAAGATTAAACTGTTAATAGAAATACTTTTGAAAGACATCAATCAATTTAAAATGATGACTAACCAATAAATATTAAAAATTAAAGTAAAGTACTTAAAGCCATTTTTGTTTCTCTTCTATTTCTCTTTTCATTTCCATCCCCTCTAAATTTGGAATCTATTTGTTATCTCTCTTTCCTCTTCTGCTGGTTTCTCTCTCTCTCTCTTCTTTGTCTATGTCTTCCTCTGTCTCATAAAAAAAAAGTTTAGCTTTGTTTCAAATTCAACTATCAATTATGCTCTAAGTGTTTTATATTTTCTCGTTGCCTTGCTTCAAATTCCAACACTTCTAGTTTTGAAATTTTTAAATAACAGCTAAAGCAAAGCAGAATTGCCAGTCAGACATTATTTTAATTGAATTTTATTTCTGGGAGTCAGAAGAGTTTTATTTTGTCAATATAATATCAAAAATATTGTTATGTCTTTCATAAATCTATTTTTTAAGTCAACTAATCAATGAAGGAGTAAATCAACAGTCATTTACTGACTTTATACTATACTCAGGGCATTGATTAAAACCAAATATAACCACTGACCTGGAAAAATGTATGGTCTACCAGGGAATACTGAAAAGTAAAATGATAATTTTTAAATGGTAGTAAAAGGTACAGAGTATAACCAAGTGCAATGCAAGCATGTGTTGGGGAGGTGAAAGTGAACAAAAGTCTTGAGAGGCTAGGAAACTTTTTCAGAGGAAGTGGCTACAACTGTTTTAAACTCTAGGCAGACATCTGCCCCAACCTTTACATAAACAAATGCATCCCAAAAGCAACAAGAGGAAGTGTGAATTTTTTGAGTCTGTCATGGACTTAGTTTTAGATCTCACAGAACAAAGACCTTTAAATTAAGGAGAAAAAGTACTTAAAGATCTGTGAAAGGTGGTTAATCTGCTAATTAGCATTTCAAAGGACAGTGGTAGAGGGAACAGCACGCTTAGAATCTGTGAAAGCCAGGGTGTCAAGTACTGCTTAGCTAGATATTCTTCTATCTCTTTGTGGCTGCTCAGAGGTCTATTGGAAATATATTCTGGCCATTTTTTCTACTCTGCACTCAGAGAAGCATGGCTCCTGTTACCTCGCAGGGAGTTGCTTTGCTCTGAAGTGTTTTAGTTTCACAAAGTACAAATAAAAATTGTGGCCAAATTAAAACCTTATGTAAAATTTTAAGGAAAAAATGACTTCAATGCAGGATATCAAAGAAAGTGATTATTTTTTATTTTTCAAAAAACTGAAATAGACAGACTTGTGGGTAAAAATGGTGAAAAAAGGAACTCTGGAAATCCTCTTGTCAGAGACATTCAAAATAGATTGTCTCCATCTTGAACAGGGGATGGATAAAATAAGGCTGAGACCTACTGGGCTGCATTCCCAGGAGGTTAGGCATTCTATGTCACAGGATGAGACAGGAGGTCAGTACTGTCTCACGTGTCCATGTGAAGAGACCACCAAACAGGTTTTGTGTGAGCAATAAAGCTGTTTATTTCACCTGGGTGCAGGCGGGCTGAGTCCAAAAAGAGAGTCAGCAAGCGTGGTGGGATTATCATTAATTCTTATAGGTTTTGGGATAGGCGGTGGAGTTAGGAGCAATGTTTTGCGGGCAGGGGGTGGATTTCACAAAGTACATTCTCAAGGGTGGGGAGAATTACAAAGAACCTTCTTAAGGGTGGGGGAGATTACAAAATACATTGATCAGTTAGGGTGGGGCAGAAACAAATAACCATGGTGGAATGTCATCAGTTAAGGCTATTTTCACTTCTTTTGTGGATCCTCAGTTGCTTCAAGCCATCTGGATGTATAGGTGCAGGTCACAGGGGATATGATGGCTTAGCCTGGGCTCAGAGGCCTGACATTCCTGTCTTCTTATATTAATAAGAAAAATAACATAAAATAATGTTGAAGTGTTGGGGCAGCGAAAATTTTTGGGGGTGGTATGGAGAGATAATGGGCGATGTTTCTTAGGGCTGCTTCGAGCGGGATTAGGGGCGGCGTGGGAACCTAGAGTGGGAGAGATTAAGCTGAAGGAAGATTTTGTGGTAAGGGGCGATATTGTGGGGTTGTTAGAAGAAACATTTTTGTCGTATAGAATTATTGGTGATGGCCTGGATACGGTTTTGTATGAATTGAAAAAAGAACAGAATAAGACAAGGAGAAAAACAGGTATTAAAGGACTAAGAATTGGGAGGACCCAGGACATCCAATTAGAGAGTCCCTAAGGAGGTTCAGCATAGCCCTGTCAGCCAAGATTATTTATTTACTTTAAAAGGGAGTTAAGAGTGGCGGTTTTGGGATAGCGCCAGGAGATATCAGCTGTGATGGCTTGGAGAAACAGTGTAAATGGGCAGTGTAAACAAGATTAGGGCATTTATGAGTAGTTGAGAATAGTGGATAGGAGTATGACTAGACAGAAGATAGTAGGGATGACAAGCTTTTGGGGGCACAGTCCAAGTTGGTCTGGTGTCTGGAATGAGACTGCGGCCTAACAAAAAGGAGCATCTACACAGGAGTTTAAATGGGCTGTACCTTGTAGCATTCCGAGGACAGGCCCAAATTCTGAGAAGGGCAAGTGGTAAAAGTATTGTCCAGTCCTTTTTAAGTTGGTGGTTGAGCTTGGTGAGGTGTGTTCTTAAAAGACCATTAGTCCATTCTACCTTTCCTGAAGACTGAGGACTGTAAGGGATATAAAGGTTTCACTGAATACCAAGCACCTGAGAAACTGCTTGGCTGATTTGACTAATAAAGGCCAGTCCGCTATCAGACTGTATAGAGGTGGGGAGGCCAAACCGAGGAATTACGTCTGACGGAAGGGAAGAAATGACTGCAGTGGCCTTCTCAGACCCTGTGGGAAAGGCCTCTACCCACCCAGTGAAAGTGTCTACCCAGACCAAGAGGTATTTTAGTTTCCTGACTCGGGGCATGTGAGTAAAGTCAATTTGCCAGTCCTGGGCGGGGGCAAATCCTCGAGCTTGATGTGTAGGGAAGGGAGGGGGCCTGAGAAATTCTTGAGGAGTAATAGAATAGCAGATGGAACACTGAGAAGTGATTTTCTTGAGGACAGATTTCCATGATGGAAAGGAAATGAGAGGTTCTAAGAGGCGGGCTAGCAGCTTGTAACCTACATGGAAGAGGCCATGAAATGATGATAGAATAGAATGGGCCTGTGAGGCTGGAAGGAGATATTTTCCTTGGTCCAAGAACCATTTGCCTTGTGTGGGAAGAGATTGATAGGTGGAAGTTTCAGTGGGAGAGTAGGTGGGAGTGACCAGTGAGAAGGAGAAAAACTGGCCATGAGGGACAGAAGTTGAAATGCTAGCTGCTTTTTAGCTACCTTATCAGCATAAGCGTTGCCCTGAGTGATGGGATCTGATGCCTTTTGATGGCCCTTGCAGTGAATGACTCCAGCTTCCTTTGGAAGTAAAGCGGCCTTGAGAAGAGTTTTTATTAAAGAGGTATTAATGATGAAGGACCCTTGCATAGTGAGGAAACCTCTTTCTGCCTATATAACAGCATGGTGGTGCAGGATATGGAAGGCATATTTAGAGTCAGTATGAATATTGATGGGTAGTCCCTTTGCAAGAGTGAGGGCTCGAGTTAAGGCAATGAGTTCGGCTTGCTGAGAGGTAGTGGAGGGGGGAAGAGCAGTAGCGTCAATGATAAGTGTGGAAGATACTATAGCATAGCCCGTCTTTGCTGGTGAGTGGCAATTAGGCCTAGTGGAACTGCCATCAATAAACCAAGTGTGATCAGGGTGAGGAACAGGAAAGAAGGAAACATGGGGAAATGGAGTGAATGTCAGGTGGATCAGAGAGATACAGTCATGGGGTTCAGGAGTGTTATCCGGAATAGTGTGGGAGGCCAGATTGATGTCCAGGCCAGGAACAATGGTAACTGTGGGAGACTCAACAAAGAGTGAGTATAGCTGAAGGAGCCGGGGAGCAGAAAGTATATGTGTCAGGTGTGAGGAAGAAAATAGATTTTGGAAGTTATGAGAACTGTAGAGACTGAGTTGAGCAGAGTTTGTGATTTTGAGGGCCTCTAAAAGTATTAGGGCAGCAGCAGCCACCGCATGCAGACGTGAGGGCTAGGCTAAAACAGTAAGGTCAAGTTGTTTGGACAGAAAGCCTACAGGGCGTGGTCCTGGCTCTTGTGTAAGAACTCCAACCACACAGCCCTGCACTTTGGCTGTGTGTGATGAAAACGGTTGGGCTGAGTAAGGGAGAGCTAGTGTGGAGGCAGCTTCTAGGGATGTTTTTAAGGAACAGAAAGAGGAGTGGCAAAAGGATTTAGGATCTATGGGATCAGCTAGGTTTGGTTTTGTGAGTTTATATAACGGTTTTGTTAGGATGGCAAAACCAGGTATCTAAAGGTGAAAGTATCCAACCATGCCCAGGAAGGAAAGGAGTTGTTGTTTTGTAGAAGGGGTTGGGGTTTGGGAGATTAGCAGGACACGATCAGCAGGAAGAGCATGTGTGTTTTCATGAAGAATTATGTTGAGATAGGTAATGAATGAAGAAGAAGTTTGGGCTTGACTGAAGTAATGGGGGCTGTCCGCGAAGCCTTGCGGCAGTACAGCCCAGGTAATTTGCTGAGCCTGATGGGTGCCAGGGTCAGTCCAAGCGAAAGCGAAGAGAGGCTGGGATGAAGGGTGCAAAGGAATAGTAAAGAAAGCATGTTTGAGATCCAGAACAGAATAATGGGTTATAGAGGGGTTGTGGAGGGAGGTATTGAGGATAGGAGAGTATATTGGCACCACGGGGTGGATAGGCAAGACAATTTGGTTGATAAGGCACAGATCCTGAACTAACCTGTAAGGCATGTCCGGTTTTTGGACAGGTAAAATGGGGGAATTGTAAGGAGAGTTTATAGGCTTTAAAAGGCCATGCTGTAACAGGCAAGTGATAACAGGCTTTAATCCTTTTAAAGCATGCTGTGGGATGGGATATTGGCATTGAGCTGGGTAAGGGTGATTAGGTTTTAATGAGAGGGTAAGTGGTGCATCATTTGTTGCCAAGGAGGGAGTAGAGGTATCCTATACTTGTGGATTAAGGTGGGGGGGATATGAGAGGAAGACATGAAGGAGGCTTTGGGTTGGGAAGAAGGGTGGCAATGAGATGTGGCTGTAGTCCAGGAATAGTTAGGGAAGCAGATAATTTAGTTAAAATGTCTCAACCAAAAAAGGGAACTGGGCAGGTGGGGATAACTAAAAAGGAGTGCATAAAAGAATATTGTCTAAGTTGGCACCAGAGTTGGGGAGTTTTAAGAGGTTTAGCAGCCTGGCCGTCAATACCCATAATAGTTATGGAGGCAAGGGAAACAGGCCCTTGAAAAGAAGGTAATGTGGAGTGGGTAGCCTCTGTATTGATTAAGAAGGGGATGGACTTACTTTCCACTGTAAGAGTTACCGAAAGCATCTGTGATGGTTCAGGAGGCTTCTGAGGTTATCGGGCAGCATCAGTCTTCAGCCACTAAGCTGAGAAGATCTGGGAAGGAGTCAGTCAGAGAGCCTTGGGCCAGAGTTCCAGGGGCTCTGGGAGTGGTTGCCAGGTGAGTTGAACAGTCCTATTTTCAGTGGGTTCCTGCACAGATGGGACATGGCTTAGGAGGAAGCCCAGGCTGCGGGCATTCCTTAGCCCAGTGGCCAGATTTCTGGCACTTGTAGCAAGCTCCTGGGGGAGGAGGTTCTGGAGGAACCCCTGGTAGCTGTGGTTCAGGCGTTTGGAGTTCTTGTGTGCTGGAGATGTGGCTGGGGATTGTCTCACAGTGGAGCAAGGAACTGCAACTCAGAAATACATTGCTACTTGGCTACCTCTACTGTATTATTGTACACCTTGAAGGCAAGGTTAATTAAGTCCTGTTGTGGGGTTTGAGGGCTGGAATTTAATTTTTGGAGCTTTATTTAATGTCAGGAGCAGGTTGGGTAATAAAATAAAATGCATATTGAGAATAAGACGGCCTTCTGACCTTTCAGGGTCTAGGGCTGTAAAACGTCTCAGGGTTGCTGCCAAACGGGCCATGAACTGGGCTGGGTTTTTATACTTGATGAAAAAGAGCCTAAACGCTAACTGATTTGGGAAAGGTCGGATAAAGAAAAAGGAGCATTAACCTTGACTATGCCTTTAGCTCCAGCCACCTTTTTAAGAGGAAATTGCTGGGCAGGTGGGGGAGGGCTAGTCGCAGAATGAAACTGTAAGCTGGACCAGGTGTGTAGAGGGGAGGTAATAAAAGGATTATAGGGTGGGGGAGCAGAGGCTGAGGAAGAACTGAGACCTAGCACGGCCTGGCGATGAGCAGCCTGGGGAGAAGGGGAGAGGTCAGATGGGTCTGTAGAAAAGGAAGACGAGAGGAAAGACTCAGCGACGCTTAGGGTTGGGACTGAGGGAACAGGCGGGAGGGAAAGAAGGAAGATTTGGGACGAGTTGCATTGGGAACAGAGACTAGGGAGGGACCGATGTGTAAAACTATGCCTGGACATCAGGCACCTCAGACCGTTTGCCCATTTTATGACAAGGATTATTTAGATCTTGTAGGGTGGAAAAATCGAAAATGCCGTTTTCTGGCTACTTGGAACTACTGTCGAGTTGGTACTGGGGCCGAGCCGTATTGCAGAAGAAAATAAGGCATTTAAGTTTTAGGTCAGGCAAGAGTTGAAGAGGTTTTAAGTTCTTGAGAACACAGGCTAAGGGAGAAGGGGGAATGGGGGGTGGAAAGTTGCCCATAGTGAAGGAGGCAAGTTTAAAGAGAAGGGTAGACACATAGAAAGGGTGGGGGGTGCTTGCCCCCCAGGAAAGTGGAGAGAAAAGAGAGAGTAGAGACATGGAGAGAAGGGGTTGGGGATGCTTGCCCCCCAGGAAAGTGGAGAAGGGGTGGGAGGTGTTTGCCCCCCAGGAAAGTGGAGAAGGGGTGGGTAGGGACACAGAGAGAAGGGGTAGGTGGTGCTTGCCACTGAAGATCTTCTATCCACTTCAAGAGAGACTTAAGGGTGGCGATTTGAGGTAAAACCAGGAGCCACTAAATACTAAGTTATGGCTTAGCTTGAGCTCAGAGGCCTGACAAGTGCAAGGTACAGGTCGCAAAGAACTTGCCATTAAAACAGGATGCAGTAAAGAAGCCAGCCAAAACCCGCCAAAACCGAGATGGCAATGAAAGTGACCTCTGGTCATCCTCGCTGCTCATTATAAGTGAGTTATAATGCATTTGCATGCTAAAAGACACTTCCACCAGTGCTAAGACAGTTTACAAATGCCATGCCAACGTCAGAAAGTTATCGCATATGGTCTAAAAAGGAGAGGAACCCTCAGTTCTGGGAATTGCCCACCTCTTTCCCAAAAAACTCATGAATAATCCACCCCTTGTTTAGCATGTAATCAATAAATAACTTTAAGTATTCTTAGTTGATCAGCCCATTTTGCTATTCAGCATATGGAGTAGCCATTTTTTTATTTATTTGCTTTCTTAATAAACTTGCTTTTACTTTACTCTACGGACTTGACCTGAATTCATTTTTGCACAAGGTCCAAGAACCATCTCTTGGGGTCTGGATCAGGATCCCTTTCCAATAACACTCTCATTAATAAACGCAAAGAGAACACTAACATAAATGGTCAGAATTGACATTTTCAGAACTCCATAGATTAACCAAAGGATTGGAAAAATCCAGGGAGTGTTTATTAAATGAATATGACTGAATCTAAGTAAGAAGATGAGTTTAATGGTACTGATAGATATGAATTCCAAATTTCTCGTCAAAGAATCAATATGTCCCCATGTTCAATTCTTTGCCTTCTACTTTTAAACTTAAATTCCTTGTAAAGCAACCTTTTTCGATCACCTGCTCCACTCTGACTCATTCCGATTACCTGCTCCACCCTGACTCATTCCCCACCCTGACTCATTCTGATTTCCTGCTCTGCAATAACCATTTTTCCCACCAAACCACTCACCCCGTCACTGCCTTTAAATTAGCCAATCAGAATCAGTGTAGCCTGTGCGGTCTAACCCTAACCAATAGGGGAACAACACAGCAGCAGGGGCCACGTGCATCAGGAATAAGAACCCCTTCCCCTCCCTTGCCCAGGTGTGTGCTCAGCATTGCTCCGTCTGTGAGGGCGCACCCTTCTATAGAAGTACATTGCCTTGCTGAGAAGAAAAAAAGAAAATTTTATCCTCAAGTGCTATTTCTTTTGTGGTACCGAAACTTTATTTATAACAGCATTGTAACTTGTCCTATTTCAACCCCTCTTCTCCAGCTTCGGAGTAAAATAAATATCAATAGCCTGAAATCATAGTGAAAACCAGCAGCTTGGAAGCTAGTGGGAGGGGAAAGAACAGGGTTGAAGCTACTTTAAAGATCCATTCCCAGAGGTTTGTCATTAATTGAACTATGTGGTGATTCCCTGAAAGATCTCACACCCAGTGAGATCAGATCTCACACAGTGGAAAAAGTTCTTTCCCTGAGGGCATTTGTCTGAAACCTCTATGGGTGATTGTTTAACTCCACAGCGACCTAAGGCAGTGAAAAATAATTTAGGCCAAACAATAAACAAAAAGTTTAAAGAAATAGCTGGGGAATAAGATGTACATCGGAGTTTGATAAACACTAACGTATTTATGGGGATCTAGAAGGCCATACATGTACATAGGTGTATGTGTGCATGCTCAGAAGACACTTAAGAAGACCCTAAACTCTCACATCTTATTACTATGAGTCTCTGAGTACAAGCAGGAATTCAAGGCTAAAGCAGATTTGTAAACTACCTAAGTGGAGAAGTCCCAGCCAAATATGCACACTGAGTACCTCATCAAAGACTGGGGACTTGTTGGTTGCAGGCATTTTAAACACCTGTTTTCAATTATTGGGTGATCACTAAGCTAACTGAGCAGAAACTTCAATACCTACACATAACAAAGAATATAAATCTTACAAAATTAATTCAGAAATGTCAATAAAGAAACAACAAAAATCTTGCAGAGAAAGTAGAATCTTGTTGTCAAATTCGTGACATCTTATTACTTAAAATGCTACATTTTCAACAAAAATTATGAGACACAAAAAGAAACCAGACAGTATGGCCAATACATAAGAAAAAAGTTAAAAAATCTATAGAAACGGTTGCTGAGGAAACCCAGATGTTGGACGTTCTAGACAATGATTTTGAGCCAGCTATTTAATCTATATGCAAAGAAGTAAATAAAACCATCCCTAAAGACCCAAATGAAAGTATGACAGAAATAACTCATGAAACAGAGAACATTTAAAAAGAGATAGAAACTATTTAAGAAAAAAAATCAGACACTCTGGAGTTGAAAAACAAAATAATTAAAATAAATTCACATAAGGCTCTCAGAAAAAAGAAACAGCAGAAGAAAGCCTGTGAACTTGAACATGGGAAAATTGAGATTGTAAAGTTTGAGGGAGAGAAGGAAAACAGAGTGAAGAAAATAAACAGAACCTCAGAGATCAGTGAGATACAATCATGCAGCATAACACTGGGAGTTGCACAAGAAGAAAGATAAATTAACAGAGTATTTTTAAAAAAGGCCCAAAACACTAAAAATTTAGTTAAAACAATCAATCTTCACATTAAAGAGGCTCAAAAAACTACAAGTAAGATAATCCCTAAAAGATCCACACCTAGAAATTTCATTAACATAATGTAAAAGGACAAATAGATAACATGCAAAGAAACAACTCAGGACATAAAAGGAGGCTTCAACATTATTAACAGCTGATTTTCATTTGGAAACCAAAGATGTCTAAAGGCACTGGGATGACTTGTTCAAGATGCTGAAAGAAAACGGCCACCAGCTAAGAATACTATATCCAACATAGTATCCTCCAACATTGAAGTAGAAATAAAAATATTCCCAAATATTTTTTTTTAAACTGAGAGAATTTGTTGCTAGCAAATATGTCAAACAAGGAACATTAAAGTGAGTCCTTCAGGATGAAATGTAATGGCGCTATACAGTAAATCAAATCCACATGAAGAAACAAAGAACACCAGTAAAGGTAACAACACAGGTAAATATAAAAGACAGTATACATGTAGATTTTGTTTGCAACTTTTAAAATTCCTTATGTGATTAAAAGACAGCTTGATAAAGCAATAAATATAAATCTGTATTGATGTGTACACTGTATATGAAGATACAATTTGTATGTCAATAAATTCATGAAGGAGGAGAGGAAATAAAGCTATGCAGGGGTAAAAATTTTGCATACTATTACAGTTAAGTTGGTATTAATCCAACTAGATTATTATAAATTTACATTTCAATTATCATCCTCAAGGCAATCACTAAGCCTATATATTGATTGGGAACAGAATATTATCACAATATCAATTAACCTTAAATTCTTTATAAATTTAGTATCTTACCTGTAGCTGCCAAGATGATAATCAAGTTCAGGCTGTGGTCTTCTGCTCCTAAAATCAACCCTGGAGAACTGTAGAAGGGAGAAATTTATTATGTGTGTATATATACATATATATATATATATATATATATGCATGTGTGTATGTATACATATCTATATATATACACACACACGTGTGTGCATGTGTGTGTGTATATGTACAGCAAAATCAAAACAATAAAGCATGAGAAACTCCTCCAAGAAACTGGACACTGTGTTGAACTTGTGTTTGTGGTGGGAGAAGTGAGATGCTGCAATAAAGTTAGTGAGAGTACTTACACTACAGAAGAAAGCATGAGACAGGATAGGTAGGAGGAAAGTTTTCTTATTTCTTCCCCTGATTGATTTCAAAGATAAAGACAGAATCTGAGACTCAGATGCCAGTAGCCATTGGGTAATACCAGAACGTCAAGAAAGATTTGGTTGTTTCAAGCAGTAAGACTCCAGAGACTATAATAATAATAATTTCAAACTATTTTAGTGGTTAAGTATCTGTCTTAAAAAAATTTTAAATAAAAAAGAATAGAATAGAAATATTGGAGTGAAAAATGCATAGAGTGAGTATATATGTTTATACATATATAGGTATGTATATATGTACATATAGGTATGTATATATGTATATGTATATATACACACACACAGAAGGTCACTGAAATACAATATTTGGACATATAACTCCATATGAATATATATATATAATCTATACATATAATTGAGATGTAAAAAAATGAAATAAATCACTGCATCACTGAGCTGAACTGTATGCAATGTTAGACCGTCTACCGTCTCAGTAGAAGTGATAATAAAGCAATGTTCTTCAGACCCTTTTTAAAAAGAGGAAATTTAGCCACCACCATGGCTTTGAGAAAGGGTAAGTAACAACTTTAAAATCATATTCTGATTCAGGAATTTAGGACTGCAAGAGACTAACCCATAGGTTAAATGGACCCCCCACATAAGCCCGAAGCCAGCTAGTGGTCTGCGAAACAACATTTGAGAACCACTCGTATAGCATAAGTCAAGCTTACCCAACTGGGATGTATGAGGCCCAGGACAGCTTTGAATGTGGCCCAACAAAAATTTGTAAGCTTTCTTAAAACTTTATGAGGTTTTTTGCAGTTTATTTTTTTAGCTCATCAGCTATTGTTAATGTTAGTGTATTATATGTGTGGCCCAAGACACAACGTGGCTCAGGGGAGCAAACAAAGAGATTGTACACCCATGGGATAAGTAATAAAGAAAAAAAAGCAGCCACCCTTGAGTATTTTCTATGTGAGAGACACTTAATATACAGACTGCTATGTAAGCTTAGGAACAAATCTGAGAAGAAGTACATTTATGACAATTTCATCTCTTGAAAATATGACGAAAATGAGATAAAAAGAGATTAAATAACTTCCCTAACTTTACACACTTAGGAATAGGAAGTCAGGATTGCCAGCCAAGTCTCTATGAACAGTAGATTCAGTGCTTCTTGTCCTTTTCTTAACTGTGAAGATCTGGTATAGCCTATGAACCCTTCTAAGAATAATACTTGTAAGTATATAAAATAAAATACATCAGATTCCAAAGGAAAAATAATATGTATATTTTATTTTAGTTATTTAAAAATAAATGTAGGATATAGTAACATGTGCTTCTTTAGTAATGTTTTAAATAACAAGATCTAGGGACAGATCAAATAACTACTGCACTTCCAAAGTAACAATGAAAGTGAATAATATTTTGAGATATCTGTAATACCAGTACAGCTATATGAAAATGCCTATAATTTCTACTGAAGACAAAAATCACACATTTGCTAATATGATTGCTTAGTTGCCTATATTCATATTGGAAGGAAATGCTGAACTTCAAGTAAATGTTAATAAAACAAAGATGTATGCCCTTTTCCTCACCCCAGTTAAGGACCTCTTTGAATTCCATCCACAGATCCCAGGATAAAAACTCATGCTCTAGAGTTATCCTTTTCACTAGGATGATACATGGCCTTCAACTAGAAAGAGTAAACCCTAGTAGTCTGTTTGCTTATAACTGATATTCTATGACTTTCACCAGCATATTTTAAAAACAGAAAGCAATGCGACCTTGTCAAACCAATATATGAAAAACTGGGCATTAAATCGATACTTGCCCAAAGCACTGTTTTCAAGAAGATGCATTCCATTCCCATGGGTCATTTTGGTGTTTGTGCTTAAACCGTTTAGACCACCGTTCTGTCTCTTAACTAGTCTTTAATTTGATCTCTTTGAGTATTTCTCTTCTTTCCTCAGTTGCAGTTGCCAAATCTCCGTCATTCTTCTGAAGTCCTAGTCCACCTCACTCTCAGATTCTAGTTAAGAAGCTCTGGGCCCCTCTTACTTCACTTTGCAAGTTTAAGTCCTCCATGTGATTTTCACCCCTCTGCCTTCTCTTTCTGCTCTCCTTTTCTACCATTCTTCTTATGTCATCAGATTCTTTGGCTCTTCTTTTTTTTGAGACGGAGTCTCTCTCTGTCGCCCAGGCTGGAGTGCAGTGGCGCGATCTCCGCTCACTGCAAGCTCCGCCTCCCGGGTTCACGCCATTCTCCTGCCTCAGCCTCCCAAGTAGCTGGGGCTACAGGTGCCCGCCACCATGCCCGGCTAATTTTTTGTATTTTTTAGTAGAGACGGGGTTTCACCGTGTTAGCCAGGATGGTCTCGATCTCCTGAGCTCGTGATCCACCCGCCTCGGCCTCCCAAAGTGCTGGGATTACAGGCATGAGCCACAGCGCCCGGCCCTTTGGCTCTTCTTAAAATAATTCTCAACCATCTATTTTTCAAAATAATAAAAAATTTCCTTGGATTAATCCACACTCTCAGGATAAAATCCATGAAAAGAAAAACCGTGCTTTCTTTTCACTAATTTTCTGATGCAGACCTCCTCCTGACCCTTTTGAAATGTGACTTCTATCTATCCGCATTACTCTACTTATATTGCTCTACTGAAGTCTCTGAAAACTTTATAACTTCCAAGTTCAACATCGTTCACTGTCTTTTCACTTTCCTGGGATTGTCTGCATTATTTTGTACTGCTCTTCTCAGCTGGTTCCTTCCCCTTCCTTAATACTCTTTCCCTCCTATTCAATGAGACGTTTTCTTTCTCCCTGTCCTACTTATGAATCTCAAAATAGAAACAGTGTAGTTGAAGCTGTGTGAGACAATAATAATGAATAAAAGGAAAAACTCAAAATATCCCAGATCCTGTTTAAATATATATATACACATTATATTAATATAGAACTTATGAATATAGTACCACATCCTATAAACATGGAACTCTCTGAGGTTTTGTATGAGAATACAATGTTGCATGTATGTATGCATGTATATATAAAAATTTAATATATAACATATGTTATACATAGTTACATATAAAGATAATAAATATATATCACATTAAATATACATTTTTATGTATAATATATAAATGTAGTTATACATGTATATATATTAATTTTTAGAGATGCATTTATATATGTTTGCATAAATGTGTGTGTGCGTACACATCTAATCCTCACAACAGCCATATGAAATATATGCAATTATTTTCTCAGTTTTATAGATACAGAAACTGAGGCACAGAGAGACTGGCCGACTTGCCCAAGATCACAGAGCTGGTAAACTGTTGAGCTAGGATTCAAACTGGTGTATTTTGAGTAAAGGTCCCGTGTCTGTAACCATATTACTCTACACTGTAGGTTCAGTTACCAGAGAGAGGACATAGCAATAGAGATTGCAGATGACCTGCCATGCATCCCAGACATTGTGTCTCAAACTGAAGCCATCTTTTTCCTGAATAACACAGGCCTTCAGTGAAGACCTATTTTATGGTGAAACTTTCGTGATCTGACAGGTTGATAATTTTCCCAGGTCCAAGTTTTAACATCATTTGAGAGCTTTTTTTCTGTTCTCCTGGTCAGATACAAGCAGTGGTAATATATTTTGCCACTTCTGCCTCCTTCCCTTTTTCTCTAATGTTATTCCAGGTCAGGCCCATGCTTTCTCACTCCTGGACTACAGCAACAGCCTTCTATTTAGACTCTTTTCGTAGAAAATCAAAGAGAAAACAAAAGGAAAAAAAATCCCAGAAGAGGAATGAGAGAGAGAGAGAGGAGAGAGAGAGAGAGAGAGAGAGAGAGAGAGAGAGAGAGAGAACTTTGCTTATAGTGACACAGGGATAAGAATTACAGAGGACCTTTTGTCAGAAATCATGCAAGCAAGAATAGAGTAAAATGTAATATTTAAAGTGTTGAAAGAAAAAGAAAACACAAGCCTAGAAATTTATACACAGCAAAACTCTCCGTCAATAGTAAAATAGAAGTAAAAACTGTCTAAAACAAAACCCATAGAAGAAATAAGAGAATATACTTGTTTACACCCAAATAGTTTTTGGCAAAGGCACCAAGAAATTCATTAGGGAAAAGATAGCCTCTTCAATAACTTGTGCTGGGAAAACTGAATATATATATATATGAAGAAAAATGAAACTACACAACCTATCTCTCACCATATACAAAAATCAACTCAAACTGGATTAAAAACTTAAATGTAAGATTCAAACTAGAAAACTACTACAAGAAAGCAGAGAAGAAATGCTTCAGGAAAAATGTCTTGGCAAAGCTTTTATGGATAAGACTGCAGAAGCACAGACAACCAGGACAAAAATAGACAAATGGAATTACACCAAACTAAAACCCTTCTACATAGCAAAGAAAATAATCAGCAGAGTGAAGAGACAATCTTCAAAATGGGAGAAAATATTTTCAAACTATCCATTTGACAAGGGATTAATAAAGAGTATACATAAAATACCCACACATTTCAACAGCAACAAACCAAATAATACAATTGAAAAATAGGTAAAGAATCCGAGTAAATATTTCTTGAACGAAGACATCCAAATGGCCAATGGTATATGAAAAAAAATATGAAAAAACACTCAACATCACTAGTTATCAGGGAAATTCAATTCAAAACAACAACGAATGTCTATTATCAAAGAAAAACACATGCACCTGACTATGTGGAAAAAAATGGAAACTCTTATATTCTGTCCAAATTATATTATTATGTGGGAAACAAAAAAAACACACTCATAAAAAACCACTGAAAAGAGATTTTTAAAAATGATGAGCTATTCCATTTTCATGATTTAGGAGTCCCAATGTTGTTAGTATGTCATCTGCTCCCAAATTTCTTCATAGATTCAATGAAATTCCAATCAAAATTCCAGGAAGTTATTTTTTAGACATCAAAATACTCTAGAGTTTACATGAAAAAGCAAACAGTTAGAATAACCAACATAATATTGAAGTAAAAGAACAAAATTACAGAGCTCACATCACCCAATTTATCATGTTTATGTGTTGGTATATTTTAAGTTCTCTCTTCTAGCTATTTTTAAAACTACAATACATTGTTTTTAAATATAGTCACCCTACTGTGCTATTGAACACCAGAACTGATTCCTTCTATCTAACTGTAGGTTTGGACCCATTAACTAACCTCTCTTCAATCTCAGCCCCCTTGCCATGACAATTCTGAACCTCTATTAACTGTCATTCTATTCTCTATCTCCATGAGATAAACATTTTTAGCTCCGACACATGAATGAGAACTTTATCTTTCTGTGCTTGGCTTATTTCATTTAACATAATAACCTTCAGTTTCAACCATGTTGCTGCAAAAGACAGGATTTTTTTTTTCTATGCACGAATAGTATTTCATTGTGTATCTGTACCACATTTTCTTTATCCATTTATTCATTGATGGACACTTGGATTGATTCCACATCTTGGCTATTGTGAATAGTGTTGCAATAAACACGGAGTGTAGGTGTTCCTTCGATATAGTGATTCAGGAACTTTCATTCCTTGTTGGTTGTAATAAAAAAATAATATAGCCTCTTGGAAGATAGTATTGTATGATTCTGTTTATAGCATATTCTGGAAAAAAGTACAACTATAAGTACACCAAAAACCACAGGGTTAGGGAGTGAGGAGGGTATACTATTTTACTACAAAGGGGACACACTGGGGAATTTTAGGCTGATGGAAATGTTTTGTATGATTCTTGGGTGGTAGATATAGGAATCTATACATTTATTAAAATACATACAACTTTCATGTTGCATGTTACAGTAAACTTTCATGTATGCAATTTTTAAAAAATCAACCAGGGATTACATTTTTAAATGGATCCCTGACTCCTTTGAGCAGAATGGGTTTTACAAGGGTAAATCTGGAAAAAAGAGGCACCAGTAAGGAAGCTATTGCTATAGTTTATTTGAGAGATGATGGTAGCTTCATCACAGCAGTGGTAATGAAAATTGACTGAAATGGATAGATTTGGAATGGATTTTAGAGGTTAATGGAACAGAATCCTTTGATGGATTAGATGGAAGTAAAGGAAAGGAGAGGAATAAAGGTCATCAATAAAAATCTTGCCACCTTTCATATTAATAGAAATAAATTAAGCCATGATTAACTTTTTCATAGATTACTGTGAGAATTTTTTTGTATTTTCTAACCTCCAATTCCAAGACAGATTTCTGGTTGGTGTTGTGCTGGAAAAAGAGGAGTTCACCCTACCATCACTGGAATCTCCCTAGCCAAAATGCGGAAGGAGGTAGGCCTCTACTTCCATCACCTGTGGGCAATCTGTCACCACTTCCCAGTCAGGAAAGTGTTCTTGGGCCTGTTCAAGGTGTCTGTAGTCAGAACAACGTTACCCTGTCATGCTTTCCTGGAACAGTATTGTCCACGTTATATTTCTTGGATCCCCAGAGCTCCAAAGATCATCATCCCAACTGGTAGTTTGGGAGGTCATTGGCCTCATATCATTGGCCCAGGTTGCTTTGATCCCAAATCAGCACTAAGTTTTTGCTTTTGCTCTTTGAAAATGAAGATTCATAAAGGTAGTAAGGCCATCTATGTATGAGAATAAGGTCAAGAGGAGCTGCCAATTCCCCTCTTCCTCCCCCATACATCATCTCCACTCCTTCTGTTACTGACTTGACTGATTGGAATCAGTGCCCCAGATGATTCCAATCCTTCCTCATGCAGCATTGTTGATCCCCTAATTGGCCCATAATGGTGACTTCCTTTTATTTCATTTGTATAAATTTATGAGGTACTAATGCAATTTTGTTACATGCAGAGATTTAATAGTGGTGAAATAAGGGCATTTAGGGTATTCATCACCCGAATAAGGTACATTGTACCCATTAAGTAATTTCACATTATCCATCTTCTCCCGCTCTGTTCCCCTTCTAAGTCTCGATTGCCTGTTATACTACACACTACATCCATGGGTACACATTATTTAACTCCTATTTATAAGTGAGAACACAATACTGGCTTTCTTCATGATAGAATATAAGAAAGTCCACTTTGCTTTTCTATATAATTTTATGTAGGTTTTAAATTTTTTATGATAAACACGTTATTGTCACAATCTAGTATAGGTACATAAGAAGGTGTTTTGGGTGACTCCTTATTAGTTTCCAGTGGTCTGTTTCTCAACGCCTGTGCCTAAACCACAAAATCCCATTATAACTTTTTAGTAATCCCTACTCTCTGGTAAAGTTGCTGCTTTTAGATTCTATTTTCTCAAGAGTGTCTTGGCTATGCTCGACCATAGGCATAACTTTAAATTTTAGAATCATCATATTAAGTTTACACACACATTTGCATACAAAGTTTGGTTCCTTAAAATTGGCATTGCAATCAAACTGTAGATAAATCTTCAGGAGAACTAACATATTTACAATATATGTGTTAGGCTGTTCTCACATTGCTACAAATAAATATCTTGGACTGGATAACTTTAAAGAAATAAGGTTTCATTGGCTCACAGTTCTGCAGGCTGTACAGCAAGCATGATGCTGGCATCTGCTTGACTTCTACAGAGGCCTCAGGAAACTTACAATCATGGTGGAAGCTGAAGGTGAAGAAGACACATCACATGGCCAGACAGGAGGAAAAGAGAGAGAAATGAGTTTCTACACGCTTTTAAATGACCAGACTGAGTTCAAGCTCACTATTTTGAGAACAGTACCAAGAAGATGATACTAAACCATTTATGAGAAATCTGCCCCCACGATCCAATCGCCTCTGACCAGGCTCCACCTCCAACATTGGGGATTACACGTTGACATGAGATTTGGGTGAAGACACAGATTCAAACCATATCAATAGGGAATTTTAATATCTATGTACATATATAGTTTTAAATTATTGTAGGGGAGAAGAGTAGAGTTAAATGATGGAGTAGAAGGCTCCAGTAATCATCTCCCCTGCAAGGATACCAATTTAACAACTATCTGCACAAAAAAAGTACCTTCATAAGAACCAAAAATCAGCTGAGCACTCACAGTACCTGCTTTTAACTTTGTGTTGCTGAAAGAGGCATTGAAGAAGATAGGAAAGAGTATTGGATTACTTACATCACTGCTCCCACATCTCTAGGCAGTGGCTGTGTGGCGTGGGGAGAATCTGAGTGCTTGGGAGAGGGTGAGCACAACAAATGTGAGACAATGCATTGAATTCAGTGCTGTCCTGTCATAGCAGAAAGCAAAACTAGGCTGAACCCCACTGATGCCTGCACACAGAGAAAATATTTAAACCAGCCCTTTCCAGAGGGGAATGGCCATCCCAACAGCTGGAACTTGAGTTCCAGCAAGCCTTGCCACCATAGGCTAAAGTGCTCTGGGGCTGTAAATAAACTTGAAAGGCAGTCCAAGCCACAGGGACTACAACTCCTAGGGGAGTCCTATGGCTGAATTGGGACAAGAGCCAGTGGCATTAGGGGGAATGCAAGCTATTGAGACATCAGCTAGGATGGCTAAAGGAGGGCTTGCTCCACTCCTCCCTCAAATCCATGCTGCACAGCTTGTGGTCCCAAAAGAGATCCCGTCCTTCCACTTGAGGAGAGTAGAGGGAAGACCAAATAGGACTTTGTCATGCATCTTGGATACTATTTCAGACACAGTAGAATAGGGAATTGGGCAGAGTCATGAGGCCCCCATTCCAGGCGCAAGTTCCCAAATGACATTTCAAGACAAACCCTGGTCCAGAGGAAACCAGCAAAGGAAAGGATCCAGTCCTGGCAGGATCCACCACCTGCTGAGTAAAGGTGGTGAATGGGTTCTGAATGACCAGCAGCATTACCCAGGTAGTACACCATAGGCCTTGAGTGAGACTCTGAGACTTGCCAGCTTCAGGTGAGACTCAGCACATCCACGGCTGTGGAGGCTACGAGGAGAGAATGCTTCTGCTTGAGAAAAGCAGAGGGAAAAGTAAAGGGATCTTTGTATTACACCTGTGGTATCATCTTGGCCAAAAAGAGGTAGAGCACCAAACAGGAGCTCTAAAACCAAACAGGAGCACCAAACAGGAGACCTTAGGGTCTCCAATTCCAAGCTTTGGCTCTTGAACAGCATTTCTAGACAGGCCCTGGGCCAGAAGGAAGCCCACTTCCCTGAAGAGTGAGTATCAGGCCAGGCAGCATTCACTGCAAGCTGACAGCAGAGCCCTTGGGCCTTCAGGGAAAATCAGCGGTAGCCTGGCAGTCGGGGTAATGGCCATGAGGTGAGGCTCCCTTGCCTACGAAAAAGGTATGGAAGAGTGGAAAAGGCAGTGTCTCATGGTTTGAGTCCCAGTTCAACTGCAGTACAATAAAACACCAGGAAGATTTCTAAGGTATTTGCTTTTAGTTCCTGGATCCCAGGTGGCACGTCTGGACCTGCCCTGGTCCTGTGGGAACTCACCACCGTAAAGGGAAGGACACAAGTCTGGCTGGCTTTGCTACCTGCTGATTGTAGACCACAGGGCTTTGAGAAAATATAGGCAATAGCCTGGTGTGGTTAGAGTGGGCCTTGGGCAAGACCCAGTGCTGTGCTAGCTTCAGATCAGACCCAGCACAGTCCTAGTGATGGTGGCCAGAGGGGAGCTTGTGTCACCCACCCCCAGCTCCAGGCAGCTCCACACAGAGAGACTTCATTTGGTCGGGAGAAAGATGATACCCCTAAGAGTCTGCAAAAACCCCAGTGCTACTGGCCTTGGGGTGCACCTAATGCAGATATGGCCTAGATCACAAAACCCCAGTTCTTTCAAATATCTGTAAAGCCTTCCCAGGAATGATGGATACAGACAAGCCTAGACTGCAAAGACTGTAATAAATATCTAACTCTTCAGTGCCCAGACACAGATGAACATCCATAAGCATCACAACCATCTATGAAAACATGACCTCAGCAAATAAACTAAATAAGACACCCAGGGACCAATCCTAGAGAAACAGAGAAATGTGATCTTTCAGACAGAGAATTCAAAATAGCAGTTCTGAGAAAACTCAAAGAAATTTAATATAATAAAAAGAAGAAATTCAGAATTATATCACATACATTTAACGAAGCAATTGAAATAATTCAAAACAATTAATCAGAAATTCTGGAGTTGAATAACACAACTGACATACTGAATAAGGCATCGTTTTTTTATAAGCAGAATTGATCAAGCAGAAGAAAGAATTGGTGAGCTTAAAGAAAGGCTATTTGAAAATACAGTTAGAGGAGAAAACAAAAAAAGAATAAAACAACGAAGTACACCTACGAAGTCCAGAAAATAGCCACAAAAAGGACAAACCTAAGAGTTACTAGCAATAAAGAAGAGGTAAAAGAAAGAGATAAGGGTAGAAAAAGTATTCAAAGAGATAGTAACAGAGAACATCCAAAACCTAGAGAAAGATGTGACTATCCAAGTACAAGAAAGTTATAGATCACCAAGCAGATTTAACCCAAAGACTACACTACCTCAGTGCATTTAATAATCAAACACCCAAAGGTCAAGGAAAATAAAAGGATCCTAAAAGCAGCAGGAGAAAATAAACAAATAACATATCTCAGAGCTCCAACGTGTTTGACGGCAGTCTTGTCCGTGGAAATCTTACAGGCCAGGAAAAAGTGGCAAAACATATTAAAGTTCTGAAGGAAACAAACAAACAAACTTTTACCTTAGAATAGGACACATGGTGAAAATATCCTTCAAACATGAAGAAGAAATAAAGCCTTTACCAAACAAAGAAAAGCTGAGGGATTTCTTCAACACCAGACCTGTCCTACAAGAAATGCTAAAGGGCGTAGTACTTGGATCAGAAAGAAAAGAATGTCAATGAGCAACAAGTAATCACCTGAAGGTACAGAACTTACTAGTAATAGTAAGTACACATAAAAACACAGAATAGTATTACACTGTAACTGGTGTGCAAACTACTCTTATTCTAAGTAGAAAGACTAAATGATGAGCCAGTCAAGAATAATAACAACGACAAATTTTCAAGACACAGACAGTAAAATAAAATGTAAATAGAACAAACAAAAAGTTAAAAAGCAAGGGGATAAAGCTAAGGCGTACAGTTTTTATTAGTTTCCTTTTTGCTTGTTTGTTGGTTTGTCTATGCAAACAGTGTTGTTATCAGTTTAAAATAACGGGTTATAAGATAGTATTTGCAAGCCTCATGTTAACTTGAAATAAGAAAAATGGATACACCATTCTCCTTTTCCTAATGTATACTCTTGACACCTGTGTCAAAAATGAATTCACTATAGATGCATGGATTTATATCTGGGTTTTCCATTCTGTTCTACTCATCTATTTTTGTCTGATTTTATGTCTGTACCATGCTATTTTGGTTACTATAACTCTGTAGTATAACTTAAAGTCAGGTAATGTGATTCCTCTAGTTTTGTTCTTTTTGCTTAGGATGTCTTTGGCTATTCTGTGTCTTTTGTGGTTCCATATACATTTTAGGGTTGTTTTTACTATTTTTGTGAAGAATGTCATAGGTAGTTTTATAGGAATTGCATTAAATATGTAGATTGATTTGGGTAGTATGAACATTTTAACAATGTTGATTCTTGAAATCCATGAACATGAAATATTTTTTCACTTCTTGCTTGTCTTTTTCAATTTCCTGCATGTTTCATAGTTTTCATAATAGAGATCTTTCAATTATTTGGTTAAATTAATTCCTAGGTGGATAGTAGTGAAAAAATAATTTAATTGAACATTTAAAGTAAATAAAAGAGTATAATTGGATTGTTTGTAACACAACGGATACATAATTGATGTAATGTATACCCCATTTACCCTGTGGTAATTATTACCTATTTCATGCCTGTATCAAAATATCTCATGTAACCCATAAAAATATACACCTATAATGTACCCCCAAATTAAAAATTAAAATTAGAAAAACCCTAAATTTATGTAGGGGTTCATCAATTCTTCAATAAATGGTGCTGAGAAAACTGCATATTTGTAAGCAGAAGATTGAAACCATGTACTACTATCTCTTGTTATATACAAAAATCAAATCAAAATGAAGTAACCACTTAAATATAAGACCTCAAACTATGAAACTACTAAAAGAAAACTTTGGGGAAACTCTCCAGAACATGTGACTGGGCAAAGATTGTTTCAGTAATACCCCATAAGCACAAGCAAGCAAAGCAAAAATGGACAAATAGGATCACAACAAGTTAGAAATATTCTCCACAGCAAACAGTAAACAAAGTGAAGATGCATCCCACAGAATTGGAGAATATATTTGCTAATTACCTATCTGACAAGGGATTGATAATTAGAATATACAAGGATATATAACTATATAATAATGGCATAGGAAAAAATCTATAGGAAAAATCTAATAATCTGATTAAAAATGGGCAAAACATCTGAATAGACATTTCTCTAAAGAAGGCATACAAATGGCAAACAGGTATATCAAAAGGTACTCAACATCACTGATTAGAGAATTGCAAATAAAAACTACAATGAGATTTCTCATCCCAGTTATAACAGTTTTTATCCAAAAGTCCAGGAATAATGAAACGGGTAAAGTTTCCTTATCCCCATTGCAGGGCAAACGATGAGGGCGTCGCTCATTTCTTAAGTGCCCCGCTGCTCAAACCTCTAGGAGAGCATACAGACTGTCAGTCTGTGGGGCTCCAACCCCACAGCAGTGTCTAGGGGTGAATATTTATAGCTGAAGTCCCAGTGGACATGTGTTACAGGGTTCTTTTTAGTTTAGCTATCCATAGACGGCTTATGATAGCTCAATTAGACTCCTGCCTCATTGCAAGGATGGGGCTTTCTGTACCCCGGGGTTCTTGCCTTGGTGTACTGGAAGAATCGGATTACACGAGGGCTTGGAAAATGAGTGCAAGGTTTTATTGAGTGGAAGTAGCTCTCAGCAGATGGGGGAGCCAGAAGGGAGATGGTTTTCCCTTGGAGTCAGGCCGCTCGGCAGCCTGGGCTCTCCTCTGACTGCCCCAACCAAACTCCACCTCATTCTCCTGGTCAATAGCTTGCTGGTGGGCCCGTGTGTGTCATGTGCTCTTCGGCTGGCATGCTCCCCTCGATGTCCTCTCAATGTCCAGCCACTTGTGTCTTCTTCTGCAGATGTGTTTCTCTCCATGTCCAGCCGCTTGTGTGTCTGCCTGCTAGGGTCTTGGGGTTTTTATAGGCACAGGATGGGGACATGGCAGGCCAGGGTGGTCTTGGGAAATGCAACATTTGGGCAGGAAGAAAGACATGACTGTCCTCACCTAGGTTGCTGGGCACAGGCCCAGGAGTACAGCCCTAGCCAAAGACCATGCCCTCCTCTACCCAGCACTTCCCTGCCCCGCTTCAGTATCAGTAACAAATGCTTGTGAGGATTTGGACAAAAGGGAACACTTGCATACTGTTGGTGGGAATGTAAATTAGTACAGCTGCTATGGAGAACAGTTTGGAGGTTCCTCCAAAAACTAAAAATAGAGCTATCGTATGATCCAGCAATCCCATTGCTTGCTATACACAGAAAAGAAAGGAAATCAGTATATTGAAGAGATATCCGCATTCCCATGTTTATGGCAGCACTGTTCACTACAGTACATATACACAAGGGAGTAATATTTGGCCATAAAAGAGAAGGAGGTACAGTCATTTGCAGCACATGAACAAAACTATAGGTCATTATGTTCAATGAAATAAGTCAGGCACAAAAAGACAAACTGTATATTCTCATTATTTGTGGGAGCTAAAAATCAACACGATTGAATTCAAGGAGATAGAGCGTAGAGGGATGCTTATCAGAGAAGGGTAGTGAGGGTGGGGAGAAAGTGGGGAGAGTTAATGGGTAGAAAAACATAGAAACAATGAGTAAGACCTAGTAATTGCCAGCGCAATGGGGTGATAGTAGTGAAAAAATAATTTAATTGAACATTTAAAGTAAATAAAACAGCATAATTGGATTGTTTGTAACACAACGGATACCAAATTGATGTATACCCCATTTACCCTGTGGTAATTATTACCTATTTCATGCCTGTATCAAAATATCTCATGTAACCCATAAAAATATACACCTATAATACACCCCCAAATTAAAAATTAAAATTAAAAAAACTCTAAATTTATGTAGGGTTCATCAATTAACCTAAATGCTACACTTATGATTTTCTGTGAAGTTGTTAAATTTTATTGGTAAATTTATTTTAATTGATATTTTGGTATGATATGTTACAAGTTACATTTTGTTTACCATTTTTTTCATACTCTTTGCTCCTGTAAAAAAAGCAAGAATCATTTTTGTACAGTGATCTTTTATCTGACAAGCACATGTACTGATTTATAGATTAGGATGCTTATCTTTAATTCTGATTTTTTTTTTCATAAACAGTCTAATAATCTGTTACTCATGGAAACACTATTTTCTACATTAACATCCTTACTGCTTTTATATCTGCTATATATTACTTCACTGGCTACTACCTTTATTAGACAATTGAATAGAAATTTGTGATAGCAGGATTCTAGTTTGGTTACTAATCTCAAAGCAGAAGTTTCAAATTTTCCCAGGTAAGTATAATATTTACTATCAAGAGTTAAATAAAATTTTACCTAGTTTGCTAACATTATCACATTAAAAAAAACCCTGTTATTTTAGGTTAATTTTAGATGTATGGAAAAATTACTAAGATAGTGCAAAAAGTTCCCAAGTATTCCACGTCATACCCACCATATATAGGACAAACATAATTTGTCACTGATGATGTTAATTCGATCACCACGGCAACGTAGTGTTTGTTCAGCTTTCTTCAGGGTAAAGTCACATTATTTTTCCCCTGTGTCATACTGCCATCCTGGGAAGGACAGGGAGACCCAGGACCAACCAGTAGTCAAATGAGGCCTCTGAGGGAGAACTGCAGAGACTCCCTGCCCACAAAGAGGAGGATCCACAGAATCCAGCTTCCCTCCTGCTGTCAGCCATGGGAGGCCCTGGGGCATGCTGGCCCACTGTGGTGTCCCCTGACTTCTTAGAGGGTAGAAAGAGGAGAGGGCTGTGCTCAAGTGAGTCTCACTTCAGATCATGAGAGGGGAAGGGACTCAGGCTCTTCCAGGCATCCCCAGGATGACATAGAGGAAGGACTGGTGAGACATCCCTTCCAAGAAACAGAAGGACACACAAAACCAGCCCCTGTTTTCACCCCTGAGAGGCCTTGGGCAGGGCCCTCAGGCAGGGATGCTAGGGCTTTTCACTTCCTCTTGGCTTGGGGTCTCATGGAAATGGGAACCTTGATCTGAAGATCATAGTCTCTGGACAGCAAGGGAAGGGACTCTGAGGCCCCGTCAGGAATAATAATTGCAGGAAGACAGAGTCTTGTCCATGCCATTTCAGACACAGGGCACCGGAGCCCTGCCATGGGCTTTGGAGGCCCTATCCTATTGTGGATGGATGTGATTCTCCCTTTCTTCTACCTTGCAGGTCTCAGGGATGGGAGGGGCTTATTCGGAGGTGAAAGACTCAGATGCACAGAGGCAGGGAGCCCAGGGAGTTTCAGGAGTCCAGGCACAGCCTCTCAGGAAGGCTGGAAGGGAATGCCCATGGCTGGTAGTGCCCCTCCCCTGCCCCCATGCCTGCTGCCAGCTCTGGAGGACCCCATCAGGGTCCCCAGATGTACAACTTTCTAATTTCCATTTTGGGAGTCTGCCGGAGGGGAAGTTTTCTCTGAGGAGGGCAGTTTCAGTTAAGTGGAGAGAGGAGCCCCAGGACTGGCCACTCAACAAGAAGAGAATTCTGTGGAAGGACAGTGACCTCCCAACACGGAGGGGAGGCCCAGATCACGCCCAGTCACAACCTGCTGTAACACCTGGAGAAAGGAGGTGACCAGGAGAGAGCAGAGAGGTGGGAAGAAAGAGGTGGGCTGGGGAGTGACAAAGAAAAGGTGGAGGGGGACCATAAGGTAAGCAGGAAGGGCTAGAAGGAGGCAGGGAAGTGGGCAGGAAGAAGTGGGCCAGCCACGTGGAGGTGGATAGGAAGAAGTGGAAGGGGTTGGGGAAGTGGGCAGGAGTGGGTGGAAGGGGGTGAAGAGGTGAGCCATAATGGGTGGAATGGGTAGGGAGGTGGGTAGGAAAGGGTGGGAGGGAGTGGGGAGATGGACAGGAACCGGTAGAAGGGGGCGGAAGGTGAACAGTAATGGGTGGAATGGAGTAGGGAGGTGGGCAAGAAAAAGTGGATGGAGGTGGAGAGGAGGGTAGGAAAGGGTGGAAAGAGGTGGAGAGGTGGGGGCGGATCCTCTGCAGAGAGGAGGCCCCCCTCCCCGATGCTGGGTGTATAGCGCTCTACACCCAGGAGAATGGCTGACATCTAAAACACTGAAACATCAAATGTTGACATGCATGTTGACCACCAGGAACTTTCAGTCATTGTTAGTGGGATAGACCTGGAGGAATCATGAAAGCATATTGCTAAATGAAAGAAGAAAATCTAAAAAGGCTTCCTAGCATACCACATTCTGGAACATGCAATGATGAATACACTAAAAATATTACTGGTTTCCAGGGGCTGAGGGCTGGGGTTGGGGCAAGGGGAATTGATTCATTAGGTGGAACACACAGGAGCTCTAAGATGGTGAAACAATTCTGTGGGACAATACAATGATGAATACTTGCCATTACACCCTTATCGAAATGTATAATATCCCCATCGTTAAGAGTGAGTCCTGATGTAAACCATGGACTTAAGTGTGAGGTATCAATACAGTTCCATCAGTTGTAGCAAACATGTCATAATAATACAAAATGTAAATAAAAAGATAGACTTTGTGTGTGTGTGCAGCAATCAGGGCAGGGCGGGTGGTGTAGATTATGTAGGAACTCTAATTCTGATGAAGATTTCTCTTTGTATTTTTGAATTAGCAATGCTCTAAAAATGAAGTTTATTCATCTATAAAACGATGCAAATGATTTGAATAGACACTTTACGAAAGGGAATATAGCAAACGGAAAAAAAGCATATAAAAAGATGACCAATGTCATATGTCATTAAGAAGAGGCAAACAAAAACCAAAGAAGGTTCCAATACATGCTTATGAGAATGGCTAAAACCTGAAAATCTAAAATACTCAATGTAAGAGAGGATATAGAATAACAGAAATTCTCATTCCTTGCTAGTTGTGATAAAAAATAGTACAGGCACACTTTTAAGTCAGTATTTTATGAAGCTAATCATATGACAAATTGGAAAAGTTAAAAGTATAGGAACTGAAAACAGAAGACAGTTGCTAGGAGCTTTGTAGAAGTGCGGTGATTGACCTCAAAAGGGATGCACAGGAGAAGTTTAGGCAGGTGGAACTGGTCAGTATGATACTTGGTTGGTAGATATGGGAGTCCATGCATTTTCCAAAATACATATAACTTCACATTCTAGTTAAATCTGATGTGTGTATTTAAAACTTTAATCACGTATTGGTTTTTTAAAGGGTCACGGGTTGCTGAAAAGACAGTGGTTTTTTTCAGGGACTAGGATAGGAAAAGAAGCAACAATAAGGAAGCCTTTAACACAGGGTATGGGAGAGATGACACTAATTTCACTCACAGCAGTAAAGTGGAAAAACTTGGAATGGAATTTAGAGGTCGAAGGAACAAATGTTGCTGTCTGGACAGGAGAAGGAAGGAGTATAGGCTCTTTTAGGAGTCATACCTTGAGAAAGACAGAGGGGCATTCCCACCCCATTTCAGAGGGCAGTGGAGGCCTGCCTTAGGGCTAGGAGGCCCTATCCCACTGTGGATGGATGTGATTCTCCCTCTCTTGCACCTTGCAGGTCTCAGGGATGGGAGGGGCTTATTCGGAGGTGAAAGACTCAGATGCACAGGGTCAGGCATCCCAGGCAGTATCAGGAGTCCAGGCACAGCCTCTCAGGAAGGCTGGAAGGGAACACCCATGACTGGTAGTGCCCCTCCCCTGTCCCTGCTGCCAGCTCTGGAGGACCCCATCAGGGTCCCCAGATGTACAATTTTCTGACTTCCATTTTGAGAGTCAGCAGAAGGGGAGGCTGTTGTCTCTGAGGAGGGCAGCTTCAGTTAAGCAGAGAAAGAAGTCCCAGAACTGGCCAAAAAACAAGAGAGATGTGGAAGGACGGTGACCTCCCAACACGGAGGGGAGGCGCAGACTGCACCAAGCCACTCCCTGCTGACACCCCTGGAAAAAGGAGAGTGGGGTGTCAAGGACTGGGGAGGTGGGAGTGAAGAGGTCCGCAAGGCTTAGGGAGTGAGCAGGAAGGGTTGGAGGGCAGCTGGGAGGTGGGGAGGAAGGGATGGAAAAAAAGCAGAGAGGTGGGGGGTGGTTCCTCCTCAGAGAGGAGGCCCCGCCCCACATTGACGCTGCGTCAGCCCTGGACAACCACGGCAGGGTTCCCGGATGTGCTTTCCCGACGGCCATCTTGGGAATCTGACGGATCGAAGGCATTTGTGAGGAGGCGCGAATCAAGTTAGCGGGGGGAAGAGTCTTAGACCTGGCCAGTCCTCAGGGTGAGGGCCCTGAGGAAGAACTGAGGGACCTCCCACCATAGAGAGAAGAAACCCCGGCCTGTACTGCGCTGCCGTGAGACTGGTAGGTCCCAGACAGGGAAATGGCCCCAGAAGAAGGGAGGAGGTGCCGGCCCTCTAGGGAATAAATAGGAAGACACTGAGGAGGGCTGGGGGAACCCCCACCTCAGAGGGCAGATTCCCAGAGATTCCCACCCTGCTCCTCAAGTATCAGCCCTCGTAGAGCTCCCCAGTCAGCTCAGGCGGGGTGGCAGCCATCTTATTCCTGGGTGAGTGGCGTAGGGGAGGCGGAGGCCTTGGTCTGAGGGTCCCATGGCAAGTCAGCACGGGGAGCTGCCTCTGGTTGGCAGAGGGAAGATTCCCAGGCCCTGCTGGGGATAAGACTGAGGAGTCACATGTGCATCAGAACGGACGTGAGGCTACCCCGACTGCCCCCATGGTAGAGTGCTGGGAGGTGGCTGCCACCGCCCTACCTCCCACTGCTCTCAGGGATGTGGCGGTTGCTCTGAGGTTTTGCCTTAGGCCAGCAGAGTGGTGGAGGCTCGGCCCTCTCTGAGAAGCCGTGAAGTTGCTAATTAAATTCTGAGGGGGCCATGCAGTCCAGAACTATGAGGCTCTGGGATTCTGGCCAGCCCCAGCTGTCAGCCCTAGCAGGCCCAAGACCCTACTTGCAGTCTTTAGCCTGAGGGGCTCCCTCACTTCCTCTTGCAGGTGCTCCAGGAACCAGGTGGTGACGAACTGGGTGTGAGGCACACAGCCTAAAGTCAGCACAGCAGAGGAGGCCCAGGCAGTGCCAGGAGTCAAGGTGAGTGCACACCCTGGCTGTGTACCAAGGGCCCTACCCCCAGAAACAGAGGAGACCCCACAGCACCCGGCCCTACCCACCTATTGTCACTCCTGGGGTCTCAGGCTCTGCCTGCCAGCTGTGCCCTGAGGTGTGTTCCCACATCCTCCTACAGGTTCCCAGCAGACAAACTCCCTAGGAAGACAGGAGACCTGTGAGGCCCTAGAGCACCACCTTAAGAGAAGAAGAGCTGTAAGGTGGCCTTTGTCAGAGCCATCATGGGTGAGTTTCTCAGCTGAGGCCACTCACACTGTCACTCTCTTCCACAGGCCTGTTGGATCTCATCATCCATATCCCTGTTGATACGTTTACCTGCTGCTCCTGAAGAAGTCGTCATGCCTCCCGTTCCAGGCGTTCCATTCCGCAACGTTGACAACGACTCCCCGACCTCAGTTGAGTTAGAAGACTGGGTAGATGCACAGCATCCCACAGATGAGGAAGAGGAGGAAGCCTCCTCCGCCTCTTCCACTTTGTACTTAGTATTTTCCCCCTCTTCTTTCTCCACATCCTCTTCTCTGATTCTTGGTGGTCCTGAGGAGGAGGAGGTGCCCTCTGGTGTGATACCAAATCTTACCGAGAGCATTCCCAGTAGTCCTCCACAGGGTCCTCCACAGGGTCCTTCCCAGAGTCCTCTGAGCTCCTGCTGCTCCTCTTTTTCATGGAGCTCATTCAGTGAGGAGTCCAGCAGCCAGAAAGGGGAGGATACAGGCACCTGTCAGGGCCTGCCAGACAGTGAGTCCTCTTTCACATATACACTAGATGAAAAGGTGGCCGAGTTAGTGGAGTTCCTGCTCCTCAAATACGAAGCAGAGGAGCCTGTAACAGAGGCAGAGATGCTGATGATTGTCATCAAGTACAAAGATTACTTTCCTGTGATACTCAAGAGAGCCCGTGAGTTCATGGAGCTTCTTTTTGGCCTTGCCCTGATAGAAGTGGGCCCTGACCACTTCTGTGTGTTTGCAAACACAGTAGGCCTCACCGATGAGGGTAGTGATGATGAGGGCATGCCCGAGAACAGCCTCCTGATTATTATTCTGAGTGTGATCTTCATAAAGGGCAACTGTGCCTCTGAGGAGGTCATCTGGGAAGTGCTGAATGCAGTAGGGGTATATGCTGGGAGGGAGCACTTCGTCTATGGGGAGCCTAGGGAGCTCCTCACTAAAGTTTGGGTGCAGGGACATTACCTGGAGTATCGGGAGGTGCCCCACAGTTCTCCTCCATATTATGAATTCCTGTGGGGTCCGAGAGCCCATTCAGAAAGCATCAAGAAGAAAGTACTAGAGTTTTTAGCCAAGCTGAACAACACTGTTCCTAGTTCCTTTCCATCCTGGTACAAGGATGCTTTGAAAGATGTGGAAGAGAGAGTCCAGGCCACAATTGATACCGCAGATGATGCCACTGTCATGGCCAGTGAAAGCCTCAGTGTCATGTCCAGCAACGTCTCCTTTTCTGAGTGAAGTCTAGGATAGTTTCTTCCCCTTGTGTTTGAACAGGGCAGTTTAGGTTCTAGGTAGTGGAGGGCCAGGTGGGGCTCGAGGAACGTAGTGTTCTTTGCATTTCTGTCCCATATGGGTGATGTAGAGATTTACCTGTTTTTCAGTATTTTCTAAATGCTTTTCCTTTGAATAGCAGGTAGTTAGCTTCAGAGTGTTAATTTATGAATATTAGTCGCACATGTATTGCTCTTTATCTGGTTTAAGAGTAACAGTTTGATATTTTGTTAAAAAAATGGAAATACCTTCTCCCTTATTTTGTGATCTGTAACAGGGTAGTGTGGTATTGTAATAGGCATTTTTTTTTTTTTTTACAATGTGCAATAACTCAGCAGTTAAATAGTGGAACAAAATTGAAGGGTGGTCAGTAGTTTCATTTCCTTGTCCTGCTTATTCTTTTGTTCTTGAAAATTATATATACCTGGCTTTGCTTAGCTTGTTGAAGAAAGTAGCAGAAATTAAATCTTAATAAAAGAAAGCCCCACTGACTCCTTTATTTGCTGAACATTCTTTTAGTATTTGCTTGTGGAAGTCACTGTTAGTATTGGGGATACTAATAAAAGCATGACTTATCTCTACCCGTAAAACAGTAGAGTCTAGGAGCAGAAGCCATATTAAGAAGGTGGTAAGATGTTCTCTACAATCTAAAGAACAAGTTAAAAAGGGGCTGGGGAGGTGAGACTCCAGATGCAAGCCTTCAAGTATAAAGGTCTTGAGATAAGGCAGCTTGGGGCTTTGGAAAACTGCAGTTGCTTCTCTGGGAGGTGGTAGTTACGAAGCTGGGTGGTGGCAGGGACCAGACTCTCAGAGGGTGAGGGAAGAGCCTGGAATGGAAAATTGCTCTGAGCAGTTGCTTCTGGGTGGAGGATGAAGCAGAGAGGAGTATCCACCTGGGGAAGTCATGGAAGGTGTCCTGTGGCTCTGTAACTGGTGAGCTTGAACACAGTGCAAGGACTAGGTGATTGATACCCATCATCTGCAAGAGTTTCCTGAGAAATGTGGTGATAATTCCTTGAAGTGGTGCCCAGAAGCCTCTAGGCTGGCACTCACTTACCTGGCATGGGAGAGCCAGAGCCTACTCCATGGAAAGGCCACTGAATTAGGTTATTTTGAATTTAATGTGGGCAACTCCAAGCAAGGGCTAGATTTTTAGTGGAGGATACATAAAAATAGTGCTTTGGATCGACGAGCACTGGGGAAGGCAAAAAGGAGTTGGTCCTTGACTCAAATTCCGGGATCATTGAGTTGCATTCCACTTGGGTAATTCTCCACTTACCCAAGTTATACAGTATATCATTTTGGAAAGAAAATGTACTGAGTTTTATTTATGAAGCCAGATTTTTGGTTGAGTTGGTACTCCATGACGTAGTCAGCTAAATATGCTCTGAGATGTTTTGGATCATAAAACAGGAGTGAAATTTTTCATAAAAGACAGTGGTACCCTTGAGGTTATAATCATATTGATAACAACTGCCATTTGTTAAAATTCCAGTATATGCTTGGCACTGTGCCAGGTGTTTTACTCACATTATAAACATCCAGCAATTCTAAGGCAGGGCTTATGAAACCCCTTTTATAGATGAAGAACCTGAGGCTCATAGTCCTTGATAAATTCAGTAAGATCACACGGCTAGAAAGTGACAGTGCTGGCACTTGAGCCTTGCTCTGAATTCATCTTGATTCATACTGTTCCTCTCTTCCCAGCCTGAGGAAGGCCTTTGCGTTTTAAGCTACACTTCTCTGCACACTTGCTATCATCTCTCAGATGACATAAAGATGAACCCTGTGTCCAAGGTATTCAGGTAGTCTGGGAGAAGAATGGTGACAATGAGAATAAATACAATTTGGGGATCATTGTGGGCTTTGTTTACCTGCTCCTATTCTGAGCCCTAGGTTTCTTGAGAGCTGACTGTCCAGCCTCAGCACTTTCCCACTTAACAGCATCCTCCTTCTGATCTCTCCTGTGTGCTCTCTTGAGTAACTCTGGAACCTGTCCTGCTGACCAGCTCGTCCCTACAATCTCTCTGTGAAGGCTGTGCGCCGCTTCCAGTGAACAGCCCAGAATCGCAGTCCTTCCCCTGACATAGACGCCTCCTCATCCCTGCAGAAGTTCCCTGACTGATCCATCCCTCCCTGCCGGCTCCTGTGTGATAAAAGTAATTCGATGTAAATTTTCAGTTTGGATAGTGACAATTCCATATCTATTCTGGGCATCTTCAAACACTCTCAAAATACTCCCACATAGGGTGGTGAGTAGAATCTGATTTGCCACATAATATACTGATTCTAGACATGTAATCCTAGGGTAAGAGAGTTTTTGAGATCATCCTAATATTTGATATTTGTATTAGGATTTTAATATATGATATTTGTAGTAACATTGTTTGAAACAGGCCACTGAAGAGATACACAGATGAATGAGCTATACTAGGTGGTCAAAAGCCAAAGCTTCCTTCATAAACTTGGTATATGAGATGAGACTATGGGAATCACTTTGTAAATAAATGACAAGGAGTTGAATTTCTGAAAAATAGAAAAATAACAAAATCCTGAATACTGCCTAGGAGGTGACAATGGTTCCTTGGCTAGCTCTGATGAGCAAAGGAAACAATGGTTGACCATCTTTCCATTGTCCTTTGCATACCTGCCGCACAGGAAAATCCTGGTTTGCAGTGCGCCACAGGCACATGTGCAGTTGTTCAAGAATGTTCAGTTATATGAAGGGTAGCAGAGGCTCTCAGGGTAGGATATACACCAAAAGGCATGAGAGGATTCTCAGCCTAAAGAAATCATGTTTGTTATAAAAAGGACAGTGCAGTAAAGTGCTGAGAGAATAAGGTTGACCTCCTTGCCAAGACTTACAGAATTGTTTTAAAACCTATTGTTGTAATGCTTTCTTTGAAACCGCCAATCACCTAGTAGGTGCAATAAAAAGGGGAACATTTCAAGGCAATGCTGGCTTTCTCATAAACAATTCCAAGAAATTAAAAGACTTACTGTCATAAATTATAATAGGTGCTTTTAATTGCGCACCATAATGGCTTATGTGAGACATTACAATTGCCAATCTCCTTCTTGTCTAACTTGTCTTCCTGATTGGTTCATTTGCAATTAGACAGAAGCCAGTGTATCCTTCCAATGCTTTTGTTTCTTTTCAGCAGTTAACATCTGTTATGATGTAAAGCTACAAGTTGAAAGCAGCTAGGATACCTGGGTAATGTGAGAGCCAAGACTCACTGTGTATTAGTTTATTATACCATAACAACATACCACAGACTGGGTGACTTAAACAACACCCATGTATTTTCTCACATTTCTGGAGGCTAAAAATCCAACAACAAGATTTTTGCCAGTTGATTTCTTCTGTGGCCTCTCCTTGACTTGCAGATGGCCACTTTCTCACTGAATTTTTACATGGTTGTCCCTTGGTCTGTGTGTCTGTATCCTAATCGCCTCTTCTTATGAGGACACCTACCAGTAATATTGAATAAGACTCTAGTAATAAGACCTCATTTTAACTTAATTACCTCTTCAAAGGCTCTGTCTCCAAATACAGTGACATTCTGAGGTACTGGGGGTTTAAGACTTGGATATATGCCTTTGGAGGGAGAGGTGGAACTCAGCCCATAACACGCTGTCAACTAAAATCGGAATTTAAACATGTTAGGCTATGTAAATTTCAGGAAATTTTTTCATTTCATCAGCTTACTATTACTTTATCTGACTACTACACCACTACTCTTCCTTTTCTTAGGCTTACTTTAATGCTTTTCTCACAAATAAATACTGCATATATTATTGTTGCAAAAAATTCTAAAAATACACAGAAACCACATTTCTTCCCTTTGTTAAGTTTCTCCAAGATTCAGCTCTTACTCAGAAGTTCGCACAATTAACAATGTGGTGTGTAAATTTTAGAAGCTGATTTCAAGATTTTAAATGACAGATGTGGTAATACAGAAACACACACACAGAGATTACATATATGTTAATATATGTGTGTCTATAAATATAACTATACATGGGTAATGATATACATATAGATATGTGAGTTACCTTTGCACTATCATAGGTTAAATTCCGTTTATATTAAAATGTGGCATTATTTGGAGATAGGATTATTTCAGAGGCAATCAAGTTAAAATGAGGTTATTAATGCTGGCCCTAATTAAATATCATGGGAGTCATTATTAAGAAGAGAAATTTGGACATAGAGATATGAGTAGAGGGATGACAATGTGAGCATGTATGGATTGAAGACAGCCATCTACAAGGCAAGGAGAGAGGCCCGGAAAACATTCTTCCCTCACAGCCCTCAGCAGGAACCAACCTTGTGAACGCCTTGCTCTTTGACTACCAGACTCCAAAACTATGAGACAATAAATGTCTGTTGTTTATGTCATCCAGGTTGAGGTACTTTGCTATGGCAGGCCTAACAAACCAATATACTCACTTATTCAAATGGATCCAAAATCTTTGCCTCACAGCACATATACATTTATCTTACTTTCGGACCTACTCCCTAGAATTCCCATTTATTTCTTGCATTAACACACTGAACAAATCTCCTCCTCATGAACACACATGTGCTTCTCTTTTGCAGCTATAATAAATACAATCAGCATATTTAAGCATAAATTCTGGGATAAATGCATACAATTACTTATAAGGAATGCATATTAATGTGAAAACTGAGTGAGTGTGAACAGAGTATGAATATTTTGTATTTTTTATAATGTTGAGGGCTTTCTCCCAAAATGTTTCACCAGTTAATTTCCTCACACATTTGTCCATGGGGAAATGATCCATTTTTACAAGCATTTTATCACAATGTTAAATGTTGGTCAAACTTATGGGTGCAAACACTAGGTGACCTTGGGTGTGATGAGGAATTTTTCAGATGAAACACTAAAAATACCAGCAATCTAAGATAAAGAGAAAAAATGGACTCTAATAAAATTAAATACTTCCACTGTGAAAAGATACTGCTAAGATAATGAAAAGACAAGCAAGAGAAAGGGATAAGTATTCTTTGATACATATATCTGATAAAAGATATGTATTTTAATATGCACAAAACTCTGAAAACCCAATCATAAGAAAACAGAAACCCAATTTAAAATGGGCAAAAAAAGTCTGAACAGGCACCCCACCAAAGAATAACTATATAGGGATGGAAAATAAGCATGTATAAGAAAACTGTTCAATGTCATATGGCATTAGAGAATTGCAAATTAAAGCACCTAGGAGATAGCACTCTACACCCAGGAGAATGGCTGAATTCCCAAACACTGAAACATCAAATGTTGACATGCATGTTGAACAACAGGAACTTTCAGGCACTGTTAGTGAGATAGACCTGGAGGAATCGTGAATGCATATTGCTAAGTGAAAGAAGAATAGCTAAAAAGGAGACGTAATGTATGATTCCACTCATACAATATTGTTGAACAGGCAACTATGAATATCAGTAGTTTCCACGGGCTGATGGGTTGGGGGTAGGACATGGGGGATTGATAAATAGGTGGAGTACGCAGGAGATTTAGGATGGTGAAACAACTCTGTATGATACTGGAATCATGAATACTTGCCATTACACACGTATCAAAACGTATAGCATCCCCAATGTTGAGTGAGTCCTGATGTAAACTGTGGACTTTACTTAATAATGAGGCATCAGTGGAGGTCAAATCAACTGTAACAAACATGCCATAATAATACAAAATGTAAATAATAGGAGACTGTGTGTGTGTGTGTGTGTGTGTGTGTGTGTGTGTGCGCGCGCGCGCGTGCGTGCACACATGGGGCAGGGCAGGAGGATGGTGTAGATATGTAGGAATTCTCTGTACTTTTGAAGAGGTTTTCTCTTTGTATTTTTGGATTAACAATGCTGTAAAAATGAAGTCTATTCGTTTTTTAAAAGATGCAAATGATTTGAACAGACATTTTACCCAAGAGGGTACACCCATTGCAAAGAGGCATATAACGTCATTTGTCATTAGGGAGATGCAAACAAAAAACAAAAAAAATTGGAATGTATACTTATTTGAATGACTGCAATCTGACAATCTAAAATGCCAAATGTAAGAGAGGATATGGAACAACGGGAATTCTCACTCCTTGCTAGTTGTGATGAAAAATGATACAGCCACACTTTTAAACTCATATTTTATGGACTTATTCATATGACAAATTGTGAAGGTTAAAACAATGTGAACTGAAAAGAGTGCATAGTTACTAGGAGCTGTGGAGAAATGTAGTGACTGACCTCAAACCGGATGCACATGGGACTTTGAGGGTGATGGAACTGGTCAGTATGATACTTGGGAGGTAGATGTAGGACTCAATGCATTTGCCAAAACACATATAACTTCACATCATAGTTAAATCTGATATGTGTATATTAAAAAAATAATCACGAATTGGATTTTTAAAAGGATCCCGGGCTGCTGAACAGATGATGGGTTTTTCTGGGACAAGAATAAGAAAAGAAGCAACAATAAGGAAGCCTTTGACATAGGCTAGGTGAGAGCTGATATTAACTTCACACACAGCAGTAAAGTGGAAGGATTTGTAATGGATTTTAGAAGAAAGGTTGCTGTCTGGACAGAAGAGGGAGGGAGTACAGGCCCTGGGAGGCCCATTCCCACTGTGGATGGATGCGATTCTCCCTCTCTTCTACCTTGCAGGTCTTAGGGATGGGAGGGGCTTATTCAGAGGTGAAAGACTCAGATGGCCAGAGGCAGGCAGCCCAGGCAGTTTCAGGAGTCCAGGCGCAGCCCCTAGCAAAGTTGGAAGGGAATGCCATGGATGACAGTGCCCCTCCCCTGTCCCTGTGCCTGCAGCCAGCTCTGGAGGACATCAGGGATGCCAGATGTACAACTTTCTGACTTCCATTTTAGGGGTCAGCCAGAGGGGACTATTTCTCAGAGGAGGGCAGCTTCAGTCAAGCAGAGGGAGGAATCCCAGGGCTGGCCATTCAACGAGAAGAGAACTCTGTGGAAGGACAGTGACCTCCCACCACGAAGCACCCGGCACTACTCACCTACTTCCAGTTTCCGAGTCTGGGGCTCTGCCTGCCATCTGTGCCCCGAGGTGCTGTCTCACATCCTCCTACAGGTTCCTAGGGAACAAACCCCTTATGAAGACAGGACACCTGTGAGGCCCTAGAGCACCACCTTAAGAGAAGAAGAGCTGTAAGTTGGCCTTTGTCAGAGCCATCATGGGTGAGTTTCTCAGCTGAGGCCACTCATACTGTCCCTCCCTCCCTCATGCCTCTGGGATCCCATCCTCCCCATCCCTGCTCAAAGGATGCTACTTCTGAACAAGAGTCGTCACACCTCTCTTCCCAATCCTTCCCCGCCTCAACTTTGAGCAAGACTTCCAGACCGCAATTCTGATACAGGTCTTGGTAGAATCTGCACAGGATTCCACAGAAGAGGAGGAGGAGGAAGCCTCCTCCATTTCCTCTTCCTCTTTCCACTTTTTATTCCCCTCCTGCTCTTCCTCCTCCTCCTCTTCCTCATTCTCTACTCTGATTCTGGATGCTCCAGAGGACAAGGACATGCCTGCTGCTGGGTTTCCAATTCTTCCCCAGAGTGCTCCCAGGATTCCTCTTCATGATCCTACCCAGAGACCTCTGAGCTCCTGCTCTTTCTCCTCTTTGTGAGGCCCATTGGATGAGGAGTCCAGCAGGCAAAAAGTGGAGGATGCAGCTACATGGCATGCCTTGTCAGACAGTGAATCCTTGCTCACATATGCACTGGATGAAAAGGTGCCTGAGTTGGTGCAGTTTCTTCTCCTCAATTATCAAATAAAGGAGCCTGTCACAAAGGCTGAGATGCTGACGACTGTCATCAAGAAGTATAAGGACTGCTTTCCTGTGATCTTCAGGAAAGCTCATGAGTTCATGGAACTAATGTTTGGCATTGCCCTGACTGAGATGGACACCAACAACCACTCCTATGTCTTTGAAAACACAGTAGAACTCTGCGACCAAGGGAGGCTGAGTGATGGCCAGGGAATGTCCAAGAACCACCTCCTAATTCTTATTCTGAGTGTGGTCTTCATAAAGGGCAGCTGTGCCTCTGAGAAGGTCATTTGGGAAGTGCTGAATTCGATAGGGGTGTATGCTGGGAGGGAGCCCTTCATTTATGGGAAGCCCAGGGAGCTCCTCACTATAGATTGGGTGCAGAGAAAGTATCTGGAGTACCGGGAGGTGCCCTACAATGCTCGTCCAGAGTATGAATTATTGTGAGGTCTAAGAGCCCATTCAGAAATCAGCAAGACGAAAGTCCTAGAGTGTTTAGGCAGCTAGACAGTACCATTGCTAGTTCCTTTCCATCCTGGTACATGGATGCTTTGAAAGATGTGGAAGGCAGAGCCCAGGCCGTCATTGACACCACAGATGAGGCTACTTCCATGGCCCATGCAAGCCCACTATCATGTCCACCAACTTCTGTCCTGAGTCAAGTCTGAGGCAGATTCCCCCTCTGTGTTTGAAGAGGGCAGTCAAGGTTCTAGGCAGGGGAGGACGAGAGTGGAGCTGGAGGGACCACAGTGTTCTTTGTGTTCCTGTTTCATATGAGTGACTTAGAATTTAACATTTTGTGTGTGTGGGCGGGGGGGGGGGGGCAGTATTTTTCAAATGCTTCCCCTTTTGGTTGGCTTAATTCACTTCAGAATCTTAGTTCATGAAAATCGTCACACATGTACTGCTGTTTATCTGGTTTAAGAGTAAGGATTTCATAGTTTGTAAGGAAAAAAATTGAAAACCTGTCTTATGATCTGGAACAGTAGAATGTGGTGTCGGGATTGGATTGGAATTTTCTTTGAAATGTGAAAGAACTCCGTATTTAAATCATGGAACAAAATAAAGGATTGTTAATTTTTGACATTCCTCATCCTCCTTATTGTGTTGTTCTAGACAATTAAAGCTATATATCTGGGTTTGTTTGGCTTAATCAAGAAAGTAGCATAATTTAATTTTTTTTGTTTTGTTTTTTTGTTTTTTTTTTGAGACGGAGTCTGGCTCTGTCGCCTAGGCTGGCGTGCAGTGGCGCGATCTCGGCTCACTGCAAGCTCCGCCTCCCGGGTTCACGCCATTCTCCTGCCGCAGCCTCCAGAGTAGCTGGGGCTACAGGCGCCCGCCAACACGCCCGGCTATTTTTTTTGTATTTTTAGTAGAGACGGGGTTTCACCGTGTTAGCCAGGATGGTCTCGATCTCCTAACCTCGTGATCTGCCCGTCTCGGCCTCCCAAAGTGCTAGGATTACAGGCGTGAGCCACGGCGCCTGGCCGAATTTAAATCTCTAATAAATAAAAGCACCACTGACTCCTTCACTTGCTGAACGTTACTTCAGCATTTGCTTGTGGAAAGCACTGTTCTTAGTGGGGATACTATCAAAAAAAGGTTTATTCCTACCATAACACGGTAAAGTCTAGGTTCAGAAGCCATATCAGGAAGGGTAAGATTTTCTCTATGATCTAAAGAATGAGTTTAAACAGTGGGGACATGAGACTTTAGTTGGGGCCTTCAAGTAAAAAGTCCCTGAGCTAAGGCAGTTTGGGGCTTCAGGAAACTGCAGGTGATTCTGTGAGGGCTGATTGTCATGAAGCTGGGTGGTGGCAGGGCCCAGACCCTCAGAAGGTGAGAGAAAAGCCTGGAATGGAAAACTACTTCTGTAGTTCCCTCTGGGTGGAGGATGAAGCAGAGAGGAGTCTCCACCTGGGGAAGTCATGGAAGGTGTTCTGTGGCTCTCTAACTGGTGAGCCTGAACACAGTGCAAGGACTAGGTGATTGATACCCATCATCTGCAAGTTTTCCTGAGAAATGTGGTGATAATTCCTTGATGTGGTGCTCAGAAGCCTCTAGGCTGGCACTCATTTGCCAGGCCTGGGAGAGCCCAAGCCCATTCCATTGACAGGACTTTTAGTTGGGTTCTTTTGAATGTAATGTGGACAAGTCTAAGCAAGGTCTAGATTTCTCGTGGAACTTAAATAAAACTAGTGGTTTGGATGGATGATCAGTGGGGAAGGTGAAAAGGAGTTGGTCCTTAACTTAAAATCTATAATCTTTGAGTTGCATTCAGTTGTGGAAGCCTCTCCTTTCTTGAATGATACAATATATCCTTTTAGAAAGAAAATGCCCTGAGGTATATTTATGAAGCCAAACTTTTGGTTCAGTTTATATTCCTTGACATATTCAGCTAGATGTTCTATGAGACGTTTTGGATAATGAAAACAAGAGCTGAATTTTTCTCAAAAGACAGTAGTAGACTTTGGGGTTATAATCATATTGATGACAACTGCCATTTATTAAAATTCCAAGGTATGCCAAGCTGTGTGCCAGGTGTTTTGCTCACACTACATACATTCCAGCCATTCTGCAGAACAGGGATTATCAAACCCATTTTACAGACGAAGAAGCTGAGGTTTATAGTTCATGACAAATTCCCGAAGATCACGTGATGATCACATGATTAGAAAGTGACTGGGCTGGGACTTGAGTTCTGAATTCATCTAGACCCACACTGTCCCCACTCCTCTCAGCCTGAGCATAGCCTTCTTCCTGTTAAGTCACTTCTCTTCACACTTCCTAATGTCTTTCAGGTAACATAAAGGAGAAACCTGTGACAAAGTATTTAGATAGGCCTAGAGAAGAAAGGTGACAATGAGAATCAATACCTTTCAAGGATCGTTTTGGGCTTTCTTTACATAAATTCTTCCTGTTATGAGCCCTAGGTTTCTTGAGAGCTGACTCTGTCTGGGTGGCAGTACTTTTGTCCAGCCGCAGGGCTTTCCCACCTTACAACACCCTCCATTTGATCTCCCCTGGGCGCTCTCCTGTGTAACTCTGGACCCTGGCCTGCTGAGTAACTTCTCACTGTGGTCTCGCACTCTGAAGCCTGTGCCCAGCCCTCAGTGCAAGAGCCCAGAGACATCTGCCCTTCCCCTGACATAGACCACTGTTTGTCACTGGAGAAGTTCCCTGACCGATCCATCCCTCCCGCTGGCTCCTCTGTGATAACGGCCCTCGATGTGAATATCCACTTTGGATAGTGACATTTCCATACCTACGCTGGGCATCTTCAACACACTCTCCACATATTTCCAAATAGGCCGCAGAGTAAAATCTGATTGTCACATAACATATGGGGTTTAGGGATGTAATCCTAAGGTCAGATATAGCCTATTTGAAATCTTCCTAATACTTGATACTTGTAGTATGATTTTAATGAGATGCATTATCTGAAACAGGGCACTGAACACAAACAGAGATGAATAAGTTTGTGTAGATGATCAAATGCCAATCTTTCCTTCATAAACTTTGTAGGTGAGGAAAGGCTATAGACATCGCTTTCTAAATGATCTACAGGAAGGTGAATTTCTAAAAAAACAAAACGGTAACAAAATCTTGAAGACTGCCTAGGAGGTGACAAGGGTACTTTGGGGGACATGCCATCTCTGATGAGAAATAAACAATAATTAAACATCCTTCCACTGTCTCTCGTCTGTGTACCTGCCCCACAGGAAAATCGTGGCTTGCAGTGAGCCACAGGCACGTGTATAGCTGTTCAGGAATGTTCCGTCATATGGAGGGTAGCAGAGGCTCACAGGGTAGGTTATTTTTCACACACCAAAAATATGAGAGAATTCTCAGTCTAAAGAAATTATATAGGTTATTAAAAGGACAGTGCCAAGTGATATTGAGGGATTAAGGTTGACCCTCCCTGCAAAGACTTACAGAATTGTCTTAAAACTGGATGTAATCCTGAATTTGAAACCACCAGTCACCTCGTAGGTGCAAGAAAAAGTTGGAAGATTTCAAGGCTATGCGGACATTCCCAGAAACAATTCCAAGACATGAAGAGAATTACTGTCCTCAAGTATAATAGTTGCTTTTCTTTGAGCACCGTAATGACATATGGGAGAGACTACAAGTGCCCATCTCCACCTTGTCTAGCTCGCCTTCCTGGCGGGTTCATTTGTAGTTAGACAGAAGCCAGTGCATCATTCCCATGCTTTCGTTTCTGTTCAGCGCTAAACATCTGTTGTGACATGGAGGGGCAAGGTGAAAGCAGCTTGGATTGTTGGCTGAGGGGAAAGTGAGGGCCTGCTGTGGATTAGTTTATTATGCCATAACAATACCACAGACTGGGTGACTTAAACAATAGAATTGTATTTTCTCCCATTTCTGGAGGCTAAATATCTAAGATCAAGATGTGGGCCAGTTTGATTTCTTCCCTGGCCTCCCCGTGGCTTGCTGATGACCACTTTCTCACTGAATTCTGACATGGATGTTCTTTGGTCTGTGTGTCGGTATCTTAATCTGCTCTTTTATGAGAACACCAGTCATCTTGAATATGATCCTAATCATAAGATCTCATTTTACCTTAGCTGCCTCTTCAAAGGTTCTGTCTCCAAATACAGTGATATTCTGCAGTACTGGGGGTTGAGGCTTGGATATATGAACTCGGAAAGGGGCGCAATTCAGCCCATAACACCCTGCCAACTTAAATCAGAATTTATGTGCACAAAAATCAACTCGTGTGAAGCCATTTAACTTTCAGGGAGTTTTTTCTTTTCCATCAGGTTACTGTTAATGTGACTACTGGAGTGCTCCTCTTCCTTTTCTTAGGGTCATTTCAGTATTTGACTTAAAAGTAAATAGTGCATGTATTTTTGTTGCAAAAAAATTCTAAAAAGACATAGAAATTGCATTGCTTTCTTTACAAAGTTCCTCCAAAACTCAGCCTCCTACTCAGAAATTTCCACAAGTAACAATGTGGCCGTGTAAATTTTAAAATATGATTTTCGATTTCAGGCTTTCATAAAGATAGATGTGCTATTTTATATATACACATATATGTACATATATACACACATGTGTAATGATATAATGATATACATATAGATCTGCCACTTACCTCTGCCACTATAATAGATTCAATTGCCTCTTCCACAAAATTCTACACTGAAATTAAAATGTGGCATTGATTTCGAGATAGGATTATTTCAAAGGCAATCAAGTTAAAATGAGGTTATTAATGCTGGCCGTATTGGAAGCCAGTATAAAAAGGGGATATTTGGACATAGAGATATGAGTATGGAGATGACAATGTGAGTAGACATGGAGGGAAGACAGCTAGGTACAAGGCAATGAGAGAGGCCTGGAAAGCATCCCCCAATCACAGCCTCATAAGGAATCAATCTTGTGTACACCTTGCTCTTGGGCTACCAGATTCCAAAACTGTGAGACAATGAAATTCTGTTGTTTTGTCATCCAGGTTGTGGTACTTTGCTATTGCAACCCTAACATGCCATGATACTCACTTATTAAAATGTATCCAGCATCTTTCCATGTCAGCACATAGAGATCTGCCTTACTTTGGGGACTTTTCCCGAGAATGCCAATTTATTTCTGTGCATTAACAAACTGAACCAACCTCCTCCTGATGAACACATATTTGCTTTTTCTTTGTGGCTAAAATTAGTATAAATATAATCAATATATTTGAGCATAAATTCTGGGACAAATGCATAAAATTCCTTATAAGGAATACATTTCAATGTAGAAGTTGTGTAGAAGTGAACAGGGTATGAATAATTTTATACTTTTTCAAATGTTGCTGACTCTTTCCACCAAAGGTCTCACCAATTAGTTTCCCTACACATTTGTTGATGTGGAAATGATTCATTTGTTGACAAACATATTTTATCAGAATTTTAAACCTTACTGAAACTTATGGGTGAAAGTCCTAGGGGAGTTTGGTTTTGGTAATGACATTTTCAGATGCATCACCAAAATTTTGGTCAAACTTATAGGTGCAAACCCTAGTTGACCTTAAGTTTGGTGGTGACTTTTTCAGATGCAACACCAAAAGTGCCAACATCTAAGAAAAGAGATATAAATTGGACTTCATTAAAATTAACAACTTCTACTCTAAAAGACTGCTAAGAGAAAAGAAAGACAGAGACTGGGATAAATGTTTTCTGAAACACATAACTGATAAAAGATATATATTTAAATATGCACAAAATGCTAAAACCCAATCATAAGAAAACAGAAAACCTAATTGAAAATGGCCAAAAATTCTAAACAGGTACCCCACCAAAGATATATGTGAATAGAAAGTAATCGGATACAACTGTCCAATTTCTGATATGGTTTGGCTCTGTGTCCCCACCGAAATCTGAACTCAAATTTTCATCCCCACATGTCCAGGGAGGGACATGATTGGATCATGGGGGCAGTTTCACCCATGCTGTTCCCCTTGTAGTGAGTGAGTTCTCACGAGATCTGATTGTTTTGTATGTGTTTCGAAGTTCCTCCTTCGTGCTTCTTCCTCCTGCCACCTTGAGAAAAAGGTACCTGCTTCCCCTTCGCATTCCACCATGATCATAAGTTTCCTGAAGCCTCCCGCAGCCGTGTGGAACTGGGAGTCAACTAAACCTCTTTCTTTTATAAATTATTCAGTCTCAGGCATTTCTTTATAGCCATGTGGAAACAGAATAATACAATGACATATATCATTAAAGAATCGCAAATTGAAACAACTAAGATATAACACTACAGACCCAGAAGAGTGGCTGAAACCCAAAACACTGAACCAACAAGTGTTCACACGTGTGTTGAGCAACAGGAACTTTCAATCATTGTTAGTGGGACAGACCTGAAGGAATTGTGAAAGCCTATTGCTAAGTGAAAGAAGAAAATATAAAAAGGCGACATAATATATGATTCCGGTCATACGATATTCTGGAACAGGCAAGATGAATACACTAAAAATACTAGTGGTTTCCGAGGGCTGAGGGGTTGGAGTTGAGGAATGGAGGATTAATCAATAGGTGGAGTACACAGGAGATTTAGGTTGGTGAAACAATTCTGTATGATACTGTAATGATGAATACTTGCCATTGCACACTCATCAAAAACCATAGCATCCACAATGTGGAATGAGTCCTGATGTAAACTGTGGAATTTACTTACTAAATAGGTATCAATACAGATCCATCAGTTGTAGCAAACATGCTATAATAATACAAATTGTAAATAATAGGAGACACTGTGTGTGTGTGTGTTCATGTGTGTGTGTGTGGGTGTGTGTGCGTGTGAGGCAGAGCAGGGAGGGTGGTGTAGATCTGTGGGAACTCTAATTTTGACGAAGTTTTCTCTCTGTATTTTTGGATTAGCAATGCTCTAAAAATGAAGCCTATTTTTTTAAAAAAAATGTAAATAATTTGAACAAACACTTTACCAAAGAGAATATACATATTGGAAAGAGGCATGTAATGTCATTTGTCATTAGGGAGATGCAAACAAAAACCAAAGAAGTTTGCAATACACACTTATTACAATGGCTAAAATCCAACAGTCTAAAATACCCAATGTAAGAGAGGATATGGAACAACAGGAATTCTCATTCCTTGCTAGTTGTGATGAAAACTGATACAGCTGCACTTTTAAATCAGTATTTTATGCACCTCCTCTTATGACATGGTGAAAGCTAAAAGTATAGGAACTGAAAGAAGAACATAGTTGCCAGGGGCTTTGCAGAAGTGCAGTGACTGACCTCAAATGGGATGCACAGGAGAATTTTAAGTTGATCATACTGGTCATTACGATACTCGGGTGGTACATATGGGATGCCATGCATTCGCCAAAATACGTATAACTTCACAAAATAGTTACATTTGATGTGTGTTTTTGAAAAAACATTTTAACTTTTACTTTCAGAGATAGAAGTGCAGGTGTGTTACATAGGTAAATTGTGTCATGGGGGTTTCTTGTACAGATTATTTTACCACCCATCTATTAAGCCTAGTACCCATTTGTTATTTTTCCTGATCCTCTCCCTCCTCCCACTCTCCACCCTCTGCAAGGCCCCAATGTGTGTTGCTCCCTTCTATGTGTCCATGTGTTCTCCTCTCTAGCTCCCACTTATAAGTGAGAACACATAGTATTTGGTTTTCTGTTACTGTGTTAGTTCACTTAGAATAATGGCCTCTAGCTCCATCCATGCCATGGATTGGGATTTTTTTTAAGTAGCAACAATAAAGAAGACTTTAACCTAGTCTAGCTGAGAGAGAATGTTAACATCACATACAGCAGTAGTAATGGAGATTGAAAAAGTGGAAGGATTTGGAATGGATTTTAGAGGTGGAAGGAAAAAAAGTTGCTGTTGGATTGGATTTGGGATAAGATGAAGGGAGAAATCAAGCACAAAAGTAAAAATTGTGCCCCTTTGATGGTAACAAATATCAAATGAAGACATACTTTGGTTTTTCAATTTTTTGACAGCCTTCATGTGTATTTTGTAATCACTCTGACACATGCACAAACATTTCTTATTCCTTGAAATCTGGGAATGCCGTCCCCTCCTTCAACCTGGTGCCCAACAATTCTACATTCATGGCACCTATGGTAAACCTCCACTGTCAGTGGCAGCATGTTCAGTGAAGGCTGAATCTAAGTGAGAAATAGGAACTGAAGGTGAGTCATCTGGGGCATGTTTGGAGAAGGGGTGTGTTTACTCGTTTAAAAGGCCCCTGACACTCCCCACTGATTCAATTCCAAGAACATTAGTCCCTCTCTCTTCTGGAAGGGACACTTATTTCCAATACCAGGAGGTAAAAGGATAGGCTGCCATTTTCTTTTTACCATCCATAAGAAATGCTCCCTTCTTGGGACCTCAGAAGAAAAGCTCCATGAGGATAATTCCCAAGGACATGTGGGCCAGAGCTGGAGTTTACCCACCAGCTGCCTCCCAATCTGGGAGAAGAGCTTCCTTGTCTGTGGGTTTCCACCTTGAGTGCTGAGGTTTGATGATCCACCAATCCTGGCTGTGAGCAGAGGCCAACTGCCCCTGGGAAACGGCGACAAAGCTAAGGAAGGAAGTCAGCTCATGAACAGCTGAGTTGATCCTGACCATAGTGGGTGCAGAGAACCCCAATCCTCAGGGTAATCTCTGGCAAAGCCACAAATCAACCTTTTTTGAAATCTCAGGGCGCAAGAATCCTTCTGAGGGTCCTGTCAGGAGTAAGAGCATCTGAAAAGAAGTATGTGGATCTCTTATCCATGTGGAGAGGGAGATGGGCCTCTACTCCTATCATGTGAGCAACCTGGCACTGCCACTAAGTTAGTAAAGTGTTTGTGGATCTGGTCAGGGTGTCTGTCATCAACACAACAGCCCTCCATCAGGACTTTCTGGAATAGAACTGTTCTGGTTATATTTCTTGACTCACCAGAGTTCCAGAGGTCAGCAGGAGGATGGTTCAAGTAAGAGGGGGATAAATCCATCATTGTCCCAGGTAGCCTTCCCCCAGCTACTATTGAGATCTAAGTTCTACTCTCAAAAAGCACAGGCTTATGAAAGCAGCTAGACCTTCTATGGGTGAGACAAGGGGGAGAGAGGAGGTGCCATTTCCTGTGTTCCTCTTTGACTCATATCATCTCGCTCCTCTTGCTACTGAAGTGACCATTGACCTCAGAGTCTTTCAGTTCTTTCAACTCCAGCCTTACATAATCTATACAAAGACTTATTATTCTGTGCATTTCTGTGTTTTCAAAGTTATTATAATGAACATTTTAAAAGTAGGTTTTGAATTTCCCTGTAATTGCATTTTTGTATAATATGAAAAAGGGTTCCACTTACATTAAGGTTTTTTATATGGATATTTAGTTGTTCCACTGATACTTATTTCAACAAGACAGTCTCCAGTTCTAAAGCTGCAACACATTTTAATCAATTAAGCTTGCTTTTATACATGTTTTGTTGGTTTTGTTTTTCAGGACTTTCCATTCAGTTCCATTGGTCTATCTGTTAATCCATGCACCCAGACCTCCAACGCTTCATACAATAGCTCCTTTGTAATTCTTACTATCTGTTGGATGAATTGCACTTTCTCAAGAGTGTATTGACTATGCTTGGCGGTTTGCATGTCTTTACATTTTAGAATCAGGTGATTCATAGATGCCTTCACGTGCAAAGGCATTCGGTTGTTTTGATTTGGGATTACAATTATTCTATCGATTCCGTTTTAAGGAAAACTATTGAAACTTCATTCCCATGAATTTATTTTCTGTTCCTGTCGGTCTTCATTAATATTTTTAAATAACGTGTTAATGGTTTTTCTGTAATGTTTTAATTTTGTTGGTTAGTTTTTTTGAGGTACTTAATGTTTGGAATGATAGGTTAGAGGTTATATTTTCTTTATTTTCATATTCATTGTTGCTGCAAGAAAACAAAGTTTATTTTTCCCATGTTGATTTTATACTTAGGAAACTTATATATTTTCATCTATTGACAAGCTGGGTGGTATGCTTGTTGGTGGTGGTATTCTGCTCTTGCTGGTGGTATGCCCATTTGAGCATAGACTCTGCTGCTTCTGCCCCAGTGAAGCACTTCAGACAGCAACTCCCATCAGAGTGTCGTTGTCAGTGGACAAGGAACACCCCGGTGTCTCTAGCAGAGCAGTTGCTTTACATCACAGCGACAGAGAACAATGACATGGGCCTCGTATCAGTCCCCAAACGTTGAGCATACAGCCCAAGAGTACTGACCTGAGCTTTTGCCCATAACATCTTCTAGAAATGAAGCCTCTTGACAGAACCCACCACCGTCAAACACTCAAGGGCTTCAACGAGTATAAAAGAATAAAAAACCCATTCAAGGTCTAGTAACTTCAAATAGTAAAGGAACATCAGCCCACACAGATAAGAAAGAACCAGCACAAGAACTCTAGCAACTCCAAAAACCAGAGCATCTTCTTCCTTCCTCACTACCACACTAGTTCTCCAGCAATGGTTCTAAAGCAGGGTGAAATGGCCACAATGAGAGACGGAGAGTTTAGAATCTGGATAGGGACACAGATCATTGAGATTCAGGAGAAAGTCAAAACCAAATCCAAGGAATCTAAGGAATCCAATAAAATGACAGAAAAGCTGAAAGATGAAATCGCCATTTTAAGAAGGAACCAAGCAGAACAGATAAGGCTGAAAAACTTACTGAAGGAATCTCATAATACAACTAAAAGTAGGAACAACAGAATTAACCCAGCAGAGGAAAAATCTCTGAGCCTGAAAACTAGTTCTCTGAATCAACTCAGTCAGAAAAAAATTATATAGAAAAAAGAATATAAAAGAATGCCTCAAACCTCCAAGAAATTTGAGATTATGTAGTGAGACCAATCCTGCAACCTATTGGCATCGCTAAAAGACAGGGAGAAAGAACAAGCAACTTGGAAAACAAATTTGAAGGTATCATTCACAAAAATTACTCCACCCTTGTTGGATGGTCAACATTTAAATTCAGGAAATCCAGAGAATCCCTGTGAGATACTGTACAAGACAACCATCCCCAAGTCACATGGTCATCATATTCTCCAATGTCAAGATGAAAGAAAAAATATCAAAGGCAGCTAGAGAGAAAGAACAGGTCACCAACAAAAGGAATGTCATCAGAGTGGTCATCAGGGTGGATAAATGCCAGGTGATATTTATCCTGGTAAATATCAACACTACTCCCTGAGTAAATAATCCTTTACATAGTACTTACATATGTTTATGGGTTACATGAGGTATTTTGTTATAGGCTTGCTATGTGTAATAATCACATCAGGGTAAATGGGTGATCCATCAGCATAGACATTTATCCTTTGTGTTTCAAACAATCCAATTACACTCTTTCAGTTATTTCAAAAAGTACAATTAAATCATTTTGACTATGGTCACCCTGTTGTGATCTCAAATACTAGGTCTTATTGATTCTCTCTAACAGTTTTTTGTAAACATCAGCCATCCTCACTTCTCCCCCACATCCTGTACATTTCTCAGCCTCAGGTAACCATCCTTCCACACTCTATGTCCACAAATTCCACTGTTTTGATTTTTAGCTTCCACATATAAGCGAGAACATGTGAAGTTTGTCTTTCTGTGCCCGGCTTATTTCACTTATCATAATGACCTCCAGTGCCATCCATGTGGATGCAAATGACAGGGTCTCATTGCTTTTATGGCTGAATAGTACTCCAATGTGTATATGTAAATACAATTTCTTTATCCAGTCATCTGCTGATGGACACTTTGGTTGCTTCCTCATATTGGCTATTGTTAATCGTGCTGCAGTGAACATGGTTGTGCAGGTATCACTTCAGTGTACTGATTTCCTTCATTTTGGGTAAATACCAAGGAGTGGGATTACTGGATAGTATGGGAGTTTTGTTTTCATTTTTAGAAGAGTCTCCAAGCTGTTCTCCATAGTGGTTTTAGCAACGTGCATTCCCACCAACAGTATAAACAAACTGTGATACACCTATACAATGGATTACTATGCAGCCATAAGAAGAAAAGGCCTATCAGCCATGGAAAGACAGGGATGAACATAAAAAGCATGTTGCTAAGGGAAAGAAGTTAATCTGATACCATGGTTATAAATTACTCCTATTTCAGTTATCCGAGCTATGGTGTCCTTTTTATGTTAAGATTCCTGGCCAGGCGCGGTGGCTCATGCCTGTAATCCCAGCACTTTGGGAGGCTGAGGTAGGCGGATCACCAGAGGTCAGGAGTTCAAGACCAGCCTATTCAGTATGGTGAAACCCCGTCTCTACTAAAAATACAAAAAAAAAAAAAAATTAGCCAGCTGTGGTGGCATGCACCTGTAATCGCAGCCACTCCTGAGGCTGAGGCACAAGAATCGCTTGAACCCGGGAGGCGGAGGTTGTAGTGAGCCGAGATCACGCCATTACACTCCAACCTGGGCGATAGAGCGAGACTCCATCTTAAATAAATAAATAAATAAATAAAATAAAAAATAAATAAAAAGTAAAAAGATTCCTGCATGACAAGTTTGGATTGATCCAAGACGTCAATTATATTTGATACAATCTCATTCTTACATTGACTTTTTTGTTTGTGCACGTCCCCGATCAAAACACATAGGTTGTAACCTAATCCCCAATATTTGACATTTTTGTTATGGCAACCCAAACTGACTACCACACTCCTCTATATTCTCTGACTCTCTTTCTAGTACTCTCACTAGAAATTGGGCTTTTAGTACAGTCCATTATGCCATCCACCTGCTTTGTATGGGTCTGCCTCCCTGGCTAAAATAGTGAGAGCATATAAAGAGAAAAATAACAGCGAAGTTTTCTCCCGTACTTTTTCAAACAAAGGTCTTCTTGACAGAGGGAAGGATGTTCCTCACTCAGAGTTTTAGATGCCTGAGCAGCTGGTGCTAGTGCTCTCATTGGACGATTACACCTTCAGGAATGGGGTTGGCTTGCCTGGAGGCCAACCTTGAAGAAGAAAGGAATTTCTCATGTTCTCTTTGTCTTTTAGGAATCTCCTATCCTAGTTCTTCAAACACAAAAGTTTTTCTAGAAAAAATGAAAACATTAATTGCCTTAGAACACTTTCTGTCTCTGTATCATGTGCAATTCTTCAATTTTGTATGCCTTTAAGTCCAGGCTAGAAGACAGAGAAGGAAAAAAAGTAAAGGAAACTAACCACCCTATCAAAAAATTACTTTGAATTCTAGTCTCCTTACCTAATTATCCTGCTTCTATTTACAATTTTTACATAAAGTTTTTGCTTTAGGATAGTTTTAGATTCACAGAAAATTTACAAAATAATAACTTCAAGATCAAGATGTTGGCTGGTTTGATTTCTTCTCTGGCCTCTCTGTGGCTTGCAGACAGCCACTTTCTCACTGAATTCTTACATGGTTGTTCCTTGGTCTGTGTGTCTGTATCTTAATCTGCACTTCTTATGAGGATACCTGTTATATTGAATATGAACCTAAACTTAAGACCTCATTTTACCTTAATTACCTCTTCAAAGTTTCTGTCTTCAAATACAGTCACATTCTGGGATACTGAGTTTTAAGACTTGGATATATGAATTTTTGGGGTGAGTCACAATTCAGCCCATAACACCCTGCCAACTAAATCAGAATTTACGTGCCAAAAAATAAACTTGTCGTGTTAAGTCACATAAATTTCAAGGATTTTTCTTCTTGGTGTTCCATGAGCTTACTGATACTTTATCTTCCTACTGGACTGCTCCTCATGCTTTTCTTAGGCTTATTTCAATACTTTCCCTACAAATAAATACTGCATATATTTCTGATACAAAATTTAAAAAATAGGTAGAAATCACAATTCTCCCCTTTGGAAAGTTCCTCCAAAACTCATCCCCCTATTCAGAAGTCTCCACAATTAACCCTGTAGTGTTTAAATTTAAAAGCTGATTTAGAATTTTGAGAAAGATAGATGTGGTTTTTTAATATAATCTATACATATATGAGAATGCGTGTGTGTTTATAACTACACATGGGTAATAATATACATATAGGTCTGCCACTTCCTTTTCCACTATTATAGGTTCAGTTGCATCCCCGCTAAAATCTTACGTTGAAATTTACATGTGGCATTATTTGGAGACAGGATTACCTCAGAGGCAAGTAAGTTAAAAATGTGGTTATTAAAGAAGAGCTGGTACTATTCCAACTGAAATCATTCCAAAAAAATTGAAAAGGAGGAACGTCTCCCTAACTCGTTCTATGAGGCCAACACCATCCTCATACCAAAACCTGGCAGAGACAAAAAAAAAAAAAAAAAAAGAAAAGAAACATCAGGCCAATATCCTTAACAAACAGTGATGCAAAAATGCTCATCAAAATGCTGGCAAACCATATCCAGCAGCACATCAAAAAGCTTATCCACCAGGATCAAGTAGGCTTGATTTCTGGGATGCAAGGTTGGTTCAACATATGCAAATCAACAAATGTGATTCATCAAATAAACAGAAATAAAGATAAAAACCACATGATTTTCTCAATTGATGCAGAAAAGCTTTTGATAAAATTCAACATTTTTTCTTATTAAATACTCTCAATAAATTAGGTGTTGAGGGAACATACCTCAAAATAATAAGAACCGTATATGACAAACTCACAGCCAATATTATACTGAATGGACAAAAGCTGGAAGTATTCCTCTTGAAAATTAACAAAAGACAGGGATGCCCTCTCTCACCACTCTTATTCAACATAGTGTTGGGAGTTCTAGCCAGGACACTCAGGCAAGAGAAATAAATAAAGTGTATTCAAATAGGAAGAGAGGAAGTCAAACTATTTTTGTTTGCAGATGACATGATCATATATCTAGAAAACCCCATTGTCTCAGGTCAAAAGCTTCTTAAGCTGATAAGCAACTTCAGCAAAGTCTCGGGATACAAAATCAACGTACAGAAATCACGAACATTTGTATACACCAACAACAGGCAAGCTGAGAGCCAAATCATGAATGAACTTTCATTCCGAATTGCCACAAAAGGAATAATATAGCTAGGAATACAACTAACAAGGGAAGTGAAGTATCTCTACAAGGAGAAAGACAAATCCCTGCTCAAACAAATCAGGGATGACACAAGCAAATGGAAAAACATTCCATCCTAATGGATAGGAAGAATCAGTATCGTGAAAATGGCCATACTGCCCAAAGCAATTTATAGATTCAGTGCTATTCCCACTAAACTTTCACTGACATTCTTCACACAACTAGAAACAAAAATCTATTTTGAAATTTGTATGTAACCAAAAAAGAGCCCAAATAGCCAAGGCAATCCTAAGCAAAAAGAATAAAGCTGGAGGCATCATGCTACCTCACTTCAAACTGTACTACAAGGCTACAGTAACCAAACAGCATGGTACTGGTACAAGAACTGACACATAGACCAATGGAAAATAATAGAGAACCCAGAAATAAGACTGCACACCTAAAACCATCTGATCTTTGACAAACGTGACAAAAACAACCAATTGGTAAAGAACTCCCTATTTAATAAATGGTGATGGAAGAACCAGCTAGCCTTAAGCAGAAAATTGAAACCACATCCCTTCCTTACACCATATACAAAAATAACTCAAGGTGGATTAAAGACTTAAATGTAAAACCCAAAACCATAAAAACCTTAGAAAAACCCTAGGCAATACCATTCAGGACATAGGCACGGGAGAAAGTTTCATGACAAAGATGCTAAAAATAGTTGCAACAAAAGCAAGCATTGACAAACGGGATGTATTTAAAGTAAAGAACTTCTGCAGAGCAAGAGAAACTATCAACAGATTAAACAGACAGCCTACAGAATGGGAGAAATTTTTTGCAATCTGTGCATCTGATGAAGATCTATATCCAGCATCTATAAAGAATTTAAACAAATTTAAATGAAAAAAAAAAACCCATTAAAAGGTGGGCAAAGGACATGCACACTTTCCAAAAGAAGACATACATGCTGCCAACAAGCATATGAAAACAAGCTTAACATCACTAATCACTAGAGAAATGCCAAACAAAAGTACAGTGAGACACCACCTCACACCAGACAGAATGGCTATTACTAAAATGTCAAAAAATAAGAGATCGTGGTGAGGTTGTGGAGAAAAAGGAATATTTTTACTCTGTTGGCGGAAGTGTCAATTAGTTCAACCATTGTGGAAAATAGTCTGTCAAATTCTCAAAGATGTAGAGACTGAAATAGCATTCACCCCAGCCAGCAAACCAATTACTGGGTATACATTTAAAGGAATATAAATGGTTCTGTTATTAAGACACATGCAAGTGTATGTTCAATGAGGCACTATTCACAATAGCAAAGACACAGAATCAACCTAAATGCCCATCAATGATAGACTGGATAAAGAAAATGTGGTATATATACACCATGGAATACTATGCAGCCATAAAAAGGAAGGAGATCAGGTGTTTTGCAGGAAAATAGATGAAGCTGGAGGCATTATCCTTGGCAAAGTAACAGAGGAACAGAAAACAAAATGTCAAATGTTCTCACTTATAAATGGGAGCTAAATGTTGTGAACACAAGGACACGTAGAGGGGAACAATGCACACTAAGGCCTACCAGAGGGCAGAGGGTGGGAAGAGGGAGAGGCTCAGGAAAAAATAACTAATTGATATTGGCTTAATACCTGGGTGATGAAATAATATGTACAACAAACCTTCATGACACACATTTGCATACGTAAAAGCCTGCACATCCTGCACATGTATCATGAACTTAAACTAATAGTTAAAAAATGTGGTTATTAATGCCGGCCCTAATCCAATATGATGGGAGTCATCATACAAAGGGAAAATTTGGACACAGTGCTATGAGTAGAGTGATGACAACGTGAACATACATGGAGTGAAGACAGCCGTCTACAAGGCAAGGAGAGAGACTGGAAAACATCCTGCCCTCACAGCCCTCAGCAGGAAACAACCTTGTATACACCTTGCTCTTGGACTACCAGATTCCAAAACTGTGAGAAAGTCACAAAACTCTGGAAATCCAATCATGAGAAAAAAGAAAACCAAATATAAAATGGGCCAGATAATCTGAAAAGATACGCCAGCAAAGAATATATAGGAATGGAAAATAAGCACATAACACTGTCAAATGTCCTATGTCATTATAGATATGCAAATTAAAACAACTAGGAGATAGCCCTCTACCCCCAGGAGAACGGCTGACATCCAAAACACTGCAACATCAAACGTTGACATGCATGTTGAGCAACAGGAACTTTCAGTGGTTGTTAGTGGGATGGACCTGGAGGAATCGTGAAAGCCTATTGCTAAGTGAAAGAAGAACATTCTAAAAAGGCTACATAATGTACAATTTCAATCATATCATATTCTGGAACAGGCAACGATGAATACACTAAAAATATGACTGCTTTCCAGGAGCTGATGGTTGGTGTTGGTGTACGGGGGATTGATCATTAGGTGGAACACACAGGAGATCTAAGATGCTGAAACAATTCTGTGTAATACTCTAATGATGCATACTTGCCATTACACCCTTATCAAAATCTATAGTATCCTCAGCGTTAAGAGTGAGTCCTGACATAAACCGTGGACTTAATAATGAGGTAATACAGTTCCATCAGTTGCAGCAAACATGTCATAATAACACAAAATATAAATAAAAAGAGACACTTTGTGTGTGTGTACAGCAAGCAGGGCAGGGCGGTGGTGTAGATACAAGAACTCTAAATTTGATGAAGTTTTCTCTTTGTATTTTTGGATTAGCAATGCTCTCAAAATGAAGTTTATTCATCTACAAAAAGATGCAAATGATTTGAATAGACACTTTACCAAAGAGGCTATACCAATGGGAAAAAAAGCATATAAAAAGATGACAAATTTCATATGTCATTAGGAAGATGCAAACGAAAACCAAAGAAGATTCCAATACATGCTTATGAGAATGGCTAAAACCTGAAAATCTAAAATACTAAATGTAAGAGAGGATATAGGATAACAGAAATTCTCATTCCTTGCTAGTTGTGATAAAGAAGAGTACAGGCGCACTGTTAAGTCAGTATCTTATGAACCTAGTCATATGACAAATTGGAAGAGTTAAAACTACAGGAACTGAAAACGGAAGAGAGTTGCCAGGAGCTTTGTGGAGTGCAGTGATTGACTTCAAACGGGATGCACAGGAGAATTTTAGGCAGATGGAACTGGTCAGTATGATACTTGGTTGGTAGATATGGGACTCCATGCATTTTCCAAAATACATATAACTTCACATTCTAGTTAAATCTGATGTGTGTATTTAAAACGAAAATCACGTATTGGTTTTCAAAAGGATCACGGGCTGCTGAAAAGACAATGGTTTTTTCAGAAACAAGGATAGGAAAAGAAGCAACAATAATGAAGCCTTTAACATAGGCTATGGGAGCGATGATGTTAACTTCACACTCAGCAGTAAAGTGGAAAAATTTGGAATGGATTTTAGCGGCTGAAGGAACAAATGTTGCTGTCTGGACAGGTGAGGGAGGGAGTGGAGGCCCCTTAAGAACTAATACCTTGAGGAAGACTGAGGGGCCTTCCTACTCCATTTCAGACAGGAGCAGTGGAGCCCTGCGTTGGGCATGGGAGGTCTTATACCACTGTGGATGGATGTGATTCTCCCTCTCTTGCACCTTGCAGGTCTCAGGGATTGGAGGGGCTTATATGGAGGTGAAAGACTCAGATGCACAGGGTCAGGCATCCCAGGCAGTATCAGGAGTCCAGGCACAGCCTCTCAGGAAGGCAGGAAGAGAACACCCATGACTAGTAGTGCCCCCTGTCCTGTCCCTGTGCCTGCTGCCAGCTCTGGAGGAGCCCATCAGGGTCCCCAAATGTACAATTTTCTGACTTCCACTTTGGGAGTCAGCCGGAGGGGAGGTTTTCTCTGAGGAGAGCAGCTTCAGTTAAGCAGATGGAGAAGCTCCAGGACTGGCCAACAATCAAGAAGAGAACTCTGTGGAAGGACGATGACCTCCCACCAGGGAGGGGAGGCCCAGGCTGCAAAGAGACACTCCCTGCTGTCAGCCCTGGGAAAAGGGGCAGGAGGAGGGTGTCAGGGACTGGGGAGGTGGGAGGGAAGAGGTCAGCAAGGCTTAGGGAGTGAGCAGGAAGGGGTGGAGGGCGACCAGGAAGTGGTCAGGAAAGGGTGGAAGGAGACTGACACGTGGGGGTTGGCTCCTCTGCAGAGTGGAGGCCCCGCCACACGCTGCCCCTGCTGTCAGCTCTGGTCAACCCCGGCAGGGTTCCTGGATGTGCTTTCCCGACTTGCATTTTGTGAGTCCGAAGGACATGAGGCACTTTGTGAGGAGGCTCGTCTCAGTTCAGCAGAGAGAAGTCTTAGACCTGGCCAATCCTCAAGGTAAGGGCCCTGAGGAAGAACTGAGCGAACTCCCACCACAGAGAGAAGAAACCGTAGCGGGTGCTGCCCCTGCCGTGGGACTTGTAGGTCCCAGAGAGGAAAATGGCCGCTGGGGGCTGAGGGGTCCTCACGATAGAAGAAGGGAGGAGGTGCCGGCCCTCTAGGGAATAAATAGGAAGACTTTGAGGAAGAGTCGGGGAACCCCCACCTCAGAGGACAGATTCCTGGAGATTCCCACCCTGCTCGTCGTATCAGCCCTCTTAGAGCTCCCCAGTCAGCTCAGGCTGAGCCGCAGCCCTCTCATTTCTGGGTGAGGGGTGGAGGGGAGGGGGGAGGCCTTGGTCTGGGGGTCCCATGGCAAGTCAGCAGGGGAGCTGCCTCCGCTTGGCAGTTGGCAGAGGCTGCCACCGCACCACCTCCCACTGCTCTCAGGGATGTGGAATTTGCTCTGAGGTTTTGCCTCAGACCAGCAGAGTGGTGGGGGTCTGGCCCTGTCTAAGAAGCTGTGAGGTTGCTAATTAAATTCTGAGGGAGCCATGCAGCCCAGAACGATGGAGCTCTGTGAGTCTGGCCAGCCCCAGCTGTCAGCCCTGGGAGACCCAAGGCTCTGCTTGCAGTCTTTAGCCTGAGGGGCTCCCTCACTTCCTCTTGCAGGTGCTCCAGGAACCAGGATGTGAAGACCTGGGTCTGAGTTGCACTTCCTAAAGTCAGCACAGCAGGGGAGGCCCAGGAAGTGCCAGGAGTCAAGGTGAGTGCACACCCTAACTTTGTTACAAAGGCTCTACCCCTACAAACAGAGGAGACTCTTCAGCACCCAGCCGTAACCACCTACTGTCATTCCTGGTGCCTCAGGCTCCGCCTTTCAGCTGTACCCTGAGGTGATTTCTCACATCCTCTTACAGGTGCCCAGGGGACAATCTCTCTAGGAAGACAGGCGACCTGTGAGGCCCTGAAGCACGACCTTAAGAGAAGAGGAGCTGTAAGTCGGCCTTTGGCAGAGCCATCATGGGTGAGTTTATCAGCTGAGGCCACGCACAGCGTCACTCTCTTCCACAGGCCTGTTGGATCCCATCATCCGTATCCCTGTTGATATGTTTACCTGCTGCTCCTGAAGAAGTCGTTATGCCTCTCTTTCCAAGCGTTCCATTCCCCAACTTTGCGGAAGACTCCCAGTACCCAGTTGTAATAGAGGATTGGATAGATGCACAGGATCCCACAGATGAGGAAGAGGAGGAAGCCTCCATTTCCTCTTCTACTTTCTACTTAGTATTTTCCTCCTCTTCCTCCTCCTCATCCTCTTCTCTGATTCTTGGTGGCCCTGAGGAGGAGGAGGTGCACTCTGCTGGGATGTCAAGTCTTCTCCAGAGCACTCCCAAGAGTCCTCCACAGGGTCCTTCCCAATGTCCTCCCCAGAATCCTCTGAGCTCCTGCTCTTCCTCTGTTTCATGCAGCCCAATGAATGAAGAGTCCAGCAGCCAAAAAGAGGAGGATGCAGGACCTGTCCTGGCCTGCCAGACAGTGAGTTCTTTTTCACATATACACTAGATGAAAAGGTGGCCGAGTGAGTGGAGTTCCTGCTCCTCAAATATCAAACAAAGGAGCCTATAACAGAGTCAGAGATGCTGACGATTGTCATCACCAAGTACAAAGACTACTTTCCTGTGATACTCGAGAAAGCCTGTGAGTTCATAGAGCTTCTTTTTGGCCTTTCCCTGATAGAAGTGGGCCCTGACCATTTCTATGTGTTTGCAAACACAGTAGACCTCGCCGATGAGGGTAGTGATGACACGGGCAGGCCTGAGAACTGCCTCCTGATTCTTATTCTGAGTGTGATCTTCATAACGGGCAGCTGTGCCCCTGAGGAGGTCATCTGGGAAGTGCTGAAGGCAATAGGGGTGTATGCTGGGAGGGAGCACTTCGTCTATGGGGAGCCCAGGGAGCTCCTCACTAAAGTTTGGGTGCAGGAACATTACCTGGAGTATTGGGAGGTGCCCAACAGTTCTCCTCCACGTTATGAATTCCTGTGGGGTCCAAGAGCCCATTCAGAAAGCACCAAGCAGAAAGTACTAGAGTTTTTGGCCAAGCTATACAATAGTATCCCTATTTCCTTTCCATCCTGGTACAAGGATGCTTTGAAAGATGTGGAAGAGAGAGCCCAGGCCATAATTTCCACCACAGATGATGCCACTGCCATGCCCAGTGCAAGCTTCAGTTTCATGTCCAGCAACTTCTCCTGTCCTGAATGAAGTCTGGGGTAGTTTCTTCCCTTTGTGTTTGAAGAAGGCAGTTGAGGTCCTACATAGTGAAGGGCCCAGGTGGAGCTGGAGAGAAAACAGCGTTCTCTGCATTTCTGTTTCATGTGGGTGGTTTATAGATTTACCTGTTTTTCTTTTGGTTATTTTCAAATGCTTTTATTTTAATAGCAGGTTTAATTGGTTTCAGAATCTTCGTTTATTAATATTATTTACGTATTGCCATTTATCTGACTTAAAAGTAAGAATTTTATATTTTGTTAAAAAGATGGGAAAACCTTCTCTTATTTTGTGATCTGTAACAGGATAGTGTGGTATTATAATAGGAATTTTCTTTAAAATGTGAAAGTACTCAGCAGTTCAATAGTTGAACAAAATGAAGGATGGCTAATATTTGCATCTCCTCATACCCTTTATTTTCTTGTTCTTAAAAATTAAATATGTATCCCTTGCTTGGCTTGGCATATTCAAAAAAGTAGCAGAAATTAACTCTGAATACAAGAAAGCCTCACTGACTCCTTTATTTGCTGAACATTATTTAAGCATATGCTTTTGGAAGGCACTCTTCATAGTGCGGATAGTGTGAAAAGCATGACTTATCCCTACTGATAAAACAGGAGATTCTTGGAGCAGAAGCCATATCAAGAAGCTGGTAAGGTGCTCTTTACAATTTAAAGAACAACTTAAAAAAGGACTGGGCCGCAATAAACATATGTGTGCATGTGTCTTTATAGCAGCATGATTTATAGTCCTTTGGGTATACCCATACCCAGTAATGGGATGGCTGGGTCAAATGGTATTTCTAGTTCTACATCCCTGAGGAATCGCCACACTGACTTCCACAAGGGTTGAACTAGTTTACAGTCCCACCAACAGTCTAAAAGTGTTCCCATTTCTCCACATCCTCTCCAGCACCTGTTGTTTCCTGACTTTTTAATGATTGCCATTCTAACTGGTGTGAGATGGTATCTCATTGTGGTTTTGATTTGCATTTCTCTGATGGCCAGTGATGATGAGCATTTTTTCATGTGTCTTTTGGCTGCATAAATGTCTTCTTTTGAGAAGTGTCTGTTCATATCCTTTGCCCACTTTTTGATGGGGTTGTTTGTTTTTTTCTTGTAAATTTGTTTGAGTTCATTGTAGATTCTGGATATTAGCCCTTTGTCAGATGAGTAGGTTGCGAAAATTTTCTCCCATTTTGTAGGTTGCCTGTTCACTCTGATGGTAGTTTCTTTTGCTGTGCAGAAGCTCTTTAGTTTAATTAGATCCCATTTGTCAATTTTGGCTTTTGTTGCCATTGCTTTGGGTGTTTTAGACATGAAGTCCTTGCCCATGCCTATGTCCTGAATGGTAATGCCTAGGTTTTCTTCTAGGGTTTTTATGGTTTTATGGTTTTAGGTCTAACATTTAAGTCTTTAATCCATCTTGAATTAATTTTTGTATAAGGGGTAAGGAAGGGATCCAGTTTCAGCTTTCTACATATGGCTAGCCAGTTTTCCCAGCACCATTTATTAAATAGGGAATCCTTTCCCCATTGCTTGTTTTTCTCAGGTTTGTCAAAGATCAGATAGTTGTAGATATGCGGCGTTATTTCTGAAGGCTCTGTTCTGTTCCATTGATCTATATCTCTGTTTTGGTACCAGTACCATGCTGTTTTGGTTACTGTAGCCTTGTAGTATAGTTTGAAGTCAGGTAGCGTGATGCCTCCAGCTTTGTTCTTTAGTATGTTTATTGCGGCACTATTCACAATAGCAAAGACTTGGAACCAACCCAAATGTCCAACAATGATAGACTGGATTAAGAAAATGTGGCACATATACACCATGGAATACTATGCAGCCATAAAAAATGATGAGTTCATGTCCTTTGTAGGGACATGGATGAAATTGGAAATCATCATTCTCAGTAAACTATTGCAAGGACAAAAAACCAAACACCGCATGTTCTCACTCATAGATGGGAATTGAACAGTGAGAACACATGGACACAGGAAGGGGAACATCACACTGTGAGGACTGTTGTGGGGTGGGGGGAGGGGGGAGGGATAGCATTAGGAGATATACCTAATGCTAAATGACGAGTTAATGGGTGCAGCACACCAGCATGGCACATGTATACATATGTAACTAACCTGCACATTGTGCACATGTACCCTAAAACTTAAAGTATCATAATAATAATAAAAAAAAGAAGTACTGGATAAACCCATCCAGAAGCTTATGTATGTCCAGGTTTCCTCTTATGTGAAATAATAAATGCCATTATCATTTAAGAAAAAAAAAGAAAAAGAAAAAAAAGTAGAAGTTTTTTACTTATGTCAGGAGTAAAATAAATAGGAATACCAGTATAGAGCTTTCAGATAGTAAAAGGACAGTAAGGGAATATTATTACAAATTTCATGCCTATAAGTTTTACAACTTTGACGAAATTGAAAATTTCCTTGAGAGATGCAAACTACAAAACCACCTTTGAGAAGAAATAGATCATATGAATATATTATTTGTTAAATTAAATAAACTTATAATTGAAAACAAAACAAAACAAAAAAAGGACTGGGGAGGTTAGATTCCAATGTGAGCCTTCCAGTATAAAGGCCCTGAGCTAAGGCAGCTTGGGGCTTTGGAAAACTGCAGTTGCTTCTGTGGGAGCTGATTGTTATGAAGCTGGGTGTTGGCAGCAACCAGACTCTCAGAAGGTGAGAGAAAAACGTGGAATGGAAAATTGCTCTGAGCAGTTGCTTCTGGGTGGAGGATGAGGCAGAGAGGAGTCTCCACATAGGGAAGTAATGGAAGGTGTCCTGCAGCTCTCTAACTGGTGAGCTTGAACGCGGTGCAAGAACTAGGTGATTGATACCCATCATCTGCAAGGGTTTCCTGAGAAATAGAATGATAATCCCTTGAAGTGCTTCCCAGAACACTCTAGGCTGGCACTCACTTCCCTGGCCTAGGAGAGCCAGAGCCCACTTCATAGAAAGGACATTTAATTAGGTTATTTTGAATGTAAGTTGGCCAACTCTCAGCAAGGGCTATTTTGAGTGGAGGACAAATAAAAGTAGTGGTTTGGATGGACGAGCATTGGGGAAGATGAAAAGGAGTTGGTCCTTGACTCAAATTCTAGGATCACTGAGTTGCATTCCACCTGGGGAATTCTCCCCTTACCCAAATTATACAATATATCATTTCAGAAAGAAAATGTGCTGAGTTTTATTTGTGAAGCTGAATTTTTGGTTGAGTTGGTACTCCATGACATATTCAACTACATATGCTGACATATTTTGGATAACAAAAACAGCTGAATTTTCACAAAAGACAGTGGTAGCCTTTGGGGTTATGATCATATCGATAACAACTGCCATTTGTTAAATTTCCAATATATGTCAGGCATTGTTCCAGGTGTTTTACTCACATTACATCCATTCCAGCAATTCTACAAGGCAGGGCTTATGAAGCCCCTTTTACAGATGAAAAACCTGAGGCTCATAGGGTTTGATAAATTCCACAAGATCGCATCGCTAGAGAGTGACAGGGCTGGGACTCGAGCCTTGCTCTGAATTCATCTAGACTCATACTGTCCCCACTATTCCCAGCCTGAGGAAGGCTCATATCTCTTATTTAATTCCCCAATATCACATTGCTAGAAAGTGACTCGGACTTGAGCCCTGCCCTGAATTTGATCTAGGCCCACACTGTCCCCACTTCTCCCAGCCCGAGGACAGCCTTTAATCTAAGTCAGTTCTCTTCACGCTTCTTAATGTCTCTCAAGTAACATAAAGATGAACCCTGTGGCCAAAGTTGTAAGTTAGGCCTAAAGAATGAAGGTGTGATAATGAGAATAAAGTACAATTCAGGGATCATTATTGGCTTTCTTTACCTAAAGTCCTCCTGTTCTAAGCCCAGGGTTTCTTGAGAACTGACTATGTCCAGGTGCTGGCAGTTTTGTCCAGCCCCAGTACTTTCCCACATTACAGCACTGTCCTTTTGATCTTCCCTGTATGGTCTCTTGTCCAGGGGACTAGCTTGTCACTAGTGTCTCTCCCTCTGAATGCTGTGCCCTGCTCCCAATGCAAAAGCCCTGAATCACCTGCCCTTCCCCAAGATAGACCATTCTTACTCCATGCAGAAGTTCCCTGAGTCATCCATCCCTCCCCCTGAGTCCTCTGTGATAACAGCCCTTCGATGTGACTATTCACTTTGGATAGTGACATTTCAATACTTACCCTGGGCATCTTCAACACACTCTCAATGTATTTCCACATAGACCGGTGAGTAGAATCTGATTTGCCACATAATATACTGGTTTTAGAGATGTAACTCTAAAGTCAGAGATAGGGTATTTGAAAGAATCCTAACATGTGATATTTGTGGTAGGATTTTAATACGAGGCATTATTTGAAACAGTGCACTGAACCCAAACATAGTTGAATGAGCTTTCATAGGTGATCAAAAACCAACGTTTCCTTCATAATCTTTGTAGATGAAGAAAGACTATAAAATCACTTTGTAAATGATCTACTGGAAGCTGAATTTTTTTTAAAAAAACAAAATAATAACAAAATCACAAAGACTGCCTAGGAGGTGACAAGGGTTCCGTGGCAGAGATGCTAGCTCTAATGAGAAAAACCAACAATGGTTAACCATCTTTCCTCTCTCTCTTGTCTGTATATCTGCCTCGCAGGAAAATCCTGGTTTGCAGTATGCCACAGGCACATGTACAGCTGATCAGAAATGTTTAGTCATGTGGAGGGAAGCAGAGGCTCTCAGAGTAGGATATTTGTCATACACCAAAATGAATGAGAAAATTTTCAGCCTAAAGAAATCATATAGGTTATAAAAAGGACAGTGCAGAAAAGTGCTATTGAGGGAATAAGGTTGACCCTCCCTGCCAAGACTTAAGGAATTGTTTTAAAGCTAGATGTAATCCTGTATTTCAAATTGCCAGTCACCTCATAAGAACAAGAATAAGTTGGAAGATTTCAAGGCAATGCTAGCATTCCCATAAACCATTCCAATAAAATAAAAGACTTACTGTCATGAATTATAAAAGCTGCTTTTAATTAAGCACCATAATGGCTTATGGGAGAGATTACAAGTGCCCATCGCTTTTTTGTCTACCTTGTCTTCCTGAGTGGTTCATTTGTAGTTAGACAGAAGCCAGTGCATCATTCGAATGCTTTCATGTCTGTTTAAGAGTTAACATATGTTGTGATTTGGAGCTATGGGGTAAAATCAGCTTGGATTCCTGGGTGACATGAGAGCCAGGATCCACTGTGTATTAGTTTATTATACCATAACAACATACCACAGACTGGGTGACTTAAAAATGGAAATGTATTTTCTCACATTTCTGGAAGCTGGATTATCCAAGATCAATATGTTGGCCAGTTTGATTTCTTCTGTGGCTTCTCCTTGGCTTGCAGATGACAACCTTCTCACTGAATTCTTATGTGGTTGTCCCTTGGTCTTTGTGTCTGTGTCCTAATCTCCTCTTCTTATAAGGACACCAGTCATACTGAATCAGGTCCTACTTATAAGACCTTACTATATCTTAATGGCCTCTTCAAAGGCTCTACCTTCAAATACAGTGACATTCTGAGGTACTAGGGGTTATGACCTGGATAAATGAATTTGGGAAGAGAGCTGCAATTCAGCCCGTAGCACCATGTCAACTCAGGTTAGAATTTATGTGCACAAAAATAAACTTGGGTTAAGCCATTTTAATTTCAGCAATTTTTTTGTTCCATCAGCTTACTGTTACTTTATCTGACTACTACACTGCTCCTCTTCCTTTTCTTGGACTTACTTTAATATTTTTTCTTCTAAATAAATACTGCATATATTCTTGTTGCAAAAATTTCTTAAAATACATAGAAATCACATTTCTTTCCTTTAGAAAGTTTCTCCAAAATTCAGCCCCCTACTCAGAAGTTTCCACAATTAACAATGTGGTATGTAAATTTTAAAAGATTATTTTAGGCTTTTAGAAATACAGATGTGCTAATATATATATGCAAATATTATATATAATAGCACACATGTATATGCTGTGTATATATATATACATGTATACATATAAAACTATACATGTGTAATAATATGCATATAGATCTGCTGCTTGCCTTTGCTACTATTATAGGTTCAATTTCATCTTCTCCCAAATTCTACATTGAAATTAAAATGTGACATTATTTAGAGATAGAATTATTTCAGATGCAATTAAGTTAAAATGAGGTTATTAATGCTGGCCCTAATCAAATATGATGGGAGTCATTATAAAAAGGGGAAATTTAGACACAGAGATGAATAGAGGGATGACAATGAGCACGCATGGACTGAAGACAGCCCATGCCTCCACAAGGCAAGGAGAGAGGCCTGGAAAACATCCTTCCCTCACAGCCCTCAGAAGGAATCAACCTTGCGAATGCCTTGCTCTTTGACTACCAGACTCCCAAACTATGAGACAATAAATTTTTGTTGTTTATGTCATCCAGGTTGTGGTACTTTGCTATGGCAGTCCTAATAAACCAACATAATCACTTATTAAAATGGATCTGGCCGGGCGCGGTGGCTCATGCCTGTAATCCCAGCACTTTGGGAGGCCGAGGCAGGTGGAACTCCTCACCTGAGGTCAGGAGTTCGAGACCAGCCTGGCCAACGTGGTGAAACCCTGTCTCTACTAAAAATACAAAGATTAGCTGGGCATGGTGGCTTACACTTGTAATCCCAGCTACTCGGGAGGCTGAGGCAGGAGAATTGCTTGAACCCGGGAAGCGGAGGTTGCAGTAAACCCTGATCGTGCCACTGCACTCCAGCCTGGGCGACAAGAGTGAAACTCTGCTGCTAAAAAAAAAAAAAAAAAAAAAAAAGGATCTAAGATCTTTCCATGACAGCACATACAGACTAAGATCTTTCCATGACAACACATATAGATCTATCTCACTATTGGGACTACTTCCTAGAATTCCATTTTATTTCTGTGCAATAACCAATTGAACAATTTTCCTCCTGATGAACACACACGTGTTTCTCTTTTGTGGCTATAATTAAAATAAATAAATTCAACATATTTGAGCATAAATTCTGGGACAAATGCCTATAGTTCCTTATAAGGAATGCACATTCATATGGAAACTGAGTCAGTGTGAACAGAGTATGAATATCTTATACTTCATAATGTTGGTGGCTTTTTCCCCAAAATGTTTAACCAGTTAATTTCCCCCATATTTTTGTCTATGGGGAAACCATTTATTCACAAACGTATTTTATCACAGTTTTAAATATTGGTCAAACTTATGGGTGCAAACCCTAGGTGACTTGGTTTTGGTGATGAATTTTGTAGATGCAACATCAACGTTTTGGTCAAACTTATAGATGCAAATCCCGGGTGACCTTGAGTTTTATGATGACTTTCTCAGATGCAACACCAAAAGTACCAACCATTTGAGAAACAAGAGATAAATTGGACTTCACGACAATTAAAAATTTCTACTCTGAAATGACACTGCTAAGATAATGAAAAGACAAGCCAGAAACTTGGATAAATGTTTTGTGAAACACGTTTGATAAAATATATGTATTCAAATATGCACAAAACTCTGAAAACCCAGCCATCAGAGAATAGAAAACCCAATTTAAAGTAGGCAAAAAAAAAAAATCGGAACGGGCACCCCACCAAAAAATAAATATATAGGAATGGAAAATAAGCGTATATAATAAAACTGTTCAATGTCATATAACATTAGAGAATTGCAAATTAAAGCACCTAGGAGATAGCACTCTACACCCAGGAGAATGGCTGAATTCCCAAACACTGAAATGTCAAATGTTGACACATATGTTGAGCAACAGGAACTTTCAGGCATTGTTTAAGTGGGAAAGACCTGGAGGAATCATGTAAACATATTGCTAAGAGAAAGAAGAAAATCTAAACAGGCTACATAATGTATGATTACAATCATACAATATTCTGGAACAGGTAACTATGAATACACTAAAAATAGTAGTGGTTTCCAGGGCCTTAGTGGCTGGGGTTGAGGCACAGGGGATTAAGAAATAGGTGGAGTACAGGAGATCTAGGATGGTGAAACAATTCATTGTGATACTGTGATGAATACTTGCCATTACACACTTATCAAAACTTTTAACATCTCCAAAGTTAGGGAGCCCAGATGTGAGCTGTTGACTTTACTTAATAATGAGGTATCAATACAGGTCCATCTGTTGTAGCAAACATGCCATAATAATACAAAATATAAATCATAGGAGACACTGTGCGTGTGTGTGTGTGTGTGTGTGTGTGTGTGTGTGTGTGTGTGAAGTGGGCAGGGCAGGAAGAGTGGTGTACATATGTAGGAACTCTGTAATTTTTATGAAATTTTGTTTTTTTTTTTTGCAGTCAGAGTGCAAATCATTATTAGGTGGATTTGGAAGGTCAAAGATCCAACACCAACATAGTTTGGATTTTAAGCACAAAAACTCTATTTTCTGTAACAAAGCACAGTTTCTTATTTCAAAAAATCCAGTCTTTCTTTTTTTTTCTTGGTAAGATGATTCTTTTCTTTCTTTCTTTTTTTTGTTATACTTTAAGTTTTAGGGTACATGTGCACAACGTGCAGGTTTGTTACATATGTATACATGTGCCATGTTGGTGTGCTGCACTCATTAACTCATCATTTAACATTAGGTATTTCTCCTAATGCTATCACTCCCCCTCCCCCCACCTCACGACAGGCCCTGCTGTGTGATGTTCCCCTTCCTGTGTCCATGTGTTCTCATTGTTCAATTCCCACCTATGAGTGAGGACATGCGGTGTTTGGTTTTTTGTCCTTGCAACAGTTTGCTGAGAATGATGGTTTCCAGCTTCATCCATGTCCCTACAAAGGACATGAACTCATCCTTTTTTATGGCTGCATAGTATTCCATGGTGTATATGTGCCACATTTTCTTAATTCAGTCTATCATTGTTGGACAGTTGGCTTGGTTCCAAGTCTTTGCTATTGTAAATAGTGCCGCAATAAACATACGTGTGCATGTGTCTTTATAGCAGCATGATTTATAATCCTTTGGGTATATACCCAGTAATGGGATGGCTGGGTCAAATGGTATTTCTAGATTCCTCAGGAATCGCCACACTGACTTCCACAATGGTTGAACTAGTTTACAGTCCCACCAACAGTCTAAAAGTGTTCCTATTTCTCCACATCCTCTCCAGCACCTGTTGTTTCCTGACTTTTTAATGATTGCCATTCTAACTGGTGTGAGATGGTATCTCATTGTGGTTTTGATTTGCATTTATCTGATGGCCTGTGATGATGAGCATTTTTTCATATGTCTGTTGGCTGCCTAAATGTCTTCTTTTGAGAAGTGTCTGTTCATATCCTTCGCCCATTTGTTGATGGGGTTGTTTTTTTCTTATAAATTTGTTTGAGTTCATTGTAGATTCTGGATATTAGCCCTTTGTCAGATGAGTGGATTGCAAAAATTTTCTCCCATTCTGTAGGTTGCCTGTTCACTCTGATGGTAGTTTCTTTTGCTGAAATTTTCTCTTTATATTTTTGGATTAACAGTGCTCTAAAAATGAAGTCTATTAGTTTTTAGAAATATGCACATCATTTGAACAGATACTTTAGCAAAGAGGATATACCATTCAGAAAGAGGAATATAAAAAGATGGCCAACATAATTTGTTATTAGGAAGATGCACACAAAAACTAAAGAAGATTCCAATACATGCTTATTAGAATGGCTAAAATTCGAGAATCTAAAATACCAAATATGAGCGGATATGGAACAACAGGAATTCTCGTTCCCTGCTATTTGTGATGAAAAATGATACAGCTAGGTTTATAAGTCAGTATTTTATCAGCCTATTCATAATGACAAATTTGGAAAGTTAAAACCGTAGGAACTGAAAACAGAGCAAAGTTGCTAGGGACTTTGGAGAAGTGCAGTGTTTGACCTCAAACGGAATGCACAGTGGAATTTTAGGTTGATTGAACTCATCATTATAATACTTGAATGGTAGATGTGGACCTCCATGCATTTGCCTAAATAAATAAAGCTTTACATAGCAGTTAAATTTGATGTATGTATTTAAAATGTTTATTTAACTTTTATCTTAAACTCAGAGATGCAAGTGTAGGTTTGTTACATATGTCGACTTGTGTCATAGGGATATTTGTACAGATTATTTCATCACCCAGCTATTAAGCCTAGTACCCATTCATTATTTTTCCTGATCTTCTCCCTCCTCCCACCCTCCACCCCCGCCAAAGACCCTAGTGTGTGTTGTTCCCCTTTATGTGTTCATGGTGTTTTCATCATTTAGCTCCTACTTATAAGTAAGTACATGCAGTATTTGGTTTTCTGTTCCTGTGTTTGCTAAGGATAATGGCCTCCAGCTCCATCTATGTCATGGATTGGATTTTCAAAAGGATCATAGCCTGCTGAAAAGACAGTGGATTTTACAGGGACAATGATAGAAAAAGTAGCAACAACAAAGGCGCCTTTAGCCTAGCCTAAGTGAAAGAAAATATTAACTTCACACACAGCAGTAGTAATGGAGATTGAAAAAGTGGAAGGATTTGAAATGGATTTTAGCAGTTGAAGGAACAAAGTTGCTGTTGGTTTTGATTTGGGATAAGGTAAATGTAGGCATCAAGCACAACAGGAAAAACTCTGCCATCTTTGATGTTAACAAAAATCAAATTGAGCCATACTTTGTTCTTTCAATTTTTTGTCAGCCTTCATGTGTATTTTGTAACCTGTCAGAAACATGCACAAATGTTTCTTCTTCTTTGAAATCTGGGAATTCCCTCCCTTCCTGCAACCCTGTGCCCAACAATTCTATATTCATGGCAACTATGGTACACCTTCACTGGCAGAAGCAGCATGTTCACTGAAGGATGAATCTAAAGTGAGAATAAGGGACTGAAGGTGAGTCATTTGGGGGATGTTTAGAGAATGGTTGTGTTCACTCATTTCAAAGGTCCCTGACACGCCCCACTGATGCCATCACAAGAACCTTAGTGCCTCTTGCTTCTGGACAGGAGACTTACTTCCAATAGCAGTAGGTAAAATGATAGACTGCCATTTTCTTTTCACCTTCCATAAGAAGTGCTCCTTTCTTGGGACCTCAGAAGAACAACTCCATGTGGATAATTTCCAAGGACATGGGGCCCAGAGCTGGAACTCAGCCTACCAGCTGCCTCCCAGTCTGGAAGATCTTCCTTCTCTGTGGGTTTCCACCTTGAGCACTGAGGTTTGATACACCAATCCTGGCTGTGAGCAGAGGCCAACTGCCCTTGGGACCTTGAGCCAAAGCTGAGGAAGGAAATCAGCTCATGAACGGCTGAGTTGATCCTGGCCATAGTGGATGGAGAGAAGCCCAACCCTCAGTGAAATCTCTGGCAAAGCCATATGTCAACCTCTTTTGGAATCTCAGGGCCCCTCAATCCTTCTGAGGGCTCTGTCAGGAGTAAGAACAGCTGAAAGGAAGTATGTGGAGCTCTTATCCATGTGGAGAGGGAGACAGGCCTCTACTCCTATTATGTGGGCAACCTGGCACAGCCATTATGTCAGGAAAGTGTTTGTGGACCTGGTCAGGGTGTCTATCATCAACACGACATCCCTCTGTCATGACTTTCTGGAATAGAGCTGCTAAAGTTACATCTCTTAGATCCCCAGAGTTCCAGAGGTCAGCAGGAGGATGGGTCAAGTCAGAGGGGGAATTAATATGTCATTATCCCAGGTAGCATTTCCCCAGCCACTATTGATTCCCAAATCCTGCTCTCAGAAAGCAAAGGCTCATTAAAGTAGCAAAGCCTTCTATGGCTGGGACAAGGGGGCAGAAAGAGCTGCCATTTCATCTCTTCCTCTTTGACTCATATCATCTTGTTTCCTTCTGTTACTGGTGTGACCAATGACCCCAGCCTGTTTCAGTTCTTTCACCTCTAGCCTTACTGATGCTCTAATTTACTCTTACTGCTGACTCACTAAAAGATCATCTATACAAAGTCTTATTTGTTTTTTCATGTATGTTTGTGTATATTTGATTTTTTTAATAGGAAGCTGAGGCAGGAGAATCGCTTTAACCTGGGAGGCGGAGGTTACAGTGAGTCAAGATCGCTCCACTGCACTCCAGCCTGGGTGACAGAGCAAGACTCCGTCTCAAAAAAAAAAAAAAAGCACACAATATCTGTGAGGTGTGATAAAGCAAAGTGCAAAAAAAATGAAATATGCCTATAATATGAAAATTCTAACTGTGAAATGTTGATAAAGTTACCTATGTAAACTATGAAACATGAGCCACAACTTTACCTATTAAAAAGTACTACAAAATCTCAAGTTTTCATGAAGAACAAGAAGGAAAAGTTATAAACACCCTCACAAAACTGATGATTCTTTAATTTCATCAGATGTTCTGCCCATCCCACCAGGCCATGTTGAAATACTTGTTTTTATGGGCATGAGAGCACTCACTTGGTATTGCTTGGATTTTCTGCTTATTTGTTCAGTTTTTTTACCCCATGGTCAGCTCTATTTTTAAAATAACTCCAGTTATTTTAAAAGCAAGCAAACAGTTGTATAATTGTATTCCACAGAAAAACTCTGAAAATTTGCTCAGTGAATAAATTGTACTTGTTGATAAAAAGGACTAGGAAACACCAAGTATTTCATATCTCTCTTTCTCTCTCTCTCTCTCTCTCTCTCTCTCTCAAACACACACACACACACACACACACACTCTCTCTCTCTCTCGTTCTCTCTCACAAAACCTAGGGCAAAAATATAGCCATTATCAACATGGGAAAGTGTACATTTTCTAAACTAGACTATTTCACAACATTTAAAATTTATAAAAATAAATAAAATTACCAAAACAAAACAAAAACAAACAAAAAAAGTAAACATTTTTAAAGTAGGTTTTGAATTTGTCTGTAATTGCCTTTTGTGTATAGCGTGAAAAAGGGGTCCACTTACACTAGAGTTTTTATATGGATATTCAGGCGTTCCAATGACACTTATTTCAACAAGACTGTCTCTTGCGCTAGAGCTGCACATTTTTTTTTTATCAGTTAAGTGTGCGTTTATACATGTTTTGTTGGTTTCATTTTTCAGGACTCTCCATTCAGTTCCATTGGTCTGTCAATCCCTGCACCTAAATCTCAAACTCTTAATTGCAATAGTTTCTTTGTAATTCCTAATATCTGGTAGACTTATTGCTCTTTTTCAATAGTGTATTGACTATACGTGGTCCTCTGAATGCCTTCATATTTTAGAATCAGGTGATTAATACATGCATTTATGTCTAAAGCCCTTTGGTTGTTTTGATTTGGGATTGCAATCAATCTGTGGATTCCTTCTTTGGGAGAACTATTGAAACTTCATGGCCGCGAATTTATTTTATTTTATGGTCATGTGAATCTTCATTAGTATCTTAAAATAACATTTTAATGTTTTTTTTTTTCTGTAACTTTTATTTTGGTTAAGTTTTTTAAGATACTTGATATTTGGTATAATAGTTTAGAAGTTATATTTACTTTCATTATCATACTTATTGTTGCCGCAAGAAAATGGAGTTCATTTTTTTGTTATTGATTTTATACATAGGAAACATATATTTTCATCTATTGATAATCTTAGCCATGCCACTGTTGCTGGTTGTATGCCCATTTGAGTATAGACGCTGCTGCCACTGCCCCACTGAAACACTTTAGCCAGCAACCGCCATCAGAGTGTTGTTGCCGGTGGACAAGGAGCACCTCAGCATTTCTAGCATAGCAGTTGCCTAACCTCAAGGGGACAGAGAACAAAGATGTGGGCCTGGTACCAGTCCCCAGTTAGAGCATGCAGACCAGGAGTATTAACCTGAGCTTTTGCCTTCTAAAATCTTCCAGAAATGAAGCTAGTTGACTAAACCCACCTTATACAACAAACCCTCTAGGGCATCAAGGAATAGAAAAGAAAAAAAAAAACATCCAAAGTACAGCAACTTCAACTAATGAAGGAACATCTGTCCACACAGATGAGAAAGGAGCAGCACAAGAACTATAGCATCTCCAAAAACCAGAGCATCTTCTTTTTTTCCACACTACCACACTAGTTCTCCAGCAGTGGTTCTTAACCAGGGTGAAATGGCTACAAAGACAGACATAGAATTCAGAATCTGGATAGCGACACAGATCGTTGAGATTCAGGAGAAAGTCAAAACCTAATCCAAATAATCTAAGGAATCCAATAAAATGATAGAAAAGCTGAAAGATGAAATCACCATTTTGAGAAGAAACCAAACAGAACTGATAAGGCTAAAAAACTCACTGAAGTAATTTTATAATACAACTGAAAGTATTAACAACAGAATAGGCCCAGCAGAGGAAAGAATCTCTGAGCTTGAAAACCAGTTATCTGAATCAACTCAGTCAGAAAAAAATATAGAAAGAAGAATAAAAGATAATGAACAAAATCTCCAAGAAATTTGAGATTATGTAATGAGACCAATACTGCAACTTATTGGCATCCCTGAAATAGAGAAAGAATAAGCAACTTGGAAAACATATTTGAGGATATAATTCACAAAAATTTCTCTAACCTTGCTGGACTGGTCGACATTCAAATTCAGAAAATCCAGAGAAGCCCTGAGAGATACTGTACAAGACAACCATCTCCAAGTTACATAGTCATCAGATCCTCCAAGGTCAACATGAAGGAAAAAATATTAAAGGCAGCTAGAGAGAAGGGGCAGGTGACCAACAAAGGTAACCCCATCAGGGTAAACCTATCAGCAGAAACTCTACAAGCCAGAAGAGACTGGGGACCTATATTCAGCATTTTTTTTTACTTCCAACTCTTATTTTAAGTTCAGGGGTACATGTGTAGGATGTGCAGGTTTGTTACATAGTTAAACATGTGCCATAGTGATTAGCTGTACAGATAACCCTATCACCTAGATATTAAGCCCAGCATCCATTAGCTATTCTTCCTGATGCTCTCCCTTCTCCCACCCCAACCCTCCGACACGCCCCAGTGTGTATTGTTCTTCTCCCAGTATCCATGTATTCTCATTGTTCAGCTCCCACTTATAAGTGAGAACATGTGGTGTTCGGTTTTCTGTTCTTTTCATTAGTTTGCTGAGGATAACGGCTTCCAGCTTCATCCAAGTCCCTGCAAAGGACAATATCTCATTTCTTTTTATGGTTGCATAGTATTCTATGGTGTATATGTACCACATTTTCTTTATTCAGTCTATCATTGATGCGCATTTGGGTTGATTTCATGTCCTTCTTATTGTGAATAGTGCTGCAATGAACATATGTGTGCATGTATCTTTGTAATAGAATAATTTATATTCATTTGGGCATATACCCAGTAATGCTAGGCCAAATGGTATTTCTGGTTGTAGATCTTTGAGGAATTGCCACACTGTTTTCCACAATGGTTGAACTAATTTACATTCCCACCGACAATGTAGAAGCATTCCTATTTCTCCGCATTCTTGACTCTCCAGCATTCTTGACTTTTTAATAATGGCTGTTCTGACTGGCCTGAGATAGTATCTCATTGTGGTTTTGATTTGTGTTTCTCTAATGATCAGTGATGAGCTTTTTTTCATAAGTTTGTTGGCTACATTAATGTCTTCTTTTGAGAAGTGTCTGCTCATGTTCTTTGCCCACTTTTTAAGGGTTTTTTTTTTCTTGTAAATTTAAGTTTCTTGTAGATTTTGGATATTAAACCTTTGTTGGATGGATAGATTACAAAATTTTTCTTTCATTCTGCAGGTAGCCTGTTCATGCTGATGGTAGTTTATTTTGCTGTGCAGAAGCTCTTTAGTTTAATTAGATTCCATTTGTCAAACTTTGCTTTTGTTGTCATTGCTTTCGGTGATTTCATCATGAAATCTATGCCCGCGCCTATTTCCTGAAATAAGGTGTGCTGCGCTGCAGGGAATCCCCCTCATCTGGTCTTCCCTGACTCTCCAGAGCTAGCAGGCAGAAAAGACTAAGATCACTGACACATGATACCACAGCTGCTCCTCCTCCCAGGGACTCCTCTCAGGGTTATCAGTGTTCTGTCCAAAACCCCTGGCTAGGGATGCGGAAATTTCCACAGAGAGGCCCCGCCCTGTGAGGAGGAGTCCACTTAAAGAAGCAGTCTGAACACGAACTGGTCCACCTGTTGTGCTGCGCTGTAGGGAGCCGCTCTCAGTCTGGACCTCCCTGTCTTGCTGGCACCCACAGCAAGGGAAAGCGGCTGACTGGAGCCGCAGTGATGGTGTCTGCCTCTTCCACCCCAAGAACTTGGTCTTCTTAGGCAGTTTCTAGCCGGATACGCTGGCTGGTGGGGTTTCCAAGCCAGTGGGATTTAGCTTGTGGAGTTTCCTGGGAGTGAGGCCGCTTGGCTCCCGGGCTTCAGCCCCCTCCCAACGAGAGAGGATGGATCTCTTGCCTCAGGGAAGTTCCTAGAGCCAGAGAACGCAAATACTCCTGTGTCTCAGTGCCTGCTCAAAGCGGCCACATACCCAAGCATCCGCAGTGATTCTCCACAACTTTGTGCTTGTAACTCAAGACTCTGGTAGCGTAGGCTCAGGAGGGGACCTCCTGGTCTGCAGGTTGCAAGGATCTGTGGGAAAAGCCTGGTTTTCAGGGAGGGGAAACACAATCCCTCACCTTCTACCTTGGCTGGGGGAGGGAGTTCCCTTTGCTGCTTGCAGCTCCTGGGTGGGGTCTTGCTCCACCCTGTTATTGCTCACTCTCCATGGTTGTGCCGACCACCTATTCAGTCCCAGTAAGAGAACTTTGGTACCTCAGCTGAAGATGCAGAGTTCACTCACAGTTTTTGTCCTTCTTGATGGGAGTCACAGAGCAGTGCTGCCCCTATTAGGTCATCTTGGCTCCACCCCCTTAAGAAGTTATTCGAAACTAATGAAAACAAAGACACAACATACCAGAATCTCTGGGACACAGCGAAAGCAGTGTTAACAGGAAATTTATAGCACTAAATGCCCACGTCAAATAGCTAGAAAGATCTTAAGTTGACAATCTAATGTCACAACAAAAAGAACTAGAGAACCAACAGAAAACAAACCCCAAATCTAGCAGAAGACAAGAAATAACCAAGATCAGAGCTGAACTGAAGGAGATAGAGACATAAAACCCCTTAAAAAACAACAAATCTAGGAGGTGATTTTTTGAAAAAATTAATAAAATAGATAAATCACTATCTAGTCTAATAAAAAAGAAATGAGAGAAGATTAAAAGGAACACAATCAGAATTGATTAGGGGGATATCACCACTGACCCCAAAGAAATACAAACAACTATCAGATAAATCAGAGAATATTATAAACACCTCTATGCACGTAAACTAGAAAATCTAGATGAAATGGATGCATTCCTGATCACATACACCCTCCCAAGACTGAACCAGGAAGAAATTGAATCCCTGAAAAGATCAATAATGAGTTCTGAAATTGAGACTGTAATAAATAGCCTACCAACTGAAAAAAGCCCAGGACCAGATGGACTCACAGCTGAATTCTACCAGAGGTAGAAGGATGAGCTGGTACCACTCCTACTGAAACTATTCCAAAAAAAATTGAGAAGGAGGGATTACTCCCTAACTCATTCTATGAGACCAGCATCATTCTGACACCAAAACCTGGTGGAGAGATGACAAAAAAAGAAAACTTCAGGCCAATATCCTTGATGAACATCAATGCAAAAATCCTCATCAAAATACTGGCAAACCAAATCCAGCAGCACATCAAAACACTTATCCACCACGATCAAGTAGGCTTCATCCCCAAGATGCAACGTTGTCTCAATATATGCAAATCAATAAATGTGATTCATCACATATATAGAAGTAAAGATTAAAACCACATGATTATTTGTATATATACAGAAGAGGCCTTCAATAAAATTCAGTATCCCTTCATGTTAAATACTCTTAGCAAACTAGGTATTGAAGGAACATACCTCAAAATAGTAAGAGTCATACGTGAAAAACCCACAGCCAATATCATAATGAATGGACAAAAGGTGGAAGCATTCCCCTTGAAAACCACCGAAAGACAAAGATATCCTCTCTCACCACTCCTATTCCACATCCTATTGGAAGTTCTGGCCAGGGAAATCAGTCAAGATAAATAAATAAAGGTATTCAAATAGGAAGAGAGGAAGTCAAACTATCTTTGTTTGAAGATGACATGATGTGATCCTATATCTAGAAAACCCCATTGTCTCAGGCCAAAAACTTCTTAAGCTGATAAGCAACTTGAACAAATTCTTAGGATACAGAATCAATGTGCAAACATTTCTAGCATTCCTATACACCAAGAACAGGCAAACTGAGAGCCAAATCATGAATCAAATACCATTCACAACTGAAACGAAAAGAATAAAATACCTAGGAATACAGGTATCAAGAGAAGTGAAGGACCTCTTCAAGGAGAACTACAAACCACTGCTCAAAGAAGTCAGAAATAACACAATCAAATGGAAAATCATTCAGTGCTCATGGATAGAGAGAATCAATATTGTGAAAATCGCCATACTGCCCAAAGCAATTTATAAATTCAATGCTATTCCCATTAAACTACCACTGACATTCTTCATAGAATTAGAAATCAGTATTTTAAAATTTATATGGAACCAAGAAAGAACCTGAATAGCCCAGACAATCCTAAGCAAAAAGAACAAAGCTGGAGGAATCATACTCAAACTATACTACAAGGCTACAGTAACCCCAAGAGCATAATACTGATAAAAAGAACAACAACAACAACAAAAAAGAAAACAGACACATAGACCAATGGAACAAAATAGAGAACTCTGAAATAAGACTGCACACATACGACCATGTGATGTTTGACAAATCTGACAAAGACAAGCAATTCAAAAGTTTTCCCTATTTGATAAATTGTGCTGGGAGAACTGGCAAACCATATGCAGAAAATTGAAACTGGACCCCTTCCTTACATCGTATACAAAAATCAGCTCAAGATGGATTAAAGACTAAAACACAAAACTATAAAAACCTTTGAAAAAAATCTAGGCAGTACTATTCAAGACATAGGCATATGCAAAGATTTCATGATGATAATGCCAAAAGCAATTGCAACAAAAGCAAAAGTTGACAAATGGAATCTAATTAAACTGAAGAGCTCCTGCACAGCAAAAGAAACTACCAACAGAGTGTACAGGCAACCTACAGAATGGGAGAATATTTTTGCAATCTATCCATCCAACAAAGGTCTAATATCCAGAATCTACAAGGAACTTAAGCAAATTTACAAGACAAAAAACCATTAAAAAATGGGCAAAGGTCACGAGCAGACACTTCTCAAAAGAAGACATTCATGCAGCCAACAAACATACGAAAAAAAGCTCAACATCACTGATCATTAGAGAAATACAAATCAAAACCACAATGAGATACCACCTCACACCAGTCAGAATGGCTATTAAGAAAAAGTCAAAAAATAAGGGATTCTGGCAAGGTCGTGGAGAAAAATGAATGCTTTTACACTGTTCGTGGGAGTGTAAATGAGTTCAGTCATTGTGGAAGACAGTGTGGCAATTTCTCGAAGACCTGGGGACAGAAATACCATTCGACTGACCCAGCAATCCCACTACTGGGTATATACCCAAAGGAATATAAGTAATTCTGTTATAAAGACACATGCATGTGTATGTTCATTGCAGCACTATTCACAATAGAAAAGAAATGGAATCAACCTAATGCCCACCAATGATCGACTGGATAAAGAAAATATGGTACATTTACTCCATGAAATACTATGCAGCCATAAAAAGAATGAGATCGTGTCCTTTGCAGGGACTTGGTTGAAAGAGGAAGCCATTATCCTCATCAAACTAACACAGAAACAGAAAATAAAATACTGACAAATGGTACCTAATTAAACTAAAGAGCTTCTGCACAGACAGAGAAACTATCAACAGAATAAACAGACAATTTGCAGAATGGAAGGAAATATTTGCAAAGGATTCATTCAATAAAGTTTTAATATAAAGAATATGTAAGGAACTTTAATGAACAAAAAAACAAACAACCCCATTAAAAATCAGGCAAAGGACATGAACAGATACTTCTGTAAAGAATACATACGCATGGCCAACAAGCATATAAAAAAAGCCTCAACATCACTAATCATCAGAGAAATGCAAATCAAAACCACAATGAGATACCGTCTCAAACCAGTGAGAATGGCTGTTATTGAAAAGTCAAAAAATAACAGATGCTGGAAAGATTGTGGTGAAAAGGGAATGCTGAAGCACTGCTGGTGGGAATGTAAACTAGTTAGGCACTGTGGAAAGGAGTTTGGAGCTTTCTCAAAGAACTTAAAACAGGGCTACCATTTGACCCAGAAATCCCATTACTGGTATAACCCCAGAGGAATATACATCATTCTACTATAAAGACAGATGCACAGTATGCTCATTGTGAACTATTCACAGTAGGAAAGACATAAAATTAAGCTAAATGCCCATGAACAGTGGACTGCATAAAAAATGTGGTATATCTACACCATGGAATAATAGGCAGCCCTAAAATAGAATGATACAGGGCTGTATATGAAAGACAGACCCCAAATGCCATTTTGTCCTTTGCAGCTACATGGATGGAGCTGGAGCTTATTATCCTAAACAAAGTGAGGAGGAAACAGAAAACCGATACCTTATGTTCTCACTTATAATTGGGAGCTAAAGACTGAGTACACGTAGACACAAAGAAGGGAACAATAGAATCCAGAGCCTACTTAAGGATGGAGGGTGGGAGGAGGGTGAGGATTTAAAAACTATTTGCCAGATACTATGCTTATTACCTGGGTGACAAAATAATCTGTATGCTAAACCCCCATGACATGCAATTTACCTATATAATAAACCCAAACATGTACACCCTGAACCTCACATAAAAGTTGGAAATGAAAAGAAGAAACTACCTTCTGTCATAAAGACATGGTAAATTTATACTTCCTTTAGAAAAGTAAAAAGCTTATTGTTAGTTCTTTTGAGTGTTTTTCATACACAGTCTAATCATCTATTAGTATTGAAAGGTTTGTGTCTTGCTTTCTGACTGCTCTCATTTTTATCTCTTCTGCTTTACATTACTGCACTGGCTACTATCTCTGTTACACTCTATTACACAGAATAGAAATGATGATCAGCAAGAACCCTAGTTTAGTTCTCAAGGTCAAAGTAGAAGCTTTCAACTTTCTCTCAATACGTATGATGCTTGTGGTAGGTATTTCATACATATCCTTTATGGAGTTTGCCAACATTTTAAGTTTCATAAACCTCATTTGTTCTATGAAAGGGCAGTATATGTAAGAAAACCCCCAAATGTAGAGAAAGCCAAAAAAAAAAAATACAAGAAAGGAGGAGACAAGTCCAGCTTGTCATTTTAGTTTGGTTTTATTGGGGGAACTCATGGACAGAAGCACGGTCTTGGGCAGCCATAAGACAGGTATGTCTCTGAACAATAACCTCCCAGACCTAGTGGCTACATAACATAGGGGAGGGGCACATGTACTTCTGGGAGAATGGCTGGGAATTTACCTAAGGCCAAAGCCATGGTTTACAGTAAGTAGGAGTTTATCAAGGTTGATTTGCTCTAAGGGCACAATTTTTGGTAAGTACAACAAAAGAAACAATAGATAAATTTGAAATCTCAGAGGCATTCCCCAAGGCCTGGGTTGAGGAGAAGTCAACATGGCAGATTAGCTTCCAAGATGGAGTTACTTTAACCTCCACATCATTTTAGAATTGTTTTAGGATTACCAGAAAACTGCAATGATAGTGATGATGTCCCACACTCAGTTTTTCCTATTAATAATATCTTACCTTAGTATGATACAGCTCTATTAATTAATAAGCCAATATTGATACATGTTATTAACAAATATCCATACATTATGCAGATTTCCTTACTTTTCACCCCGTGTTATTTTTTTTTTTATCCCCTGAGATTACCCCCATTACTTTTAGTGATCATGTATCTTTAGACTTCCCTTGGTTGTGCTAGCTGCTGAGACTTCTCTCGATTTTGTTGACTTTCATATGTTTGAGGAGTACTGATCATGTTGTTACCTCGTGGTGAATCTGTACAGGTCTGCAGCAACCTCAATTCTTTCCTCCTCAGAAGAAATAATTTGACTGAGGGGCATAAGGCAGAAGGAAAGACTGAGGCATGTTTTAGAGAAGGAGTGGATGTTTATTAAAAAGCTTCAGAGCAGGAATGAAAGAAGTAAATTACACTTGGAAGAGGGCCAGGTGGGCAACTTGAGAGATCAAGTGCATGGTTTGACCATTTGACTTAGGGTCTTATCGGGAAGCTGCTAATCACCAGTTTCAGATGTTTTCTATCTATTGGAGGACTGCCTTTCCCTGGCACTGGCTGCGACCAATTATTTTAGAGACGCAGTTAGCAACTGCCTGACCATCACCTGATGGTTTCCAGACATTCCTGGTGGGTGGTGGGTGTAAGGTCAGCCCAGAGTAAGGACGAGAGAGAGAGCAAGACCCAAGTTCAGGCAAGCTTTTATTAAACCTGCCGGCTGCTTTACCACAGACAAAGGAGGCAGCAGCAACCAGTTTACAGAATGAGGGGTTTATATTGGAGAGGGAGTTTGAGGGAATTCTTTGGTATGGCCGCATCCCAGGGTTGTTTGCTGGTTAATTCTGCCACAAATCACCTTGTGACGTTTATGGTACCAGAGGGTGTAAAGTTTGTTTATGCTTCCCACAACCTCCCCCTGTGCGGTCAGATGGTTTGTAATTGGGGTTTGCTTTATAGCAGCCAGGCCTGATAAGTAAAGTCTGCTGGCTTCACCACGGTGCCTAGATAAGGGCTTAGAAGAGGCTTGGGGCAGCACGGAGAGGAGTTGCAGAGTGGGGAGCGGTGGGTAGCACCAAGAAGCTTCCTGGGGCAGTTTGTCCCTAACAGTGGGTGACTCTCCTGCCCTGCTTATGTCTGCCTGACTCCCTACTATAACTGTGTACTTTATAGATGGCCCCAAACTGGAATTTGTTTGATATTTTTCTAATGATTCGATGTGGGTTATGTTCTTTCAGGAGGAAAGCCACAAAGGTGAAGTGCCATTCTCATCATGTCATATCTTGCAGTGTATAGTATCAATGTGACTTACCACTATCACCTTACTAAGGTTGTTTGTCAGGCTTGTCCATGGTATATTAGTTCTTTTAATCTTCTGTCACACTGTCCTCTTTGGATAGAGACAGGAGCCCATGATGTGCCAGTCATCAGATGAGGACTCAGGGAGAACTGCAGAGACACCTAACCCGCATAGAGGAAGCCCCAAAGAATCCAGCTTCACACCTGCTCTCATCTCTGAAAGGTCTTAGTTTATGGTGGCCCACTGACATATCAGGGAACTAGAGATCTTGGCAATAGGGTACCTCCAACCCTACAACACAGTCATTGTGTTTGTAGTCTTCAGCCTGGCGGGAGACAGGGCTAAGTTTCTCCCACAGGGGTTCCAGTAAATGGGGGTGAGTCCTTGGTCTGAAGCAGTGTCCTAAGGTCATATAGCAAAGGAGGCCCAGGCAGTGCCAAAAGTGAAGGTGACATAACACCCTAACAGTATACCAAGACACTACCCCCAAAACAGAGGAGGCCCCACAGTGCTTGCCCCACCCACCGTCAGCCCTGGAGCCTCAGGCTTTGCCTGCCAGCCGCACCCTGAGGCACTTTCTCATGTCCTCCTACTAGGAGACAAATCCTCTAACAAGACAGGAGACCTGTGAGGCCATAGAGCATCACTGTAAGAAAAGATCTGTAAGTCAACCTTTGTCAGAGTCAGAATGAGTAAATTTCTCAGCTGAGGCCATTCAAACTGTCCACCTCTCTCCCAGGCCTGTAGGAACCCAACACTCACACTCCTGCTCACACCTCTACCTGCTGCTCCTGATAAGAATAATCATGGTTTGTTTTGCAGTATTCTTGCCTCACTTTTGAGCAAGACTTTCAGCACCCAATTGAGATATAGGAAGGACTTGGTGGATGCATAGGTTCCCACTGATGATGAGGAGGAGGAAGCCTTCTCCCTTTCCTCTTCCTTTTTCTACTTCTCCTTTCCCTTCTCCTCTTCTACCCCGCCCCCCCCCCCCCATCCTCCTCTGCACTGATTCTTGGATCTCCAAAGGAGGAGGATGTGGCTACTTCTGGGATGCCAAGTCCTCCCCAGAGCCCTCCCCAGATTCCTCTCTAGAGTCCTCCAAGCTCCTGCTCCTCCTCCTCTACTTCGTGGAGCACACCTGATGAAGACTCCAGCATCCAAGAAGAGGAGCAGACTTCAAGCACCTTGTAGTTCTCAACGGACATGGAATCCTTGTCCAGAGACCGGCTAGAAGTGAAGGTGACTCATTTAGTATATTTCCTGATTCTCAAGTATCTATTTAAGGAGCCCATCACAAAAGTGGAAATGTTCAAGGTTGTCAAAAGATACAAGAACTGATTTCTCCCTGCCCTTCAAGGGAGCCTCCAAGTGCTTGGAGGTGGTCTCTGGCATTGACATGAAGGAAGTGGACCGCATCAGCCACTCCTATGTCCTTGTTAACTCGCGGGACCTCACCTATGATGAGATGCTGGCTGACAGCCAGAGAATGCTGAAAAATGGCCTCCTGATCATTGTCCTGGGTGTGATATTCATAGAGGGTAATGGTGCCTCTGGGGAAGACATCTAGGATTTCCAGAATATGCTGGGCATGTATGCTGGAAAGGAGCATTTCATCTATGGGGAGCTCAGAAAGCTCATCACCATAGATTGGGTGCAAGCAAATTACCTAAAATACTGATAGGTGCCTAGCAGTGATCCTCCATGCTATGAATTTCTGTGTGGTCCAAGAGCCCAGGCTGAAACCAGCAAGACGAAAGTTCTAGAATTTTTAGCCAAAGTCAAAGGGACTGACCTCTTGTCCTCAGGCTGACATGATGAGTTTTTGAGAGATGAGGAAGAGAGAGTCTGGGCCAGGATTGGACCCATGGACAGTACTGTTGTCATAATCATTGCACAGCGTTGGTCAGCAGCTTCTCCTGATTCTCAACTCTGTTTGAAGAGGGCAGTCAAGGTTCTAAGTAGGGGAGGGCGAGGGTCAACCTGGTAAATACACAGTGTGCAACAAGTTGTGTTTCTCCTCTGTATGGTGGACATGGAGCTTTATCTTTGTTTTCTTTTTGGTATTTTGAAATGCTGTTCCTTTTAATAGAAGATGTATTAGCTTTAGAATTCAAGTTTATGAAATTATATTGGCCAAACGTTTATTGATATTTTTAAGTTTAAGAACAATAGCTTTGATATTTTGCAAAACAAATTGGGAAACCTGTCATCTTTTATTGTGATCTAGTACAACATTCCCCAGCACTGGAATAGCAATTTCCTTGGAAATGTGAAAGATCCCAGTCGTAAAACATAGGGATTTAATAACAGAGGAAAAGTGTAAAGGATGGTTCAGTCTTGGGTTCACCTATCCGTTTAGGTCCATTCTTCTGGAAAATTAAATATTTAAATATGGATTTGCTTGGGTTTCTCAAGAAAGTAGGATAAATGTTAATAAATCTCAAAACATGAAAGCCCATGCTCACTGCATCCTTAATTCCCTAAACGTCAATGGTGCATTTGCGCTTCAGGGTCCTGTGTTAGTAGTGGGCATCTCAGGATAAACAAGACCCTACACACAGACTGGTAGAGTCTAGGAGCAGCAGTAAGGAAGATGATGAATTGCCTTTTAATGCCTAAAGAACAAGTAAAAAGAAGAAGTAAGGAGATAAAACTCCAGATGGGAGGAGCCACATATAAATGCCTTGAGCCTAGGCAGTCTGCGGATTTGGGAACCTGCAGTTCCTTCTTTGGGAGTTTTGTGATCTGGGTGTTGAGTGGGTGGGAGGGATAATGCAACATATTGTAGGAAAGTTTACGTGAACAGACTTGGGGAATCTCTGAGTCTTTGTTACAAGCTGTAAGCTTCAACGTGGTCTGGGTAGGCAGGTCTACTGAAGGAGGGGACCAGTGGTGTGTAAGACACCCGACACTGCCTTAAAGTCACCCTATGTCCTACCAGGATGAGCATGGCTGGATCCCTGGCATTATTCTAGGTTAACTACATCTCCTGAGTATTCTAGTGGTCTACGACACCCTTGTGGGTGTCCCAGTCCCGGCACCATCTCACTGCCTGCTAGAGACTGGGATGTTTCCCCTCTGTGGTAGACCTCTTTCATGGAGGCTGGGGCTTTGTGAGTGAGTGGGGTTGGTTACTGATGACCAGTAAGCGAAGAGGCAGGAACACTGAGGGTCAGTGGAAGGCACTGTGCAGCTTCAAAGAGGGCAGATTTAATTGGGAATACCCTGGTACTAATTATCTCAGTGACTTTGTAGATTAAGCGTTGGGGATGGACATGCCTGGAAAATAGCCCAAATGATGTCTTCAGTTCAGAGTGCTTCCCTTGGAATCTGGGCTATTGGCACCCTGGATTGAGGGTGGGTGTCCTGTGGCTATCACTGCTGGCCTGCGTTGCCACCAGATATTGTCTGAGATAGAGGAATGGACCAAGATGCAGACGTGTGCAGGGTAGATGGGAAACCTATGAGGATGGCACACACTTTCTTGTTAAACTAATGGGTATGTGTGGAGTGCAAAGCAGGATGCATCATGTGTCATGCTGTTGAGAGCATCCCCATAGCCAAGATAGTGTTTGGGCTTTAAGATGAGAAATCCATAATGACATGCTCAGTGATAGTTTCTCTTGGGAATTCTTAAGTTACATGAGCAGTTGTGGCACTGCAGGTTTCTTCTCTGGAAGCAAAAGACCCAGGTAGAGCTCAGATGTCACATTTTGAATCAACACATGTGATCTTCTGCTAATTTGATTCCTTCCTTCCTTCCTTCCTCCCTCCGTCCCTCCCTTCCTTCTTTTCCTTTCTTCTTTCCTTCCATCCTTCCTTCTTTCTTTCCTTCTTTCTTTCTTTCATCAATTTTTAAATACATTCAGAGTAAAGACACCAAGAAGACAAAACAAAGAAAAATGACAAGACATGTAATTCAAGCTGTGGGTGGGACAAAGTGGTAAGGAGATGGAGAGAATTTTAGGAAATTAGGAACTGTGAAATCGTGCGGTAGTGTGTGATGGCTATGAGTTCTGAAGATTACTGACTAGGTAGAAGCTGTTTCTTCTAGCTGAGATTGAGGATAAAGGAAGAAAAGTTGGTGGCAACTTGCATTAGGGTAGAGATGAGGAAGGGTGTGGTAGATGAGATCACCGTGGGCCATGTAGATAATGAAGTTATGCTAGTTGTCCAGGTAAAGCTGCTCAATGGGCAATAGGAAACATGGGGCTGATATCAAAAGAGGGTCCTGGGCTGAAGATTAAGCTAGCCTGTATCAAGTGTTGTGTAGATTGAAGTATACATGCTGTGGGATGAAATCTCCTCTCCTGCAAACATAATAATTTTGTGATTTTGCAAGCAAAATCATAAAACAATAATACATCCCAGTAAGACTTGAAAGGAATGGAATGCTCACCTAGAGTTCTACAAATTAGATAAATTTTCCATCTGTTTATATGTTATGTATCATGTATATAACATATAAAAAGACAGAAAAACTCATATATCTATATCTATCTATCTATCTATATCTATATCTATATATAGATATAGATATATAAAACACCCGACACTGCCTTAAAATCACTCTATGTCCTATCAGGATGAGCATGGCTGGATCCCTGGCATTATTCTAGGTTAGCTACATCTCCTGACTATCCTAGTGGTCTAGGACACCCTTGTGGGTGTCCCAGTCCCAGCACCATCTCACTGCCTGCTAGAGACTGGGATGTTTTCCCCTCTGTAGTAGACCTCTTTCATGGAGGCTGGAGCTTTGTGAGTGAACAATAGCCATGGAGAGAGAGAGATATATATATATATACCCATGCTTGCAGTTGTTGTTGCTCACATTATAAAGTTATATAGCATGAGTTTTTAATTCCACATCTGCTATCTCAGTACTTTTCAGGCTCTCCAAAACTGAGCTTATAAGCACCAATGCCCAGATACTTATCTCTTCTATCCTAGTGTTTTTTTTTTTTTTAGGCAGCTAACAGCTCTTCAGTATCTCAAATTTTGCATAGCAAACACAGCAAGGTGTTGGAGGCAATCTTGCGCCTAGGTACTCAGAGGGCAAATTTCCATGATGTATCCTATACCTAAGTGGTAGACAGTGGTTGCAAAAATTTTAGATATGGCATCTCGTATTTCAGTTGAATCCTTGGAAAGAAATCCAATTTTTCAATATAAGGAAGATAGAGCAGCACACTTGAACTAAAGAATGTAATCCCAGAGTCCTGTCCACTGAGCTTTCTTTCTTGCTCATGCCCTCAGGGTGTTGGGCCCTGACATCCAACCACTGTACTCTAGGCTTCCCATGGTCACAGCTTCCAGAAGGCCCTTCCTCATACATCGACTTCCTCATGTTCCTATACAGTAATCTATCTTTATTGACCCCATTATACCCAATGCACTGAATATCAGTTTTGTTGCCTGGCTTTCCAGCACTGCCAAGAACTTGTCATTTTTGCCCTTTCTGAAAATAACTGTGATATATTGCTTTCTATGTCTATACAATTTCCTATACTTTTAGCTGTGTCCCACGCCATTACTACTCACAATATTGTTTTGTTTTAGTTTCGGATTAACATCTGATATTTCAGCTTCTCTGATTTTTTCAAAGAGCAGATTTGTTTCCACTGAACACCATTGTTTTCTAATTTTGATTTCATTATTCCCATCACTCTTCTTGCCTTGGGTTCAATTTACTGTTCTTTTAATAGTTTCTTACATGAACGCTTAGATTATTGATTTGAGTTCACTCATTTTTTCTGACAGAAGCATATCATGACATAAATTTCCCTGTAAGCACTGGTTTAGCTAAATCTCACAAGCTCTGCTATGCTACAGTTTCATTTTCATTCTGTTGAAAATATTTCCTTATTTTCCTCAATAATTCTTATGCAACACGGTTTAGTAAAATATATTGTTTAATCTCCGATTATCTTGGACTTTGTTTTCTTTTGTCTAAGTCTATTATGGATAGATAACCTATTTTATATAATTTTAATTATTTAAAAATTTTAAGTGTTGTTTTGTAGTCTATCTTGGTGAATATGCCATGTACACTTGAAAATAGTATCTATTCTGCTGTTGGAGTGTCTTATTTATAAATTTCAAGATCAATTTGATTAATATTCTTTTTTAGTTCCTTCCGTATTCTTACACATTTTCTAATTTTCTGATCATTTACTCAGAGAGCAGTGTTGATAATTTCCTGGATAATTGTAGTTTTGGCTATGTCTCCTTTCCTGTTCTCTTGTTTTTTATTTTTTTTGTTTTGTTTTTATTATTTTTAATTTTTGTGGGTACATAGTGGGTACATATGTTTATGGGTTACAGAAGATATTTTGATATAGGCTTGCTGTGTGTAATAAATCACATCAGGGTATATGGGTTATCCATCAGCACATGCATTTACCATTTGTGTTACAGACAATCCAGTAATACTCTTTTACTTATTTTAAAATGTATAATTAAATACTTTTGACTATAGTCACCCTGTCGTGATAGCAAATAGTAGGACTTATTGATTCCCTCTAACTCTTTTTTGTAACCATTAACCATCCTCACTTCTCCCCTGACCCCCTCCTACCTTTCCCAGTGTGTGGTAACCATCCTTCTACACTCTATCACCATCAGTTCAATTATTTTAAATTTTAGCTCCTACAAATAAGTGAGAACATGTGAAGTTTGTCTTTCTGTGCCTTGCTTATTTCACGGAGCATGATGACCTCCACTTCCATCCATGTCATTGCCAATGACAGGATCTCATTTTTTTTTTGGCTTAATAGTGCTCCACTGTGTATATGTACCACAATTTCTTTATCCGTTCATCTGCTGATGGACACTTAGGTTGCTTCCAAATCTTGGCTATTGTGAATAGCGCTGCAGCAAACATTGCTGTGCAGATATGTCTTCAATGTATTGAATTCCTCTATTGTGGGTACATACCTAGAAGTGGGATTACTGGAGAGTATGGTAGCTCTATTTTTATTTTTGGAGAACCTTCAAACTGTTCATAGTGGTTTTACTAATGTACCTTCTCACCAACAATGTAGGAGGGTTCATATCTTTGCCAGCATTTGTTACTGCCTGACCTTTTGATAAAAGCCATTTTTACTGGTGTGAGATGGTATTTCAATGGAGTTTGGATTTATGTTTTTCTGATGATCAAGGGTACTGAGCCCCATTTCATGTACCTGTTTGCATTTACCTGTCTTTTTTTGACAAATGTCTATTCAGATCTTTTCTCCATTTTTCAATTTGATTATTGGATTTTATCCTACAGAGTTGTTTGATCTTCTTATATATTCTGGTTGTTACTTCCTTGTCAGATGAGTAGTTTGCAAATATGCTCTCCCATTCCGTGGGTTGCCTCTTCACTTTGCTGATTGTTTCCTTTGCTATGTAAAACCTTTTTAAGATGATGCAATCCAATTTGTCTATTTTTGCTTTTGCTGCCTGTGCTTGTGGAGTATTACTGAAGAAATCCTTGGAAATTCCAATATCTTGCAGATTTTCCCATTTTTTTTTTTACAAGTTTCATAGGTTGAGGTCTTCAGGTTAAGCTTTAGTCAATTTTGATTTGATTTTTGTATATAGCAAGAGTTAACGGTCTAGTTTCATTCTTCTTTATATGGATACCAGTTTTTCTAGCACTTATAAATTAAATCTTTCCTTTCCCCAGTTTATGTTCTTGGCACCTTTGTAAAAAATGAGGTCACTGTCAATGTATGGATTTATTTTTGTGTTTCTATATTCTGTTCCACTGGTCTGTGTGTCTGTTTTTAAGCCAGTACCATGCCATTTCATCACTATAGCTCTGTAGTATAATTTGAAGTCGGGTAATGTGAGTCCTCCAGTTTTGTTCTTTTTGCTTAGAATAGCTTTCGCTTTTCTGGATTTTTTGCTTTGTTCCATAGAAATTTTAGGATTTTTCTTTTTTAATTTTGTGGAGAATATCATTGGTATTTTGAAAACGATTATATTGAAACTGTAGATTGCTTCAGGTAGTATGGATATTTTTAAAATATTGATTATTCCAATCTATAAACATAGAATATCTTTCCATTTTTGTGTCTTCTTCAATTTATTTTACCAGTGTTTTATAGTTTTCCTTCTAGAGCTCTTTCACTTCTTTGTTTATGTTAATTTCTAGGTATTTTATTTTATTTTTAACTATCATAAATGGGATTAATTTCTTAATTTCTTTTTCAGATGATTCATGACTGGCATATAGAAAAGCTACTGATTTTTGTATGTTGATATTGTATCATGCAAATTTACTGAATTTTTTAAATCAGTTCTATATTTTGGTTGAGTCTTAGGTGTTTCCAAATATTAGATTTTATCATCTGCAAACAAGGATATATTTTCTTCCTTTCCAATTTGGATGCCTTTTATTTCTTTATCTTTTCTGATTGCTCTACCTGGGAATTCCAATACTATGTTGAATAACAGTGGTTGAAGTGGGCATCCATGTCGTGTTCCAGATCTTAGAGGAAGGACTTCTAGTCTTTCGCCATTCAGTATGATACTAGCTGTGGGTCTTTCATATATAGCTTTTATTATGTTGAAGCATGTTCCTTCTATACCCAGTTTTTCAGGGATTTTATTATGAAGTGGTGCTGAATTTCATCAAATTCTTTTTCAGCATCAATTGATATGATCATATGGTTTTTGTCTTTCATTCTGTTGACATGATGTATCACATGTATTGATTTGCATATGTTGAACCATTCTTGCATCCCTGAGATAAATTCCACTTGTTCATGAAGAATGATTTTTTAATGTGTTGTTAAATTTGGTTTTCTTCCATTTCATTGAGGATTTTTACATCAATATTCATCAGTGGTATTGGCCTGCAGTTGTCTTTTTTTGAATGTGTTTTTGTCTGGTTTTGTTATCGAGATAATACTGGCCCAATAGAGTTTGGAAGCATTCCCTTCTCCTCTGCTTTTCAGAATTCATTGAGTATGTTTGATATTATTTATTCTTGTGTTTGGTAAAATATATTGGTGAAGCCACCGGGTCCTGGGCTTTTCTTTACTGGGAGTTTTTTTGTTGTTGTCAGAGATTCAATATCGTTCTTTTCAAGTTTTGAATTTCTTCATGGTTCAAACCTGGAAGGCTTTTATGTCTGGGAATTTAGCCATTTCCTCTAGATGTTCTTATTTATTGGTATGTAATTGCTTATAGTAGCCACTAACGATTCTTTGAATTTCAGTGGTATTGGATGCAATGTCTTCTTTTTCATCTCAAATTTATTTGGGTCTTCTCTATATTCTTCTTAGTTAGTCTAGGTAAAGATTTGTCAATTTTGTTTATCTTTTCAAGAAGAGCAACTTTTTGTTTAATTGATCTTCTGTATTGTTTTTGATATTTCAATTTATCTCTACTTTGATTTTTATTATTTCTTTTCTTCTACTAACTTGGGGCTTAGTTTGTTCTTACTTTTCTAGTTACTTAAGATGGATCATTAGGTTCTTTTTTGGAATTTTCCTTCTTTTATTGTTGTAGACACTTATAGCTATAATCTTCCTCTTGTATTAGTTCATTCTTGCATTGCTATAAAGAACTACCTGAGACTGGATAATTTATAAAGAAAAGAGGTTTAATTGACTTATGGTTTTGTGGGCTGTACAGAAAGCACGGCTCAGAAGACCTCAGGAAACTTACAATCATGGAGGAAGGTGAAAGGGAAGCATACATGTCCTACATGGCTGGAGGAGGAAGAGAGGGTTAAGGGAGAAGTGCTGCACACTTTTAAACAACCAGATCTAATGAAAACTCACGCACTGTCATGAGAACAGCAAGGGGAAAGTCCACTCCCATGATTCGACTGCATCCTACCAAGCCCTTCTTCCAACACTGGGGATTAAAATTCAACATGAGATTTTGGTGAGGACGCAGAGTCAAAACATATTGCCTCTTATTACTGCTTTCACTGTATCCCATCGGTTTTAGTATGTTGAGTTTCCATTATGATTGTTTCAAAACATTTTTAAATTTCCTTGTTATTGTCTTTATTGATTCACTGATCATTCAAAAGCATATACCATGTGTTTGTATAGTTTCTAAAATTCCTCTTGTTATTTATTTCTAGTTTCATTCCATTGAGGTCAGAGAAGATGCTTGATATTATTTATTTTGTTAAATGTTTTGAGATTCCTTTGTGACCTACCATAAGGTCTGTTCCTGAGAACAATGTGTATTGTGCAGCTGTGGGATGAAATGTTCTGTAAGTACCTATTAGGCCCAGTTTGCCTATAGGGCAGATTAAATCTCATGGTTCTTTGTTGATTTTCTGTCTGGAAGATCTGTTCAATGCTGAACTTGGGGTGTTGAATTCTTCAGCTATTGTTGTATTGGGGTCTATCTCTTTCTTAGCTTTAATAACATTTCCTTTATATAACTAGGTGGTCCAGTGTTGGATACATATATATTGACAACAGGTAGATTCTCTTTCAGAATTGACTCTTTTATCATTCTTTATTGAACTTGTTTGTCTCTTGTCATACTTTTCCTCCTAAAATCTATTTTGTCTGATATAAATGTAGCTACTCCTGCTCTTTTTTTTTCTTTAGCATGGAGTGACTTTTTCCATCCCTTTATTTTCAGTCTCTGTGTGTCTTTATAGGTGAAGTGTGGTTTTTTTGTAGGCAACAGATCTCTGGGTCTTGCTTTTTTTTTTTTTAATCCATTCAGTCACTCTATATCTTCTAATTGGAGAGTTTAGTCCACTTACATTCAATGTTATTATTGATCAGTAAGAACAAATTTCTGTCATTTTGCTGTAAGTTTTCTGAGTTTTTGTGTAGCCTTCACTTCCTTCTTTTTTCCATCCTGTTTTTGTTTCTGTGAAGATAATTATCTCTGGTGATATGATTTAATTTATTGCTTTTCATTTTTTGTGTAGCTGTTGTATGTTTTCAGATTCAAGGTTACTGTGAGGCTTGTGAATACCATATTAGAATCCATTACTTGAAACTGATAACAACACAGTTTACATTAAAAATCTAAAAAGCAAATAGAAAGCTAATAAAACTCTACACTATAACTTTATCCCCCTGCTTTTTAAACTTTTTAATATCTGTGCTTATATCATGTTTTACTCTCTATCTTGAAAACTTATTGTAGTTATTATTTATGATTGGTTTATTGTTCAATCTTTCTACTTAAGATCAAATTAGTGTACACAGTTACAGTGTTATAGTATTCTGTGTTTTTCTGTGTACTTACTACTGCTTGTGAGTTTTGTACCTCCTAATGATGTTTTATTGCTCATTAACATCATTTTTATTCTGATTTGAGGTACTGTTCCCTTTAGCATTTCTTATAGGACAGGTCTTGTGTTGATCAAATCCCTCAGGTTACATTAATATTTGTCTGGGACAGTCTTTATTTGTCCTTCATGTTTGATGAATTTTTTGATCCTGAATATACTACTCTAGGGTAAAAGTTCTTTTCTTTGGCCCTTTAAATATGTCATGCCGCTCTCTCCTGGCCTGCAAGGTTTCTACTGAAAAGTCGGCTGCCAGTCATGTTGAAGTGCAATTGTATGTTATTTGCCTCTTTTCTCTTGCTGCTTTTAGAATTCGTTCTTTGTCCTTGGCCTTTGGTAGTTTGATTATTAAACTCCTTAAGGTAGTCTTCTTTGGATTAAATCTGCTTGTTGTTCTAAATGCTTCTTGTACTTGGATATTGATATGTTTCTCTGAGTTTGGAAAGTTCTCTGTTATGTTCTCTTTGAATAAACGTTATAGCCCACCCCCCACCGCCCCCCACCCCTGCCTTAAGGCCAATAACTCTTAGATTTTCCCTTTTGTGGTTATTTTGTACATATTGTATGTGTGCTTCACTTTTAAAAATATTTTTACTTTTGTCTCCTCTGACTATGTATTTTTACATAGTGTGTCTTCAAGCTCACTAATTCTTCTGCTTAATTCTGCTATTAAAAGACTCAGATACATTCTTCAGTATGTCAATTGCATTTTTCAGCTCCCATATTTCTACTTTATTCTTTTTAATTCAGTCTCTTTGTTAAATTTATTTATCTGATAGGATTCTGAATTCCTTCTCTATGTTATCTTGATTTATTTTGTTTCCTTAGAACAGCTATTTTGAATTGTCTTGTCAAAGAGGTCATATATCTCAGGATTTGTCCCTGGTGCCTCATGTAGTTTATTTGGTGAGGTCATGTTTTCCTATGTGGTCTTGATTCTTGTGGATGTTTGTCAGTGTCTGGACATTGAATAGTTAGATATTTATTGTAGTCTTTGTAGTCTGGGCTTCTTTGTACTCATCCTTCTTGTTAAAGATTTCAGGTATTCAAAAGGACTTGAGTATTATGATCTAGGCCATATCTGCATTAGGGGACACCCCAAGCCCAGCAACTCTGTGGTTCTTGAAGACTCATAGAAGTATTGCCTTGAAGAAGATCTGGAATAATTCTCTGGATTACTAGGCACAGACTCTTGTTTTTCTTCCTTACAATATCCTAAACAACCAAAGTATCTTTCTGTCTCTATTCTGAGCCTCCTGGAACTGAGGGAAAGGTGGCACAAACACCCCTGTGGCCACCACTACTGGAATGGTACTTGATCAGACTTGAAACCTGCACAGCATGGGTCTTACACAACACCCACAGTAACCACTACCTGGCCACTGCCTATGTTTGCTTAAAGCTCTAAGTCTCTACAATCAGCAGGTGCCAAAGCCAGCCAGGCTTATGTCCTTTTTTTCAGGGCAGCAAGTTCCCCAGCCACAGGCAGATCCAAAAGTGCTTTCCGGAGTCAGGGAATGGAATCAAAAACTTTAGAATTCTACCTGGTGTTCTATTGTACAGAGGCTGGACTGGCACTCAAACCACAAGAGGCAATCTTTCCCACTCTTTTCTCCCATTTTCACAGGCTGAGAAGCCTCAGTGCATGGCCACGACCACCACTGGCCCGCTAGGAGTACTGCCAGGCTACTGCCAAAGTTCCCTTAAGGCCCAAGGACTCTACAGTCAGATTGTGTTGAATGCTACATGGCCTAAGACTCATCCTTCAGGGCATTGGGCTCCCCTACGGCTGACGGCAGGTCCAGAAATTCTGTTCAACAGCCAAAGCCTGGAATTGGTGACCTCAAGAGCCTGCTTGGTGCTGTACTCTCCTGTAGCTGAGCTGGTACCTAAGATACAGGACAAAGTCTCAAGCAGAAAGTGTCTCTCCCTGTACCCATCACATCTAGGAATGTGTTGAGTCTCACATGAAGCTAGCAAGTCTCAAAGTCTCACCCAGGGCCCATGGCACATTACCCAGAAATTGCTGCTGGTTATTCAGGGCCCAAGTGCTCCTTAGTCAGCAGGTAATGGGTCTTGCTAGGAAAGAGTCCTTCTATTCAAGGCAATGGGTTCACTTCTGCCCCACAGTGTGTCTAGAAGTGTCTTCTGGGAGCTAGGGCCTGAAAAAGGAACCTCGTGATTCTGAATAATGCCCTACCTTACTGTGACTTAGCTAGTATCCATGATACAAGACATCGTCCTCTTTATTCTTCCCTCTCCTCTCCTCAGGAGGAAGGAAGGGGTATCTTTTGGCTCTGTGAGCTATGCAGCCTGAGTTTGGGGGAGGGGTGGTACAAGCACTCCTTTAGATGCTCCAGCTCGTGTCTCAGTGGGTCAAATGCTTTCCATGTCCACTGGCACTGAGTCTAGTTGATTACTCAGACTCACCTGGAAATTGTAGTCCTTCTGGCCTAGACTGCCTTTCAAGTTCATTTAGAGCCCCAGAGCACTTTGGTTTGTGGTGGCGACGCTTGACAGAACTCACGTTAATGACCACTAGGATGAGTGATTTTCCTCTGGCTAGAGCTGGTTTGAATGCTCCCTCCATGGGAGGGCACTGGCTGAATTTGAACCAAATTTCCTTTGTTCTCTGACACAGCAGCACTGAGTTCAATTCAACATCTCATAATCCCTGTGCTCTCCCTCTGTTAAGGACACAGACTTTCTCTTCACCAAGCAGCTAATGTTAGGGCATGAGGGCGGCATAGCATAGGGAATTCAAGATTGTCTTTTCTACCCTTTTCCAGTGCTTCTTTCAGTGAGGACCCAGAAGAAATGCAGAAGGGCCTCTCATAACAGACATGCAAAACCTCACAGAAATGTGGCCTTATTGTCTGCCCTGAGAGGCCCCAGTGAATGAATGTCAAGCAGCACAACCCTCTCCTTCCTTCTGGCTTCCTTTTCTGAAGTGTCAGGGAGATGGTGGCCTTAGCCCAAGGGTGCCATCCTCAGGTCAGTAGAAGGGAGGGGATGTACATCTTGGCTGGAGTAAATACGAATACATTTAAGACACTTGAGGGTACATCTCACTGTAGTACACAGGGAACCACATAATATTCAGCCTGTTTCTTCTATAAGCCCTGGGGAGACAATGATTTATTTATATTGAGTAACTTCAATGTATCATTTTTTCCTGTTTGAATCATGCATTTAATTTGCATTTCTCTAATGGCTGATGATATAGAAGAAAAATTACCATGTTTATATAACATCCATATGTCAACTTTAGTGAGTTGTGTGTTGATGTATTTTGCCTATTTTAAAAATTGAGCTGTTGTTTTCTGATTTTTGAATTTAAAAAAAATCCTTCATGTATTCTGCATACAGGTCCTTTGTTGTATATTTGATTTGTAAATATTTTCTTGCAGTCTTTATCTTTGGCACAGACTTGTAAAATGATAAACATCATATGTCATTAGGGAATTAAAAATTAAGACAACATTGAGGTACCATTACATATCTATTTGAGTAGCTAAAACCCAAAACATTGAAAACATCAAATGCTTCCACGTGGAAGCCACCAAGGTTTGGGCCTTGCACCCTCTGAAACAATGGCCAGAGCAGTACCTTGGCTTCTTTTAGCCATGGCTGGGATAAAGAACACCAAGTCCCAATGCTGCACTGAGCAACAGCAGGGCCCTGGGCCTGACTCAAGAAACCATTTTTTCCTCCTAGGCCTCCAGGTCTGTAATGGGACTGGCTTCCATGAAGGTCTCTGACATGCCCTGGAGAGATTTTTCCAATCGTATTGGAAATTTACATTTGGCTCCTTGTTACTTATGCAAATTTCTGCAGCCAGCTTGAATTCCTCTCCAGAAAATGGGTTTTTCTCTTCTACCATATGGTCAGGCTGCACATTTTCCAAACCTTTTGCTCTGCTTCCGTTTTAAATGTAATTTCCAATTTCAGATCATCTCTCTCAAGTTCAAAGTTCCACAGATCTCTAAGGAAGTGGTCTTTGCTCCATTTCCCAAGAAGTTCCTCAACTCCATCTAAGACCACCTCAGCCTGGATTTCATTGTCTGTATCACTATTAGCATTTTGCTCAAAGCGATAGCTCAAAACCTCTCAAAAAACAAATCATACAGCTTTAATAGTCACCCTGAGGAATTCCACAAAACATTCAAAAAACAAATAACATCAATTCTGCTATATAAATTACAGAGAAAAACATAAAACAGAAAAGGGAGCATCTTCCAAGTTATATGAGTCCAGCATTACTCTGATAACAAAACCAGACAAATGTAATACAAAAAAACCTACAGTGTAGTATGGCTTTTGAACACAGATGCAAAATCCTTAAAAACAAGTCAGCAAAACCATACTTCAGTATATGTAAAGAATAAAACACTAGGACAAGAAAGTTTAATACAGCAATGCAAGTCTGGCATACATTTGAAAATCAATCAGTGCAATCCACATTAATTACAGTTTATAAAAGGAAAATACATCATCATAAAACTTTATATAAAATGTATTTGACAAAACTCAACTTTCATTAATGACAAAAAAAACTTTCAACAAACTAGGAATAGAAGAAAACTGTTTCAAAATATTTTTAAAATGTACAAAATTCCTACAGGAAACATAAAAACTGAATATTTTCCCCCTTGGATTGAAAACTGGCAGGGCTATCCACTCTTACAACTCCTATTCAACATCGTACTGGAAATCCTACCTAGTGCAATATAATGACAAATAAATAAAAAGGAAGCATATTGAAGAAAAGATAAATAAAATTGTTCTAGATTTGTAGATAACATATTTACTTACATAAAAGTTCCAAGGAATCTACAGAAAATCTCTTTGGATTAATAAGTGAGTTTATTAATGCCATGAGATGTAAGGTCAACACAACATAGTCAATCTTAAATTAAATAGTAGTGATGAACAATTGGAAACTGATATTTTTAAAAAGCAATGCCATTCATAACAGCTTTAAAATAATGAAATACTTAAGTATAAAGATAATAAAACATGATATCAAGGGAAAAAACTCCAAAAAACTGTGGTGAGAAGTTAAGGAAGACAAATAAATGGAGAGACATACCGTGGTAATGGATTGGACACTCAAGATAGTTAAAAAAAAATCAATTCCGCACAAATTGATGAACAGACTTATAATTCCAATCAAAATCCTAGCCCAATGTTTTGCATCTATGGACAAGCTTTATCTAAATTTTATGTGAAAATACAAATAAACTACCAAAGTAACTTTTAAAGAGAAGAATAAGTTGGAGAAGTTAACTACTTCATTATAAAAGTTACTGTAAAGCCCCAGTAATCACTGCATTATGGAGTTGATGGTCATCACAGAGATCAATATAACAGAATAGAGTTCAGAAATAGGTCCATTCAAAGGTGAACAATTGATTTTAACAATGATGTGTAGGTAACTTAGTAGAAATAGTCTTTTCAATATAGTGTTGGAACAATTGGACATATTTAGGGTAAATAAAAACAAAAAACTCCATTTAAACATCATGATAGTTTATGTACAAGTTAATTCAAAGTGGATGATAAATTTAAAAGTAAAATATAAAAGTATTTAACTTGTAGAGAAAAACAGGTTTCATGATCTGGGTTTAGGAAAATAGATAGACACCAAAATCATAATTCATAGAATAAAAATATGATTTAAAAGATTTAATCTAAATTTTAAAATTTGTTATATGAAAACACAGCTAAGAGAAGGAAAATACAAGGTATAGACTGTGAGAAAATATTTGCAAATTACATATTCAACAAAGAACTTGTGTCTAGAACATATGAAGAACTTTCAAAATTCAATAGTAAGAAAACAACCAACCTGACTTAAAAACGATCACAATATTTAACAGACAGTTCAGAGAAGATATATGAGTAATAAATAAGTACATGAAATGATGTTCAACATAATTACCTATTAGGAAAATAAAAATTACAACCATGGTGAAAATACTTTTACACACTTATTAGAATGGTTATATACATACATACATATATATATATATATATATATGGCTATATAAGGTGATATATACATATACACACATATGTACATATCTACATATACTAATAATGTTAAGTATTGGCAATAATGCAAATCAACCAGAACCCTCATACTGGTGGTAATGCTATGGTACAGCTAATCTGGAAAACATCTGGCAGTTTCTTATAATGGTAAACACACACTTATAATATGAGCCAACGATTCCATTCCTGGAAATTTATCCTGGAAAACTAAAATGTATATGTACACACAAAAAAAAACTGTACACAAACTGTTTATAGCAATTGCATTCATAATTACCAAAACTAAAGACAACCCAGATATATTTCAATAAGTTCATGGATAAACAAACTATGGTAATGTATACCATAGAGTACTTGTTAGCAATAAAAATGAGTGAATAATTGATACATGCAACTTGGATAAATCTCAAAGACATGATGGAGTGAAAGAAACTAGCTTTCAAAATATTATGTGGTATATGATTACATTTATATAACATTCTCTAAAAGATAAACTATTGTGACAGAAAACAGATCAATGATTGTGGATTGTGGTTATGGGTGGGGAGTGATGATTAAAAGACAACACAAGGCCAGGCGCAGTAGCTCACGCCTGTAATCCAAGCACTTTGGGAGACCGAGGTGGGTGGATCACCTGAGGTCAGGAGTTTGAGACCAACCTGGCCAACATGAAGAAACCCCATCTTTACTAAAAATACAAAAAGTAGCTGGGCATGGTGGCACATGCCTGTAATCCCAGCTACTCAGGAGGCTGAGGTGGGAGAATCTCTTGAACCCAGGAAGCAGAGGTTGCAATAAGCTGAGATCACACCACTGCACTCCAGCCTGGGCAGCAGAGTAAAACTTTGCCTTAAAAAAAAAAAAAAAAAAAAAAAAAACACACACGAAGGATTTTGGGGGGTGGTGTGAGTGTTCTATATATGGATTGTGGTCATGGTTACACAGATCTGTACATGTGTTAAAATTCATAGAACTGTCCAAAAAAGTAAATTTCTATGTATATCAGCTTTACACACACACACACACACACACACACACACACACACACACACACACACGTTGCATCCTGAGCAAAATAACAGATTAGTACCATGTTCAGAGATGTGGAGGGAGCAGAGGTGTTTATCTTGATCATAATTTATCTCCTTTCTGGTTCCTGAAAAAATCCAGATAATGACTTATGACAGTGGACTAATGCAAACTTAATCAAGTAGCAGCCCTAATTACAACGATTGTGCCATCTGTGGTATCTTCACTAAAGCCTATTAACAGTCTTAGGTTTGTGAACATAGGTATTGGTGTGGCAAATATATTATGTTTCATATTCATCACGAAGTAAAATATGAAGCATTCCAGAGATACGTTAGCTCTCTGGCTCTTTGCAATATAATAGAGTCCAAAAATATCTGGACACATCTGGCTATTCCACAGAACATCACGTCGCTTTACTATATTGAAGCACTTGAGCAAGGGAAGTCAAGTGACCCTGTGGCCACAACTACCAATCATAAACTAGAAAATTCCATTCCTGGATTTCATAAAGTCTACCAGGTCCAGTCACAATCTCTAATAAGAAGAAATGGGATGGTGCACAGCAAAGGATACAAATAAGCTGAGCAAACAGATATCTAATACCCAACCATAGTAGGGTCTCACTCAGATCATGCTCAGAGATTGATGCCTCTCATTCAGACTACACCTATTGTCTTTTTGGAGTGTCCTTGTGTCCAGGTGGAAAAAAAAAAAGATGTCAGATATGGGACATTGGTGCAAACTGAAAATGGGCTGCTGCTATTTGCATTCTTTCTCAGGCTTACCTTGAAATAAAGTGGTAATGGGAAATCCTCCCAATTAGAAAAGTTTTTGTCAGTGCATCTGGTAACTCACTTTATTTGGAGAGAGATGTGGCATGATATAGGGGTAGGTTTCAATAAATATATGAGCCCCACTAAGTGGCTTAGTTGGTTCGTCAGTAGCCCAGACGGAGCAAGGTGCAAGACTGAATACGTGATGGACTTACGTGAGTGAATACAAAGTGTAAAGGTCTTTTTTTTTTTTTAACATTAGTTCACCTAAACAGCATCTGTTCCATTAGAAGAACTAAATATCCACTGGACAGATAACCTAGCAAATTACTGATAGTCAAGCTTTTTCCTCAGCTACCACTAAAATGCTGACAACAAAGACAGATGTCAATGCCCTAATATGGCACTAACTTTTGAGGATATGAACAACTAGTCTGTGGCAAGTTGAATCACATTGAAGAACTTTCTACTTGAAAAGTGAAGCAATATATTCTCTCACATATATGTATACACACACACACACACATACACGTATATATACATATATACACACATATACATATATGTACACACATATATGTAATTATTATTATAATTATATATATATATATATATATATATATATAATTTTCTGGGTATGGGTTTACATTTTCTGACCACAGGCCCTTGACCCAAACTGTTATCTGAAGCCTCGCAGTGGGTCTGATTTCTCACTGTGAGAACCTGCATAACATTGCCTTGGATGAAGGGGCCCATTTTACGGCAAAGGAGGTGTGGCAGTAGGCACATGATCATGAGATCCACTAGTTTTATAATATAATGCACTCCTCAGGAACTGACAGACTAATACAGTGGCAAATGACCTTCTAAAGATGTTGCTGAGGCATCACTGTGGGAATGAGACCCCTTATTCATGGGCGTTATTCTGCAGGATACGTTTTATTCTTTAAATCTACGGACAAGATGCGGTTCTGTGTCTTCACTAGATAGTATACATAGGTGCAGGAAGAAAGGGGTGGAATTAAGACTAGCTGTCTTCACCATTACTCCCAATTATGAACTTGGGGGATGTGTTTTGCCAGTCTCCTCGATTTTAGGCTCTGTGAGTGTAGAGATTCTGGTTCTCACAGTGGGATCACTTCCACAGTAGAAACAGTAAGATTCCTGCTGCATATAAAGCTTACAGCCACTGCCTGGTTACTTTGGGCTTCTTCTGCAAGTATACCAACAGATATCGAAAATAGTTATTATATTGGCAGTAGTAATTAATCCTGATCATCATGAGGAGGTAAGAGCGTTGCTATATAATGTGGGCAGCAAAGAGTACGTTTGGCATTCAGGTGATCTATTGTGGCATCTCTTGGTACTTCCATGCTCTGTCTTAACTATGAATGGGAAAGTGCAGTAACCACAGATCTAATAAGGGAATGGACACTGGGCTTCAGACCTCTCAGAGATTAGGGTCAAAGTCATCCCACGAGGAAAGCCACCTAGACCAGCAGAAGTGATAGTTGAAGTTAAGGAAAATCTGGAATCAGTGGTGGGAAAGGAGATACATATTAAATATGTACCTTAAATTTATTAAATAAATACATAAATACCAGGAATTGTGCTAGAGAATGTATGCTCAAATGTGCTGAACTTAATATTAAGAAGCAAAAAGGCCTGAATGGCAGAAGGGATGGACGGTAGTAGACATTGTGATGTCATGCTTCCCAAAACCCATTTATTCAGTGAGTGGATTCATTCTTCTAGCTGCTGAAAATGATCAGAGCCACCTTGCCTGGAAATGTACATCACCTAGTGTGGTGGTCCATAACTAATGGCTGAATGATAGAAGGATGTAAAAGGCTGGCTCACTTACTTCAAGTGAGGATAACACAAAGGTAATGTTTATGCTCCAGATATTTTGCTCATGAGGCATCTAGACTAGACTTTTTGTAAAACAGGTTTATTGAAGTATAATTGACATACAAAAAACTACACATATTTAACGTGTATAATCTGATAAGTTTGGATATGGTCAAACATCAATGGTACCATCATCATGATCAATGTAATAGACATATGCAAACCTCCCAAAGTTTCTTTGTATTCCTTTGGTTTTTTTTTTTTTTTTTTTTTTTTTGTGTGTGTGTGTGTGTGTGTGTGTGTGTGTGTGTGTTTGGTAGTAAGAACAGTAGTTAACATGAGCTCAACGCTCTTGACAAATTTTGAAGTGTACAATATTATACTGGTAACTGCAGGCACTTTGTCATATAGTAGATCACTAGAACTTATTTAACAAAACTAAAGCATTATGCCCATTGAACAAAACCTCCTCATTTTCCCAATTCTCCCTCTATCCCCTGGCAACCACACTGTATATGTTCTGTATATGGATTTGACTATTATAGATAATTATATAAGAGGAATCATGCAATATCTTTCTATGACTAGCTTATTTTACTTAGAATAATATTTTGCAGGTTCATCTAAATAGCTACAAATGGCAAAGTTTCCTTCTTTTTAAAGGCTGAATTCCATCATATGTATATTCCACATTTAAAAATGTATTTTTCTATTGATGGACATTTGGGATACTTCCACTTCTTGGCTATTATGAATAATGCTTTAATGAATATGAAAGCACAGATATCTCTTCAAGATCTTGATTTCAACTCTTTTGGAAATATAGCCATAAGTTGAACTGCTGGAACACATGGTAGTTCTATTTTAATTTTTTGAGAAATTAGATGAGGATGTCTACTATTACCGCTTCTATGCAATATAGTCTATTAATCTTAGCCAGAGCAATTAGGTGAGAATAGATAAAAGGAATACAAATTAGAAAATGAAAAGAAGTAAAATAATCTGTGTTTGCAGATGACATGATCTCACATGTAGAAAACCTTAAAGACCCCACAAAAAATCTGTTAAACTAATAAACTAATACAGCAAAGTGGCAAAATACAAAATCAACATACAAAATCAATTACATTTCTATACACAAATAACCATCAAAAAGAACACTAAAAAACAATTTCACTTATAATAGCATAGAAACAATATTTAGAAATGAAGTTACTGAAGAAGTGAAAGACTTGTACACTGAAAACTGCAAAACATTGATAAAAGAAATTGAATGAGACGAATAAATGGAAAGGTATTTTCTGTTCATGGATTTAAATACTTAATAATGTTAAAAAGGTCCATATTACCAAATGCAACCTACAGATTCAATGCTACTCCCATCAAAATTCCACTGACATTATTTAGAGAAAAAAAAAAAAACCCATAATCCTAAAATTCACATAGGATCACAAAAGACCCAGAGTAGCCAAAGGAATCTTAAGAAAAAAGAATAAAGCTGAAAACATCACATTTTCTGACTTCAAACTATCCTACAAAGCTGCAGTAATTAAAATAGTATGGTACTGGCATAAGAAAAACATAAATCTGACGGAAAAGAATAGAGAGCTCAGAAGTAAATCCACACAGATACAGTCAACTGATCTTATACAAGAGTGTCAAGAACATGCAGTGGAGAAAAGATTGTTTTTAAAACAAACGGTTTTGAAAACTAGACATACACATGCGAAATAATAAAACCAAACCTTTATCTAAAACAATAAAAAAGTAAACTAAAAATAGATTAAAGACTTAAATGTATAACCTGAAAATGTGAAACTCCTAGAAGAAAAGATAGGGAAAAAAGCTTCCTGTCATTGGCTGGCAATAATTTCTTTGGTATGACCCCAAAAGCAAAGGCAACAAACGCAAAAATAGATAAGTGGGACTACATAAAACAAAAGCATTCCACACAGCAAAAGAAACAATGAACAACAAAAAAGGCAACCTAAAGAATGGAAGAAAATATTTTTAAATCATATATGAGATAAGGAGTTTGTTGTATTATGCTTATATATACAGATTGTTTTTTTTTTCCTGTTATGCAGAAGCACCAAGAATTTATTTCTCAGAGTACCAGGGATGCAGGATAATTTCTTCTAAGCAGATCACAGCCCTGCTCCTGTAGCAGCCAGAACACAGGACACTTTTTGTCTGACTCCTTTTCATGATGGGGGGCTACCAGGGCAGTTTTATCCCTGCTAAGAACAGGCCAAGAAATCACACACTCAGTGCAACTGAGCGAATCCCTCTCTCCTCACTTTGTTCTCAGCAAGAAGGGGACTTGGCTTGGACAGATGAAGGATCAAGTCCCAAGGTAATAAAGGCCACAGACTTTTAATAACTATTTTCCTTCTGAGAGCTTCAGAAGGCACTGTCAGGTATTGCCCATCAGCCAGCCCTTCCTACAGCACTGCTGCATGGAATGTAGCAAAGTAATCCAGCTCAACACAATTAACCTCCCTTTCAATCCAAGTCTTAGCCCCAAGCCACCATACCATGCCTTGTGAGAACACTGCTAGATCTCAAATACAAAGTTAACTGATAATTCAAGGTGTCAATCTGCCTAAGTCCTTTGGATATAACTATCTTTTTACATATATAATACATATAATATATATAATATATATATAATATATATAATATATATAATAATATATATTATATATATAATATATAATAATATATATAATATATATAATATATATATTATATATAATATATATGATATATATTATATATTATATATGTATGTATAATATATATATTATATATATATGTATGTATAATATATATATATTATATATATATGTATGTATAATATATATATATTATACTGTAAGTTCTAGGGTACATGTGCACAATGTGCAGGTTTGTTACATATGTATACATGCGCCAGGTTGGTGTGCTGCACCCATTAACTCGTCATTTACATTAGGTATATCTCCTAATGCTATCCCTCCCCCGTCCCCCCACCCCACAACAGGCCCTGGTGTGTGATGTTCCCCTTCCTGTGTCCATGTGTTCTCATTGTTCAATTCCCACCTATGAGTGAGAACATGCGGTATTTGGTTTTTTTGTCCCTGCAATAGTTTGCTGAGAATGATGGTTTCCAGCTTCATCCATGTCCCTACAAAGGACGTGAACTCATCCTTTTTTATGGCTGCATAGTATTCCATGGTGTATATGTGCCACATTTTCTTAATCCAGTCTATCATTGATGGACATTTGGGTTGGTTCCAAGTCTTTGCTATTGTGAATACTGCCGCAATAAACATACGTGTGCATGTGTCTTTATAGCAGCATGATTTATATTCCTTTGGGTATATACCCAGTAATGGGATGGCTGGGTCAAATGGCATTTCTAGTTCTAGATCCCTGAGGAATCGCCACACTATCTTCCACAATGGTTGAACTAGTTTACAGTTCCACCAACAGTGTAAAAGTGTTCCTATTTCTCCACATCCTCTCCAGCACCTGTGGTTTCCTGACTTTTTAATGATCACCATTCTAACTGGTGTGAGATTATATCTCATTGTGGATTTGATTTGCATTTATTTGATGGCCAGTGATGATGAGTATTTTTTCATGTGTCTGTTGGCTGCATAAATGTCTTCTTTTGAGAAGTGTCTGTTCATATCCTTCACCCACTTTTTGATGGGGATTTTTTCTTGTAAATTTGTTTGAGTTCTTTGTAGATTCTGGATATTAGCCCTTTGTCAAATGAGTAGATGGCAAAAATTTTCTCCCATTCTGTAGGTTGCCTGTTCACTCTGATGGTAGTTTCTTTTGCTGTGCAGAAGCTCTTTAGTTTAATTAGATCCCATTTGTCAATTTTGGCTTTTGTTGCCATTGCTTTTGGTGTTTTAGACATGAAGTCCTTGCCCATGCCTATGTCCTGAATGGTACTGCCTAGGTTTTCTTCTAGGGTTTTTATGGTTTTAGGTCTAACATTTAAGTCTCTAATCCATCTTGAATTAATTTTTGTATAAGGTGTAAGGAAGGGATCCAGTTTCAGCTTTCTACATATGGCTAGCCAGTTTTCCCAGCACCATTTGTTAAACAGGGAATCCTTTTCCCATTTCTTGTTTTTGTCAGGTTTGTCAAAGATCAGATAGTTGTAGATGTGTGGTATTATTTCTGAGGGCTCCGTTCTGTTCCATTGGTCTATATCTCTGTTTTGGTACCAGTATCATGCTGTTTTGGTTTTTGTAGCCTTGTAGCACAGTTTGAAGTCAGGTAGCATGATGCCTCCAGCTTTGTTCTCTTGGTTTAGGATTGACTTGGCAATTCGGGCTCTTTTTTGGTTCCATATGAATTTTAAAGTAGTGTTTTCCAATTCTGTGAAGAAAGTCATAGGTAGCTTGATGGAGATGGCATTGAATGTATAAATTACCTTGGGCAGTATGGCCATTTTCACGATATTGATTCTTCCTATCCACGAGCATGGAATGTTCTTCCATTTGTTTGTGTCCTCTTTTAATTCGTTGAGCAGTGGTTTGTAGTTCTCCTTGAAGAGGTCCTTCACATCCCTTGTAAGTTGGATTCCTAGGTATTTTATTTTCTTTGAAGCAATTGTGAATGGGAGTTCACTCATGGTTTGGCTCTCTGTTTGCCTGTTATTGGTGTATAAGAATGCTTGTGATTTTTGCACATTGATTTTGTACCCTGTGACTTTGCTGAAGTTGCTTATCAGCTTAAGGAGATTTTAGGCTGAGACGATGGGGTTTTCTAGATATACAATCATATCATCTGCAAACAGGGACAATTTGACTTCCTCTTTTCCTAATTGAATACCCTTTATTTCTTTTTCCTGCCTGATTGCCCTGGCCTGAACTTCCAACACTATGTTGAATAGGAGTGGTGAAAGTGGGCATCTCTGTCTTGTGCCAGTTTTCAAAGAGAATGCTTCCAGTTTTTGCCCATTCAGTATGATATTGGCTGTGGGTTTGGCATAAATAGCTCTTATTATTTTGAGATACATCCCATCAATATCTAATTTATTGAGAGTTTTTAGCATGAAGGGCTATTGAATTTTATTGAAGGCCTTTCTGCATCTTTTGAGATAATCATGTGGTTTCAGATTCACCAAAGTTGAAATGAAGGAAAAAATGTTAAGGGCAGCCAGAGAGAAAGGTCGGGTTACCCACAAAGGGAAGCCCATCAGACTAACAGCTGATCTCTCGGCAGAAACTCTACAAGTCAGAAGAGAGTGGGGGCCAATATTCAGCATTCTTAAAGAAAAGAATTTTCAACCCAGAATTTCATATCCAGCCAAACTAAGCTTCATAAGTGAAGGAGAAATAAAATACTTTACAGACAAGCAAATGCTGAGAGATTTTGTCACCACCAGGCCTGCCCTAAAAGAGCTCCTGAAGGAAGCACTAAACATGGAAAGGAAAAGCCGGTACCAGCCACTGCAAAAACATGCCAAATTGTAAAGACCATCAAGGCTAGGAAGAAACTGCATCAACTAACAAGCAAAATAACCAGCTGACATCATAATGACAGGATCAAATTCACACATAACAATATTAACCTTAAATGTAAATGGGCTAAATGCTCCAATTAAAAGACACAGACTGGCAAATTGGATAAAGAGTCAAGACCCATCAGTGTGCTGTATTCAGGAAACCCATCTCACGTGCAGAGACACACATAGGTTCAAAATAAAGGGATGGAGGAAGATCTACCAAGCAAATGGAAAACAAAAAAAGGCAGGGGTTGCAATCCTAGTCTCTGATAAAACAGACTTTAAATCAACAAAGATCAAAAGAGACAAGGAAGGCCATTACATAATGGTAAAGGATCAATTCAACAAGAAGAGCTAACTATCCTAAATAGATATGCACCCAGTACAGGAGCACCCAGATTCATAAAGCAAGTCCTTAGAGAACTACAAAGAGACTTAGACTCCAACACAATAATAATGGGAGACTTTAACACCCCACTGTCAACATTAGACAGATCAACGAGACAGAAAGTTAACAAGAATATCCAGGACTTGAACTCAGCTCTGCACCAAGCGGACCTAATAGACATCTACAGAACTCTCCACCCCAAATCAACAGAATATACATTCTCCTCAGCACCACACCGCACCTATTCCAAAATTGACCACATAGTTGGAAGTACAACACTCCTCAGCAAATGTAAAAGAACAGAAATTACAACAAACTATCTCTCAGACCACAGTGCAATCAAACAAGAACTCAGGATTAAGAAACTCACTCAAAACCGCTCAACTACATGGAAACTGAACAACCTGCTCCTGAATGACTACTGGGTAAATAACGAAATGAAGGCAGAAATAAAGATGTTCTTTGAAACCAACGAGAACAAAGACACAACATACCAGAATCTCTGGGACACATTTAAAGCAGTGTGTGGAGGGAAATTTATAGCACTAAATGCCCACAAGACAAAGCAGGAAAGATCTAAAATGGACACCCTAACATCACAATTAAAAGAACTAGAGAAGCAAGAGCAAACACATTCAAAAGCTCGCAGAAGGCAAGAAATAACTAAGATCAGAGCAGAACTGAAGGAGATAGAGACACAAAAAAACCTTCAAAAAATCAATGAATCTAGGAGCTGGTTTTCTGAAAAGATCAACAAAATTGATAGACTGCTAGCAAGACTAATAAAGAAGAAAAGAGAGAAGAATCAAATAGACACAATAAAAAATGATAAAGGGGATATCACCACCGATCCCACAGAAATACAAACTACCATGAGAGAATACTACAAACACCTCTACACAAATAAACTAGAAAATCCAGAAGAAATGGATAAATTCCTCGATACATACACCCTCCCAAGACTAAACCAGGAAGAAGCTGAATCTCTGAATAGACCAATAACAGGCTCTGAAATTGAGGCAATAATTAATAGCTTACCAACCAAAAAAGGTCCAGGACCAGATGAATTCACAGCCAAATTCTACCAGAGGTACAAGGAGGAGCTGGTAACATTCCTTCTGAAACTATTCCAATCAATAGAAAAAGAGGGAATCCTCCCTAACTCATTTTATGAGGCCAGCATTATCCTGACACCAAAGCCTGGCAGAGACACAAGAAAAAGAGAATTTTAGACCAATATCCCTGATGAACATCAATGCAAAAATCCTCAGTAAAATACTGGCAAACCGAATCCAGCAGCACATCAAAAAGCTTATCCACCGTGACCAAGTGGGCTTCATCCCTGGGATGCAAGGCTGCTTCAACATATGCAAATCAATAAACGTTATCCAGCATGTAAACAGAACCAAATACAGATTGGTTTTTATCCATGGTTCCTGCCTTGTAACTGCCACAGACCTTATTACAGTATTTTGTCATAATGTTGGGGCACTTTAAGCACTAGAAGCAGACATCAGGAAATAGAATATGTCTTTCTGACCCTCTCCTGTCCTTTTACCTTTCGAAAAGCAGGACTCTAATGTGATCATGAGTCAAAAAACCCTCATTTCAGAGAGGGTTCTGCCCATACTTTGGAGGCAGGAATGCTGTACAGACAAACCAAGAAGACTCTTAAAAGACATGCCTTGCTTTGTTTCCCAAATCAGTCTTAGCATAATGCCCTTTTGTCCAGTCATATTTCTACACAGTTTTTAATCATGCTCACGTAATGACACCTCTATAAAAATCAAAACGAACAGGTTCAGGAGCTTCTAGATAGCTGCGCAGGCAGAGGTGCCTGGAGTGTGGTACACTCAAGGAGGGCATAGAAGCTACATGCCCCTTCCCTCACATCTCACCCTACTCATCTTTTCATCTCTATCCTTTGTTAATATCCTTTATATTAAGCCAGTAAATGTAAGTAAGTATTTTCCTGAGTTCTGTGACCTGCTCCATCAAATTAATTGAACCCAAAGTAGGGATCATGGGAAACCCAACTTGAAGCCTGTGGGTCAGTTCTGGAGACCTGCACATGTGACTAGTGTCCTAGAAAGGGCAGTCTTGGGAACTGAGCCCTCAACTTGTGGGATGGGAAACTATTTCCAGGTAGATAGCATCAGAATTGACTTGGAGGACACCCAGTTGGTGTTGTTTACAAAATTAATTGCTCACTTGGTGGTAGGTAAAACTTAACTCTCCCCAACATTTGGTCACAGAATTCTTCTGTGTTAATGATGGCTGTGGTGTCAGAGCAGAGGAAATCATGGTTTGAGAATTTTTCCCAACCTAGGCTAACTTTCAAAAAAGATAAGGAACTCCTACAATTCAATAGCCAAAAACCAAATAATCCAATTAAACAATGGGCAAAGGACCTGAACAGGTATTTCTCCAAAGAAGACATACAAATGTCCAACAAATATATAAAAATATGCTCAACATGATTAATTATCAGAGAAGTGCAAATCAACACTATAGTGAGATATCACTTCATACTTTTTAGGATAGCTATCTATCTACCTATCTACATATAAAATATGTATATATATTATATATGTGTGTATTTTATATATATATATATATATATATCTCAAACTAGTGTTAGGCAAAATATGGAGGAAGTGAAACCCTTGTACCCTTTTGGTGGGAATGTGAAATGGTGCAGTAGCTATGGAAAATAGTATGGGGCTTCCTGGACTAGATTTTTGCCAAGTCTACGTATTTGCTGAGTTCCACTACTTTTTATCTTGCTTCATTTCCTCACTTACAGGTGTTTACTAAAGAATATCCTTTAATAAGTCACTGTTCCAACATTCCCTAGTTTAGAGTCTGATTTTCAGAAACTAGACTTAAGAAATTTTTAGACTGCGAGTTAAGATCCAGTGGAGAAAGAAAGAATGAAGATGTTTTTGATAGTTGATGAAATAAGGCCCAAGAGGGGAAAAGATAAGGATATAATCTCAAGCATAGGTAGATTATATCCCAGTTACCAAAAGGAAAATTACATCCCACTAATTACCTGAATTTGGAGAGCCACAAAAGTTGATGGAGACTATGAAAACTCTATGAGGAACAGTAGTTGAGACTGGGACCAGGAGTAGCCCATTAGGCTTCTTTGCTGCATTTCTTTCACTGAGTCCACTCTGTGCATGCAGGCTGACTAGAGACATGATCTATAAACCATGGAAAGAGAAGTGGTATCCCATGGCACAGGCTCACCTGCAGGACAGCTGCACTAAGCTGATCTGTTATTTGTTTCAATATTATGCTCATTTAACTATACAAATGTCATGAAGTTACCTAACACACATCAGAAGCTACAATTCAAGGATAGCGCTATTCTATTTATACTGTAAATTAGTAAGTAGTCATTATGAGATTATGTTCATGATACTTACTAATAAAGGTACTTCATCCCCAACCCTCTGTCTTTACTTTTAGGAAAACAAAATAGATTTTCTAACAGTCAGCATTGAACAAATGAGAAATATAATTGTTTTATATATATATTTATCAAATATATATATTTATCTCATATATACATATTTATCAAATATATACATTTATCAAATAAATGTATTTATCAAATATATCAAATATATATTTATCAAATATATATATTTATCAAATATATATTTATCAAATATATTTATCAAATATATATAGTTATCAAATATATATAGTTATCAAATATATATAGTTATCAAATATATATAGTTATCAAATATATATATATATATATGATACAAAGCTCAGAATCTCATAGTCATTAGCTGCCTAAAGCATGAACCACAAACATGCTCACTTGTTGTGTATCTAACTCACTGGCTTTAAAAAACAAAAAGCCATGCATGGTGTCTATAGTCCCAGCTACTTCTACTTGGGAGGCAGAGGTGAGAGGATCAATTGAGTCCAGGAGTTCGAGCCTGTGCTGTGATCACGCCACTGCACTCCTGCCTGAATGACAGAGCCAGACCCCATCTTTTTTTCTTTTTTTTTTTTTTTCAGTTGGAGTCTCGCTCTGTTGCCCAGGCTGGAATGCAGTAGTGTGATCTCGGCTCACTGCAACCTCCGTCTCCCGGGTGCAAGAGAGCCTCTTGACTCAGCCTTCCTAGTAGCTGGGACTGCAGGTATGCGCTACCATGACTGGCTATTTTTTTTTTTTTTTTTTTGTATTTTTGGTAGAGATGGGGTTTCTCCATATTGCCCAGGCTGGAATCGAGCTCTTGACCTCAACTGATCCACCCGCCTCAGCCTCCCAAGGTGTTGGGATTACAGGCATGAGCCACTGCGCCAAGCCCAGACCCCATCTTTAAAAAAAAGAAAAGAAACCTAGAAATGAGTTCTGGGTCTGGCAAGAACTAGCATTGTGAAGCCTTTGAGGCATACTTTACTCATTAATGAAATAATGAGTTTGGCTAGTTCCATTTGTTTCCTAACTATTTTTTGATGCTCTCCTGCTTATGGGAGGTAAGTGCTGATCACCAAAATCTCTCTTGGCACCCATGTTGCTCTCAGTGTAATTGTCCATTGTTGCATGGAGCATCACTCATATCCTGCAATTCTCATCCTAAACCTGTGAAGTGACTGTCACTGTCCTCCTTTTACCATGTGGGTCAAAGGGGTTGACTTTCCCAAGATAGCAGTCAGAATTCAAAGCAAGGCTGAAACTGCAGTTATATTGTTATGCATCTCTGACCTGGGCAAGCTTTTCTATCTCAAAAGTTATGAAGGCTTACCATGGCTTTGCTTGTATGTAATGTTATAGCTTTACTATCATGACTTATGTTATTCAGAGTCCATAGTGGGGCATTTCACTCTCCTAGAGTCTCTAGGAGTACATGGTGTTCAAATGGCAAGGGCTGTACATACTCAAGTGTTACATCTTATTAAAAATTCAAGAACAAAAGAAAACAAACTTATAAAACTTAAATCCACCACAGGATTCCACAGTACTCTGGCAACTGGAAGCAAACAAACTCTCAAATTATGATTTGTCAAGGACTGTGTATATTTCCCCAATTATGTTGTTTTCAGCTACATGTTGAGTATGGTGAACACAATATCTGTGAATCCTTAGGAGTTAGAGTTGTAGTTTAAAAAATAAGTGGTTTTAATAAAGTAATGTATTTGGGAAATTTTGAAGGAAATCGTATTTCACAGCATTCCCAGTAATGATGTATCAAGTACTAGTACTTTAGTTTTATGAAAAACAAGTTTCAATAAGATATTTTTCAACTCCTGAAAGCATTTCTGATATTATAAAGGTTCTTGTTATAAGTGAATATATTGCTTGGTAACAGATTTTCTGATTGCATCGGTCTGTTTGAAAGAGCCTCAAGGTCCTAACTATAGCTTCCGGCCAAGATGGTTCTGTATGGTACATTCAGTAAAATCCCCACTTGGCTCCCAACATAACAATGATGGATTTTTTTTAAAGCAATCACTCTTGAAAACCAAGATACACATCTCCATAAACCAGAAATGGAACATAACATGCAGCCTGTTAGGCTCCTGGAAAAGAAATATGCAAAAGCACCATCTTGCCTGCCTCCTCACCACCCTACCTTCAACAAAGAAGCTGAATGAAAGCATGATCACAGCCAAGGGCTGTGAGTGTGTATCTCAATGGCTAAAGGATGCAAGCAGCTGCACTACCAGGAACTAGGGCAAGCCACAGGCTGAGGGAATGAATTTGTGTCATCTTCAATATTGCTGCAGGGAAGGACCATTGCGTTACCATTATCAGGCCCATTTCTGGACATGTGGTTCCCAGGAGACTGTGTGGAGGCAACCACAAAACTACCAAAGAGCAGAAGAAAGGATGTATTTTAACCAGAGAAAAGAGCAGGATGTGAGAAACAATATACAAATCAAATGGTTAAATATGTAGATAACAATTATTACTGACTATAAAATATAGTAATAGCTCATTTTTGTGCTAAAATAAAAATGAACTCAATCCTGTCTCCACAATTGCTAGGTCATCATTGTTTCCAATCTACTGTTCACGCCTACATATATGTAGTTCCACAAGTGTTGGATGCAGGAATGATCTGAAAGGCCTTGAACCATCAAATTGTTACTTATTCATGAAATGAATGCATATAGCTATATCAGAGGACAACTGTATGACTAAGAGTACTTTAAAATAATGTTCCCATAGAACACAATGTTGATTAAAGAATAGGTAATAAACATGAAGTTTACATATACAATATTAAACATAACTACATTCTGCAGCAACTGTTTAGAACTAAGACCAAAACATTTTTCCAGGAGAATATTTTATCACTGACTTTGTTTAGAATTGCCAGTGGATAGTGACAGTAAAAAAACAGACCAATTCTCAGTCAACTTTACTGGTTTCAAATTGTCTACAAACAATATATCCCATATTGCCTGCACCCTGGGCAATGGTTCCCACTGCTATAATTCTTTCAACTCTATCAGTGGTGATATTCTCTTTCAATTATCTTCTTTTTGGCAAATTGTTTTGCAATTCAGGGGAAAGAAGTACTCTTCTGAGGGGTCCTTTGCTGCACACACAGTATTTACTATAGTCTTGGCCTCAATATGATGCTCAATTCCCTTTACACAATCTCTAGCTGATCTTATCTCTTCTGCTGGCTGTAATCACCACTCCTATGTTGTGTTGTTAATCTATAAACAAAGCCTAGATTATTTTCATGAGAGCTCATATACACAAAAGCCTGATGGGCAATCTTTATTTAGACGGATCACAAGCAAGGGGTGCCATAAATGCTGGAGCTAAAGCATGTAAAGAAACCTAACAGAACACACCATCTTGCCTGCCTCCTCACCACCCTACTCTCAACAAAGAAGCTGAAGAAAAACATAATCACAGCCAAGGGCTATAAGTGTGTACCCCAGTGGCTATTGTGTATCGAACACAGTAGCACACAGCTGAGTGTTTACTGTTAGAACTGTTATTCCTCAATTCAGAAATCTGAAAATAAGCCAAGTCTAAGATGTAACCTCATCATCTTCAGAAGGAGCCTTCACATGACATTTAAAAAGAGCACCAGAAAAATAAGAAGAAAGTCTGAGAATAAGTTACAGATGCCAAGGGAAGAGTGTAATTTGAGAAGAAGGTAAACAGTAAGCTCAAGAGATCAAGTAGATTCTGTCTGAAATGGAATTAAAGTTTTTATCATTGAAAAGGGGATTTTCAGAAAACTGGATGTGTGTGTATGAGAGGAAGAATACACAACTATTATAGATTATCTGATGCAATAATTTTGTAGGATAAATACTAAGAAACTGACACTCAGGTAAATTATGTAGCTTTCCTACATAGGTATTTAGAGGGAAAAAAAGGTGAAAAGTCACTTATGCTTCTTGAGAAAACTTTATCCAACATTTGGAATTTTTAAAAAAAAAACTTTTATTTTAGGTTTCGGCGTACATGTGAAGGTTTGTTATGCAGGTAAACAGGTGTCAAGGGGGGTTGTTGTACATATTATTTCATCACCCAGGTATTATGCTCAGTACCCAATAGTTATGCTTTCTACTTTTCCCTCTCCTCCCACCATCCCTCCTCAAGTAGAACCCAGTGTCTGTTGTTTCCTTCCTTGTGTTCATAAGTTCTTATCATTTAGATCCCACTTATAACTGAGAACATGAGATATTTGGTTTTCTGTCCCTGCGTAAGTTTGCTAGTAATAGCCTCCAGCTTCATCCTAGTTCCTGCTAAATACATGATCTCATTCTTCTTTATGGATATATCATATTCCACGGTACACGTGTACCACATTTTCTTTATCCAATCTATTATTAAAGGACATTTAGGTTGATTTCATGTCTTTGCTATTGTGAATACTACTGCAATGAACATTTATATTCATGTGTCTTTATGGTAGAATGATTTATAGTCCTCTGGGTATATACTCAGTAATGGGATTGCTGGGTCTATGGTAGTTCTGCTTTTAGCTCTGTGATCACACAGGTATAGGATAAAAATATAACATCAGGAAAAATATAGCTCATTTGATAATCAATAAAGGAGTACTAGTGCATTAGTCACAACTCCTCAATATAAGATGGCAGACAACTCACTTTAAATGTCCTAGGTTAAAAAGGGGGATTCGTAGCTTGATAGTACTGAAATGTCCAGGAGTGCTTCTGGCTGCATACACAAAAATGGCTGGATTCAGGGGTGCAGCAATGCCATCAAGATGAGTTCCACACTCTCCTCCACGTACCTCTTTCCCAGCAATCACATTTCTTTGTGTTTATTCAAATGAGCTGAAAGCTTATGCCCATGTACATGCCTGCACATGAATGCTTATAACATCTGTATTCATAATTGCTCGTACTTGGATGCAATGAAGTTGTCCTTCAAAAGGTGAATGAATAAACATACTGTGGCATATTCATGCAATGGAATATTATTCAGTGATAACAAGAAATGAGCTACGAAGGCACGATGAAACATAGAGAACTGCAAAAAGCATATTTCTAAGGGACATAACCCAATCTCAAAAGGCTGTATACCATATAATTGCAACTGCAAGTGGTCCCCAACTTATGATGACTCGACTTACAATGTTTTGACTTTGGAAAACAGAGTGGAGGGTCCTCAAAAAATTAGAAATAGAACAACTGGATGATTCAGCAATTCCACTACCGGGTATATATCCAAAGGAATTGAAATCAATATGTTGAAGAGTTATCTGCACTCTCGTTTTTATTGAAGCACTATTGAGAATAGCCAAGATATGAAATCAACTTAAATATCCATGGATAAATAGATAAAGAATATGTGGTTATACATATACAATGAAATATTATTTATCCTCTAAAAAGAATGAATTCCTGTCATTTTTAGCAACATGAATGAATCAGGAGGACAAACTGTTAAGTAAAATAAGCCAGACACAGAAAGACAAATACCGCATGATGTTATTCATATGTGGAATTTGATGAAGTTGAAGTAGAGAAATAGTGGTTACTAGAGGTCGGAGAGAGGAGGGGATGGGAGATGAGAAGAGGTGTATCAGCTGGTACAAAATTAATCATAGATGGGAAAAGTAAGTTCTGGTGTTCTATTGCACAGTAGGGTGACTATAGTTAACAATATTGTATTTTATATTTCAAAACAACTAAAAGAGAGGCTTTTGAATGTTCTCACCACAAAGAAATGGTAACTGTTTAAGGCGATGGATGAGCTATTTACTCTGATTTAATTGTTATATAATGTATATATGTATTGAAACATCACAGTGTATACCATAAACGTACAATTATTATGAGTCAATTATAAACACAATGTTTTAAAAAGATGCTGCAAAAGCAACATGCTTTAAGTATGCTTCTTGATTTATGATGCTGTTACATCCAGAGAAACTCATCTGCATGAGGCCCATTGTAATTTGAGGGGCATCTGTCTGACATTCTGAAAAAGGCAAGACTATGGAGATAGTAGAAAGATCGGTTATTGTCAGGAGTTCAGGCTAAGACTGGATTGAGGGGAGGGAGGTATGGATGAATAGATGGAACACGGTGGATTTTTAGTGAAACTATTCTGTATGATATTGTAGACGTGGATTCATGTCACTATATACTTGTCAAAAGCCACTGATATACCACACAAACAGTGAAACGTAATGTAAACCAGGGACCTTAGTTAACAATAATATATCAATATTGTTCATTAATTGTGATAAATAGAGCATACCAAAACAACATGTTAATAATAGGAGAAACTGTGGGTCGGTTCATTCTGTAAACCTAAAACTGCTCTAAAAATAAAACCTACCAATTAAAAAATCAAATAATTATGTTATTAATTTATTCACCTATTAATTCATTTGATGAATATTTTTTGAGTAAATACTATGTGCCAGACACTATAGCTATATTTGGGGGTTACATAAGCAAAGAAGACATGGTGCCTGCCCCCAAGTAGCGTATATTGCAATGTCAGACATTGTTAACTAAGCATGTGCTCACCCTGTAATCTGGTTAGTGTTACATAGGGGTGAGTATAAAGTGCTATGGGGCCACATAGAAGCAGCAGCCAATTTATTGTTGGAGAATTAGGGAAGGTTTCCCGGAGAGAATAACTTCAAGACAGCCATTTCCAAACTAAATCAATATAACTCTTTCTGCATCCATGCCCCCTAACTAACTAATCTCTTTCTCTTGCATTTAGCCGAATTCAAGGTAAGGGGTATATGTGAATGCCTTTTCCTTGCAACTGCATGTAATCAGGTCCAGAAAGAACTTTCACATTATATGTAACAAACGCTGCTGAGTCCCAAAGCTTGCTCAAATGGAGCCTGAAAACAGGTACTTGGAGAGCAGCTGGGAATCTGGCACAAGACAGGGATCAGAGATTAGAGACAAGGGGGGAAAAGCAAAGCAGAGTAAATCGTAACAGGAGAGTGGATAATCTGGGAAAATGTCACTGACATAAGGTTATTTCTGCCTATGGCTCATCTTGACAGAATTCCTGATGGGGATATTGTGCCAAGGGGACTGATCCATTTGAAGGGCCCTATAGCAAACAGACAGTACTCTAAAATATCAAAATTAGTCATAATGATTGTTCAGTCTACCCAACATCTGTGTCATTTTTATGGCAGTAACACCTTACTGTGCAGAACCTAGTGCAAAATAAAAATGTTAAAATTATTTGTTTGAAAATTATTATCAGTTTCAAAATGGTGGTAGCAAAGAATTAAACCAAGCGCAGAGCCCTTTTAAGTGCGAAACTCTGTGCAGCTATACCAGTCACACACTTATAAAGCTTGCCCTGATCCCAATCCCTCCTTACACAGTCAGTCATCTTGCAAATGCTTGAACTCGGCTAATGAACCGTTAAAATTTGGTGTCTCTGGGACTTTGACAAAACCAAAAGGGCATCAAAATTCATTTAATCCAGATTGTAAATGTTTAACCCTAGCATTCTCCTCATTAAGGGGGAGCATGATCAGTGGGAACAGCTGGTCCTGACATTTTTATCACCTGAGTTCTGAAGCTACATTTAATTTTGCCAAATAGATATATTCAAAGGAGCCAAATTTCTCCTCTAGCTTGGGAATAAATAATAATAGGCAGTGCCTGGCATGTAATAGACACTCAAGACCTTGTTGAATGAATGAATGGAATCATCATATCTTACATCTCTGTACCTTTCAGTCCTATATTTCCACTGCAAGGTTTACTTCTTAAGAAAATAGGTCAAAATGCATACAAGTGATTGCATATGAAGTTACTTATCAAAACACTTTTATAATTGTACACATTTTGATATGACCTAACATTTCTTTAGTTTTTTGATATGGGCAAACAATTTCTGCATTATATTAACTGAAAACAAAGATACAAAACTCAATGTAAGACTAAAATACAAAAGTCAAATACAAGAATGTAGAGGAAAAAAAAGTGCCAAAAGGACAGCACTGTTTTTTCCTGAATGACGGATTAGAGGTACTTTTTCCCCAGAAAGTTTATGTGTTGTTACATATGGTAGGATTTTTAAAAAATATATACGTATGTGAGCATTACTCTTTATTTTGTTTTTCTTTTTTTTTTTTTCAACATCCAGAAGTCCTCACTCTTTTTTATTTTGGTTCTTTAACCAGTTATCTGTATTTCACATCCCATTTCAATGAATCCTACTGATTTCTATCCTGTCCTCAACCACTTATTTCCTGTAACATTAATTACCTTTAGTGTCCCTCTTTCTAGATCACTTTTAGATCATCCCATATAACTCCTTATGCTGAAACAGTTTTATTTTTTAATACTCAATTTTTTTTATTGTTATACTTTAAGTTCTAGGGTACATGTGCACAACGTGCAGGTTTGTTACATATGTATACATGTACCATGTTGGTGTGCTGCACCCGTTAACTGGTCATTTACATTAGATATTTCTCCTAATGCTATCCCTCCCCACTCCCCCGACCCCACGACAGGCCCCGGTGCGTGATGTTCCCCACCCTGTGTCCAAGTGTTCTCATTGTTCAATTCCCACGTATGAGTGAGAACATGTGGTGTTTGGTTTTCTGTCCTTGTGATAGTTTGCTCAGAATGATGGTTTCCAGCTTCATCCATGTCCCTACAAAGGACATGAACTCTTCCTTTTTTATGGCTGCATAGTGTTGGTTTTTCTTTTCCCCACAATTCAAGCAGGTGGTTCAATCCTTTGTAATTCCTTGCCTCAAGCACTTTTTGTAGGATCCAGTACCAAAGCAGCTTATATTTATAGACATGTCCTATTGTTTATAGAAGCTTAAACCTACTGAAGAGTCATGAGTAGGTTTACGTAAATGGAGTCATAAAAAAAAGTGAAAGAAAGATGCCTTTGAAAGTCGAGAAAGGGAGGGGAGAGATCTCTTCAGTCTTGGAAAGACAGACCTATGAGTCCCAAGGTAGGAGGGACCTGAACACCTCTTAGTGAAGGAGTTGTGTGAAGGTGGCAAGACCCCACATGTAGAACAACGTCTATTACCATAATAGGTCAGAGGAGAGGTGAGAAGCTAATCTTCCATGACCTTTATTTGGCAGCTCTTTAAATCCTGGTATTATCCTGGGAGTAGGAATTGGATCCATAAATGATGGGATTTTCTGCCAACACAGAGGAAAAATAACTTGGAGAGAAAATTGTGTTGATTGAAGGGAAAGAATGATATTTTGATTCATTCTAATTGTATATATTTTCTAAAATTTCTACAAAAATTATGCATTGATTTGTTGTCAGAAATAAGCAAGCAGCAATAACAAAACAACATAAAATATTTTCACACTTATTTTACATTTTGAACTATGTTGGGCCCCTGGATGAACAACCAAGATCAAGATATGCATTTTGCAGAAACAAAAGTTGAAAAACTCAAAATATTTTCACATCCATGATTGTGTGTGATTGTCACAACAGTCTTATGAAATTGACAGAGCTGCTTTTACTGTCCCTATTTTTCAGAAGAGAAAACTAAAACTCAAAAAACTGAAGTACCTTGTCCATGGCTACAAAAATAAATTGATTCAAGCCAGGATACGATAGGTTAAGGGTCAACATTGTATCATGGTGAGAAGAGCATCAGTTGTGGAGTCAGAGAGACTTAGGAGCATATGTTGGCTCCACCATTCCCAGATATGTGACCTTGTTTCCAATCTGTAAAATGGGGATAACAGCTCCCTTACAGAATAAAAATGGGAAAGTAAAATGCCATCATGTTACTAATACACCCAGTACATACTAAATATTCAGATAATTGCTAATACCTCTTCCATTTCCCAGCTGTTCCAATTCAATATTCTGACCTGGTTAGATTTCAGCATTTCTTAAAGTATGACCTACAGGCCATCAACTGGAGAACTGGATAAACTAATCATTCTCTTAGTTTAGTCCTACTGAATCAGAACTTCTAGGGTTGAGGCCCAAGACTCTGGATTTCATTATGCTTTTTAAATTATTCATATACACAATAATGCTTGAGAATCACTGTGATTCTCCATACCGTCTAATGATAAAGAATACAGCTGATTTTTACAACTTATCGGAGAAATAACTTTTGTTAAATTCATCTCCTGTGTCTATCTTTCCTGTTATATAGGGGCATTCATATACTAGGCTTAACTTGGTAAATACTCATTTGTGTTAATTAAATATTCAGAAAATATTTTAACAGATGAAATCCCTAATCAAACACTGAAATTCAAGTCTATTATGCCAGCACAAGGAAGAATTCTCCTTCACTGATCTCTCTGCTAAGGTTGACAAGAGACTGAAATATGACATGTGTATTTCATTTAGCACCCAAACTTCAAAGCTCACTTTCTTGTTTCACAAGGAGACCTGTCTGGTTGTTAGCTTCATCCAGGCAAGTGCGGTGGCCTGAACATTTGTGTCCTCCTACATTTTATCTGTTGAAATCCTAACTCCCTAATGTGATACTTTTAGAAGATCCTTTGGGTAGTGATTAGATCATGAGGGCAGAGCCTTCATGAATTGAATTAATGCCGTTTAAAAGAGACTGAGGAAACTTATTTGCCTCCATCTATCATATGAGGACCCAGTAAGAAGGTACCATCAGTAAAACAGAAAATATACCATCACCAGATACAGAATCTGCCAATGCCTTGATCTTGAACTTAGACTCCAGAACTGTGAGAAATAGACTTTTGTTGTTCGTAGGCTACCAATCTGTGATAGCCGCCCAAAAGGACTGAGACAGCAAGTAACATAATTTGAGTTTTTAGGTTCAATGTAAGGTGAAATCAACACCAAGGATAGCACTCAGAAAGCTGTCAACGTTTTAAGTGAGCCCTCGGAACAAGAAAAGTAGTGGCCCTACATATTTATCCAGAGTTAATTATTTTGTAGGAACTCTTAATGACGTGACATTTGTCTCTCTAAAAAAAGTACTTCTTAAATTTTAATGTGCAAAGGACTGACCTAGAGATCTAGTTAAAATGCAGATTCTGATTCAGAAGGGGTAGGGTGGGTCTCAGAATTCTGTACAAGCTCCTAAGTGATATAAATGCTGGTATCACGTGGACCACATTTTGAGTAGCAGGGAACTATAGCGCCCTAATGAACCTACTTCTTAATTTTTCCGATTTTTCTTCAATGTACTTTTAGTAATTATTTTTTATTGACAAATAATCATTGTGTATATTTATCAGCTACAATGTGATGTTTTGATCTATGTATACATTGAAAAAAGATCTAATAAACCTAACTAACATATCCATCACCTCACCAACTTGCTATTTTTGTGGGTGGTGAGAATGTTAAACTTTGATTAGCAACTTTGCAATATACAATATATTTAAGTTGAGCTCCTAAACCGTGTTACTTCTTGGTTATTTTGCATCTAATTCTTTTATCCTCAAATGAGGATTGTTCGTATGTATGATGCTAAAATTACCTTGTAGTAACTTCAAAGATAAAAACCGTGTACTCTTTGTTCAAATAAATGTTTATGGCACTCTTATTGTGTACTGAGCACTGTAATAGGTGTGTTTACTTAAATTTTCTCATGTGATTAATATAACTTATTTTAAGCAAGAACTATTATCTCCATTTCACACCTATAAAAACTGAGGCTCAGGGGGAATAAATAATTTATTCAAGGTTACATAGTTATTAAATGGAACATACAGATTTAAAAAAATGACTTCAAATCCGGTTTGCTTTCAATCATAAAAGTACATAATTATCATTGTATAATCAGTGACTCTCATCTTCTTCAGCAAGAGGCATAGAGTAGGAAAAGAAGTGTACATTTGATAATTTTGCTGAATAGATATTGAATAAAGCAACTAGCATTTTGTTATTTAGTTGAATATTGTACTAAACTGAAAATCTGTTTGTGGTGAAGGTGGTGAAATTTAAACTAAACATGATTTCTTGGGATGTTCATTTTTCCCCAGGCTTGTCTTGTGGAATATGCTTTTCTAAACTTTTATTTTAGGTTCAGGGGTATATGTGCAGGTTTGTTATATAGGTGAACTGCATGTCATGGAGATCTGGTATAGAAATTATTACCCAGGTAATAAGCACAGTACTTGACAGGTATTTTTTCTGATCCTCTCCCTCCTCCCACCCTTTACCATTAAGTAGGGCCCAGTGTCTGTCTTTTCCCTCTTAGCGTCCATGATTTCTCATTGTTTAGCTCCCACTTATAAGTGAGAACATGCGGTATTTGGTTTTCTGTCCCTGCATTAGTTTGCTTAGGATAATGGCCTCCAGCTGCATCCATGTCCCTGCAAAGGACGTGATCTCATTCTTGTTTATTGCTGCATAGTATTCCATGGTATATATGTATCACATTTTTTTTTATCCAGTCCACTGTTGATGTGTACTTAGGTTGATTCCACATCTTTGCTATTGTGAATAGTGTTGTGATGAGCATATGAGTGCGTGTGTCTTTTTACCAGAATGATCTATTTTCTTTTGGATTTATATCCAGTAATGGGATTGCTGGGTTGAGTTGTAGTACTGTTTTAAGTTCTTTGAGAAATCTCTACACTGCTTTCCACAGTGGCTTAACTAATTTACATTCCCATCAACAGTGTAGATGCCTTCCCGTTTGGCCACGGCCTCACCAGCACCTGTTTGAACAGGTTTACATTAATTACTGTATTCATTCAAATAGCAATGTATTGCAAACCTACGTAGACAACAGAATTGGGGTTACAACTATCCGCCTGCAAATAATGCAGAGTTTCTACCCTAAAGAAGAGCATAATTTTGTATAAAAAGAGGGAGAATGAAGTGTAAGAAGACTATTTTAATAGAAGTATGAGTGATGGGGGTGTTCAGAAAGTGCTAAAGAGCACAGAGAAGGAAGGCTCTAAGTGGGGAGAATTTAGAAAAGACTGTGAAGGCATTAACTTGTGGGTTACATCTCAAAGGATGGGGAGAGGAGTACAAAAGACAAGGGGGATGGCATTATGTATTACTGTGCACCAAATGGTCTGAAAAGCATCAGAATGCAGAAACACATGAATGAGCATAGTCTATTCTGGACTAGATGCATTTCAGGATTATTGGTCCATGAAGTGCAATGAGGCAATGAGTGATGAGAAATAAGGCTGGAAATAAAAGTAGAAGCCACATATGTAAGGCTGTGCATGTCCTGCTTAGGAACTTATAATTTATCTAGTAGGCTATTATTTCTCAAAGTGTGTTCCTCAGACACCTATGGGTACTCATGACACTTTCAGGGAGTCTGCAAAGGCAGAACTATTTTCCAATTAATACATATACACTATTTGACTTTTTCACTCTGCTGACACTTTCACTGGTGATTCAACAGCAATGATGGGTAACACTCCTGCCACATTCACAAAAATCAAGACTAGCACCAGGGCCAGGCATGTTGGCTCACGCCTGTAATCCCAACACTTTGGGAGGCTGAAGCGGGCAGATCCCTTGAGGCCAGGAGTTCGAAACCAGCTTGGTCAACATGGTGAAACCCCATCTCTACTAAATATATAAAAATGAGCAGGGCGTGGTGGCGCGTGCCTGTAATCCCAGCTACTTGGGAGGCTGAGGCAGGAGAACTGCTTGAACCTGGGAGGAGGAGGTTGCAGTGAGCCGAGATCACACCACTGCACTCTAGCCTGGGCGACAAAGCAAGACACCATCTCAAAACAACAACAACAACAAAAACCAAAACAAACAAAAAAAACCCACTAGCACCAAAGTGCAAATGTGTACTGTAGAACATACTAGTAATCCTGTATTCTTCACTGTTAGATACTCACAGTTAAAAAAAAAAAGTTTCACATGGGAATGCTCTTAATAAAGCAGTGAAAACTATTCATTTTATTAAATTTCAACCTTGAGCACATGTGTTTTTAACATTCTGTGTGATGAACTGGAAAGTATGCACTGATCACTTCTGCTGCAGACTGAAGTATGATGGTTGACTCTAGGAAAAGCACTGGTATGATTTTTAGAATTGTGAGCTGAACTAGATGCATTTTTCATGAAACACTGTTTTTGCTTTAAAGAATGACTGACAAGCAAACCGGCTATTCAGACTGGGCGTTTGGTAGATATTTTCTCAAAAATATATGAAGTGAGCCTATCACCTCAATGACAACAAATGACAGTGTTTGTTGTCAATGATAAAATGTAAGCTTTCAGTGAAAATTAAAATTTTGGAAAACTTCTATCTACTATAGTGAGCTTGACGGCTTCTTCATACTTAAATACTTTTCTGCTGAGATTGGTGATGATATTAAAATATGTGAATGTTTGATGTTTATAATGGAATGTGTCAACATTTGAAAGATCTATATATCTTAGTGAGCCAATATTTTCAAAATGTCCAGTGGTTGGTGTGACCAAATTATGCATGGGTAATATCCATTCAAAGTATAAGACAGGCCAAGGGACTTTAATGTAACAAAGTACAAAAAGTTCATTAATATGACATCAAATACCACATTATTGCCAGCCCTTAAGAAATGACTTCTTGTGTAGTTTTACCATAGTATCCAAGAATAATAACCAAAATGATATGAAGAGGCTATTTTCCAACTACATATACGTGGGAGGCTAATTTTTTATGTAATTCAACCCAAATGATATATTGCAAGAGACTGAATGCAGGATTAGATATGAGAAACCAGTTTTCCTCTATGAAGCCAGATATTAAATAAATTAGTTAGAAAAATATAAAACAATCTCACTTTTCTTCATTTTTTGTTTTGAAAAACATAGTTATTTTTAGTAAAGTATTTATTTTAACTGTCAATGGGTTTATTATTGTTACTTTTCTTTTAATTTATAATATGGTTTTTGTCCTTAATACTTATTAGGAGGGTCATAAAACAAATTTAAAAAGGGTCATAAAACCAAAACGTTTTAAAACTGCTGCTGTAGGTGATAGAAAGCTACTGAAAGCTTCAATGTAAGGGGGGTCAAATTTAACGTAAAGAGGCCAAATTTGATTTTTAGAAACATCACTCTGACTGCTCTTCGAGACTGCATGCAAGGTATCTTACTGTTAATTTCTAATTTTTGGAAGAATACCATTTTATATAATATAAACATTAAACATATTCAAACCACAGCAAGGTTTGCAGGGGATGGGTCATTTTTCCAATAAGAAACAATGTGATTTTGAACTAGAAAGGTGAAGTAACTTGCCCTTGGTTACTCAAAATATCCATGCCAGGATTTGAACTCAAATATGTCTGACAGCAAAATCTATATTTTTTCCCATTACACTGTACTGTTTTTTTTATTCTTTATTACAAAACATACGTATTTCCTTCACTTTGACTATTAGAGAAGTCATTGTTTTATTAACAAGAACTTCAAAAAGTTATTTCTCATTTTCTTGCTTTACCTTGCATTCTTCGTGTGACAGAAGCCAGAGGAATAGTTATTTCCAGGCAAGCACACAATCAATCACTGGACAAAAAAAAATTACTTGAAACAGTAACATTTTTCCAGAGCAAGGCCACTATAAGAAAAATAAGGTAAAACTGCACCCATGTGCTCTCCCAACAGACACATACATGGACAGGTATAATGCATACATAGTTACAAAGAGGTAATTGTGTTGGTTTCCTGTTGCTTCTATAGCAATTCACCAAAATCTTAGTGGTTTAAAACAAGAAAGATATATTATCTTATAGTTATGGGCATCAGAAGCATAACAGAGGTCTCATTCTTCTAATATTAGGCATTGGTTGAGTGTGTTCTTTCTGGAGATTCTAGGAGATCATCCATTTTCTTGCCTTTCTTAGCTCCTAGAAGTTGCCGGCATTCCTTGGCTCATAGTCCCCTCCCATCTTCAGAGCCAGAAATTATACCACTCTGACCTCTACTTTCATCATCACATCTCCTCCTCAGACTCTGACTCTCCTGTCTCCCTTTTTCACATATAAAAAACTCTTGTGATTACATTAGCAATCAACTGATTAGCAGCCTCAATTCTATGTACAACTTTAATTCTTCCTTGCCATGTAACAATATATTCCAGGTTTCAGAAATTACAAAGCTAGACATCTTTTGGTAAAATATTTTGCCCACCACAGTACATTTTTTGCACTGTCCATACCCCCATTTAAGAATATAGAAAAGCAGACTATTGGCCTAATTTCACTTGATATCACCTCCTCCAAACAGACACGCACACCAAACACACACACACACCACACACACACACACACACACACACACACACACACACACACACACACACTTCTAAGTAGTTTTGGTTTTGGCATCTTTAGTTTTCTTTACTATACAATTGTCACTCCAAATTATGTTGCACATCTTTTCTTGTCTTTCTTTCTGACCTAGTACTATCTAGAAATACAGACTTGGATGATAAGAAGTTGATTGTCCTAAATTCTGCTGAGGATGTTATTGCTAATTCATTCTTGAACAGACTGAATGAGATGAGTGTCTTTCAGTTTGCAACTGAAGAGAATAAATTTCATGTCAGCAAAATCCATAAAAATTCTTAGGGTGTTTTCCTCAATTTGGTACATTGTCTTTTTACTTGATCAGTACTTTTTTCAAACTAGACATATTAGCTGGAGAGGAGTTAGGGAAGAAGATGACCCTGACGCTATGATATTATTTGAAGAACGAACTGATTCTTTTTCAACAAATCTAAAATATGGCAATAAACTTGTGTTACTGACTCCATAGCCACTCATTTATCCATATCCAATCCACTCATATTCCTTCCAAATGGCACTAGTATTTTTTTTGGTTCTACTTTTTGTTGTATTTTTTAAATTTTTTATTTAAAGCACTCTAACATTTAAAATGTCTACACAATAGTATATCAAATAGATAGATATAATTTGACTTCTCTAAACATCCATCTGCTTTTTGGGGTAATGGACGTCTAAGTTGTTTCCAGTGTGTCCCTAATTGTGTCCCTAATTACACACACTTTCTGCAATCAGCACTTTAGAGTCAGGGTTTCCAGTTTCAGCCCTATTGATAATTATTTTCTGTGGGGGGGTTTCCTATAGGTGTAAGATGTGTAGCAACATTCCTGGCCTCTATCCACCAGATGCCCGTAGCACCCTCACAGTTGTAACAAACAAAAACATCTCCAGATATTGCCAAATATATCCTGGGGTCAAAGTTGCCTTTGATTGAGTATCATTGCCTTAGAATATATTTGTTCCTTTAGTGGCATTATTTCTTTGTGACAGATTTCCAGGATCAGAATTTATGGGTCAAATAAAAATCTTTGCACAGTTCTTGATATATTAGCAGATTACTTTCCCAAAGGGTGTATCCTCTTTCCCTGTCCACCAGTAAAATCGGAGTGACCCAATTCTGCATTAACTGCAGGAGTCTCAGTTAATATCACTTTATTTTTGTTAATTTGCTGATGCAAACTCTTACTTTACTATTATTATGTTTTATTTTAGTTTTCTTTCCTTGAATACTTAAGAATAAAATGCTGTTTATGTAGGTTTACCATTTGTAATTTTTATTTTGTGAAATGTCATTTAAGTTCCTCAGTCTCTTCATGTTATAGGGTTTCTGGGAGTAACAAAAGAGTGAAAAAATATAGCAAAAAGGCCCTTTACAGAACTGAGGTAGTCTTTTGTAAGTGAGGGCTAATTCATAATTTTTTAAAAAAAGTTTATGGTCTGCATTTATTCAAGACTGTGGTATTATTTAGGAAAAATAAAGCAATATCTGAAATGACTAGTAAATCTTATTTTACGATTTCTCAGTCACCAATGGGCTTCATTTTGGGGAAAGGTGGGCTGAATTTTCAAAATTTGCTATCTAATGTGCATTATGGTAGCTGGTTGATAATTCTGCAACTTTAAATAGATATCCTTGTTGATTAAGACTCTTTTGAGGTTCTGAAGTTTGTTTAGTCATTCTTTGACCTTGTAAGGTATTCAGTTGCAATTTTTTTTATTATACTCTAAGTTTTAGGGTACATGTGCACAACGTGCAGGTTTGTTACATATGTATACATGTGCCATGTTGGTGTGCTGCACCCGTTAACTGGTCATTTAACATTAGGTATATCTCCTAATGCTATCCCTCCCCCCTCCCCCGACCCCACAACAGGCCCCGGTGTGTGATGTTTCCCTTCCTGTGTCCATGTATTCTCATTGTTCAATTCAATACTGCCTTCTTGAGAAGACATTTGTTCTTCGTATATATAATAATCAGAAATGTTTTTGAAACAAATTATGTACTACCTTGCCCACTTATTTTTAAAAATACCTCTCTTCTCCACTCTTGCCATCTCACATCACTACTAGTTTATTTCTCCTTCCACTTCCTAGAACGAGGCAAACGCCATTGACCAATTATTTTCTGTCTACTAGACCTGGCCAGGAAAGACTGAATTGTTCAATATATAGAGGGTTGAAGTTAGGGACAGAAAGGGGCCCTGGATTTATTTTTCTCTGAGCCTCAGTTTTTTCCAGTATACTTTGAGGGATGCTGAAACGAGATCTCAGGTTCCGTAACAGACTCAGTGAGGTCAGTGGCACAGCAAAGCCCCTGGATATTCTCACTGCTCTGGTCTCTTACTGTCATAGATCTAGAAAGTTCCTGTGGAGAAGCCACATCAAACTTGAGCAACAACACAAATGCCGAGGTTCTTTATGAGCAAAAGGTGGAATTACTCAGAAACTCATTCTCAAACTATATAGTCAAATAAAAATCTTTGTATAGTTCTTTCCCAAAGGGTATATCCTCTTTCCCTGCCTCCGATAAAATATATATCTACCATGTCAGAAAGCATTTATAAGTTTATATGAAATGCAAATTTTATGTTCAGCAACTATCAGAATTAATACTTTGTAGAATGTTACATAACCCATCTATTTCATAAATTTTCTTTATATTAACTTTTTTCATTAGCCAAGACTTTTGATGCTGTATTTTACAAAATTTTGTGGTCTTTTAGTTAAAATTCAAGACTGATTTAACTTGAATATGAAATGTTTCTTTAACACAACTCCAAATTACAGCTAAGTGAACTTTTAAACTACAGTATTACATTTTTAGAAGAAAATAAACAATGTAATAACTAGACAATCTTGTTGAACCTTCTGTCATAATGATATTTCTGCCCTGACTTGATTACTTGACTTCATTTTGCCAAGTTTATTGCCCGAAAAGGATACCAAAAAAAAAAAAAAAAAAAAAACCCACAAATCGCTACCTGTAACAAATGTTATAGATTTAATATCTCCACGAAGGCAGCTTCAACACTGGTTCTTGGGTTGCTACTCTAAGGAAAAGCAGCCATTCAGTTTTCTTGTCTTTTATTTTTCTAAAACTGAGTCAAGCAGTTGAATCAGACAATCTGTAGTCTCTTGCTAACAAAAAAATAAGAAGAAGCTGATACCCAGGACCAATGACCCATACGCCTATTAACAACCTATGGGATGCTCTTGGCTATGTCTTACACTACACTAGTGCACAGCACAGAAGAAAGTCATTACAGGGTGCAGGTATTTGTGCAAGTGAAAATGTGTATGGGAGGCAAAGGGTCATAATATCCAGAGAAATCTCTAACAATGGGTGATGTTGGGAAAAAGGGAAAAGACTCTTTTCCTAGGATGTTTTGAATGCTGGTCTGGAGATGGAGAGAAGCTTGAGGTCATTTAAAAGCTTTCAGAATGGTTACGTAGCACCAGGTTTTGACAGAAATGAGCAGTGTTTCTCTTTGTCTCCTAGATGCTGGAAACATTTGGTAAAGGAGTAAGAGATCTTTGATTCCAGAAGACTTCCATTGGAGGAATTGCTGGGCAACTTAAAAATGCTAAAATCTCAGTTTCTTCTCTATTAAACAAAGATCAACTTGGTTGATTGGGAATTTCCACGTTCTTACTTCTTATTTCCTTTAAACTCCACGTCAATGTTTACACACAGAGAAGCCTCTGTATTAAAAAGGATATCATCTTCATTTTAAGCATCATTTGACTCTGGGGATGTTCGTTGTTCCTCTATCTTAAAAACCACTTTTTACAGTATTTATACTATCCTGACAATGCAACAGTGACCCTCATCGTTCTTTGCGTTAGCTCCTTTTAGGCATTCTGCTTTTTCAAGCTAAACTGCTTGTGGGATTCCATCTGTTTAGTAACATTTGGTATATAATTAAACTAGAAAAAAAAAGACAACCTGGGGGAATCCCTGGGCAAAGTTTAACTAAATGCCCTTTTCCCATTCCATCTCTTTAAAGAAGTTCAGGAAATTAGATGAGAAACTCTGATCCTGTTGCTTTCTTTAAAGGTTGGAGAGTTTTACTTCTTACTAGAGTCTCCAGTTGTAATAAGGCAGATTCTTAAGATAGGGTGATATCTCCAAGAGTAAGTCCATCATCACTCATCTGAGTAACACTCAGCCAGATAGATCATAAGCTTTGAAGCAAAGATCTGGATTTAAGTCTTGCATCTGCTGTTTACTTGCCATGTGTTATCAAACCTTACAACTCCGAATATCAGTTCCATATGTAAGATGGAAATAATGTCCTATAATAACCTTCTAGAAGCCTTGTGAGAATCAACTCAGGATAAAAAAAAAATGTAAAGCAACAGCAAAATGTTTGGCGTGTAAGAGGCCAATTAATATTAGTTGAATATATAAATGCAATAATGACTCTGGAAGGTAGCTATTGTAATTCTCACTTTACAGATGAATAAACAAGTTCAGAGACATTAAGTTACTTGTCCAAGGCCACACAGCGCTCAGGCCTTTAACCAAAGTGTTATACCCTTGACCTCTCTTTTCTCCTCAATCCTGTCCTCTCCCCAAATCTAACCCATTAGCAAACCTGCCCTAAAATTTGTTCTAAAATCCTGATATTTGTCATCATCTCTGCTACAATCATCCTATTCCAAGTCTCACACATTATCTCTCATCTGTTTATTTCAACAACCTCTTTTAACTCTTGGTTTTAACTCTTACCTTCTCTGGTATCTGTTCCCAATACAGCAGATGGGATGATCTTTTTAAACCATAAATCAGGCCACGCCAGTTTCCTGCTTAACACTAGACAATGGCTCCCATCTGCACTTAAAATCAAATCCAAACTCCTTAGCAGAAGCTTCAGGACTCTGTATTATCAGATCTTTGTCTGTGCCTCTAATTTGGTCTCTTACTACTCTTTCACCTTGTTCACTGTTTCAATTTCACCAGCCTAATTGCCGCTTCTTATGCAGCCAAAATGCTTTCCTGCCTCAGAGCTTTTACCATTCCTCTGTTTGGAAGGCACTTGTACCAGAACTTCCCAAGGTTTACCCTCATCATTCAGGTCTCTGATCAAATGTTACCTCTCCAAGAGGCCTTCTCAGACCACCTTACCTGAAACAACATCATGATCACACTCAGTCCTTGACTCCTCACCCTGCCTTATTTTCTCTCTAGCGCTTACCACTATCTAAAATTACTGTATTTACTCCATTTTTTACTTGGTTATATTCTGCTTCACCTTACTCCCAAAAGATATGCCTCTTTCATGTAAAAAAGACAAAACAAAACAAAACAAAACAAAAAAACAGAAACAAAAAAAAGTCATTTAAGTGGAAGGGTGAATTAGCAAAATATATTTTGGTTTTTAAGATCCCAGTCTAATCATATGAGTCCTTAAAAGGTGACAACTTTTCCTGGCTGCAGTCAGACATATGTGGAAACAGAAGAAGGGTCAGAGAGATGTGATATTGCTGGCTTTGAAGATGGAAGAAGGGGAGCCACAAAGCAAGGAATGCTGGGAGCCTCTAGAAACTAGAAAAGGCAAGGAAACAGATTTTCCCCTAGATACTCCAGAAATAAACCCAGCCCTGCCTATGCTGCGATATCATCCCAGTGAGATTTGTATCAGACTTCTGACCTACAGAACTATAAAATAATAAATTTGTGCTCCTTTAAATTGCTTTAAAAAAAGGATTAATTAGCAAAACCATTTGATCCCAGACAACTGATGAGTTTCCCACTGTAGAAACAATACAAAGGCAAGCATTTTTACAAGCATTCAAACCCTCAGGACACCATTTAGCAAAGAGAAAAATCATCCAACCTTCTGCTCACTCAGGAATCAGGGGTAGGAATAGCACGGTTGATTTCCTCTCATTTTAGTGATTAGTTGTAAACTTTTCTCCACCAAGTCTTTTGTCAAAGCTACTAATAAGAAGCCAAATTGACTCATTTGATCTTAACCTTTTCTCTCCAGCCCTGCGCAGTGCATATTGAAGGTGCTAATGAACAGCAAACTGGCTCAGTGCACAATCACAGGAGGCCAAAGGAGAAGCACGGCAGAGCAGAGATTCCTGAACACGTTGGCTAATGTGGCTTGTATTTCTTACAAAATTTCTTGTCTAAAAACACAAAGATGTAAGGTTTGGTTTATTTATCCCTGAATATCTGCTGATACAGGGAGATGACCAGCCTAATAGGAATTAGCAAGAAATGGAGAAGTGGCTCAGAAGCAGCCTAACCACCTAAATGACAAAGGAAATCAAACTGTTCAATATTAGCATCAACAGGCTTCACACCTAAGTAAGCCAGGGCTTCACCAATACTTTAGTAAGGGAGGGGTGTTGTTTATATCAGTCTCATACTGCTGTAAGTTCTGTGTGTTATTGTCATTACTGTAGACATATAAACTGCTTAGTAAATAATATAATGTATTTCGTAATGATTTGTTTACTTAACTAATTCTGAAGATTAATTCATCCAGTGGCTGAAATCACTCCCTAGAGTGGGTATATAACACTGGCAAAATGCACTCTCACAATTCAAGCCATACCTGAAGTTCACAGTAGCTGCAGAGAGCTGGGTTTATCCTATGAACCTGGGATTGGAGCTCTTCTATCAGCCAGAATATTTTGCAATACTGTTTGGCATAGAGACAAACATGCTGGAAGACTGTCAAAGGGAATTTTCTCACCAATAGGAGTATTCTTTCATATATATAGGAAAAAATGGCATGGCTTGTTTGTTTATAAATCTCATACTGCTTGCCACCACTTGAGCAGTAATTCTGAAAAGTGAAATGTTGGTGAGCATGTAATTCATTTGGAGCTCTGAGTTTTCCCATTTGGTGGCATACAGTGAGCAAAAAAAACTAACAGTAGGTCAGACTCTGTGCTGTGTTGGCAAGACATCCTCAGCGCCCCAGATTTCACTCCCAGTGTGAGATTTACACTGCACGGCAGCCACTGCAATGCACCTCTTTTTGCATTTCTATTTAAACAAGCGTTTGGATAAATGCTCTGATGTCACCGCTCAAAATAAAGATTGCTGCAAGACCCAACTGCAAGGAGTTGTTTAACATTCTGTGCACATACCCCTGCAAAGTCAGCACATTCTCAAAGTGATTTCATAGCTCAAACCTTCATTGTAAGAGAACAGTTAGGTCCCCCACATAAATTGGCTGTCTCTGGAGCATTTCCTCTTGGTCCCTAATTTGTCATGTTACAGAATTAGAGCGCTGTGTCTTTACTTCCCAGGCCAGTATGCTCATCTGTTCCAAGGATGTCTATCTTGCTAGTCATCAGTGCTTTTGTCCTATGAGAGTGTATTCTTATTGTCCACCAGTGAAGTCATGGTTCTTTAACTGAGGATAAAAATTTACCTTTTTATTCATCTACACTTAATTACACACTACAACACATAGTCACAACAATAGCTATTCTTTTAGGGCCTCTACTTTATGCTAGGAGCCAGAGTTGTGTACATAATTCACGGGGTTCAGTATGAAATGAAAATACAGGACCTGTTCAAAATTATTAAGCATTTCAAGATAATGACAGTAGAGTATTAAATCAAATGCTGAACCCTTCTAAATGCAGGGCCCTGTGTGATTACTCAGATAATGTGCCCATTAACCATTCCTAACTCCTCCCAGACTCCCACTACGCTTCCCAGATTCTGGTAATGATTCTTCTACTATCTATGTTCATGGGTTTAATTGTTCTGATTTTTAGATCCCACAAATAAGACCTACTATTTGATAGCACAATAGGGTTACTATAGTCAATAATAACTTAATTGTATATTTAATAATTTAAAGAGTGCAATTGGATTTTTTAAAAATTCAAAGAATAAATGCTCAAGGGGATGGTTACCCCATTCTCCATGATGTGCTTATTTCACATTGCATGCCTGTATCAAAATACCTCATGTAACCCATAAATATATGCACCTACTATATACCCACAAAAATAAAAAAAAATTAGAAGATAATGTGCTTATAAGCCAGCCCTGCTAAAAGTGAATTTATTTATTTATTTATTTATTTACTTACTTATTTTTTGTGGCTATATAATACCGGCACATATTTATGGACTACTTGTGAAATTTTGATATGAGCATACAATGTGTAATGATCAAATCAGGGTAATTGGGATATCCATCATCTCAAGCATTTATAATTCTTTTATGTTAAGAGCAACCATTTTTACTTCACTAGTTACTTTGAAAATGCAGTAAATTAGTGCAAACTATAGTTACTCTATTGAGCTATCAAAATTAGATCTTATTCCTTCTATCTAACTGTATTTTTGTACCCATTAACCATCCCCTCATATTCCCTCTCCACACTACCCTTTCCAGCCTCTGGTAACTATCACTCTACCTTCTATCTCGATGAGATCTATTTTTAATCTCTCATATATGGTTAAGCACTTGTGATATTTGTCTTTCTGTCCCTGGCTTATTTTGCTTAACATAATGCTTTCCTGCTCCATCCATGTTGTTGCAAATGACAGGATTTCATTTTTTATGGCTGAATAATATTCCATTGTGTATATGTAAACCAAAATTATCTCTGTTTTCCAAGGATGGAAACCAAACTCAGTGAAGTAACACGTCAGAAATTACACAGCAAGAAAGGGATAGTACCAGGCGCATTGACTCAAAAACCTATCTTCTTCCTATTATAGTAAAGGTTAGCAAACTATCGCTTACAGGCCAAATCTGTCCACAAGCTAAAAATGGTTTTTACATCCCTCATTTGTTAAGAAAAACAAAAGAAGTATAATATTTCATGACACTTGAAAATTACATACAATTCCAGTTTCAGTGTCCATAAATATTATTTTGTTGGAACACATTCATGCCAATTCTTTACTTACTACCCAACTGTTCTTGCACGATAACAGCAGAGTTCAATACTTGTGCCTAAGACCAAAGCCTAAAATATTCATCTTTTACAGAAAGTTTTCCTACATGCAGCCAGTGAGCACAGACTCATTTGAATGAAAAATAAAATGTATATATGTATATTTAATTGGATATTTCACTATCCTAGGCGTCCTCATTTTGTAGGGCTGCCCTAACAAAGTACCACAAACTGGATGGCTTAAAACAACAGACATGTGTTGCCTCACGGTTCTGAAGGGTAGATGCTGGAGGGCAAAGGGTTGGCAGGGTTGGTTCCCTTCTGAGGGCTGTGAGGGGGGATCTGTTCCATGCCTCTTTCCCAGCTGCTGATGGTTGCCGGTGATCTCTGACATCATTAGGCATCACATTGATTTCTGCCTTCATGTTCACATGATATTCTTCTTTTGTGGGTGTGTCTCTGTGTCCAAATTTTCCCTTTTATAGAAGGGCACCAGTCATATCAGAGTAGAGTCTTCCCTAATGACCTAATCACAACTAAATCATCTGGGAAGTTTCAATCGCAAATATAGTGACATTCAAAGGTAACTTTAGGTGAAATTCTACTGAGGGTTGGAACTTCAACTTTTTTTATTTTATTTATTTTATTTATTTGTTTATGTTTTTTTCCAGAGGGAGGCACAATTCAAGTGATAACACTTAGGATAAATTTTTAAAAGTAGGCAATCAAAAAAATAAATGAGCAAACAATGTACAATCATGTATCATTCCTCCATTTATTTTCCCACCCCTTGCAATCACGCAAGAAATATTTATGGCACCTTTCCAAATCAATGTTCTCCATTTTTCAACCTTTATCTTATCAAATTTCTCAGATCTGGGGAGCATCTTTGATGTGCATTCAACTCTGCCTCCAAACTCCTTTGTTCTAGTTTGTATCACTCAAATCAGGTGATGCAATATAGGTCTTTTTCCTCACGCATGTTCTGAACATTAGGATATACACCATGATGGGGTTTTACACTTTATTCATCTTGTCCACTTAAATCTCATTTTATCCTTAAGACGTATGTTTGTATTTTCTGTTGGATACCATATACTTGAAAACAGAATGATACTTTATCAGAAACCCAAGGCTATCAAGCTGTTCATTGTCTCAGTTGAATTTTCAGCAAATGCCTTTTGTAATTCTAAAGCATTATGGTGTGCCTTCAATTCCTGGCACACTATTGCAGACTGCATCGTCCCTGCAACTGCTGGATACTTATCTAGCACTTTAACACTCAGGAATCACTTTCGTCTTCAAAGCACTGCTTCCTGACTTAATTAATCTTTCTAATTTCCAATGAAGTAAGTGTGCTATCCATCCTTTTACTTTATATTAAGGGCAAGTGCAGTAAGAGGAATCATTTATATAGCATTGCTGATCCTTCTTAATGAGTGAGGATCTAGTTATCTTTGCCTGAGTTGAGAAAGCAAGTAAGGTTTTGGTCCCAGAGCCACAGAATTCCTAATTATCCTTACATGGACTCACTACTCATCAAATACAAATACCCAGCAGAGAGTGACTGCGTAATAAACACTCGGTGATTGAATGGAAGTAGGAATCAAAGCACATTTTAATATCTAGGATGCATCAAGCACCAAGTAAAGTCATGTATATACTCAGTTTGCTTTTCTCTCTTTTTATTTTAAGCGTTTTTGGGCACACATTTGATAAATAAAAATTGTATATAGTTTGTGTGTATATATATGCATATATTAAATATATGTAATTATATACATTATCAGGTTTTTTGTTTTCTTCAATTAAGATGACAGTACATGTATGCTAGGAATTTATAAAATGACTTCCCCATACTGCCCACCTCATCTCTGCTGTTTCACTACCACAGTCTCTGGCACAACCCCATTATATAGAGATTTCAATTATTGTGTGTCGTGTCTAAAGTGCTTTCAAAGCTTTAGTGTATAAGATAAACCCCTCAATCTAATTTTTGCTGAAGGTACAACGCTAGGTAGTCATGATCCCTTTATCCTTGCTCTGTCATTCCTTTTCACTGTTTGGCTACAGTTAAGCAGATCAGAGGTAGGAACATGAGCAAAGGGCAAACTGTGATATGGCCTGCCACACACTGAAAAAATGACCACCTAAACATGAATAGACAGAGCTGATCTGCTCCTTGTTCTGAGGAATGTGAACTGAAAACAATGCAGGGAGTGAGGTCATTAACAAAGAGCTAAATCTGAAAGGCAAAGAACCCATGAACAAGTATAGCGTTATGAGAGTTATGAGGGAAGTAGAGCAAGTGCAAATACATGGGACCAAGGGTTTTCCCTCTCACTCATTTCATGTTCTAGATTTCAGCACCTTGTTCTCTATGTTGCTCTCTAATCATATGATTATCATCAATTTGGCTATTTCAAAATCCATACAGATGACACTACTACACCCTGGACTCTTAGCTACTTGACCTTCTCACTTCCAATTTTCTTGGCCTCCATTCCACCTTGAGCACTCATTTCACAATTAAAATGATCAGACTTACAACTCCTTGACTCCAAAGACTGAACTAACATGAATAAAGTATTCAGTGTGGATTATTACAATAGTCAAGGGAAAATAGGATGGTTGCTCCTACTAGTGAGCAGGCAGTAGAAATGGTTATAGAAATGATACATTTACAATAAGTTTATAATCTTGAATAACATAATATACTATGGAATATAGTTTGATGTTAGAGCCAACAAAATTTGCTGATGCACTGGATAGTGGTGGTGGTGCTGAGGAAAGTCATAAAGGATGGCAACACATTTGTCCTGAGAAACTGGGTGAATGGTGATGCCATTTATTAAGGTGAAGAAACAGTACTGGGGGAAATAACTCAGAGTTCATTTTTCGACAAGAGGAAATGTCAAGTAGGAAATTGCACATAGGAATATGTGTTCAAAAGATATGTCAAATTTGAAAGGCAGTAGCATATAAAGAACAGTTAAATCTATGAATCTGAAATCGCCTAGGTAGTCAGTGTAGAAAGCAAAAAGAAGTGAATAAAGAACTAAGCTCTGGGACACTCAAACTTTGAGCATTTTGGAAGAGAGGAAGTAGAATATCCTTTCCTGGATAATGATGAGTATCTCATGAGTTACCAGGGTGGTAAGATGTGAATCAAAGGACATGAACAGAAAAACGAAGACAGTAAAAAGAAAATAGTGTAAAAAAAGCAAGTCACTCTGTTTTCTGGCTGGAAAGTTATATGAGTCAGCTCACCAGTGAGTATATTAATAAGTATATATTAGTATATTAATAAAATCACCGTGATTGGATACTTGAATGAGTTGGGGTCAACAGTGCTCACAAAAACAAATCAAATCTATACACATATCAAACAACAACAACAACAATATACACTTGCTATACCTGTTTAGCTTGATATAGATACTATTTAGAAGTCAACTAAGAGCAATAGTAATATAATTCATATGCTTAGTTTTATTTTACAACTCTTAAACTCAACTTTTACCAAGAGAAAGACTACTTATAACTAGATACTTTAAAAGAAAATAGCAAATTTCTAACATACCTTAACAATGTTACCTACTTTAATTTCATTAGAAACCACTCATTTTTCAGTTTAAATCAAGAATAAGTACTTCTCAACCAGGCGCGGTGGCTCACGCTCATAATCTCAGCACTCTGCGAGGCTTAGGCGGGTGGGTCATTTGAAGTCAGGAGTTTGAAACAAGTCTGGCCAATATGGTGAAACCCCATCTCTACTAAAAATACAAAAATTAGCCGGGCGTGGTGGGGCATGCCTGTACTCCCAGCTACTTGGGAGGCTGAGGCAGGAGAACCGGAACCCGAGAGGCAGAGGTTGCAGTGAGCCGAGATCAAACCACTGCACTCCAGCCTGGGAAATACAGCGAGACTCCGTCTCCAGAAAAAAAAATTCTCCTCTGTGCTGCAGACATCTACCTTGTGTCTTTATTGAAACATTAGAAATTACAGTTATCTGCTTATGTCTTATGTGCCTTCTCTCCCCACTATCATATACATTCTTTAAAAATGAAAACTATGCTAGTATATCCATTTGTGAACTTAGCTTTTATCCCAGAGCCTAGACCAGTGCATTCACTTATCAAAAAACATATGTTGAACACTCACTAACTCCATCTTTAGGAAACTCCATTGTTCACAGGTTTTCCTTTGTAAAAAGCTTAGGAAAAGAAAGCCGATTACTTCTCAGATTGAATGCCATACTAGACCTTCTAGTTAAGAAGAAAGCAAATTTAAAAGATAGCTGCATTATATAATGGAAAAGTGTGAGGAGCCCTTGGCTTCTATTTCTCTTTTATTATTATTATTATTATTATTATTATTATACTTTAAGTTTTAGAGTACATGTGCACAACGTGCAGGTTTGTTACATATGTATATATGTGCCATGTTGGTGTGCTGCACCCATTAACTCGTCATTTAGCATTAGGTATATCTCCTAATGCTATCCCTCCCCCCTCCCCTCACCCCACCACAGTCCTATTTCTCTATGTCTTTAAAAGTTTTTATGATTCAGGGCTAAATACTTTTTCAAATGGAAGAATTTAAACTAAAATACTATGATTATTTTAGCTATCAACTTATCCTGCATGCTAATTGTGACTTCCAATATTTCATGACTCTATTTGAATAAAAAAACAAAAGGGATTTTATTCTACACCAGTATTAAAATCTGGGGAAATCATTATTGAGAAATTGGCATATGAATATATGCAGGACACTTATCCAGGCACTGCATTTTCCTTTGGCAGACTGTAGGGGTCAGGGTAATCTGCAACAGTCCTTCTGATGTTACAACTCCTCGCTTATGGATTAGTTCTCTTTCATCTTCACTTCTCTAGCTGCAATTTATTCCATCATTATTCTAAGATAAAAAGCAAAAGCAGAAAGCCTTTATATTAGGGAAACATTCTTGATATTTCTTGCTTTTATGTTCAAAAGAAATTTTATGTGTCAAGCTTTCTCCCATACATTTTATTTTATAGTTAGACGAAAATATTACATAATAAAACACACATAGATCAATGATTTTTCCATATGGCTTTCAATTTTACACAAGCAATTCTTATATATGGGAGGTATTAGGTTATCTTGCAGAGAGTATTTAAATGAGGTAAAAAACCAGTTAGCTGAAATCCACATACTGTACTTGATTTTAGCCAATCATTTATTCAATCAATTATTTCAACCTCTTCTTCCTCCCATGCTAATACAAGAATCGACAATGACTGATACAAATTTTAGTCCCTTTCTTACAGAAAGGGGCAAGAGAAGATGCCGAAGGATGCATATACTATGTTTTTTAGTGTAGTGTTGCAATTTTTAGTGCAATATTGCCAATTCTAAAAACATTGCAAATAAAAAATAAAGGACTAGATTGGGACCATGCCTTCCTCATCAAATAAAACAAAACCAAAGAAATCATTCACCAGTTGGTTCATTTCCCCAGAGAACGCTTCACTGATGGTATCATGACAACCAATGAAAAAATCAGATCTGTTTTATAGATAATTATTTTGAAAGCATATGCTTCAGTATGCAGGTAGTCCATAACACATATGTTAACTATAGTTACTAGAGTTCCTCCACCAGCTTTTAGGGTTAAATAGGTTTATTTCTACTGTGGGCTTAAATAGGTATTCAGTTAAATCATTTAAACGTCTTCGGATTTGAGAGGCTGCACATCTTAAGCCCTATAGTAAAGGTGGAAAAGGAGGCCTGGGATAGATTATCTGCATAGTGTATGATTAATTTCTACTTACATTTGTTCAACTGTATAAATTGCTAACAACTATGTAGTACTGGACTCTGGAGTTATACATCACTAGTCGTCATTATGCTACTTGTGTTCAAGTAAATACATGAATTACATGTGCACTAATTTCTGAGTTTGTTCTTAAATGAGTTTTTATAAAAGTCACTTGAATTTATAATGATGACTGCCCTCCAGGAAATGCAACTGTTGAGACACAAAGAAGACTGTCCAGAGACTGAGAGAAAGACTAACCTTCATTAAGCAAATATTATGTTTCCAGATATGGCTGTTCAGTTTTTCCTTTATTGCTCTAAAATACACAGATATTTTAATTCCAGAAGACACTCAAGAGTTTGTAACCTGGCTGGTGAAAAGACTCTGAAGAATACTAAGTAGAGAGACACATGTAAAGAATAATACATATTTTTTAAAATACTGCATTAGATAAGGGTTTTCTAGACTTCTGTCCTCTGCTTTCATGCTCTGACATGGATCTTGGGGTACTGTCAAAGACCAAGAAAGCTGATAATGTTATCTGAGAACTTCAGCAAACTCAGAGCCAGAGCCTATGTTCCTGTTTTTCTTTTCCTAGTCTTTTAGATATTTGTGAAGGTGGCAATCTATTCTGAATCCCCTAAACAGGCACAGGTGTTTTGTACCTGTCTAGACCTGCTTGGAATTGAAAATATTCCTCAGGAAACATTCTGTGCTTACCAAAATCCTTGAAGTCCTGCTAGAGTGAAATTCACATTCAGTTGTAATGGTGAGATACAATAAAATCTAATGGAAACTTAAATAACTATTAATGGTTGCAAAGAGAATCAGGAACAGAGGGAGAATGAGAATCAGTGGGCAGAATTATGGTTCTCTCACTGTACCCTCACCTTGAACTGATTACTATAGCATCTCTAGAGGCCAGACTAGGATTGAATTGAAGCCTCAATATTTACCACTTGGGCAAATTGCTAAATTTCTTTGAGCCCCAGTTTTTCATCTGTAAGGTAATAAGAACCTGTGGTACTCAGAATAATGTCCACCCAAATATTTCCACACCCTAATCCCCAAAGCCTGTGAATGTTGTTACATATCAGAAGAGGAATTGCAGATGCGATTAATTTAAGAATCATAAGAGATGAGGAAATTATCCCAGATTATCTGGTAGACCCCATGTAGTTCCATAGGTCCCTAAAAGGAAAGAAAGAGAATCTGAGAGATGGCATCATGAGAGGGATTCAGCTCACCACTGTTGGCGTTGAAGATGGAGGAGGGAACTGTGAACCCCAAATATCTGAGAAGGTCTCAGTCAATTTAGGAAGTTTATTTTGCTAATGTTAAGGATGTGTGCTTGTGACACAGCCTCAGGAGGTACTAATGACCTGTGCCCAAGGTGGTCAGGACACAACTTCGTTTCATACATTTGAGGCAGACATGAGACATCAGCAATCAAATATATGTAAGATATACATTGATTCCTTCTGGAAAGGTGGGACAACTCAAAACGGTGAGGGGGCTTTCTGGCCATTGATAGGTAAGAGATAAATGGTTACATTCCTTTGAGTTTTTGATTAGCCTTTCCAAAGGAGACAACCAGATATGAATTTATCTCAGTGAGCAGAGGGATAACTTTGAGGTCTGTCTGTCCTTTGTACACATGGAAATTCCCTGTGAGGGTGGTATGTAGCCTTTTTTAAAAAAATCTTAGTAGCTATCTTTTTTAGGAATAGAATCAGAGGCAGGCTTGCCTTAAGCAGCTCCAAGCTTGATTTTTCCCTTTGCCTTAGTGATTTTGGGGTCCCAAGATTTATTTTCCTTTCACATTTCCCCTCTTTTCTTTTTAAAATCTATCAGAGAAAGCATTTTAGAATAAAATGTGTCTCTGCTCTCAGGTTTCACCTGATCTCTCATGGCTAAGATGTTTTTTTCCTTGACAGGTAGGCCCCACATTGTTAGGAAAGCTCATTTTTAGCAGGGTGTGAAGTCTCACGTCCTATAAAGAGAAAATAAGGGGAGGAAGGGAGAAAAACAAAAACAAAGAAAGAACAATCCTGGAAAATTGACGTAGGCCATATTACTCTGAAGTCCATATGGTTGTCTTGCATCATTGTGCCTTCAACCTTAATGGTTAATTTATAGAGAAACTGAACTTATTTTATTTCTCAAAATTGGCCCTTACAATCTCATGAACCCACCTCTTCCGTGATAGTCCCTGGGCTTTCAGAAGTTGAATAGCTTTAATTTCTGGCCCTGTGTCTCATGAATGCAGTTTATTTTGATTGGCATCTTCTACTGGGTCTGAAGATGAGGCTTTAACTGCTGTCAGTTTAAGATTTAGCAGGACGTAATGTACTTTTTAGACTCAGGAGTCAAAGCCCTGTAACTTAATGGCACAAAGACTTTAAAAGCACAAACAGAAAGTTACATGGATGTAATAAACTTCTGTATTTTTTTATTTCAGTTATTTCTAAGCAAGTCAAACTTAGTAATAACATCGCAATTATTTTGATAGAGTGTAAGATCTGTTTATTAGGCCAGTTACCAAAAGGCAAAAGAAAAGATCTTCTGCAGTGTTACTGCTGTTCCCTATGGAGAATATTATGTTGGAAGGAAACATTTTCTTTAAACTTTTTAAGACATAATTTTTTTGTTTGTTTGTTTTTTAGCATTAGGCCACAACAGTTAGAACGTGAAAGGAAAAAAATTCCAGGAGCTGAAAGTGAGTTAAAAAATAGAGTTTTTCTTTCAGGCCTTTTAAAATGGGAGAGAAAGTTGAAAATAGTGAGACTTAATAAAAGTTGAACTTTGCATTAAAAAAATTACATTGTCTTTTAATTTATTAAGATCAAAGCAACATCTTAGAAAATTTCATAGTTTGAACCAATTCTTTAGCACATAAGTTTTTTAATCAAACCCAATCTCCAGAAAGACCATTATAATTTCCCTTTAATTCTAGACAATTCAATCATATAAAAGTATTTTTAATAAATGTTCTTATTATGACTTATACAGATCATTCATGACATGCTTGGATTTTTTGGTTTGTCCTGAACATCTCTCTTTCTTAAACAACCAGTCATTTTCTTTTAGGACAAAATTTACCATACGAGATTCTTTCTCATATAAAATTATTTTTCTTTAAGCTTTCTTACCAAAAATACTTCTTTATTTCCATAATTTTCTCTATATCTCTCTTACTTCTCGGTTCCTTTTACCTTGTTTTATATATAACCTTTAAATAAGCTTTGAATTAGACAAGAGTTATTCACCTTTTAAAAAGGACACACATTCTTCTAGAAACGATGTTTTTCTACAATATATTTTATTGGAAAATATCCAAGTAATGAAATATCAATGATTTAACTTAATATCACTTTAGATTCTAAATGAGGACAAGTTTGTCTACAAGTATTTATCCCATTACATTTACTGAATTATTTTAATAGCTTAGATTGTTTATGAAAACTATAATAGTCATTATTTATGTTATGAAAATGCCATGCAAAACTGAGACAGTGAAATAAATTTGACCTAATGGACTCTATCTTGCTTCTAACCACGAGGCTGTCCTTTTATTTCTGGGCATAGGTCCAACTAACTTTGGGAGGAACTTAGTTTATAGTTTTGCTTTAAAACAAAGATGATAACTGTCCTTTCCAAAAACAAACCCTCTTCCTGCCTGGGGACTAGACTGCCTAAAGCCACAAGATTAGAAATCATGGTTTAGGAGCTATGCCTCTGGAGGCTGTGAGATTCTAAATCTCCCCAAACTGTTCTTGGGGATAATATCACTATTCTAAAATGTAAGATCAGTGCTTGAGATATTTTACAGATTCTGCACTCCACTGACCTACTGGCACCTCCCAGATCAATGAATGATCTGGCTCATCTGGTCTTGAATCAGTGTAGGAGGATAGTTTCTATTTTCTATGATTTCATCTCTGACCCAACCAGTCAGAACTCCTGATTCACTGGTCCCCTGAGCACTAAAGTGTCCATAAAAACTCTGATCCCAAAATTCTCGAGGATACTGATTTCAGTAATAATAAAACTCAGGTGTACTGCATAGTGGCTCTGCATGAATTACTCTTCTTTATTATAATTCCCCTGTCTTGATAAATCAGCCCTTTCTAGGCAGTGGGCAAGGTGAACTCATTGGGTGGTTACAGTTACTTCATTGTCACCCATTTTAAAGCCTGTGAATTTCAGGTGTTTACCTATGTAGCAACCTTAAGATTAAATATATGGTTGTTTTACAGAATAATTCAATATTTAACTATTTTCATTAAACCAATATTAATGTCTTATTTATCAAAAATTATACAAGAAAAGATCCTTCTGTTTTGGGCTTGGTCTATAGTTTTGTATCCCTTATGCCAAATTTTGACACTTCTAGTGTTTGGCAGGAATGAGTATGAAATTGCTTGAACAATAAATGCAAACAAAAATGTATACTGAAAATTCTTGAGACATTTCTAGTATTACTTTACCAATAATTTTAAGGCTAGCTTATTAAAACTTTTACTTACATCACATGAACTTGAAGAGCATCTGGGTTTATTATTTAATTTATGAGTACTCTTGATATGGATTGGCCCTGTGTCCCCACCCAAATCTCACATCGAATTGTAATACCCACATGTCAAGGAAGGGAACTGCAGTCCTGATGGGCTGAGGGAGAAAAGTTATTGGATCATGGGGATGGTTTCCCCCATGCTGTTCTCATGATAGTGAGTGAATTCTCACGAGATCCAGTCATTTCAAAAGTGACAGTTTTTTCCTGTACTCTCACTTCTCTCTCCTGCCACCTTGAGAAGAAGGTGCCTGCTTCCCCTATGCCTTTCACCATGATTGTAAGTTTTCTGAGGCCTCCTCAGCCATATGGAACTGTGAGTCAGTTAAACCTCTTTCCTTCATAAACTACCCAGTCTCAGGGAAGTTCTTTATAGCAGTGTGAAAATTGACTAATAAAGTAAATTGGTACTGCAGAGAGTGGGGTACTGCTATAAAGAAAAGATAATTTGAACATGTGGAAGTTACATTGGAACTGGATAACAGTCAGAGGGTGAAACAGTTTGGAGGGCTCAAAAGAAGATAGGAAGATGTGGGAAAGTTTGGAACTTCCTATAAACTTCTTGAATGGTTTTGACTAAAATGCTGATAATGATGTGGACAATAAAGTCCAGGCTGGGGTAGTCTCAGACCGAGATGAGGAATTTCTCGAGAACCGAAGCAAAGGTCACTCTTGTTGTGCTTTAGCAAAGAGACTGGTGGCATTTTGCCCTTGCCCTAGAGACCTGTGGAACTTAGAACTTGAGAGACATGATCTGAAATTGGGACTTATGTTCGAAAAGGAAGCAGAGCATAAAAGTTTGAAAAGTTTGCAGCCTGATTATGTGATAGAAAAGAAAAACCTATTTTCTATGGAGAAATTTAAGCCTGCTGCAGAAATTTGCATAAGTAACCAGGAGCCAAATGTAAATTGCCAAGACAATGGGGAAAATGTCTCCAGGGCATGTCAGAGGTCTTGGCAGCAGCCACTCCTACCACAGGCATTGAGGCATAGGAGGAAAAAAATGGTTTTGTCAGTCAAGCCCAGGGCCCCCCTGCTCTGTGCAGCCTCGTGACTTGGTGTCCTGCATCCTAGCCCCTCCAGCTCCAGCTGTGGCTAAAAGGTGCCAAAGTACACCTGGGTCAATTGCTTCAGAGGGTGCAAAGTCCAAGCCTTGGTGGCCTCCATATAGTGTTGAGCCTGCGGGTGCACAGAAGACAAGAATTGAGGTTCGAGAACTTCCTAGGTATCAGAGGCTATATGGACACGCCTGGATCTCCAGGCAGAAGTCTGCTACGGAGGCAGAGCTCTCATGGAGAATCTCTTCTAGGGTGGTGCAGAAAAGAAATGTGAGGTTTGAGCCCCCACACAGAGTCCCCACAGCAGCATTGCCTAGTAGAGCTGTGAGAAAAGGGCAACCCTCTTCCAGACCCCAAAATGGTAGATCCACTGATATTTGCACCGTGTGCTAGGAAAAGCTGCAGACACTCAACACCAGCCATGAAAGCAGCCAGGGATGGAGGCTGTACCATGCAGAGCCACAGAGACAGAGCTGCTCAAGGCTGTGCAAGTCTACCCCTTGCATTAGCATGCCCTATATGTAAGACATGGAGTCAAAGAAAATTATTTTGGAGCTTTAAGATTTAATGACTGCCCTGTTGGATTTCAGACTTCCTTGAGGTCTGTGACCCCTTTGTTTTGACAAATTTCTCCCACTTGGAATGGAAACATTTACCCAATGCCTGTACCCCCTTTGTTTCTTGGATGTAACTTACTGGTTTTTTATTTTTATTTTACAGGATCATAGGTGGAAGGAACTTGTCTCAGATGAGATTTTGGACTTGGACTTTTAAGTTAATGCTGGAATGAGTTAAGACTTTGAGGGGCTGTTGGGAAGGCATGATAAGTTTTGAAATGTGAGGACATGAGATTTGGGAGGGGCTAGGAATGGAACAATATGGTTAGGCCTTGTGTCTCCACCCAAATCTCACCTTGAATTATAATACCCATAATCTTCTTTGTCTAGGGAGAGACCTGGAGGGAGATGATTGGACTATGGGGGCAGATTCCCCCATGCTATTCTCATGATAGTGAGTTATCAGGAGATCTGATGGTTTTAAAAGTGGCAGTATTTTTTTCCCGCACTCTCACTTCTCTCTCCTGCCACCTTGTGAAGAAGGTGCCTGTTTCCTTTTCACCTTCTACTATGATTGCAATTTTCCTGAGGCCACCCCAGCCATATGGAACTGTGAGTCAATTAAACCTCTTTCCTTTATAAATTATCCAGTTTCAGTGAAGTTCTTTACAGCAGTGTGAAAACTGACCAAGACAACTCTTTAAGCCAAATTTGTACCTTCTGGCCAAAACGCAATGAAATACATGTATGTATACATAAACACACACATACATACTCATACAACCAAAGATCCTATAGCTTTTACTTCAGAACTCTAGTCATGAGATATTAATACAAACTCATTGGTTTGCAAAATAGTAACAGGAAGAAATGGTTGGATGCAAATAGTGGATTGTATCTAAGCAGAAAGCCAACAGCAGCTTTAAAGCAGGCAGAAAAGAAAATAGAGAAAAAGAGAACTTAGGAACTCTATAGTTTGTGGGTCGACCTTAGGACTCTTTTTTCTTGGTGTAAATGTGCACAAAGATCATTATTTCCATCTAACACAAATTCCAGCAGGTAGAACCATAAAAGCAACAGGGTGCCCAAAAGGGGAACATTCTCCTTGTTTTCTCCTCATTCATAGATTATTTGTTTCCCACTTTTCTTTCTTAAAAGGAGGAACAGAGCTGTGGCCTAGGCTTTTTGTGGGCTGAAGCGTGTGCTGGTTTTGGGACTCCACAGTGTGTTACCTCTTAGTCATTTCTGCCCTCTTACCTGTCTCAGTGTCTCTCTCCAGAGGTCTAAGCACCTCTATGAGGGCTGAAAGAGCAAAGTGACCAGCTCCCATGTATGCTTCCTGGACAAGCCTTTTTAAAACTAATTTTGTTGGCAGTTCCCTGTAGGGCTGCTACATGTCACAGAGGCTCAATGATGTGGTTTGGCTCTGCGTCCCCACCTAAATCTCATCTTGTAGATCACATAATTCTCATGTGTTGTGGGAGGGACCCAGTGGGAAATGACTGAATCATGGGGGCTGGTCTTTCCCATGCTGTTCTTGTGATAGCGAATGGGTCTCACGAGATCTGATGGTTTTAAAAATGGGAGTCTCCTGCACAAGCTCTCTCTTTGCCTGCTGTCATCCACATAAGATTCTCCTCCTTGCCTTCCACCACGATTGTGAGGCCTCCCAAGCCACATGAAACTGTAAGTCCATTAAACCCTGTATAAATTGCTCAGTCTCAAGTATGTCTTTATCAGCAGCGTGAATAAGGACTAATACAGTAAATTGGTACCAGTAGAGCCGGGGGCTGCTGAAAACATACCTGAAAATGTGGAAGCCACTTTGGAACTGGATAACAGGCAGAGGTTGGAACAGTTTGGAGGGCTCAGAAGAAGACAGGAAAATGTGGGAAAGTTTGGAACTTCCTAGAGACTTGTTGAATGGCTTTGCCCAAAATGCTGATAGTGATATGGACAATAAAGTCCAGGCTGAGTTGGTTTCAGATGGAGATGAGGAACTTGTTGGGAACTGGAGCAAAGGTGACTCCCGTTATGTTTTAGCAAAGACACTATGGCATTCTGCCCCTGCCCTAGAGATGTGTGGAACTTTGAACTTTAGAGAGATTATTTTTGACATCTGGCAGAAGAAATTTCTAAGCAGCAAAACAGTCAAGAAGTGACTTTGGTGCTGTTAAGGCATTCAATTTTATAAGGGAAGCAGAGCATAAAAGTTCAGAAAATTTGCAGCCTGATATTGCAATAAAAAAGAAAATCCCATTTCTGAGGAGAAATCCAAGCTGGCTGCAGAAATTTGCAAAAGTAAAAAGGAGCCAAATGTTAATCCTCAGGACAATGGGGAAAGATCTCCAGGGCATGTCAGAGGTTTCATGGCAGCCCCTTCCATCACAGGCCTGGAGGCTCGGGAGTAAAAAGTGGTTTCGTGGGCCAAGCTCAGGGTCCCCATGCTTTGTACAGCCTATGGACTTTGTGCCCTGTGTCTCAGCCACTCCAGCCATGACTAAAATGTGCCAAGGTACAGCTTGGGCTGTTGCTTCAGAGGGTGGAAGCCACAAGCCTTGGCAGCTTCCACGTGGTATTGAGCCTGTGAGTACACAGAAGTCAAGAATTGAGGTTTTGATTAGCTATAGATTTGACTAATTATTATTGACAATGGGTGTATTTCCTCATGGATATATATATATATATATATATATATATATATATATATATATATAAAATTATAAATAGTTATGGGTATAATTAGTCATTGTCAGTTATAGTAATAGATAGGTAGAATCTTAGAGTTATATTTCTTTGACCCGTAATGTAATCTAGTCACAGAAATATCTTTAGGTCTTCCAGAGCTTTCATCAAACAGGGTGACCGGGCAGCATGTTTTTTCTATTTGATTCTACCACATTACATTCATTTATTGTTACTTACAGAGAATCTAAGGTACAATATCTTTAGACATAAACTCATGTATATAAACTCCTGGGAGGTTTCTTGTGCTCCTGTACCCATTTGTTATGTTCAAACACCAGGAGGTTCATGACGAATAAAAAGCCAACCACCTGTGCAATTTTGATTCCTAGAAAGTGCTTCCACTCAGAATCCCTGGCTCCTGTCCAATTCTAAGGGAAAGTGAACAAAACAAACAACAACAACAAAGAAAAAAAAAGTAAAAAATATGTAAGGAAACTTGATCATTCCAATTTCAGTATCTCTGAATCACTCCTGTCTGAACCTTTAGTCCAGTGTTCCCTCAATGAAAAATGTTTCCATGACCTTGAAATTCAGATATGCCTTTTGTCCAAACTGGAAAGTAAGACAGGCATACAAAGAAGTTGATAACATCATCTATCTACCTTTCAAGTTCCTACACATTTACCAAGTCCTGGTTAAAATCCTATCTCCTCCAATAAGTCTTTCCAGATGTTTAAAGTCAGGATTCATCTATTCTTTTTTCACAGGGCTCTGTTTGTAGGTCTAGTGTAGCACTGAGTACATTCTTGCTTGCATTGGCTTTAATATTAATGTCTGTGTTTCCCTCGGTGGACTATGAGCTTCTAGAGAACAGAGGTGCATGCTTAATTTGTTTCTCTATGCACTAGAGAATGGCAGTGGTTCTAAATTATTGGAGTATGTCATTCTTGTGACACAATTAACATTACTAACAATGGAATATCAAAGTTTACGATGACATATTCTGCTTTGGTATATACACATGCATGTGTGTATGTTGTATGTGTATGAAAACAAACCTGCACATTCTGTACATGTATCCCAGAACTTAAAGTAAAATAAAAAAAAAGAAACAAAACAAAACAAAAAGGGTGGCCCGTATAGGCCTCAATGAAAAGGTGGCATTTGACTTGAAAGAGGCTCAGTGCCATGGATGTATAGGGAAGAATGATCCCAGGATGAAGAAGCAGGCAGTGCAAAGGCCCTAATCAGAGACTGAGCCCGGCATGATCCAGGGACAGTAAGGAGTCCAGTGTGGTTGAAGCGGAGTGGATTGAAACCTCACTTCTCCATGCACCCACCACGTCCTGCACCCCAATACACTGCTGCCCTCCCTCTATCCTCCCCACTGTTACCTTGCCATGCTATCACCTGCACATTGTCACTTTTCTCTCATGGGACTTGGACAACTAACTCCCTCTCTAGGGATAGTTTCTGCCTCAGATTGCCGAGACTCACCTGCCTCTCTTTTTATACTTAAGCGCTCCACTGTGGCTCATTCAAGCCCTGCATTCCAGTGCCGGGCAAGGTTATTCTCCCATGCAGAGGCCATCCAGCACTGCTCCCTGGTCACTTGCTGACTGTGGCACAAGCAGCAGTGCCTCAACCTGGCCTCAGGAAGGAAGCTGGGGAGTTGCTTGTGGTTCCTGGACGTTCAGGGGAGAGGAAAGAACACAGACTCGGGAACTCCAGAATGCAGCGCTTCGCTGAGGAAACAAAGACTGACAGCTAGATCCCTGTCGACAGGCACCTGCCACCTTTGCCTGTCAGGCACTGCATCAGACTCTAGCTCATTTGACCCACCTGAGAGACAAAGATCAGAAAACTCATAGGGCATTCCCAAGCTCACACAGTTTGTGAGGTTTGGACCTGGGATTTGCATGAGGCTCCTGGGCCTCATAAATGCTCATAACTGCTGTGCTGTGCTCACTTAAGCCCCATGTCACCTGTGTGTAAAATGAGACTAGACATTGTTTACCTTTCCATCTGCCTCTAAATGGTTGTGAATTTGGTCAAAAGACGAAGTCTAGAGGAAGAGTTTCTCTGCCACTCTTTTCTAGCTTGCTTTTTTTTAATTAGCCTACGACTCAGATTAGTCGTAGGTGGTATACTTGTTTAAAACAGAAATTGTGACCTTTATTGTTATATGAGGTTTCAAGCTTAATATCTGAAATGCAGAAAGACATTGGGTGTGTTTATTTGTGAATCTACAATCTCAATACATTCCCTTCTCTCTACATAAGACTTTCTAGCAATATACTGAACTCTCTTTCCAATGTGAATGCTCACGTTTTCTTTAGGCATCTTCTTTTCACTGCCTGTCATTCATTCTTCCTAGGGGATATCTCCATCTAGCAGAGGGAAGTCCAGCTACCAAAATGAAATCTGAAGTTGGCGTCTGTGTAACTTATCTATCTGATCTTCAACCCTTACAGCAGCAGCCTGAACTAAAGGACATAATTGGAATATTCCTTCCAAGTTAATAGATCTGCCTACCACCCAAGAAAGAGTGAGTCCCTTCTAAAACAATAAGCACTAGCTGTCAAACATCCTCTCCAAGCCTCATACATTACTAGACATTTCAAATGCAAAACTCTGCACTAGGCAGAGGCCTGAGATTGGCTACTTTGTTCTTGGTTTACTCTGTAAACAGCATAGCCAGCAGCAGCCTCATGCTAAGTACACACTTGAAAGAATTTGATCCAATGCCTTCAGTACTTACTTCACAGGATGTTTCAGAAGAGAATCTGCGGCCAAATGATTTTCCATCAGATATGTGCTCATCCTTCTGTCTCGCCCATGTCCAATTATCCTGAGGATATTAGCTTTTGCTTTCTTTTTTCTGTACTCTGTACATACGCAGTAATTCACCTAAGGGACGGGATTTCAACTTACTCCTGTTCCTGACCTTGATTGCCAATCACTCTCTCCCTAGCCCCTGTTACTAGACAGCTGGAATTCACTTTTCTTAAGGAATCGGTTACTTAATGTTGCCTACCATGACACTGGTTTACTTAACTTTCAGGGAAGTCTCAACAGAGGTGCACAATCCAAGGAGCAATGGCACAGGGCAGGGCTTAATCTCCTTTCATATTTTGACCTTGCCTTTCAGCAGCTTCAATCAGCCCTTATCTATAAAACTGAGGCTATCCCATATTCTTTCCCACAATCCTAAAATATCTCACTCTGAAATTATATCTCATACAAGCAGCATTTATGCCATGTGTCTCCTGAACAACCTTGCTCAGCAACACATTCCAGATGGGATTTCTGTTCCTTTCTTATTTCTCACTTCTCATGGAATAGTTAGGCCAGTGTTTTCCAAACATTAGGTCATAGTAGTAACCCCCAATAAATATTAGCTACTGTCATTATTATGAAGCCATGCATTGAGTGCAATAACATAACCCTCATTGAATATAATATGAAGTAGGTGGATACTTTAAAGATTTTTTTTTTTTTTGAGATGGAGGAGTTTTGCTCTTGTTGCCCAGGCTGGAGCACAATGATGTGATCTCAGCTCACCGCAACCTCCACCTCCCGGGTTCAAGAAATTCTCCTGCCTCAGCCTCCCAAGTAGATGGGATTACAGGCATGTGCCACCACACCCAGCTAATTTTGTGTTTTTAGTAGTGACGGGGTTTCTCCATGTTGGTCAGGCTGGTCTTGAACTCCCGACCTCAGGTGATCCGCCCACCTTGGCCTCCCAAAGTGCTGGGATTATAGGCGTCAGCAACCACACCCGGCCGATACTTTAAAGACTTTTGTGTGATGAAGTTCAGAGAAGTAAACTGAACTCTTGGGCATTATAGCTACAGAGGTAAAATTTGAATAGAGGTCTTAGTGACTCTAAAATGTATGTTCTCTACCACTATGCTATTCCTTTTCCATAAATGTCTGAACACAGAGGAAATAATCTTGTCTCAACTTGAGATACTGCCACATGCTTATGAGATTACAGAGCTAGTAAATATAAGAAAACATTTGATGTGTTTTTGAAACTCCCACCTTTAGATGGAGACACTCACTATCTTACCAAATGTATTCTAAAGGGAAAAATCAGTATGCTTCAATTATGAAATTTAATGAGAAACACTGGTACATAAAACAGAAGTCATAGGTATGATGTGGAGATAGACACTGACTCACTTGTCCCCCGAATCTCTACCTTTGGCGAATTAAGAGAAATACCTCTTGGAGCAATCCTTCTCTGACCTGGGGATAGCTTTGGTTATTGGAAGAAAATCTCCAAGAGAATAATTAAGAACTACTATGTGTCTTGAATTTTTATAAGCCATGAGGTGGGATGGGAAATTGAGTTATGGGACTAGATCAATATTAACACAACCCTCTAGGCTCATTAATATTCCACTAGCATCCATTGGATTAAAAATTTGGAGTCTCCCTCCATTAGACTTCCTGAGAAATGTACTTCTCTTTGATTTTATGGCCCTTATTGCTGTCTTTTTTTGTGTCTGGTAAATAATGAGTACTAATTAAAGTGTTTCAAAGCAAGAAATCTATGAGAAATATGATTGTAAATCCATTTTGTTAAATAGAAGAAAACATTTGTAAACAAAAAAACAGGTAGGAATGTGAATGGCTAGATAGAAAGGATTCAGGAATGATGAGTGTCTTGAAAACTTAATAGAAATGCAGCTATCTCTTCTGGAAAATAAACAAACAAAAAACTTCTAACATAAATAACTTTCTACCTATTCAGTCAAGAATGATTTCATTTTTAGTCTTAAAGTGGAGAAGCCAATGGATCAACATTTTGGTCAAATTGCTTTTAAGAAGTCTCATTAAATCCCATGTAGAGATAATTTGCCCAAGATGCTACAGTTAGTAAACAACAATTTCTGGGTACAGGCCCTACTCCTGTGATTTGAAAGAGAGTAGATATTGGAAAGCCTATTCTCTTTTCACTATACTCTGCAAGGAAAAAAAAAAAAACTGTCGGCTACTGTGCAAACACATGAGAGGGTGGGTCTTATTTTGTCTGAGGAGGTTAGAGCAATTTCCAAGAAGTTATTATTGGAGTTAACTCTTAAAGAATGAAAAAGGATTTTCCAAGAAGACAGGGCAGGGAAGGTGATATGGTTTGGCTGTGTCCCCACCCAAATCTCATCTTGAATTATAGCTCCCATAATATCCATATGTCGTACGAGGGACCCGGTGGGAGGTAATTGAATCATGACGGTGGCTTCCCCTATGCTGTTCTCATGGTAATGAGTAAGTCTCACAAGATCTGATAGTTTTACAAGGGGAATCTCTTTCACTTCATTCTCATTTTCTTTTTGCTGGCTGCCATGTAAGACATCCCTTTGCTCTTCCTTCATCTTCCACCATGATTGTGAGGCCTCTCCAGCCATGCTGAATTGTGAGTCAGTTACACCTTTTTCCTTTATAAATTACTCAACCTCCGGTATGTCTTTATTAGCAGTGTGAAAGTGGGAAAATGAACTAATACAGAAGGATGTCAAAAATATGTGTATTTGAAAAACACTCCTGCATGCGTAAATGGAAAAGGAGTGACAATCTGGTGTGTTCATTCAAGGATCTGCAAGTGACTGGTATGGCTGAAATCCATGTTGCACATGGGAGAGTAGGGCCTCTTGGGGTTGCAGAGGCTATACTTTGGTCTGAATGTTTGTGCTCTCCCCTATTCATATGCTGAAATCCTAACCCAAGGCAATGGTATTAGAAGATGGAATCTTTGGGGGTGATTATGTCATGAAGGGGGAGCTTTCATGAATGGGCTTAGTGATCTTATACAATAAGGCCCCAAAGAGAACTGTCACTCCTTCTACCATGTGAGGACACTCCTACAAGATGTTATCTCTGAGCTAGAAAGTGGATTCTCATCAGAAACCAAATCTAAGGTGCTTTGAGCTTGGACTTTTCAACTTCCAGATAATAAATACATTTCTGTTCTTTATATGCTGCCCAGTTTATGATACTTTGTTGTAGCAGACCAAAAAGACTAAGATAGGTTGATAGGGGCTAGACAACAAAGGGTCTTAGGTGCCAGGCTAGTGAATTTAAATTCCCTAGGTAATGGGAATCTATTGAAGGGTTTGGATCATGAAGTGGAAAAGTAAGATTTATATATCGGCTTCAGTGTGGAGAATGAAAAGTAGGGGAGAAAGACCACGTAGAAATCTAGACAGTCTAGACAAGGGCAGAGAAATGATTAAATTCAGCAGCAAAAGTAATGGAAGTAACAGAGAAGTAAGCAGAGTAGAAATTTGGAAAATCTCAATAGACTTAACAAGATCTAGTGACTGCATTTGGAGGATGAGATGGAGGGGGAAGAAGGAATTGAGGGTGACTGCTGTTTAGACTGACTTGGTGGTCAGGCTGAACATTGGTATCATCTGTCAAGAGAGAGAATACATCAACAGAAGCAGGTCCAGAGATGAGAGAGTACAATTTTGATAGCAGAATGGAATCACACTGAGGACTTGATTGGGTCTGAATCCCAATTTTGCCATTCACAACTTAGGCAAATTATTTAAGCATCTTGAGCCTCTGCTTTTCATTTGTTTGCTTGTTTTTGATCTTTAAGTGTCTAATTAGAGCATGATATGGTTTGGATCTGTGTCCCCGCCCAAATCTCATGTCAGATTTTAATCCCCAATATTGGAGGTGGGTCCTCGCGGGAGGTGATTGAATCATGGAGGTGGTTTCTTCTGAATGGTTTACCACCATCCCCTTGGTGATATTCTTATGATAGTGAATGAGCTATCACGAGATCTGGTTGTTTAAAAATATGTAGCACCTCCACCCTCTCTTCCTGCTTCTTTTTCCATGTGAAGTGTTGGCTCCCCCTTTGCCTTCTGCAATGAGTAAAAGCTCCCTGAGACCTCCTCAGAAGCAGATGCCACTGTACTTCCTGTATAGCCTGCAGAACCGCGAGCCAATTAAATCCCTTTTCTTTATAAATTACCCAGTCTTAGATATGTCTTCATAGCAATGCAAGAATGTACTAATACAGAGCAAATATCTCGCAACATTGATGGATAATTTAAGTGAGAAAAATATATGTTAGTTACATGTTATGCACAAATACTGGCTCATTTAGAAAAAGCTCAAGATATATATGTTGGACTTATTGAGAGTTTGAGATTCCAGTAATACACCCAGACAGAGAAGTTGGTTAAAATCAGGATCACTCTACTCCAGGCCTTCCTAGAGACCCTGGAAAAACAGAAAAAATCAAGGCCATTTGATTTGAAAAGTAAGATCCACCTGCCTCGGCCTCCCAAAATGCTGAGATTTCAGGCGTGAGCCACCGCGCCTGGCCTGGTTTTGCTTTCTTTAGGGTAAAACCTTTTTTCTTCCCTAAAAATATAAGATACAAAAATACAAAATATTCATTAAACAATTGAAAACCAGGAAAGTGCAATGGAAAATAATTTAAATTACACAAATCCTCACCATATAAAACTACTGCTAACCTTCTGGTGTATTTCTTCCTGTTTTTTCTATTCTATAGTATCCTCTTCCATTGATAGGTATCTGTATTCTTATGAAGTCTCACTATCACAATTTACTTTAGTTATTAATATGATACAGAAGTTTTGCATTTATTATTTCTCAAACATGTCCTGGCTGGTCTAATATATTTATTTGTTTAGATGAACCTTGACATTTTTGTCAAGTATAGAAATTCCATTTTGATTTTTCTCTGGAGTCATGTTAAATTTATAAATGTATTTGTGAAGAATGGATATCTTTACAATATTGAGTCTTACAATCTAAGGCTATAATATATCTTTATTAATATAAGGTTTATTTTGTATCTATGGGAGCTTGCTATGATATTTAAATACTCTGTGACTAAATTCCCTCAACAATTAAGTTGTACCCACCTCGCAGTATTGCTGAAAGGATTAAATGAGTTAATACATGTAGTTTGAAATGCAGTTTGAAGTAGTTTGAACAGCATCCAGCATACGGTAAGTGCTCAAAAACTGTGTTATCTTTTTTGTCATTCTTTCCTCTAGTAAAATTTATAGTTTTTTTTCATATATGCTCTACACATTCCTTGTTATGTTTACTCTTGGAATTTTACATTTTGATTTTATTGGTAGAGTTGTTTTTCTGAAATTATGCATTGATTTTCTGAAATTCAAATTTAATTGGGTTGCCTGAATGACTTTTTTCCTTTTGGTTAAATCTGGCAATACTACATCATTGAGAATGAGATATTTTCCATTATATTTTTCACTGATTATTTTGAGGAAACAGAGAAGGCTTTCCTCATTTTTTATATCTATTGCTTTAGATCACTGGTTCTGGAATTATTAACATGAGCCCTAATCACGTGATGGGGCTTCTTAAGTCATAGCTTTCTGGGCCTCAGCCCCAGAGTCTCTGATTCAACAGACCTGGGGTAGATTCTGGACCAATGTTCAGATTTCTTTTTAAAATTTTTTAAGATTTTTTTAAAATTGCTTGTGGGTACATATTAGGTAATCACATATATATTAATGGAGATACAGGAGATATTTTGATACAGGGATGCAGTGTAAAATAAGAACATTATGGAGAATGGGGTGTCCACTCCCTCAAGCATTTATCCTTTGAGTTACAAATGATCCAATTACATTCTTTAAGTTATTTTAAAACATATAATTACATTATTCTTTATTACTGTCACCCTATTGTGCTACCAAGTAGTAGATCTTATTCATCCTTTATATTTTTTGTACCCATTAACTATCCACACCTCCCCTACAATACCCCACTACCCTTCCCAGCCTCTGGTAACCATCCTTCTACTCTTTATGTCCATAAGTTCAAGACATACACATTGCAAACAGGTATACGAAAATGTGCTCAACATCATTGATCATCAGAGAAATGCAAATCAAAACTACAATGAGCTATCATCTCACCCCAGTTAAAATGAAAATTGGTATTCTAACAATGCTCAGGTGATGCTGACGCTGCTGGTCTGGGGACCACACTTTGGGAATTGCTGCCTTAGTGGAAGTCTTATTTCTGATTTCTCGTACTTTATCAATGAATTATCTTGCTTTGGTTTTGTTGTATTTTGTTTTGGTAAATATTCAAATGATCTTCAATTAATAATAATATTGTCTCCAGATGTCTGATATCTTATGTTAGCTTTAATTTTCAGAGTAATGCCAAATAAGTTTAGTCCTGGTATGTGTTTTTGTCTTATTCCCGACTTGCATAGGAATGTTGATAGTATTTCCACAGTACATGTACTGTGGCAATTGCCTGAAAGATATTTTTCAGTCATTTAAAAATGATTCATTTTTAAATTGTCATCTTCCTGGTTTTATAGAAAGTTTAATACCTTTTAATAATTATCTACATTTTCATATTTTTCCATTGTCCTATTCATGCTACATATTATATAGTTTCTAATATTAACTCAAATTTACATTTGCAGCCTTGAAAACTGTCTCATCTCATATTTTATTTCCAGGATATTGTTGTTGGTAACCTTGGCAGAGTGAATTCGTATTTGGTTTTGCAGGAGAGAAAGGGAAATGAAGTCAGCTTGCTTCTACATGACCATAGATAGTGGAATCACCATAGCTTTTTTTTTTTTTTACTTTATTTTGTTTTTAGTATTGTACATGGGGTTTTATATTTCCACCTAAAATTCAAATTGAAACATCTGATAATTTTATTGGAGAAGATTTTATCTTTGAATGACATACATGAAATAAGAATTATTTTTTTAAGTCTGAACTATAATCTTGAGATTAAAACTTTTCATTCCAATAATATGTTACAGCATATTCTTATGATTCTGTTTACTCAGAAATACAACGTTATTAAAATGTTGTTCTTTTGCTTAGACAGATAGCAGGTATTGAGTAAAGAATATTCACCACATTAAAAAGTCCATTAAAATCAAGTTTAATTGTTTTTGATTGCTCTTAGTTAAAAAAATTGTGATACTTAATGGACATGTGTCATTGATCATTGGAAAGTTTTTTCCAATAAATGTCTTTTGTAGTTGACTGTGTCACAGAATTTAAGCCTAAGAATAGTAAAAACGTCCAGAAGGAATTAGGTGGTAACCTATAAGTATATGGCAGCTCAAGTCTAGAACAAGTCAGATTTTCCTCATACTTCAATTCTGAATTTGAATTGAAGTCAATTCAATTCAAAACAACTGAACTAACCTAAAAAAAGATGTAAATGATTGGAGAAGAGCTGAATTACAAAGTGAATACGCTTCTGATATGGCAGGACTTCTGGCCTCTGTTATTATTGCCAATGGTAGGGATATGTTTTGTCGTGTGTGTGTGTGTGTGTGTTCATGCGCATGTGTGGGTGTGTGTCATGCAGGTGTACTTTGACAAAATGAAAATGAAGGATCTGCTCTGTACTCACATTATCATTGAGAAAATTTGCCTTGTATATGCTAGCATTTTTGACTCCTATTGTCAGTAAGAAAAACATGTATTAATAATAAAAGCATGTATGATTTCCATGATGGCTTAGAGAAAGCAAAGCATACTCCAAAGGATATTTTTAAAGGACAGTGATCCTGGTGTGGCAGAGATGCATGATTAACATAACAGAATGCCAGCCAGAAGCACATTTTGCCTATTGTAAAAGTGGTTCCTCTGTTACCTTACATTTCTGCCTACTCAGGCACTCCAATAGCTTTGTTTTGAATTACCTTTACCTTTCTGTTATCCCCTTTACTTGGCAACTCTCATTTTAATTACCCAGAGAAACATCTATGCATTTTTCTCCCAGGAGACTTTTGAATAGTAATAATATACCATTAGCCATCTTTGGAGAAAAAGCAAGTACTTATCGAGAATTATGTTACTCATATTCCTCTGAGTTGTCTGTTTCTTACCCAAGTTCTATTTAGGATTTCAAGATACAATCCTGACTCATACTTTTTAGAAGAAAACAGCCCGTGGGCTGGTACTAAGAAGAAAACTATTCTCCTATTTTCAAAACACTCTTGGAAAATAGTTATAGCCCAACCACATATCACACTGTGCATGTGTATAATTCTTTACAATTCATCTGTTTGCTCCTTACAAAAATGTTTTCAGGATATTAAGGAAGACATTGGGATTGATTCCCATTTTTCATTGCAAGAAACCTAATTACATTAAGAGAAGCTATTTTAGGTTAGGAGAAAGGAGCAGGTGACTGGCTTTTATCACACACCGAGTACATGACAAATTCAGAACTCCAACCTAGGATTCTAGTTTCTTACCCACACATTCTCCTTCTCTAAATTGGAAATTATTTTTCTACTTTATTCCTTAAATGATAACGATCACATCTGACTGGGCATTGTATTTATTTTTGTTTTTATTTATTTATTTATTTTTACCAATATTGATATTTTTATTTCTTTTTTTCTTTTTTTTTAATTTTATTATTATTATACTTTAAGTTTTAGGGTACATGTGCACAACGTGCAGGTTAGTTACATATGTATACATGTGCCATGTTGGTGTGCTGCACCCATTAACTCATCATTTAGCATTAGGTATATCTCCAATGCTATCCCTCCCCCCTCCCCCCACCCCACAACAGGAAGGGGAACATCACACACCGGGGACTGTTGACTGGGCATTTTATTGGTGTCTTTCCACAACTTATCCAGTGTATGTATTTGAAATGCATCTTCTTTACAGTCATGAGCACTTTCATGAAGAGACAAGTGGGACTGAATGCTAAAACAGCGGCTATTTGAACAAGCGAAAAGAGACTTGTTAATTGGACACTGCTTTGGTTTGAGCTGCTGTTGCTGCTACTACTACTGCTACTCCTAAAGAGACAATAACAGAACCTGTACACACTGATGGCAGCAGTAAGCAGGATACAGGAATATAATTATAAGTCAGCACCTCAGGAAGGGGAGACTCCTTGGGGGGCATCCCATTACTAAAGGAAAACTGTTAGCAGCTATGATGAGGCTAGGAAAGGCATTCTGAGTATTTTAGCAATTGCAGGGCAAGGAACAGGAAGCAGTTGAGGAAGAGGAAAAAGCTGAAAATATACTTCCACTAATCTCCAGTTTATTTATCTTTTCTCCAGATAGCACTCAGCAGTGTTACTTGCATCATGGATAGGAATGGTTTTAGGAACAGCTGGCCTCTCTTGAACCAAAAGGTACTGGAGGGGCAGAAAGCATCGCTGTGTGTGTGAAGCTTGAGCTTCGGTGTTGCATATGGTTTCAAAAACTGCCTCTGCTATTTTCAAGCTGTGTGAATGGGGAAAATTACTTATATCTCTCAGTCTTTGTTTTCTTAGCTTTCAAATGTATATAATAATAACTAGGTCAGAGAAAATCTTATTTGCTCATATTACTGTGCCACTCCTGCTAACCCCCAATATTTACTGACATGTTAGAATGAGATTCTCCAGCGCCAGGGCTCAGAAAACACCACCTCAAAATATGACTCTAGAAGACCAGAATATACCACACCAAAATAGAGTTCTTTGGCATATTTTTAGCTAGTTATTCTGAGAAACTACAGACACCGGAGTAACTCTGAAAAACTACCCTTTTGTAAAGAAAATTTGCATGTATAAAAGAAATCTACATTAGCAAAAGTATCTGTATCAGGAAGAGGGCTGCTGCAAGACAACTTTTATTACCTAAGAGATTTTTTTTTAAACTACATGACATGATAATCTTTATGCACCATACATTTCTCCCCTTAACCTCCCATAACTTGTGGCTACCACAACCTCCGAAGTCCCAATCACCTATTCCTTTCTGTAGCTCAGGATGTTATTATGTAAGTTTTAATCATCTGGCTCTTCTTTGAGTCTTATGTTTTATGTAACTCCCATGTGGATGCAAGCATTTAAATATGTTCTTACTCCTGTAGCCCAGCCAAAGAATCAAGGAGGGTGGAAGGAAGTAATTTTTTCCTCTTTGACAACAGAGATTAAGCATATAGGGATGGTGGTGGTGTGTGGAGGTGATACTATTATTTACAAGGACTAACCACATGAGGGTGTGTATGAAGGGTTTGCTATTATTTATAGATGAATTGTCACATGTCAGTCACTATTCTAAGTGATGAAAGAGTTCAGGAAATGCCACCCCAAAATATACAACTTTGAATATCAAACTGAGGGCAGTCAGGAAACAGCAAACGCATGGAGGAGATTTTTCTGAATTTCCCTTATCTGCCTATAGACAGATTCTACAAAATGAATGCAATTGTCATGATTCCTTTCTCCAGGAAGAATTAACTTGGATTAAAGGTGAGGAAAATGGATGTCTACACCACTCGCAGACGGGCTGCTACCCATTCTTCTAACGACCCCCTTATCTTTCCTCCAAATCATTGACTTTCCCTTATGAAGAAGGCATATAAGCTTCTATATCTCACTGGGTTTTGGGGTATTCACTTTTCTTTTTCTGTGATGCCCCCATGCACGTAATAAATTTGGGATCTTTTGTCCTGCTAATATGTCTATTGTCCATTTATTTCAAAGACGCAATTATCAAACCCTCAGAGGATAGAAGAAAAGTTCTGTCTCCCCTACAGTGACTTCTAAATAAGAACTTACTTATTCCTTAAAACATGTGTACATCCTTAATTTACAGATGAGAAAATTGAAGTAAAGAGAAGTTAAATAACTTGTCCAAGGTCGCAGAGCTATTAAATGGCAGAGGCAAAATCTGAACCCAGAAGTCTTACCCTTAACCTTAAGGCTAACTACATTACTTTTCCCAGTCTTAAATATTTTTAAAAAATGTGTCACCTATGTGCATGCGGCAAACAAGTAGCACCTTTGTGAGATTTACTAAGCATCAAATGGCCAGAAATCAGCAAAATTATCTTCACATTCTACCTTATTCATTTTAAAGCTTCTTAATGCTTATAGAGAAAATACCCTATTCTTGAAATTTACAGCCCACTCTAAACAATGCTTTATTGCTTTATTATTTCTTCACGAAAATACTGCTTAAAATAATTATAATTTCCACATTATAATTATTTCATATGTATTCAGTTACTGACATCTCCATTGACTTTCATTACACTGTCTCCTTAGTCATCTAAGCTGACTATGTTTCTACAATAAACTCAAAAATCTCATTTCTCAGATAGGCTTTATTTCTCTAATCCACCTTGTTCACTCCCCTTTTTCCTGCTCCACTACCAATATCCTCTTTAAAACACATGTATGTTCTTCATATTGACATCAAACAACAATTGTGTCTTACTTTACCCTTGTTTAAAAACAAGACAAAAACTGGAAAACTGTAGTTCTGAACATAAACTAAGTATTTGGAAAACATTATTTAAAATTAATTTTTTTCTAATACATTATGCTAAAGGAGTAGCAACTTTGACTTACTATAAGCTTAGCACACTCAATTGAGTGGTTTAAGTATCCTTAGGGATTCAAGCGTTATTTAAAGTAGTTTTATCTTGTAATTATAAAATAATATGGAATCACAAACATATCAATGATTTCACTTGCTCATGTTTATTAACTCACTTTAAAATCATATATCCCAGTATGCAGAATTATATCAGCTATTACACAGGGCTTTTAAAATATATGCAGGGCATATTTTTGTGAGTTTAAGTTACACATATGTAGTCAAAATTTATTAAGCATATTTTAAGTTCCATGCAATAGGAAAGGTACAATATGCTAGTCTTTTTAGCATATAATCTGACAATAATTATAATTAGTATATTTTAAGGGATGTTACAGTTTTAAAAATTCTAGGTTAATTATCATTCAGGAATGGAAAGTACATAACTTCTATCTTACACACACACACACACACACACACATACACACATCCAATTGTAATAGGTGTCATTAAAAAATCATGGCTATCTTTTCTAGTAAGCTTTGAAGAAGCCTCAGAATTCTCCTCAATACTGTGCACTTGGCAACTACTATCAATTGATTGAAGTTTGCACAATAGGTGAAACTCATTTGTCATTCCTACTGTTGCTAAAAATAATCTTATATGTCTATTTTTAAAAGAATGGTCTTTTGTAGAGAATTATAAAGGAACGCATGATAGGAATAACACAAATAGAAACTAGCCCAACTGATGACAATAGTTGATCTACTTAAACATTGGCAAGGTCCTTACATAACATTTTAAATGAATAAAGCAAGATAAATTAAATCCTGGATGTTAAGGCAACTTCGGTTATGTACATTCCATATGCTTTCCAAATTTTAATAAAAAATATGCAATGACCAGTGGTTTCCCAAGTTCAAGAAGTAATGAAGTATATGTAAATATAACAGTCTGTACTTGGAAAGGGCATGCAACTATTTTCACTAATTCTCAAAATTTAGGACAGCTTTCTGAAAGAAGCATTAAGAATTTTAAAGAATTGGGAGTATGTGGCCAAATCAAAGATGTCAAATCTCTTTAGAAATACACCAAAGTACAGAAAAATAGGAAAGAGAAAAATAATCAGTCAGAGCTTAAGTAACAGGTCTCTTTAATGACATTTGAAATATGATGTGTCCAGTACCCTATCCCAAGAAGAGCTCACATAGTTGTAGATTCAGACCTAATAATTACTAAAAAAAAGTACTGAACTTTATTTATAATAAAGAAATTCAAATGAAAATAAAATTTTGATAACAAAAATAGCAAGAATTATTTTGAAGATGATAGTAAGACCAATTAACATATAGGCTTCCATAACAGGTGACATGATAAACAGGTAAAATCATTATGGGAAGCAATATAGCACTATATATCAAGAATATTAAAAACATTCACACTATTTCATGTAGACTTGATCCATTCTAGGAATGTCTTTGAGAGAAATAATTACAGGTAAAGCTGGCCTATGTGCTCCACTTAAAAAGATACAGAATGGCAAAATGGGTAAAAAGCCACCAACCAAATATCTGCTGTCTTCAAGAGACTCGCCTAACACTTAAGGATTCATATAAACTCAATGTAAATAGGTAGAAAAAGATGTGCCATGCTATTAAAAACCAAAAACAAAAAAGAGTAGCTATTCTTATATCAGACAAAAAATATGTTAAATCAACAACAGTAAAAAAGATGACATTGTATAATCATAAAGGATCAGTCCAATAAGATATTACAGTCTTAAATTAATGTGCACCTAACACTGGAACTCCCAGATATATAAAACAAGTACTACTAGACCTAGAAATGAGATAGACAGCAACACAATAATAGCGGGGGATTTCAATAATCCACTGACAGCACTAGATAGATCAAGACAGAAAGTCAACAAAGACACAATGGACTTAACCTATACCCTAGAACAAAAGGACTTAACAAATATTTACAGAACACTCTTTCCAACAACTGCAGAATACACATTCTATTCATCAGCACGTGGAACATTCTCCAAGATAGACCATATGATAGGCCACAAAACAAATCTCAATACATTTAAGAAAATTAAAAATATATTAAGTATCTTCTCAGACCACAGAGGAATAAAACTGGAAATCAAAAAAAGAAACCCTCAAAATTATACAAATACATGGAAATTAAATAATCTGCTCTTGAATGACTTGGGGTTAATAATGAAATGAGGATAGAAATTTAAAAATTATTTGAAAGGAATGATAACAGTGGCAAAAGTTATCAAAACCTCTGGGATACAGCAGAAGCAGTGCTAAGAGGAATGTTCATAGCATGAAATGCATACATCGAAACGTCTGAAAGAACACAAGTTGACAACCTAATGTCATATCTCAAGCAACTAGAGAAACAAGAACAAACTAAACCCAAAACGAGCAGAAGAAAAGAAATAACAAAGATCAGAGCAGAAGTAAATGAATTTGAAACAAAAAAATACAAAAGCAAATTAAACAAAAAGGTATTTTTTAAAAGATAAAATTGATAGACCATTTGTGAGATTAACCAAGAAAATAAGAGAAAAGATCCAAATATGCTCAATTAAAAATAAAACTGGGGATATTACAGCAAATACCACAGAAATACAAAATATTTTTCAAGGCTAGTAGGAACACCTTTACGTGCATGGACTAGAAAATCTAGAGGAAATGGATAAAGTCCTGGAAACGTACAACCCACATAGATTAAATCAGGAAGAAATAGAAACCCTGAATAGACCAATAATAAGCAGCAAGATTCAATCAGTAAAAATAAAATAAAAATAGTCAACAAAAAAAGGCCAGGACCAGATGTGTTCACAGCTGAATTTTACCAGATATTCAAAGAAGAATTGGTACCAATTCTACAGACACTATTTCAAAAGAAAGAAAAAGAAACAATACTCGCTAAAGTATTCTATAAAGCCAGTATCACTCTAATACCAAAACCAGGAAAGGACATAAGCTGAATCAAACAACACCTCAAAAAAATAGTACATCATGATTAAGTGGGTCTCATCATCCCAGGCATGCAGAGATGGGTTGACATATGCAAGTTAATAAATGTAATACATCACAAAAACAAAATTAAAGACAAAAACCATATGATCCTCTTAATAAATGCAGAAAAAACAGTTGATAAAATCCAGAATCTTGTTATGATAAAATACTTCAACAAAATAGGCATAGAAACGATTTACTTCAAAGTAATAAAAGGCATGTATGACAAACCCACAGTCAACATTATTCTGAATGGGGAAAAATTGAAAGCATTCCCCCTGAGACCTGGAACAAGTCAATAATTCTCATTTTTACCATTTCCTTTTTTTTAATTTTTAATTATACTTTAAGTTCTAGGGTACCTGTGCACAACGTGCAGGTTTGTTACATATGTACACATGCGCCATGTTGGTGTGCTGCACCCATTAACTCGTCATTTACATTAGGTGTATCTCCTAATGCTATCCCTCCCCCCTCCCCCCACCCCACAACGGGCCCCGGTGTGTGATGTTCCCCTTCCTGTGTCCAAGTGTTCTCATTGTTCAATTCCCACCTATGAGTGAGAACATGCTACGTTTGGTTTTTTTTGTCCTTGTGATAGTTTGCTGAGAATGATGGTTTCCAGCTTCATCCATGTCCCTACTAATCAACATAGTACTGGAAGTCCTAGTCAGAGAAATCTGGCAAGAGAAGGAAATAAAGGGCATCCAAATTGGAAAAGAGAAAGTCAAACTGTTGCTGTTTGCTGCTGATACATTCGTATACCTAGAAAACCATGAAGACTCATCCAAAAGGCTCCTAGATCTGATAAACAAATTCAGCGAAGTCTTAGGCTACAAATTCAAAGTACACAGATCAGTAGCACTGCTATACACCAACAACAACCAAGTGGGCAATCAATCAAATCAATAATTCCATCCCTTTTACAACAGCTGCCGAAAAATAAAAATATATAGGAAAATGCTTAACCAAGGAGGTGAAAGATATCTACAAGGAAAACTACAAAACACTATTGAAAGTAAACATGGATGACAGAAACAAATGGAAATACATCTCATGCTCATGGATGGGAAGAATCAATATTGTGAAAATGACCACAGTGCCAAAAGCAATCTATAGATTTTATGAAATTTATATCAAAATACCATCCTCGTTTTTTAAAAAATCTAAAATTTATATAAAACCACAAAAGCCTATAAAGCCTAAGCAATACTAAGCAAAAAGAACAAATCTGGAGGAATCACATTATCAAACTTCAAATTGTACTACAAGGGTATAGTTACCAAAGCAGCACTGTAGTGCTATAAAAATAGGCACTTAGACGAATAGAACAGAATAGAGAACCCAGAAATATACCCAAATACATATTGCCAACTGATCTTCAACAAAGCCTAAAAAAACATAAATTGGAGAAAGGACACCCGATTCATTAAATGCTGCTAGGAAAACTGGCTAGCCACATGTCACATGTAGAAGAATAAAACTGGATCTCCGTCTCTCACTGTACATAAAAATCAACTCCAGGTGGATCAAAGACTTAAATCTAAGACCTTAAACCATAAAAATCTCCGAAGATAATATTGGAAAATCTCTTCTGAACATTGGCCTAGGCAAAGAATTCATGACTAAGACTCCAAAAGCAAAGGCAACAAAAACAAATATAAATGGGACCTCATTAAACCAAAAAGCTTCTGCATAGCAAAATAAATAATCATCAGAATAAACAGACTACCCACAGAGCAGGAGAAAATATTTGCAAATTATGCATCCAAAAAAAATGACTAGTATCCAGAGTCTACAAGGAACTCAAATCAGCAAGAAAAAAAAAAAGCAAATAATCCCATCAAAAAGCGGCCAAAGGATGTGAATAGACATTCCTCAAAAGAAGATTTAAATCAAGTTTAGCCTAAAGCTTCCTCCTTACATATTTTATGTTTGGCCTAAAGGTTTCTCTATACATCGTAAACTATACCTAAATAGAGTTAAAAACAGACTGTAGCCTACTCTTGTGCCAGTCACTGAGTTTTGGCCGAAGGTGGCCACATATTCAAACCATATTCAAATAAGGCAAACACTGAGCTATAACCAATCCAGTCGTTTCTGTACTTCAGTTCTAGTTTTATACCTCACTTTCCTTTTTCTGTCTATAAATGTTTTTCCTCCATGTAGCTGTGCTGGAGTCTCTAAGACGACTTTGGATCAGAAAGCTGCCCAATTCGCAAATTTTTGTTTCTCGTCTTCCCTCACCTGAGGTCAACCAGGTGGCTGTCCCCTTGCAATGTCTAAGGTTGACCAGATATCTCTCGCCTTCCTTTGACTAAGGTCTACCAGATGTCTCTCACCTGCCCATATCTAAGGTCGACCAGATAGTTCAGGCCTTCTCACGTCAAAGATCTACCATATGTCTCTCGCCTTCCCATGCCTGAGCTTGGCCATATGTCTCTCGACGCCCCATGCCTGAGGTCGACCAGGTGGCTGTCCTCTTGCAATGTCTAAGGTGGACCAGAGGTCTCTCGCCTTCCCTTGACTAAGTTCTACCAGATTTCTCTCACCTTCCCATATCTAAGGTCAACCAGATAGCTCAGGCCTTTTCACGTGAAAGATCTACCATATGTCTCTCGCTGACCCATACCTGAGGTCGACCAGGTGGCTATCCCCTTGCAATGTCTAAGGTCGACCAGATGTCTCTCGCCTTCCCATGCCTGAGGTAGACCAGGTGGCTGTCCCCTTCAACGTCTAACGTTGACCAGAAGTCTCTCGCCTTCCTATGCCTGAGGTCCACCAGGTGGCTGTCCCCTTGCAATGTCTAAGGTCGACCAGATGTCTCTCTCTTTCCCATGCCTGAGGTCAACCAGGTGGCTGTCTCCTTGCAATGTCTAAGGTGGACCAGATGTCTCTCGCCTTCCCATACCTGAGGTTGACCAGGTGGCTGTACCCTTGCAATGTCTAAGGTGGACCAGATGTCTCTCGCCTTCCCTTGACTAAGGTCTATGAGATGTTTCTCACCTTCCCATATCTAAGGTCAACCAGATAGCTCAGGCCTCCTCATGTCAAAGATCTATCATATGTCTCTCGCCATCTCATACCTGAGGTCGACCAGGTGGCTGTCCCCTTGCAATGTCTAAGGTCGACCAGATGTCTTTTGCCTTCCCATGCCTGAGATTGACCAGGTGGCTATTCCCTTGCAATGTCTAAAGTCGACGAGATGTGCCTCGCCTTCCCACGACTGAGGTCGACCATATGTCTCTCCCCTTCCCATGCCTGAGGTCGACCAGCTGGCTGTCCACTTGAAAAGGCTAAGGTCGACCAGATATCTCTCGCCTTCCCATGGCTGAGGTAGACCAGATGGCTGTCCCCTTGCAATGTCTAAGGTCGACCAGATGTCTCTCTCTTTCCCATGCCAAAGGTTGACAAGTTGGCTCTCTGCATGCCATGTCTGAGATCTACCAGATGTCTCTCACCTTCCCGTGCATAAGGTTGACCAGATGGCTCTCCCCTTGCCATGGCTAAAGACTACTACGTCTTTCACCTTCCAAAGCCACTGATTGACAAGATGGCTCACGTGTTGCCATATCGAAAAACCACCACATATTTTTTGCCTCCCAAAGCCAAAGATCGATGAGATGGCTCGCCTCTTGCCCTATCTAAGCATACCAGATGTCTCTCCCCTTCCCATGACGAAGGTCTACCACATTTCTCTCACCTTCCCATATCTATGGTTGACCAGATGTCTCTCGCATTCCCATGCCTGAGCTCGACCATATATCTCTTGACTTCCCATGCCTGAGGTCGACAAGGGGGCTATCCCCTTGCAAAGTCTAAGGTGGACCAGTTGTCTCTTGCCTTCCCATGCCTGAGGTCAACCAGGTGGTTGTCTCCTTGCAATGTCTAAGGTTGACCAGATGTCTCTCGCCTTCCCATATCTGAGGTTGACGAGGTGGCTGTCCCCTTGCAACGTCTAAGGTGGACCAGATGTCTCTCGCCTTCCCATGCCAAAAGTTGACAAGATGACTCTACCTGTGCCATGTCTAAGTTCTTTCAGATATCTCTTGCCTTCCCATGCCTAAGGTTAACCAGAAGGCTCTCCCCTTCCCATGCCTGAGATTGAGCTGATGGCTCTCTCCTTGCCATGTCTGAGGTCTACCAGATGTCTCTTGCCTTCCCATCCCTAAGGTTGACCAGATGGCTCTCCTCTTTCCATGTCTCAGATTGATCTGATGGTTCTCCCTTTGCCACGTCTAAGGTCTACCAGAGGTCTCTTCCCTTCCCATGCCTAAGGTTCATCAGAAGGCTCTCCCCTTTCCATGCCTGAGATTGAGCTGATGGCTCTCTCTTTGCCTTGTCTAAGGTCTACCAGATGTTTCTTGCCTTCCCATGCCTAAGATTGACCAGATAGCTCTCTTTCTATGACTGAGACTGAGCTGATGGCTTTCCCTTTGCCATGTCTAAGGTCTCCCAGATGTCTCTTGCCTTCCTATGCTTATGGTTGACCAAATGGCTCTCCCTTTCCCATGCCTAAGGTCGACCAGATGTCTTTCGCCTTTCCATGCCTAAATTTGACTAGATGGTTCTTGCCTAGAATCCTAGAATATGGTGTCTTTAAGGTTCATGAAAGGACAGAAAGGATCCTGAGAAACACTTTTGAATACACGTTTTTGATAACTTTAGAAATCACATAATTTGGACTGGATAAGAATTCCTGGAACTTTCATGAAAAGACTTACTGGTTTATAAAACAGCTAACCCAAGCAATAGAAACATTAATTGAATTCCAAGGAAATAATTTGCCATATTTTCATGCTAGATCAGTCAGTACTAAAATTGTTTAAATATACAGTTTGAATGAACTTCATGCTTTAAGTCAAATTACCTAATGATAACCTATCAGTTATCAGTGCTATGTACCTAAATTGGAGAAACAACCGGTATTCGAGAGGACATAAATCCAATGTTAAGCGTGGACTCATGTAGAACCCTGATGGTTGCCTTGTCCTTTCTGAGTCCCGAAAACTTTTTATTGAAAGTTCTCCATTCCATGACTCATCATGGAGAAGATAAAATGATCTAAATTAAACATATGTATATGAGTATATGTGTGTGTATGTATATGTATATATGTGTGTATATATGTGTGTGTGTATGTGTGTGTGTGTGTGTGTATATATATATATATATATATATATATATATATATATATATAGTTACTTCTAAATTGCTAAAATATTTTATGACCAATGTTTGGTTTGTTAAAACCATATTCCCGAGCAGACAATCAAAACTCCTATCCACAATCAGGTAGTACATTCCAATACCTGATGGGCTATTTAAATATTTATAGAGAGATTCTATTCCATTGTCATTTTAAATGAATGGTTTTTTTCTGGTTGTATAAAAGCTTTCTCATGCAAGAGGGCTGTTATAACAGTAGCTCATTATGCCACACTGTATTTACTCCAGCAAAGAAAAATTTTCATGATTCACTGATTGAGGACAATCAACCCCTTCACATTCTAGAACCCAAAGGCTGGATCTTCTGAGAACATCCAAGAAAGACTGCCCTTGCCATCCACACTGCTGGAAAACTTCAGGACCTTGAACCTTAGGCTCATAGTCTCACAACTCAGAAGGGTCCCTCCACACTCTTGGAACTGTATATCCATTGGAAACCTTAAGGTTAACCTAACCAGGGAAGTTTCTCTCCAGAAGAAGATGGCATCCAGGAGGTGGACGTCTTTTTCCCAAGATCACAGAACAAGACTTCTCTACTATCCTGAGACTCTTATCTTCCATTTTTTCCTCTTGCTTATGCATGTGTGAACAATAGAAATGAAAAGGGGGTCTGTTCAGCCATCCCATTACTGGGTATATACCCAAAGGATTATAAATCATGCTGCTATAAAGACATATGCACACGTATGTTTATTGCGGCACTATTCACAATAGCAAAGACTTGGAACCAACCCAAATGTCCAACAATGATAGACTGGATTAAGAAAATGTGGCACATACACACCATGGAATACTATGCAGCCATAAAAAAGGGATGAGTTCATGTCCTTTGTAGGGACATGGATGAAGCTGGAAACCATCATTCTCAGCAGACTATCGCACGGACAAAAAACCAAACACCGCATGTTCTCACTCATAGGTGAGAATTGAACAATGAGAACACTTGGACACAGGGCGGGGAACGTCACACACCAGGGCCTGTCGTGGGGTGGGGGGAGTGGGGAGGGATAGCATTAGGAGATATACCTAATGTAAATGATGAGTTAATGGGTGCAGCACACCAACATGGCGCATGTATACATATGTAACCAACCTGCACATTGTGCATATGTACCCTAGAACTTAAAGTATAATAATAATAAAAAAAGAAAAGGGGGTCTGTTGTGTGCATTAATGGGGTATAATTTTATTTGTGAATAATTTTGCAGCCAACCTTACACATGGAAAACATACCTTGATAGATGGAAGATGAAGGCACAATGTAGGTGAGAAATTATAATGGTACATATTACGCCTGATAATCAGTCAGAAGCAGAACATTAGTCCACTCCTCTTAACCCACATCATGGTTAAAGAGAACACTGCCAGGACGTCTTCACTATTCTAGAAGAGCATCATTTGCTAGGTCCTTTTTCCTTGGGTTGAAGTAAATGAGACAATTAGGAATGTATCACTCATGATAGGCTTTATAGCAGATTCTACTGTAAAGGCTAAGCTTACATGACAGATTTTGAATTCTATTATGAAAGTTGTGTTAAATAACAAAATCTCTCTAGATTACTTACTGGTTAAACAGAGAAGTGTCTATGCAGCTGCTGGCCCTCCTTGTTGCCCATGGAGAAATACATTACATTGGTTATTATAGAAATTCAGTTATAGAATATTAATGAAGAAACTGCTTAATTAAAGCAAGTAGACTCTTTATCTAACTCATTCATTGATCACTTTGATTTTAGTTGGTTTGGTTTATGTGGACACTGGCTGAGAAGCATACTCCAAACTCTTGATATTATCCTCCTGATAGTCATAATAATAGTCACCCTGGTATGCTATATTCTTTCAGAAGGTTTCAATTTCTTAATACAGCCATCTCTAGAATGTCAAATGGTCTCTCTTCAACTGGAATAACAAGAGCTGAAAGAAATGTATGACCATGAGGTCACCATAACCTATGAATGACGTGCTGAGACTGGAAACTCAAAATGATGGTAACTGAGAGCAGCACTAAGGCCCTCTGTTTTGGTCACGCTCTCCCTTAAGCTAGAACCTGTCCAAAGGGGGAAATTTTTAAAGAAAATTATGGGAAGCCATTGTTTTGAGCTGAGCTCATGCACTAGGCCCCATCAGACCACACAAAACCAAATGGACTCACTTATACTAAATGTGACGATCAAACTAAGACTTTAAGAGAACACATAGATCCTAGAACAGACAGAGTTTTGTTTTCCTCCTGTAAACAGGATATTCCAGCATAAGGAGGGTACCTCCTACTCTAACCCTGACAAAAAATTAAAATGAAGTCCTTGTTCCCACCTTACAAAACCCACTGTTCTGCTATTTCCCCATGGGCTTCAAGACCAAATAAGTACACTTACAATGATGATAGTGACATCAGTGACTACATTTTGGGCCAATTTCTCAAAATTTAGAGGATGACCAAAAGGGAGAAATTGTTAAGCCAAGTTTAGCATAAAGCTGCCTCCCCACATATTTTAACTGTGGCCTAAAAATTTTGCTGTACACTTCTCATGAACTATAACCTAAACAGATTTGTAAACAAACTGTAGCCTACTCTTGTGCCAATCCCCAAGTTTTGGCCAATCAGAGGTGGCCAACTATTTAAACCACATTCAAACAAGGCAAATGCCGAGCTGTAACCAATTCAGCTGTTTCTGTAGCTCACTTCCATTTTCTGTATGTCACTTTCCTTTTTATGTCCATAAATCTTCTTCCAGCAGGTGGCTGTGCTGGAGTCTCTGAGCCTACTATGGCTTGGGAGGCTGCCCAAATTGGGAATTGTTCTTTCCTCAATTAAACTTTTAAAAAATTTAATTGGGCTAAAGTTTTTCTTTTAACAAAGATATACAAACAAGCAACAAACACATGAAACAAATGCTCAATATCACTAATCATCAGGGAAATGCAAATTAAAACCACAATGAGGCCGGGTGCAGTGGCTCACGTTTGTAATCCCAGCACTTTGGGAGGCCGAGGCAGGTGGATCACCTGAGGTCAAGAGTTCGAGACCAGCCAGGTGAAACCCCATCTCTACTAACAATACAAAAATTAGCTGGGCGTAGTAGTGCACGCCTATAATCCCAGCTACTCAGGAGGCCGAGGCAGGAGAATTGCTTGAACCCGGGAGACGGGGGTTGCAGTGAGCTGAGATCGTGCCACTGCACTCCATCCTGGGTGACAGAGCAAGACTCTGTCTCAAAAAACAAAACAACAAAAATAAATAAATAAATAAAAATCACAATGAAATACCACCTTACTCCTACAAGAATGGCCATAATTAAAAAGTCAAAAAAAAAAGATGTTGGAGTGGATGTGGTGAACAGGGAACACTTATGCACTGCTGGTAGGAATGTAAACTAGCACAACCACTATGGAAAGCAATACAGAGATTCCTTAAAGAACTAAAAGTAGATCTACCATTTGATCCAGCAATCCCACTAATGGGTATCTACCCAAAGGAAAAGAAGTCATTATATAAAAAAGACACACGCACATGCTTGTTTATAGCAGCACAATTCATAATTGCAAAGATATGGAACCAACCTAAGTGCCCATAGACCAATGGGCAGATAAAGAAAATGTGGTATATATATATCATGGAAAGCTACTCAGCCATAAAAAGGAATGAAATAATGTCTTTTGCAGCAACTTGGAAGGAGCTGGAAGCCATTATTCTAAATGAAGTAAATCAGGAACGGAAAACCAAAAATTGTATGTTCTCACTTTTAAGTGGGAACTAAGCTATGAGGATGCAAAGACATACAGAGTGATATAATGGACTCTGGGGACTGAGAGGGGAAGAGTGAGAGGGGAGTGAGGGACAAAAGACTATATGTTGGGTACAATGTATACTGCTCAGGTGATGAGTGCACTAAAATCTCAGAATTAATCATTAAGAACTCACCCATATAATCAATAACAACCACCTGTACCTCAAAAGCTATTGAAATAAAAAGTAATAATAATTAGAGATAAAACGAATAACTTACAGGCAAAATTGGCTATTAAAACATTACTGATAAAATTAAAAAGTCAAGAAACCAGAGAATACTAAACATAGAAAAAAGGTTACATATATTAAAGTATATCCTATGATAGAATACTACTCAGTATTAACATAGTATTTACAAAAAATAGTAATAACATTAAAAGTCCTTATGTTATTATACCATCTAAAAAATATAAGATACAATTGTGTGTACAGTATGATCCTGACTATGATACAATATAAAAAGCATAAAAATGTTGGCAAGATGTTAACAGCAGTTACATCTTAGTAGCAAATTTGTTTATTATTATTTTTCTACTTGGTTATAACTTTCAGCACACATAAAAAAATCTAGACTTATTTTCAAGATGGCAGAATAAATCCACATGGAAAATTTTAAAAACAGGCAGAGTATCAAAAGAGATTAGCTCCAAAGAAACATCACTCAGACTGACAGCAGACTTCTCATTCACGGCGGTATATGTCAGAAGACAGAAACATGCCTTCAAAATGCTGCAGGGAAATATCTCGCAAAATATAATTGTATATTCAGCTAATCTGTCATTCAAGAATGAAGATATAATGAAGAATATTTCAGCAGATATACAAGACCAAGCAACTCTAACTAGGAAAATGTACAAAATAAAACAAAAATAAAAAGAAACAGTTTTACTCTAACATAAAGAAAAGTGAACTCCTAAAGAAGGAATGAGACATAAGAAAAAAAGGTGTGAAAGGAAATCATAAAAAACCAGAAGAAAAACACACAAGTAATTTTTAAAAATTGACGATAGAAGTACAACACCTAAAACAATGTAGATATTCTGTTTTACCTATTTAACTTTTAGATTAACTGATATTTCTCTTTCCTGCCGTAAAATCTTTCAATTTTTGGTTGATAACCACAGCACATACACACTTGTGTATCTAACAGACCATTCTCTACTTTGCCCATATACTTTAGCTCACCACTATTCATTTGTGTGTTGCCAAGGGTCAGTTGCGTTTGATCCAAAACCTGTTTCATCTGTTCTTCTTGTAATTACTGTATCTAAATTAATCAATTATATTAGCTTTATGAAAAGGGGTTGTTTCTATAGTAACTGAATATAATGCTTTGGAAAAACCTTCTAGAAGCAAGTTATTTTAGAAAAAAGATACTATCAAATTTAATGTGGTTCAGACAAGTTTAAAATCTTAGTAAAAATAGTGTCAACACCCAGAAGGATTTTACATTCACATTGATTCATTTAAATTTTCACTACTTTCAAAATGAATACACACTAAAACTCATGGAGTTGCACTGTTGATGTGGTTTCTGAAGAGAAGAGAAGACACACTATATTCAAAGGAACCACACAAAGACATTATTGGACTTTGTCAAATGGATTTTATCCACATATATTGATATGACCTCAGTTTTCCCCCTCTTAGTTTGTTAATATGGCAAGTTCATCGGTTTTCAAATATTAAACCAATCTTGTATTTCAGGAATAAACTGTACTGGATAGTGTCTTTTTCATATGTATTCTGATTTTAGTTGCTAGAATTATGGCAATTGCATTGGCATGTAGTTTGCTTTTCTTGTCATATCTTTGATTGGGTTGATATTAAGGTAATAAAGGCCTTATAGAAGGAGTTGGGAATTGTTTCCTCTTCTGCAGTTTTCTGGAAGAGATTGTGATGAATTAATATTTATTCTTTAGTGTTTGGTAATTAATTAATGTCTTTATACATAAAGTGTGTTTCTTATAAGAAGCATATAGTCAAGTCTTGCTTTTACATCCAGTCTGATAGTCTCTGCTTTTCAACTGGACTGTTTAGAACATTTATATTGGATATGATTTTTGATATACTTAGGGGTTCCTTTTCTTTGTTGCCTTCCCACAAATATAAGGAGTTTTCAGTAATGCCCCAATGAAAGCAGTGCTTTTTGTCTTCCCCCGCAGATTAAGGCTTTTGTTCTACTGTTGAGAGAAGAGAAAAGCATCTGGGGGCAGTTTTTCCCCTGTGGAACTGAACTACCCTTTTTGCGTCCCAAGTCTGCAACACAATAGCCATTTCTTTAGATCTCTTTCCAGTCTTTTCTGTTTGGACCAGTGCGGTTGGTGGTGAAAGAGGCTATAAGTGGATTTGAACTCCATCAATTTTTCTGACCCTCTTAGAGAATTCGCACTCTCCCACCAATCTGATCTTGGCCTTCATTAATTTGACAGACATTCTCCCTGAATTCTTCTTCCCACTATCTGATTAGATCTACCCCAGTTGTGAAAGAGTTCATGACTACAGACGCTGAAGTCACCTTGTATCCTCAGGTTTTGAGTAGGGTGGTTGCTCTGCAACCTTGGCTCTCTCTGTTTGAATATCAATTTAAAGTAAACTTGTCTCTTTTTCATTGTAAATTTAGGAGTGATGCTCCTTCCATCCAGCTCTCTAGTTCTCATAACAGAAGCTGGAAATCCTTTGGTGTACACCTTTAACTTATCACAAACTACTTTCAAGTGATATTATACTATTCCACATATAGTTTAAGAACCTTATAATAGCACAGTATAATTTCGTTTGTTCTAGTTTTTGTGCTATTATTGTTATAGATGTTACTTGTACATATGTTATAAACACCACACAACATGACATTAGAATTTGATACGTGCTATGATGAGGAAATATAAGCAGCTATGGGAATAACCATAAGAAGCGTGGCAGGGCGAGGTGGTTCACGCCTGTAATCCTAGCACTCTGGGAAGCCCAGCCGGGTCGATCACCTGACGTCAGGAGTTCAAGACCAGCCTGGCCAACATAGTGAAACCCCATCTCCACTAAAAATACAAAAATTAGCCAGGCATGGTGGCACACGCCTGTAGTGCCAGCTACTCAGGAGGCTGAGGCAGGAGAATCGCTTGAACCCGGGAGGCAGAGGTTGTAGTGAGCCGAGATTGCACCACTGCACTCCAGCCTGGACGACAGAGCGAGACTCTGTCTCAAAAAAAAAAAAAAATAGAAGCGTTTCCCCAGATATGGGAAGAAGACTATCAGAAAAGCATTCTCAGAAAATGATCTCAAGTCTTATAATTGAAAGATGAATAAAAGTTATCCAGATAAAGTGGACTGGGCAGGGAGGAGATAGTGCTAGGCTGAGATAGTGGCTTGGGATGAGGCTGGAGAGACAGGGAGGGATCAGAATATACGGTACCTGTGGGTTATGGTAAAGAGTTTAAACTTTAAGCACAGTAGTAACCTATGAAAAAGTTTTAAGTAGAAGAAACATCTGATCCAATTAATATTTTTAATAGATTATATTCGCTTCTATGAGGAGAATAGGTTGTTACACAGGGTGCATAAGGAGTCCAAGTAGATAGAGGTAGCCATTGAAATACAGGAGTGGGGACAGTCTAGTATGAGGAAATAGCAAGAACAAAGGTCCCAAGGTAATAAGGAGCTCGGTTAAAAAACAGAAAGGTGCCTGTTTGCCTCAAGTGTGGTTAGTAAGGGGGAGTGTGCTATCATCAGATAAGATTAGACAAAGAGTCAGAGACCAGATTATATAGGGATCAGTAGAACAAGTTTAGATTTTCTGTTTTTATTTTAAAAGAACAATAAAAGATATGAGCAGGTTGGGGGAAAGGGGAAGAATGAGGAGAATTATTTTTATTTTTCCTTTGCTGTTTTTGTGTACACACATTTCCATTTACAACAAGTTATGCATACTACTCTTACACTAGAGAGTGAATTTATATTTTTTAGACAAAAAAACAGCAATAGGAAATGGCTGAAAAGTTTTTATCCAATGATCATAATCTAACTTGCACTTTTAAATTTTACATGCATTTTATTTTTTATTTTTTGAATAAAAGAGTTATAAAAAAAGAACAGAGAGTTCTTATAAACTCTTCACCTAGCTTCCTATAAAGTTAGCATCACATACAATTATAGTACAGCAATAAAAAATACCAGAAAATTAACCTCAATAGCAATACTATTAACTGTTATACAGATCTTATTTAAATATCACCAATTAAACTACTAAGGCCTTTTTTAGGTTGTTTTGGTCTAGGATCTCACATTGCATTTTATTTTGATGTTCCCTTTAGTATTCTGCATTCTATAAGAGTTCCTCAGAGCTACTTTGTTTTTTGTGATCTTGGCATTTTCAAGAGCACTAGCCAATTGTTTTGTATTATTAGTAGTGAATGGGTAAATAACTACCATTCTAAACCTAGTTTCCCATCATGGCTTCCCATCTGAATAAATGGAACCACAATTCATCCAGTTGTGCAAAGCAAGAAACCTAGAAGTTATCCTTTGTCGCCTCTTTTGCTCAGCAAATCCCCTTAATCAATTAAGGCTTAACGCCTATTAATTATAATTCTTAAATCATCTCCCACATCAGGGAGATAGTTTTCTCCATTTTGTCATCCCTTCTAATCTAAAGAAACCATCACTGGTAATCTAAACTAATGCAATAGCTTCCGAACTAGTTTCTTTCCTCCCACTCTTGTATTTCTCCAACTCATTATCCATACTTCCTCTTAAAATAACTGACTGACAGAACTCATCCAATGTTTCTCATCCCAAAGTATATCACTACCCTTCACCCCATCCTACAAGGCAGAAACCTTGGAGTTCTTCCTTATATCTCATATTTTCTCACCCAACCATATTCAATTCATCACCAATTTTATTGACTTTTATTCCAATATATAGCAAATATTTATTTACTTTTTATGACTATCTAGTTTAAGTCACATTAGCTCTTATGTCATCTAATTTAACAGTCTCTTCTCTATTTTGCCTAACTCATATCTTGCTTTTCACCAATCTATTCTCTAGGTTAAATCCAGAAAACCCTTAAAAATGTAAATCAAATTACCAAGAAAAAATAATAACTCCACAATAGAGCAACTTGGCAGACATCATTGTAATCAAATGATACAGGTTAACATCACCAGTACCAAGATGGATTAACATCATGCACCTGCTGATATGATGTACTGATATGGGCGCAACATCATTTTGTAATATTTTTATTAAAAATGCAAAAGCTCACTAGAATCATGAAAACACATTAGACAAATCAAAGTGAGTACTATGCTACAAAACAATTGGCCAGTGCTCTTGAAAATGCCAAGATCACAAAAAAACAAAGTAACTCTGGGGAATTCTTATAGAATGAAGAATGCTAGAGGGAACATCAAAATAAAATGCAATCTGATATACTAGTCCAAAACAACCTAAAAAAGGCCTCAGTAGTGCAATTGGTGAAATTTAAATAAGATCTGTATAACAGTTAATAGAATTGCTATTGAGGTTAATTTTCTGTTTTTTTTAATTGCTGTACTATAATTGTATGTGATGCTAACTTTATAGGAAGCTAGGTGAAGAGTTTATAACATCTCTCTGCTCTTTCTTATAACTTTTTATCCAAAAAATAAAAATTAAAATGCATGTAAAATTTAAAAGTGCAAGTTAGATTATGACCATTGGATAAAAACGTTAAAACTTTTCAGCCATTTTTCTCATTGCTGTTTTGTTTTTTTTTTTTTTTTTTTTGCTTCTGTGGGAGACAGAGTAGTAAGGATGGGGTAGATTTCTCCTGATAGAGAAAGGTTAAACATGTACTGTTAAAACATGGCTTTCCAGCAGTATATTGTAGAGTCTGGCAGGTTAACATTTTTTCATGGTTTTTAAAAGCAAGACACAAGGAATTTTGTCAAGAGATACAGTTCCTTCTCATGCATGTTACTAATTCTTTTTTTTAAACTTATATTTTAAGTTCAGGGGTACAAGTACAGGTGTGTTACATAGGTAAATTTGTATCATGGGGGTTTGTTGAATAGATTATTTCATCACCCAGGTATTAAGCCTAGTACCCATTAGTTATTTTTCCTGATCCTCTCCCTCCTACCAGCCTCCACCCTCCAGTAGGCCACAGAGTGTTGTTTCCCACTATGTGTCCATGTTATCCTTCGATAAAATGTGTGATGTTGCTTTAGCTAGCACCACCGGAATCCCTGCTGGCTTTCTATTTCAGCATGAGAAGCTTTTAAAAGAAGGCCACAACCCCATAAGGTAAACAGTTAAAAATCAATTGATGTAACAAATATCATACCATTCACACATTATATGGAGGCAAAGTCAGGCCAGGCAAAACTTCCTGTTGAAGAGAACACATTGTGTAACCACCTGAAAACTTCGACACCACCAGGAAAAGAATGTAAAGGCCACAGTGGGGAGAAAAGCTTGAATGTACTTATAACTAGAAGTAAAGTAACGTTTACCCCTTTCTAAATATTCTATGACAACAACATCTGTATCTTTTTAAGAAGAGACGGATTTTAATCATTTGCAGAGGATGAAATGGAGATGGGGCTCAGAGGTAAGGGAAAAATACAAAGCTGTGAAAGACATTGAACCACATTAAGAACGAGCTAATACTTCCTTTTTGTTTCCTGGTAACAAAAAATACTATTCACTTATTTTTCCCCTCTTCCTTTATTTCATTAATTTAGCAAATATAGAGAGAACTTCTAACGTGTGTACTTTGTTTCCGCTGTCTATGGCTTGACAGATGGCAAATTGCATAATTGTCTATCTAAAATTATAGCATATAAATCAGTGGAAAGATCTAGGACTCTTTGGTATCAATTAGAGATAGTATAGAACACACTGGTAAATAAGAATAGAGAGGGAATCCAGAAATGTATCTTAGTTAGCCATTCTAGTAGTTCTTTGGAGTCTGGCATGTACCATGTGATTTAATAATTATTATAACAAAATGAAATAAGGAACAAATTATTAATGACATATCATAGAATTTGAAGCAGGTAAAAATTAATTTCTATTAAACCGTAAAGAAAGCACAAAACCTTTTAGGAATCCTAGACTCTTTACTTAAAATTAATTAAGATCAAACAACTAGTCAATACAGTAAGACCTACCACTACCCTCAAACTTTCATCAAATATTTAATAGAATGCACTGTCTTTTTATTCACAACAGTTGACTTTTTACCACTCATTGAAATGTACATCTTGAATGGAAGCTTACAATACTATTCAGACTAAGCAATAACTTTTTTGTTCAAAAGCCTGGATATATCAAATGTAGATGGCCTGAATTATCTAGATTAATACTTATTTAACTTCTTATGTGTAGACACAAATTATTTTATTGTTGCAAATAGTCTTGAATAAACTTCCCCTAATAATATCTATTACTCAGATATCCACAGTAAAATATTTTAAATACATGTTTTTTTAAAAAAAATTACTAATGAAACCTGAAGTGTTTTATTTATTTTATTTTCCATATGCCTTACATTTTGCTAAGATGAAACAAAATTTTTTCCTAAAGAAGCAAATCTCCACCTGCTTCATGCTACCAAGGAATACTAAATATGATAGACAAGAATGCCCCACAAATGACAAGTGAAGAGGGTTTCTGCCTACCTGAAGTGCTAATAAAACCCAAATAATCAAGACTTTTTCTCTAGGTAAAGTCACTTTGTCTTTGGTGGCCAGTAAGATAAGATTGACAAGCATCTGTTTAGCTATTGAACTCTCAAACTCTATGAGTGCTGGTCTTGTTTCAGTACTTGGCTGTTCCTCAAATATGACCAATTTCCAAAACCCGAGGTTAATCCACATGAAATCCCATAGGATCTAGAATAATGATCGATATAAAGATTTTCAAATATAATAGGCTTAATTAGGGAGTATATTCATGATCGGCTTGTTCATATTTCCTAATTTTGATTCACTGAGAAATACAATTTTAAATGGGAAATATTCCTTCTTAGAAACTAGCAACCAATCCAGCTGGTTCATTTTTCTTTTCTTCTCCACATGAGGCCAGTTGCAAAAAAATTACTCTAGGCTGTGTGTGTTTTTAAGTGACCGGCATTCAAATGTGTACTACCTTCAGTGCATTTGAGCTACTCGAAAAGAAAATAAACGAATGGCCCTTTCTTGAACACCCCTTAAGAAGCAGGCAAGTTATTAACAGATCTGTTTAAGTGCTTTTGCATATGCTAAAGGACTGAGAACGGGAGCATGCACATTCTCAAAATCTGCACAGCCATGAAGAAGAACTGATTCTTGACTGAGACTCTGGGGAACTGGGGACTGGAGGTCCTGCCTGTATTGTTTTTCTTTGTGAATTTTAAATTTGATTTGGTTGAATCCCAAGAAGGAATAATGGTGACAGTTTCTGCTTCTTAGATCAGGAATAAGTATAGCTGCACTTGAGCAAAACATGTAGAAGTACAATGGAAACTAAGAGACAATTCACAGAACAAGAAATAAGAATTGCTATTACGGATGGAAAAATGTTCAGTCCTCAGTAATCATAAAAGGAATTGAAAATAAAAGCAATATATCATTTTTCATTGATCAAATTAGCAAAAATTAAAAAAAAAACACGTTTTGTTGGCAAGGGGGAGATAAGAAGGGCACTTTTATATATCACTTATGGGAATGCCAACCAATAGAAAGTTACTGTGAAAAAAATGACAAAACATACATGAGCCTTTCACCTGCTCATATCCTTTGATTCTGGCATTTAGAATTAACACAATTTGAAAAAGGTGATGGTTAGATAAGTAATTTCCCTTACACAGAGACCTACTCCTAGCTGACCCACAGAGTGAAGCCACTGACTGCTCTGTTGGGACATTTGGCTCACATTGCTGGTGAGTGTTTGAAAGAGGTCAATGCTACAGTGATTGCACTTGGATCCTTAGGGATTTTTATCTTTGAAATATTATTTTAAAATATAAAAATAAAATGGATAAAGCAATGCACAGATGAATAGTTCTTTAAGTCAAAGTCCATTGAAAATGCTTAGATCTGCTGTTTTATCTCTTGGAAAGTGAATTTATTTAATTGAAGTAAATCTGCAAATATCAGATTAGTAAGGGGTGCTTGATAGCAAGTCAAAAAGAAACTGCTCTTCCCACATATAGTAAAGGACATATTAGAATAAGTTGAGTTCATTTTAATCAAGTAAGCAGCTTCAGAGGATGGATTCTTGAAGGCAGCCTTACAAATGTCAATAATGTAAATGCTTACCAAGAAATGCATCCACACATTTCCCTGCCTGGCAACTGGGGTTATTGTGAACACTCTTCACCCTGCTTCACTGCACACCTACAATTAAATTACACTTTTCATCCCTGTATGGGCTCTCATTTGGTATCCCAAGGGGACTGGATTTAAAAGGATAGACCCTATGCACAGCCAGAATGGTCCTGATAGAGATACTAATCTTTAAAAATAAACAAAACGTATCATAGGTCTTGGAGACCAATGAATCATATGTGTCTAACTGATAGAAAAAAACTGCAAAACCATAATGTAAAAACTCTTAAGCATAGTCCTGCATTCTCATTGCCGACTGAACACTAAATAATAGCTTGGGAAGAATGATATGAGGATGAAACTGTCACGATGCATTGCTGCAAGAAAGGATTAAGTAGCCCTACTAATTAAGAGTCTGTCATTTTGACATGAAGAAAAAAATCACAAGAGGTGCCAGATATCTGGGAAAGACATGTGCTTGTCATTTCAATACAGAGACAAGGGAAAACCAGCTTGATTAGAAGAGCGCACATTGGAAAATTAGAGTCCTTTGCTTTTTTATAGCTTGTACTCCTGAAAACATTATTTTTTTTGAAAAATCAAAAGCTGCCCATTAACAGGCCCTGTAAGAGTCTTTAGACAGCTAACAGTGTTTAATAACAGCCATGCCTTAGGTCAATTCATACATTGGTGGTATTGTACAGTGTTTTGAGTCTATTATACCTGACATATGGAACATCTCTTTTTTGACTTAAATGTAATGTGGCTTCTAAGACATACAAGTATTTTGATGCCAGACTGTCAGATCTGTGGACTTGCTAGAGTATGGTGACCATGGCAATGCAGCTGTATGAGAGTTACGTGACCACCTTATCCTGCATTTCCTTTAAGGCTTGTAAAAGTGTTTTTATTCAGGTACTTTTAATACATTGTTCAATTAAATAGTGTCCATTTTGTGGATATGAAAGCTAACCATCAGGGTGCTTAAGCAACTTGCCAAAGGTCACACAGTACAGAATTGGAGAATAAGAATTCTCCCTAGGTTTGTCAGATATTTACAAAGCCTACATGGTTACCCCCATTGTACAATGACTCTGTAAGAATACTGGCATAAAGACAAGAGTCTGAACCTGGAGTCTAGTGTGATATAATTTGACTCTGTGTCTCCACCCAAATCTCATGTTGAATTGTAACTCCCAGTGTTGGGGGAGGGACCTGTTAGGAGGTGATTGGATCATGGGGGCAAATTTCACCCTTGCTGTTCTTGTGATAGTGAGTGAGTTCCCATGAGATCTGGTTCTTTCAAAGTGTGGAGGACTTAGCACTTTGCTCTCTATCTCTCTGTCACCATGTGAAGATGTGTTTGCTTCCCCTTCACCTTCTACTGTTAGATATGAGTTCTAAATTTCTTTTTGAAGAATCAATGTCAGTATGCTCGATTCTTTGCCTTCTACTTTTAAACTTAACTTCCTCATAAAGCAACCTTTTTCGATTACCTGCTCCACCCTGACTCATTTCAATCACCTGCTCCACCCTGACTCATTCTGATCACCTGCTCCACCCTGACTCAATCCGATCACCTGCTCCACCCTGACTCATTCCGATTACCTGCTATGTCATAACCATTTTTCCCGCCAAACCACTCAACCCGTCAATCTCTTTAAATTAGCCAATCAGAATTAGTTTAGCCTGTGCTGTCTAACCCTAGCCAATAGGGGAAAGACACAGCAGCAGGGGCCACATGCATCAGGGATAAGAACCCCTTCTCATCCCTTGTCCAAGTGTGCACTCACCATTGCTCCATCTGCAAGGGTGCACCCTTCTACAGAAGTAACTTGCCTTGCTGAGAATTAAAAAGAAAATTTTATATTTGAGTGCTATTTGTTTTGTGGCACCGAAACATTATTTATAACACTACCATGACTGTAAGTTTCCTGGGGCCTCCCAGCCATGCTTTCTGTATAGCCTGAAGAACTGTGAGTCAATTAAGTCTCTTTTCTTCGTAAATTACTCAGTGTCAGATAGTTCTTTATAACAAAGTGAGAACAAACTAAAACAGAAAATTGGTACCAGAAAAGTGGGGCATTACTATACAGATACCTGAAAATGTGGAAGTGACTTTGGAACTGGGTAACAGGCAGAGGTTGTTAACAGTTTGGAGGAATCAGAAGACAGGAAAATGAGGGAGTATGGAACTTCCTAAAGACTTGTTGAATGGTTGTGACCAAAATGCTGATAGTGATATGGACATTGAAGTCCAGGTTCAGGTGGTCTTAGATGGAGAAGAGGAACTTATTGGGAAATGGAGTAAAAGTCACTCTTGCTATGCTTTAGCAAAGAGAATGGTGGCATCGTTCCCCTGTTCTAGGTATCTGCAACTTTGAACTTCAGAGAGATAATTTCCTGTATCTGGAGGAAAAAATTTCTAAGCAGCAAAGCGTTCAAGCTGTGGCCTGGCTGTTTCTAAGCGCCTTTATGCTCGTTTGCATTAAAAATTACCTGAAACTAAAACTTATATTGAAAAGAAAAGCAAAGCATAAAAGTTGGAAAAATTTGCAGCTTGACCATGTGGTAGAAAAGAAAAACATATTCTCTGGGGAGAAATTTAACACTGCAGAAATTTGCATAAGTAACCAAGAGCCAAATGTTAATCACCAAGACAATGGCGACAATGCCTCCAGGGTATTTCGGAAACATTCGAGGCAACCCCTCCCATCACAGTCCCAGAAGTGTATAAGAGAAAAATGGTTTCATTGGCCAGGGCCAGTGTCCTGCTGCTCTGTGCAGCCTCAGGACATGATGCCCTGCATTCCAGCCGCTCCAGGTTCAGCTCCAACCACAGCTAAAAGGGGCCAAGATACGGCTCAAACTGTTACTTCAGAGGGTGCAAGTCCAAAGCCTTGGCGGCTTCCACATGGTGGGCCTACCGGTGCACAGAAGGCAAGGGTTGAGGTTTGGGAGCATCTGCGTAGATTTCAGAGGAGGTATGAAAATGCCACACCACATGGAAGTCACCAAGGCTTGGGGCTTGCACCCTCTGAAGCAATGACCTGAGCTCTACATTGGCCTCTTAGCACCAAGTACTGAGACTGCATAAAGCAGCAAGGCTCTCGGATCGGCCCACAAAATCATGTTTTCCTCATAGGCCTCCTGGCCTGTGATACCTTAAAAACCTCTGACATGTCCTGGAGACATTTTCCCCATTGTCTTGGTGACTAACATTTGGTTCCTCATTACTTATGCAAATTTCTGCAGCCACTCAAGTCACCTCTTGAACACTTTGGTGCTTGGAAATTTCTTCCGCCAGACACCTAAATCATCTCCCTCAAATACAAAGTTCCACAGAACTCTAGGGCAGGGTCAAAATGCCACCAGTCTCTTTGCTAAAACATAGCAAGAGTCACCTTTATTCCAGTCCCCAAAAAGTTCCTCATCTCCATCTGAGACCACCTCAACCTAGATTTTATTGTCCATATTACTTTCAGCATTTTTGTCAAAGCCATTCAACAAGTCTCTAGGAAGTTCCAAATGTTCCCAAAGACAAGGAACTTCCAAAAGTTCCCAAATCTTCCTGTCTGCTTCTGAGCCCTCCAAACCGTTCCAACCTCTGCCTGTTACCCAGTTCCACAATCACTTCCACATTTTCAGGAATTTTTACAGCAGTACTCCACTATCTGCTACCAGTTTACTATATTAGTCCATTTTCACACTGCTATGAAGAAATATCCAAGACTGGGTAGTTGATAAAGAAAAGAGGCTAATCTACAACTCTCTCAAAATTAAAAATGTTTATTTATTAAAAAAAAGAAAAAGAAAAAAGAAAAGAGGCTTAATTGACTCACAGCTCCACACGGCTGGGAAGGCCTCAGGAAATGTACAATCATGGCAGAAGGTACCTCTTCATAGGGCAGCAAGAGAGAGAATGAGGGCTGAGCAAAGGGGGCTCTTATAAAACCTTATAAAACCATCAACCCCATGATTTAATTACCTCCCACCAGGTCCCTCCCATCACGTGTGCGGATTATGGCAACTACAATTCAAGATGAGATTTGGGCGGGGACACAACCAAACCATATAAGAAGGCATGATTGTGTTCTTAAATGTGAGAAGGACATGAGATTTGGGAGGGGCCAGAGGTTGAATGATATCATTTGGCTCTGTGTCTCCACCCAAATATGTCAAATTGTAATTCCCAATGTTTGCCAAGGGGACCTGGTGGGAGTTATTTGGATCCTGGGGACACATTTCCCCTTGCTGTTCTTCTGATAGCAAGTGAGTTCTCATGAGATCTGGTTCTTTAAATGTGTGTAGCACTTCCCCATTTGCTCACTCTCTCTCCTGTCACAATGTGAATATGTACTTGCTTCCTTTTTGCCTTGTACCATAATTGTAAGTTTCTTGAAGCCTTCCAGCCATGCTTCCTGTACAGCCTGTGGAATCGTGCATCACTTACACCTCTTTTCTTCATAAATTACCCAGTCATGGGTAGTTTTTTATAGAAGTGTAAGAATGAACTAATACAGGTTTCAGCTCTTTTATTGACTCAATGGTTGATCTTAGGGAAATCAGCCTTTTAATGATTGTTTGCTTGTTCCCCTGTCCACTTGTCATTTTATGTGTCACTTCACTTCCTTTTCAACACAGCCCATGATGTTCATTGGCTTCTATTTCTCTCATTTCACCAGCATGATCTTTAAATACTTTTGGAATAAGAATTAATAAAAAAAAAAAAGGTTGAATTACTTCCCACAGGCTTGTAGGATAATTACAGAGAAAAAATCCCTCAGAGAGTTATATCAATCAGGGCAAGAGGAAAATATCAGAATTTGATACCTACAGTCCCTTCTTCTTATACATATTAGTTTTATTCCCTGAGTCTGTCATCATTAGTGAGCCCTCTGGAATTTGGTTAGTAGAGTAGAAGTGAAGAAAGCCCTAAACAGATTGTTTCATTAATTGTGTCATATATGCTAATATTCTCTTGCATTAGCTGTGATAATTGTAAGTTGACTGCAATAACAATGAGATTACTGCTGAAAATTGGTGGGGTTGATCTCATAAAGCAGAATGGGCAAAATTACCAAAGATGGCAAATAACTCTTTATCCATGTCTTCCTGCGGAAGAGAACAAAGAAAGCAGGCTATCTTGTAGACTACTAAGAAACAATTTCCTTCTAAGTAGAATTTGTGTTATAGAACTAGATGATAGGTTGTACTACCAACAACTATCCACACTAGTATCAATGAAAAATCTGATATACACCATTAAAAGGGTGGTAGATAGCATTAAATGTGGGGCAGGTAGAAACATAAACTTGTTAAGCATCCCGAGATGCCAGAGGGAACTCCACAAGGTTCTTCACAAAATTAATCAGATTTTTATCCAAAAACAGCCCTGCATTATGGGTACTTTTGTCTTCATTTTGCAGATGAAATTAATAAGGAGCATAGCATTTACCAACTTGCCCATTGCTGTAATTTAAATGTGTCTTCCAAATTTTATGTGTTAAAAACTTAATTACCAAATTCATATGTTGATTGAAGATGGGACCATTTGAAGATAATTAAGATTAGCTATGATCATCAGGGTGGATCCATCATGCCAAGCCTGGTGGCCTTACAAGAAGTGAGAGAAAGGCCTGAGCTCATATGCATTTTCTTACCCTTTGGCCATCTGATGCCTTCTGCCATGTAAGCAAGAGGGCCTTCACAAGATTCCAGTGCCCTGCCCTTAAGACTTCCCAGCCTCCAGAACCATAAGCTAAATAAACTCCTTTTCCATATAAATTACCTAGTTTCAGAAAGTCTGTTACAGCAGCAGAAAACAAACTAAGACACCTAGAATCCAACAGCCAATTATGACAAAGCTATCATATGACTTTAGAAGCCTTTGCTCCTTCCACTACACAATGCCAAATCATCTGGGCTCTCTCAGCTGATCCTCCTTAGCTTTTGTGATTGAAGGCACACATTTAACAGATGGGGAGAGGTGCAGTTTGTGGCTTTATAACAGAGTGCAGTACTCCCCTATGTGCACACAACTTATCATGTCCCTCATAATCACTAGGAGCCAACCAACTAACGAAACTCACCTAGGTTTAGAATCAGGGAAAATAAAAGTGCTACATAGACACTGGCAAAAGCTGGTTCGATATTTAATCAACTCCCTCAACAGCCCTTTGAAGAACACAGACTGCAATATCAGCCTCTTGATAGATGAGGAAACTGAGCCAAAGAAAGTTGAAGTGACTTGTCCAGCATCACTGAGACATTAGTTACAGAGCTAGGAAGAACCAAACAGCTTTGGACTGTTCTTTCAACTTCCTGTCGAGAACATTCCACATCAAACACAAAATACTGAAATACACAAACCAGCCACATAGGGTAATTATTCCTTGTAAGTAAGATATGATAAAAATATATGCTTCACAAAATGAAAAAAGGTAGCTTTGTTTCTATGACAGTCATTCAAAGTTTGGGGAGGGAACTGACTATTCAAGATGAGCCTGAACTTGAATTTCACAAATTAATTAGTTTTTTCTACAAGTGATTTTATCAAGATATTCCCTACTCATGTTCTGAAGTTTGGAAGAGGTATGTCCAGAATAAATATTCATTGTCCATCAGAGTCCCAAATGTGAATAATAAATAAAGTGCTATTATAGAAACCCAAGCATCAGGCCAAATTCCTTTTTCTTTCTGCCACTGAAACACAAGCCTGTCAGGGGGTGGGGGACAAGGGGAGGGAGAGCATTAGGACAAATCCCTAATGCATGTGGGTCTTAAAACCTAGATGACGGGTTGATAGGTGCAGCAAACCACCATGGCACATGTATACCTATGTAACAAACCTGCATGTTCTGCACATGTATCCCAGATCTTAAAGTAAAATTTAAAAAAAAGAAAGAGATACAAGTCTGAAAACAGACTACAATTCCTATTTTATACAGTTCAATTTGACTCCCTCACTCATCTTATTTGACCTTTTTGGTTCTTTATAAACATATTTAGAATAAATTCCAGTGCTGAGCACTTGGAGAGCACTTAAAACCTGAGTTGACACATGGATGGAATGATAATTTTGATTCAGGATATAATAATAATGATAATACCACTACTGTTATAAGCTCTTATTATACATCGGCCACTATGAGTTGTACTTGATATGCATTGCTTCATTTAATCCTCATAGAAAATCCCACAGGGAGAGGTACCATTATTTATTTTCATTGATAGTTGACAGATATAAAAACTGAGGCACAGCGTGTCAACATATTTCATACAACTATAAGAGTCAGAGCAGGTGTTCAAACTCAAGACTCTGATTCTAATGCCTCAGGTCTCAACTAATGTTCAAGACAATTATTCTGCCAAGAAGACTATACAGAAATACAGAGCCAATGTGTCTGCAAAATAAAGCAGTCCAAATTCCTAAGCAAAGATCAGACTGGGATGTTAGCCAATATGCTGTATTATTCCTCAAACTCTGCAAAAAAGACTGTGAGTCATTGACTATCAGTCAACAGGCATTTATTCAGCATATACCCTGTGTAAAGCTCTAGACAAGGAACTGAATGGATAGCCAGAAAGACTAGAAGAGAAGGCAAAAATAACCAACTTACAGAGGTCTGACTTGCAGAAAGGAAGAACTGACCACAAAAACTATTCCTAAAGTAAAATTGAGACTGTATCTATACAAATGAATACATTGGAAAATATAAGTTCAGCCATTCATTTATTATGAAGATATCAGTTGAATTAAAAAAAGTAGTTAGAAACTGTTTTAGTAATAGTGTATAAGAACTGCTTGATTAAATTCATATTACCCCAAACCAGTATGCATGTGTGTGTGTGTATATGTATATGTTTGGGTAGATAATATTAAAACTACTTTAGGTTGGTTTATGACTAATTTGCATTTATATCTGTTATTTAATGAGTCTTATAATTGAAATGTATCTATGCATTTGGATTATAAATGAGTAGAAAATTCCTAGAAAAAGATAAAATATAGAACATAAAGAGTTCAGCTTCCCCTTTTGTGCTGATTATTTACCAAGACACACAGAAAAAAAGGAAATATAGTTGAAGTAGTCTGTAAAATATAACTTATACAGCTGATATCTGTAAAGAGTGGTTTTTCAATTTAACTTTTCTACATTAAATTTGCACCTTACTTTTGATGTATAGTGCATGATTCTACCACGCTAAAGTACTGAAAAACTAAGTAGGTACAATTAAGGAGACAATTAATTTACAACAACATCTAAAGAAATAAAATACTCAGAAGTAAATGTAAACCGGTAAAAGACCTGTACAATAAAAACTATAAAACATTGATGAAAGAAATTGAAGAAGACACAAATAAATGGAAAAATATCCCATGTTCTTGGACTGAAAAAAATAATATTGTTAAGATGTCTGTACTACCCAAAGCTATCTACAGATTCAATGCAATCTCTATCAAATTTCCTATATCATTTTTCATAGGAATAGAAAAAAACACAAACAATTCAATAGCAAGCAAACAAATAACCCAATTAAAAAACAGGCAAAGGATCTGAACAGACATTTCTCAAAAGAAAAGATAAAAATAGCCAGGAGAGATATGAAAAAAATGCCCGACATCAATAATCATCAGGAAAATTCAAATCAAAACCACAGCGAGATATTACCTAACACCTGTTGGAATGGCTATTATCTAAAATAAAAATAATAAGTGTTTATGTGGATGTGGAGAAAAGGGAATCTTTGTACAGTGTTGGTGGGAAAGTAAATTAGTCCAGCCACTTGGAAAAAGTATGATATTTTGTCAAATAAACTAAAAATAGAATTACAATATGAAATAGTAGTCCCACTTCAGGGTATATATCCAAAGGAATTGAAATTGGTATGCCAAAGAGATATCTGCACTCTCATAATTATTGCAGCACTATTCACAATAGCCAAGATATGGAATCATCCAAAGTGCCCATCAATATGTGAATGTTTTTTAAAAAGTGATATGTGCATTCTCAATGGAATACAATCTAGCCTTACAAAAGGAGAAAATACGTCATTCATAATAACATGGTTGGAACTGGAAGACATGCTAAGTGAAGTAAGCCAGGTGCAGAAAGACAAATGCTCCATAATGTCACTTATATGTGAATGTAAAAATGTTTATCTCATAAAAACAGATAAGAGAAAGGTGTCCCAGAGGTTAGTGGGAAGCAAAGGGATGGGAAAATGGCAGATGTTGATTAAAAGATAGAAGGTTTCAGTTAGACTGGAGTCATAAGTTGTACTGATCTATTGTACTGCATGATAATCACAGTTAATAATAAGGTATCATATATTTCAAAATTGCTAAAATAATAGAATTGTTTTTTTGAGACAGTGTCTCACTCCATCACTCTGGCTAGAGTGCAGTGGTGTAATCTCAGCTCACTGCAACCTCCACATGCCAGGTTCAAGGAATTCTGCTGCCTCAGCCACCCAAGCAGCTGGGAATACAGGCATGCAACACCATGCCCAGCTATTTTTTTCATATTATTATTTTTAGTAGAGACGGGGTTTTGCCACGTTGGCCAGGCTGGTCTCAAACTGCTGACCTCAAGTGATCTACATGTCTTGGCCTCCCAAAGTGCTAGGATTATAGGCATGGGCCACCACACCTGGCCAATAATAGATTTTTGATATTCTCACCATAAAAAAAAATGATGTTACTGAGGTGAAAGGTATCTTACTTAGTGTATTAGTCTGTTTTCATGCTGCTAATAAAGACATACCTGAGACTGGGAAACTTAAAAAAAAAAAAGAGGTTTAATGGACTTACAGTTCCACATAGATGGGGAGGCCTCACAATTATGATGGAAGACAAGGAAGGAGGAGCAAGTTACATCTTACATGGATGGTGGCAGACAGAGAGAGAGCTTGTGTGGGGGAACTCCTCTTTATAAAACCATCAGATCTCATGAGACTTATTCATTATCATGAGAACAGAAGGAGAAAGACCCAACCCCCATGATTCAACTACCTCCCACTTGGTCCCTCCCCATGACACATCATAATTGTGGGAGTTAAAACTCAAGATGAGATTTGGTTGGGGACACAGCCCAACTATATCACTTAGCTTCATTGACTCTACAAATGTATACATAGATCAAAACATCAAATTGTACCCTATAAATAAACACAATTATTATTTGCCAATTACAAATAAATAAAAAGTGCTATAACAATAATACTTTGTGATTGAAAAAAAAAATGCCACTAGCTCACGCCCAGAATAAAAGTAGGTACAGGCAGCACTTACACATGCTGTGATTGGTAAATGCTGTTTTAACCACTAGTAAATACATCACTCACGTTCATAATTCTTTGAAGACTCTATCTTTAACTCAGGTTTCTTTATGTCTTGTAGATCAGCATGTGTAATGTGCATTTGATACTTTTTTAAGCCAAGTGTTGCTACTGTTAGGCTGGAATAAACAATAAACATCAGTCATACAGAAACATAAAAAATGAAGATGTAATCGTAGAGTAATGATTCTCTTGCTTTTTAAATTATCTGTGCAGTGTGTGTAAATTTAAATTAACTTATTTTTTTGAAAATACTAATGCCTAGACTTCATCCTACAGATTATGACTTAACTGTCTGGATTTAGACATGAGCACAAGGATCTTTTATTTTTTTAGTTTCCCAGGTGCGTTCTTTTGTGCACCAAGGTCTAAAAATTGCTGATAAATAAAAATTAGAATTTTTGAGTGGCCGATAATAATGGCTCTTCTCAACTTGGATACTTGTATAACTGTGGAAAAGATATCATTCACTGAGGAGTAACACCAGCTTTTCAATCCAGGCCCATACTTTTATAAGAATTATCTTGGCCTTTTGAAATATTTATCTTCTTAAAATGTAAATGATTGCATAAGAGCCATCTTATTTATTACCTTCATGTTTCAGATTAAAAAAAACACTGTTTGCTGAGATATTAGGAGTTTAAAAATATTGCAAATTATAAAATATCTAACACTTAAAACTTCTTTAGTTGACACAAAAGAGTTATTGAAAAGTGCAAATTAGAATCTATGAAAGCCTCCACCATCTTTTGTTTGTATAATTTCATGAATGCTTAATATGTGCTAGAAACTGAAAAAGCTAGACAGTCAGCAATAAACAAAATTTCTGCCCCCATAGTACTCATATTCTAGTTGGAAGGGTGTACAAAAGATAAATATCTCAGATGATTATAAGTTCTATGGAAAAATAAACTGAAGCAAATTGTTAGAAAAAGGAGAGGAGCCAGAGCAAGATGGCTAAATAGAGAAGCTTCCATGTATCCTCCTCCCCATAGGAACGCCAGATTAAATAACCATCTACACACACACACACACACAGAAAAATCACATTTATGAGAACCAAAAAATAGGTGAGCAATCACAATACTTGGTTTAAACTACATATCACTAAAATCAGCACTGAAACGTGTAGGAAAGACAGTCTTCAATTGCTTTTGCAACTCCTCTTTACATCTCCTGTCAGCAACCATGTGGTGTGGAGAATTGGTGTACTTACGGTAGGGAGAATGCAGTGATTGTAGGACTTTGTGTTGGAACTCAGTGCTACCCTATCATAGAGGAAGGCAACACTCAAAACAACACAGCAAATACCCCCAGTAGGAGCATTTAGGTCAGCGCTCACCAGAGGGGAATCTTTCATACCAGTGGTACAAATGTGAGTTTTGTCTAGCATTGCCACAACAGGCTAAAGTGCTCTGGGGTCCTAAGTAAACTTGAAAGGCTGTCTAGACCATAAGGACAGCAACTCCTAGGCAAGTTCTGCTGGTGTTCTCGGCTCAGACCCAGTGGACATGAAGGGCATACAACCTAGTGAGATATTACTTGAGGTGGCCATGGGAGTGCTTGTGCCACTCCTTCCCCAGCCCCAGGCAGTTCAGCTTGCAGGAACACAAGTGACTCCTTCTTTCCACTTGAGGAGAGGAGAGGGCAGAGTAAAGAGTACTTTGTCTTGCAACTTGGATACCAGTTCAACTACAGTAAGATAGGGCACCAGCTGGAGTCATGAGGCTCCCATTCCAAGTCTTACCTACTAGACAACATTTCTAGACACACCCTGGGCCAGAAAGGAAACTTTGGCCTTTAAAGAAAGGACTCAGACCTGGCAGGATTCATCACCTTTAACTAAAGAGTTCTTGGGACCTGGAATAATTAGCAGTGATATGCAGGTAGTCTGCCATATGCCTTGGATGAGACTCTGAGACATGCTGACTTCAAGTATGACTAGGCATAATCACAGATGAGGTGGCTATGAGGAAGGACTCCCCTATGTGAGATAAGCAGTGGGGAGCAGAAAGGGAACTTTGTCAGGCAGCTGAGGTTCCAGCTCAGCCATAGTGGGGTAGAGCCCATGCAGAATACTGGGTCCCTGATTCCAGGCCTTGGATTTTGGATGGCATTTCTGGACCTGTCCTGGGCCAGAGGGAAGGCCACTGCCCTGAAGGGAGAGTCCCAGGCCTGGCAGAATTTACCACAATTTGAGAGAAGTGCCTTTGGGCCTTAAGTGAACATCGGTGGTAGCCTAGCTATATGCCCCATGGGCCTGTGTGATAGTGGACATGGGGAGAGACTCCTCTGCCTGTTGAAAGGGGTGGGAAGAGTGGAAGGACTTTGTCTTATGGTTTGGATCCCAATTCTAACACACCGAAATAAATGATTTTATTTATTTTTTTATGATAAAATAAAATAAAAAATGATTTTATTTACCAGGTAGATACCTAAGGTTTATATAGATAATATAAAAAATGATTTTATTTACCAGGTAGATACCTAAGGTTTCTGACTGCAGGCCCTGGATTCCCGATGGTACCTCTGGACTTGCCTGGGCCTGTGGAAGCTTTCTGCCCTGAAGGGAACGACACAATCCTGTATGGATTTACCACATGCTCATTGTAGACCCTGAGTTCCTTGAGCAAACGAAAGTGGTAGCCAACTTTTGGTTATAGTGGGCCTTGGGCAAGATCCATTACTCTGCTCTCTTCTGGCCTGATTCAGCACAGTCCTAGTAGTGGTACCCACAGAGGTATTTGTATCATTCCTCCCCAAGCTCCAAACAGCTCAAGAGGGAGAGAGAGATAGAGAGGGGGAGGGAGAGGGAGAGGGAGAGGGAAAGGGAAGAGAAGAGAAGAAGAGAAAAGAAGAGAAGAGAAGAAGAGAGAAGAGAAGAGAAGAGAAGAAGAAAGAAGAGAGAAGAGAGAGGAGAGAAGAGAGAGGAGAGAGACTCATCTGTTTTGGAGAAAGTAATGGGAGAGAACAAGAGTGCTTGCCTGCTAATCCAGAAAATTCTTCCAGATTTTATCCAATACTACTAAGGCAGTACATTTACAGGTCTGCAAAAGCTATATTACTAGGTTTGGGGTGCCCCTTAATGCAGATATGCCAGCAGTGACCAGAAACTTAGCTCACAACGCCCAAGTCCCTTCAAATACCTGGAAAACCTTCCAAAGAAGGAAGCCTAGACTGTGAAGACTACAGTGAATACCTAACTCTTAAATGTCCAGACACCATTGAACATCCATAATCATCGAGACCATCCAGGAAAGCATGACTTCACAAAATAAACTATATATGCCACTAGCAACCAGTCCTGGAAAGACAGAGTTATCTGACCTTTCAGACATAGGATTCAAAATAGCTATTTTGAGGAAACAGTGTAATTCAAGACAACACAGTGAAAGAATTGAGAATCCTATCAGATACATTTAACAAAGAGACTAAAACAGAAATTTTCCAGAAATTCTGGAGTTGAAAAATGTAATTAATCTGGGTGCAGTGAGTCATGCCTGTAATCACAACACTTTGAGAGGCTGAGACTGGTGGATTGCTTGAGCTCAAGTTTGAGAGCAGCCTGGCCAACATGGAGAAACCCAGTCTCTACAAAAGCTACAAAAATTAGCCAGGCGTGGTGGTGGGTGCCTGTAGTGCCAGCTACTTAGAGGTCTGAGGTGGGAGAATCACTTGAATCTGGAAGGTTGAGGCTGTAGTCAGCCAAGATCGTGCCATAGCACTACAGCTTGGGTAACAAAGTGAGACCCTGCCTAAAAAAAAAAAAAGGAAAAGAAAAATGTAATTCACATACTTAATAATACATCAAAGTCTCTTAACAGAATTGATGAAGTGAAGAAAGAGGTAGTAAGCTCAAAGACAGGCTATTTGAAAATACAGTCAGTGGAGACAAAAGAATAAGAATAGAAAACAACAAAGTACAACTACACGATCTAGAAAACAGCTTCAAAAGGGCAAATCTAAGAGTTATTGGCCTTGAAGTGAAGGTGGGGAGAGAAGTCAGCATAGAGAGTATTCAAAGGGTGAATAATAGAGAACGTCATAAACCTAGAGAAAGATATCAATATTCAAGCTCAAGAAGGCTATAGAACACCAAGCAGATTTAACCCAAAGAAGACTACTTCAAGGCATTTAACGATCAAACTCACGAAGATCAAGGATTGAAAGATGATCCTAAAAGTAGCAAGATATATGAAAGAAATCAAATACAATGGAGCTCCAATATGTCTGGAAGTAGAGTTTTTACTGGAAATCTTACAGGCCATGATAGAGTGGCATGACATATGAATAAGTTCATTCTCACACTGCTATAAAGAAATACCTGAGACTGGGTAATTTATACAAAAAGAGGCTTAATTGGCTCATGGTTCTGCAGGCTATACAACTGTACAGGAAGCATGATGCTGGCATCTGCTTGGCTTCTGGAAAGGCCTCCGAAGACTTACAATCATGGCAGAAGGTGAAGGGGAAGCCAGCAATTCTCTTCTCACATTGTCAGAGCAGGAGAGTGAGGGATGAGGTGCTACACACTTTTTTTTTTTTTTTGAGGCGGAGCCTCACTCTGCTGCCCAGGCTGGAGTGCAGTGGCACAATCTCGGCTCACTGCAAGCTTCGCCTCCCGGGTTCATGCCATTCTCCTGCCTCAGCCTCCCAAGTAGCTGGGATTACAAGTGCCTGCCACCATGCCTGGCTAATTTTTTGTATTTTTTTTTTTAGCAGAGACGGGGTTTCACCATGTTAGCCAGGATGGTCTTAATTTCCTGAGCTCGTGATCTGCCCGCCTCAGCCTCCCAAAGTGCTAGGATTACAGGCGTGAGCCACTGCGCCCGGCCGAGGTGCTACACACTTTTAAACAACCAGATTTTGTCAGAACTCTGTCGTGAGAACAGCACTAGAGGGATGGTGCAAAACCATTAGAAACCACCCCAGTGACCCAATCACCTCCCACCAGGCCCCACCTCCAACATTGATGATTACAATTTGATATAAGATTGGGCAGGGACACAGATCAAAACCATATTATTTTGCCCCTAGCTCCTCCCAAATCTCATGTCCTTCTCACATTTCAAAGGACAATCATGCCTTCCCAACAACCCTCCAAAGTCTTAAGTCAGTAAAGCATTAACTCAAAAGTCCACAGTCCAAAGTCTCATCTGAGACAAGGAAAGTCCTTTCTACCCATGAACCTGTAAAATCAAAAACAAGTTAGTTACTTCCAAGATGTCATGTAGGTTGATATGGTTTGGCTGTGTCTCTACCCATATCTCATCTTGAATTGTAGTTCCCATAATCCCCATGTGTCTTGGCAGCACCAGGTAGAAATAATTGAATGATGGGGGTGGTTTCCCCCATCCTGTTCTTTTGACAGTGAGTTAGTTCTCAAGAGATCTGATAGCTTATTGGGGGCTTCTCCCTTCACTGGGCACTCATTTTTCTTTCTCCTGCTGCCAAGTGAAGAAGGACGTGTTTGCCTCCACTTCTGCCATAGCTGTAAGTTTCCTGAAGCATCCCCAGCCATGCAGAACTGTGAGTCAATTAAACCTCTTTTCAAGTTACCCAGTGTCAGATATGTCTTCATTAGCAGCGTGAGATTTGACTAATACAGTAAATTGGTACCAGGTAGTGAAGTTCTGTTGGAAAGATATCTGAAAATGTGGAAGCAACTTTGGAACTGGGTAACAGGATGAGGTTGGAAGGTTTTGGAAGGCTCAGAAGAAGACAGGAAAATGTGGGATAGTTTGGGACTTCCTAGAGACTTTTTGAATTGCTTTCACCAAAATGTTGCTAGAGATATGGAAAATAAAGTCCTGGCTGAGGTGGTCTCACATGGAGATGAGAAACTTGTTGGGAACTGGAGCAAAGGTGACTCTTCTTATGTGTTACCAAAGAGACTGATGGAATTTTCCCCTTGCCCTAGAGATCTGTGGAACTTTGAACTTGAGAGAGATGATTTAGGGTATCTGGCAGAAGAAATTTCTAAGCAGCAAAGCATCCAAGAGGAAGCAGAGCATAAAAGTTTGGAAACTTTGCAACCTAACAATGTGATAAAAAAGAAAACCCAATTTTCTGGAGAGAAATTCAAGCCAGCTGCAGAAATTTGCATTATTAACGAGGAGATGAATGTGAATCACCAAGACAATGGGGAAAATGTCTCCAAGGCATGTTGGAGGCCTTCACGGCAGCCACTCCCATCAGAGGCCTAGAGGCCTAGAAGGAAAAATATGGTTTTGTGGGTCGGGCCAAGGGGACCCCTGCTCTATGCAGCCTGGGGACATGGTATTCTGCTTCCCAGCTGCTTCAGCTCCAGCTGTGGCTAAAAGGGGCCAAGATACAGCTCAGCCCATTGCTTCAGTGGGTGCAAGCCCCAAGTCCCAAGCCAGAAGGTGGCTTACACTTGAATCTGGCCATGCAGGTACACAGAATTCAAGAACTGAGGTTGGAGTTCCTCCACCTAGATTTCAGAGGATGTATGGAAATGCCTGGATGTCCAAGCAAGAGTTTGCTGCAGGGGCAGAGCCCTCATGAAGATCCTTTGCTAGGGCAGTACAGAAGGGAAATTGAGGTGTGAGCCCCTACACAAAGTTCCCACTGGGGTACTGCCTCATGGAGCTATGAGAAGAGGGCCATTGTCCGCCACACTCCAGTATGGTAGATCCACAGACAGCTTGTACTGTGCACCTGGAAAAACTACAGACACTGAATGCCAGCCCAGAAAAGTAGACAGGATGGGGGCTGTAGCATCCAAATCCACAGGGGTGAAGCTTCCCAAGGCCGTGAGAGCTTACCTCTTGCATCAGAGTTACTTGGATTTGAGACATGGAGTCAAAGGAGATCACTTCGAAACTTTAAGTTTTAATGACTGCTCTATTGGATTTTGGACCTGCAGGGGGCCTGTAGCCCCTTTGTTTTGGACAATTTCTCCTATTTGGGACAGTTGTATTTACCCAAAGCTTGTACCCTCATTTTATCTAGGAAGTAACTAACTTGCTTTTGACTTCACAGAATCACAAACAAAAGGGACTTGTCCTGTCTCAGATGAGACTTCAGACTTGGACTTTTTAGTTAATGCTGGAATGAGATAATATTTCTTGGGACTGTTGGAAGGGCATGATTGTGTCTTAAATGGTGAGGACATGAGATTTTGGAGGGGCCCAAGGCAGAATAATAAGATTTGGCTGTGTCCCTACCCAAATCTCATTTTGAATTGTAGCTCCCATAATTCCTATGTGTCATGGGAGAGACAAAGTCAAGATAATTGAATCAAGGGGGAGGTTTCTTCCACCCTGTTCTCATGATAGTGAGTTAGTTTTCATGAGATCTGTTGGTTTTATAAGCGGCTCCCCCCTTTGCTTGGCACAATTTTTTCCCTCCTGTCATGATATGAAGAAAGATGTGCTTGCTTCCCCTTCTGCAATCACTATAAGTTTCCTGAGACCTCCCCAACCATGCAAAATTGTGAGTCAATTTAACCTCTTTTCTTTGTAAATTACTCAGTCTCGGGTATGTCTTCATTAGCAGCATGAGAACAGACCAATACAGGCATACAGGCATTGGGTAAGTACTCTTATTACAAAAGGAAGCAGTTGGCCAAAATAAAGGGGCTACAGGCCGTGTTCAAGTCCAAAATGAAGCAGGACAATAATTACATCTCAAAGCGCCAAACTAATCTTCTTTGATTCCATGTCTCACATTCAGGTCACAGTGATTTCCCAAGGCCTTGGGAAGCTTCACCGTGAGGACTTGTAGAGTACTTCCTCCATGGCAGTTTCATTGGCTGGCATTGAGTGCCTACAGCTTTTCCAGGTGCAAGCTGTTGGTGGCTCTACCATTTCAATTTCTGGAGGACAGTGGCCCTCTTCTTGTAGCTTCACTAGGCAGTGCCCCAGTGGGAACTCTATGCAGGGATTCTTCACATTTTCCCTTCGCACTGCCCTAGTAGAGGTTCTCTGAAGTAGGTAGGCATCTATCTGGACATCCCTGAAGCAGGCATCTGTATGGACATCCATGCTTTTCCATACATCCTCTAAAATCTAGGCTTCCAAGCCTCAACTCTTGAATTTGGCACAACCAGACTTAACACCACATGGAAGCCTCCAAGACTTAGGGCTTGCATTGTCTGAAGCAGCAGCCTGAGCTATACCTGGGCGCTTTTGAGCCCTGGCTAGAGCTATAGTGGATGGAATGCAGGGAGCGGTGTCTCGAGGATGCATAGGACAGCAGGCCCTAGGCCTGGCCCACAAAACCATTCTACCCTTTAAGGCCTCCAGGCGTGTAATGGGAGGGGCTGCTACAAAGTTCTCTAAAAAGCCTTCTAGGCCTCCCCATTATCTTGGAAATAGGTATTTGGCTTTTTAACTTATGCGAATTTCTCAGCCAGCCTAAACTCTTCATATAAAAATGAGCTTTTCTTTTCTAATACATGGCCAGGCTACAAATTTTCCAAATTTCTACACTCTGCTTCCGTTTTCAATATAAGTTCCAGTTTCTGGTAATGTCTTTGCTCACTTATATAAGCATAGGTTGTTATAAGCAACCAGGCTACATCTTGAACACTCTGCTGCTTAGAAACGTCTTCCACCAGAAACCCTAAATTATCACTCTCAAGGTAAAAGTCCCACAGATCCCTAGAGCAGGGGCACAATGCTACCAGTCTCTTTGCTGAAGCATAGCAAAAGTGACCTTCACTCCAGTTTTTAATAAGTTTCTCATTTTCATCTGAGACCTCCACAGCATGGACTTCATTGTCTATATCACTATCAGTATTTTGGTCACTATTCAACAAGTCTCTAGGAAGTTCCAAATTCTCCCTCATGTTCCTGTATTCCTCTGATTCCTCTAAGCTTTTCCAACTTCTGCCTGCTACAAAATTGCCAAGTTGCTTCCACATTTTCAGGTATCTTTATAATAATGTCCCTCTCCTTGGTATGAATTTTCTGTATTAATCCATCCTGATACTACTATAAAAAATACCTGAGACTGGATAATTAATAAAGACAAGAGGTTTAATTGATTCACAGTTTAGCAGTCTGTACAGGAAGGATGATCATCTGCTTTGCTTCTGGGGAGGCCTCAGGAAACTTACAATCATGGCAGAAGGTGAAGGAGGAGCCAGCACTTATCACATGTGCAGGAGAAAGACGGAGAGTGGGAAGGTGCTACACACTTATAAACAACCAGATCTCATGAGAACTCTATTATGAGAACAGCAGTAGGGATGGTGCTAAACCATCAGAAACTGTCCCTGTGATCCAATCACCTCCCATCAGACCACATTGGGGTTTACAATTTGACATGAGATTTGGGTGCAGACGCAGATCCAAACTGTATCAACCTATTTAAAGTGCTGAAGAAAAACAAAACTTATAACCCAGAAGAGTATATCTGGTGAAAATATCCTTCAGATATGAAGGAGAAATAAAGTATTTCCCAGACAAACAAATGCTGAGTTACTTTATCACCATGAGACCCATATTAAAAGAAATGCTAAAGGAAATTTATAGTCTGAAATAAATGGACATTGAGTGATAGGGTTTGGCTGTGACCATACCCAAATCTCACCTTGAATTGCAATAATTCCCATGTGTCAAGGGCGGGGCCAGGTAGCAGTAATTGAATCATGGGGGCAGTTTCCCACATAGTGTTCTTGTGGTAGTGAGTAAGTCTCACAAGATCTGATGGTTTTATAAAGGGGAGTTCTCCTGCACATGGTCTCTTGCCTGCCACCATAGAAGACGTGCTTTTCTCCTCTTTGCCTTCCCCCATGATTGTGAGGCCTCCCCAGCCATGTGGAACTGTGAGTCAGTTAAACTCTTTCCTTCATAAATTACTCAGTACTGGGTATGTCTTTCTTAGATGTGTGAGAACAGACTAATACAATGAGCAATAAGAAACAATCTGAATATATAACACTCATTGGTAATAGTAAGATGCAGAAAAACACAGAATAGTATAATAGTGTAATTGTGGTGTATAAACTACTCATATTTTAAGCAGAAAAATTAAATGATGAACTAAACAAAAATAATAAGTACATGCATCTGCAGTGAACCCATTTTTGACAAAGATACCAAGAACACACGTTGTGAAAAGGACAGTCTTTTTAGCAAATTGTGCTGAGAAAACAGGATATGCATATGCAGAAGAATGAAACTAGTGCCCTATCATTCATCATAAACAAAAATCAAAGTGATTTAGATACTTAAATAGATGACCTCAAAGTATGAAAATGCCAAAAAAAATATGGGGAAACACTCCAGCACATTGTACTGGCTAAAGATTTCTTCAGTAAAACCCTGCAATCACAGGCAAGCAAAGCACAAATGGACAAATGGGATTACATGAAATTAAGAAGCTCTGGCAAAGCAAAGGAGACAAAGTGAAGAAACAATTCATAGAATGGGGGAATATATTTACAAATTCTCCATCTGACAAGAGTTTAATAACCAGAATATATATGGCATTTAAACAACTACAAAAATATAATAATTCAATTTAAAAATAGGCAAAATTTCTGAATAGACATTTCTCTAAAGAAGACAAACACATGGCAAACAGGTATATGAAAAGGTCCTCAGCATCATTTATTACCAGAGAAATGCTAGTCAAAACTATAATGAGATATTATCACCCCATTTAAAATGGCTTTTAGCCAAAAGATAGGCAATAAATGCTGGTGAGGATGTGGAGAAAAGGGAACCCTTGCAGACTCTTGGTAGGAATGGAAGTTAGTACAACCACTATGGAGAACAGTTGGAGGTTCCTCAAAAAACTAAAAATAGAACTACCATATGATCAAGAAATCCCATTGCTAGGTGTATACTTGAAAGAACGGAAAACAGTTCTTTGAATATGTATCTGCACTTTCGTGTTTCTTGTAGCACTATTCACAATAGCAAAGATTTGGAAGTAACCTAAGGTCCATCAACAGAGGAATATGATCTTATATATAAAAAATCTAAAATCTCTACCAAAAATATTGTTAGAACTGATACATTAATTCAGTAAAGTTGCAGGATACAAAATAAACATACAAAAATCAGTAGCATTTCTATATAACAATAGTAAACTTGCTGAAAAAGAAATCAAGAAAGTAATCACATTTCCAATATCTTAAATAATAACTAGTAATAAGTCTAGCTAAGGAGGTGAAAGATTTCTACAATATGAGCTATAAAACACTGATGAAAAAATTGAAGAGGAGACAAACACACACACACACACACACACACAAACATGGAAACACATTCTATGATCATGGGCTGGAGATCATATAGCTTTTGACTAAAATATAATGGTAATAAACATGATGACAAGTGATTTGACTCAGGACATACAGTAGTTTTCCCTTATCCTCAGTTCCACTTTCCACAGCTTCTGTTACCAGCAGTCAATCACAGTCAAAAATATTACATTACTACTTTTGTGCTTCGGGACCATCTATTATTAAGTAAAATATAAGTTACTTGACTAAAAACACTGTGAGCCCATCACAGTCAATCTGATAAACCAAGACTGTTAATAAGTGATTAATGACAATCTGAGCAGGACAGAGCAGGGTGGTGTTAAATTTAAATGTGCTACTAAGAATGCCACTCAACTGAAAATTTATGAGATGTTTATTTCTGGAATTTTCCATTTATATCATAATGCCTATGTCATTCACCTCAATCTTATCATGTAGTCATTTAACCATCTCACATCATCACAAGAAAAAGGGTGAGTAGAGTACAATAAGATATTTTGAGAGAGAGAGAGAGTGATACCACATTCACATAACTTGCATTACAATATATTGCTATAATTGTTCTATTTTATTATTGGTTATGCTGTTCATCTCAGCATGCCTAATTTATAAATTACACTATCATAGGTGTGTATGTACAGGAAAAAACATGGTGTATATAAAGTTTGTAACTATCTGTGGTTTCAGGCATCTCATGGGGGTCCTGGGATTTATCCCATGGGAACAAGAGAGGAGTATTATAATTTAAATATAAAGTCAACAGGGTTGCCGATGAATTGTACATGAGGCAATAAAGAAAAGAAACTCCGATATCCAGGTAAATGTTGGTACCATTATTAAATGAACGGAAGCTGGGGGAGGGGTACGTTTCAAAAGGCTGTGTTAAACAGTAGTTTTGAACATGTTAAATTTAAAATGCTTATTAGACATCCAAGTGGGAATATCAAGTAGACAGCTGAATACAGAGTGTGAAGTATAGCAGGGAAGACTGGGCCAGAAGGATATATTTGGAAGTGTATCAATTAACGTAACTTCAGCTGCAAGTAACAGAATAGCCAACTGAACATATTTCTAACAATCAGGAGAAGTTACTCTCTTGTACAACAAGAAATTAAGAGATGAGAAGTTTCAGATTTAATAAGTTCAGCAATTCACCGAATCATCAAGATCCAAGTTTCTTTTTTTCTGCTTTACCATATTCAATGTGGTGATTTATAGTGCCATAGTTAAAAGATGACTACAGTAGTTGTGTCATATGCAGATGAACATATTAAAAGCAGAGAAAGAGAATGTTTCAGGAAAAGGGAGTGATAAACTGTACTAAATATTAATCATTGTTCAAGCAAAATGGGATATGAGAACTGATTATTGGATTTAAAGACAAAAATCCTTGATGACCACAACAAGAATAATTTCAGTGGATTGTGAAGAAAAAAAATCTGATGGTAGTGGTTTCAAGAAAGAAGTGGTGAGGGGGTAGAAGACAACTCTTTTGAGGAGTTCTAGGTAACATGAGTGAGCTTTTAAAGTAGTCTGAAATTCAGGTGAAATGATTGGGCTGGATATATACTATTGGAAGACAGCCATCATAGATAGGAACATTGAGAGTGAATTTGAGAGAGAATGCCTCTAAAATCATAGAGACTGTTATAGCAAAAAGGAAACTCTACATCCTCATCTGGATATTAAGAGGATTTCATGAAATAATCTGTAAACCTGTTTTCAGTAGGAGGATTGATAAATACTATATTCTTTTATGAATAGCCTCCTAAACATTTGGAGTCTTTTCCAAACACATTCTGATACAGCATGTGGGGCATAGTAAAGGAGGTAGTGCAGAATACTATGGAGGCTGCTATCCTTTTTAATTTACTTTTAAATTCCAAATTAATATAAGCTTAGCCTATCAAGTTAAAAAAATTCACAGATATATAAACAAAAAAACCCAATCTCCTTCTGTATCACTATAAATACTTTTTTAGCCAGGAGCAGTGGCTCACGCCTATAATCCCAGCACTTTGGGAGGCTGAGACAGGCGGATCATGAGGTCAGGAGATCGAGACCATCCTGGCTAACACAGTGAAATCCCATCTCTACTAAAAATACAAAAAATTAGCCAGGCACGGTGGCGGGCGCCTGTAGTCCCAGCTACTCGGGAGGCTGAGGTGAGAGAAGGGTGTGAACCTGGGAGGCGGAGCTTGCAGTGAGCCGAGATCATGCCACTGCACTCCAGCCTGGGCGACAGAGCAAGACTCCATCTCAAAAAAAAAAAAAAAAAAACAACTTTTTAAATGATTGTATACAGATATAGATTTTTATTTGCCTATCAATCTATCTATCTACGTGTGCACCGTACACTCTTTTCCTTTTTTTTTTTTTTTTTTTTTCTGAGATGGAGTCTCGCTCTGTCGCCTAGGCTGGAGTGCAACGGCACAATATCGGCTCACTGCAACCTCTGCCTCCCAGGCAAGTAATTCCCTGCTTCAGCCTCTTGAGTAGCTGGGATTACAGCCACTCACCATCACACCTGGCTAATTTTTGTATTTTTAGTAGAGACGGGGTTTCACCATCTTGGCCAGGCTGGTCTTGAACACCTGACCTCATGATCCACCTGCCTCCGCCTCCCAAAGTGGTGGAATTAGAGGCGTGAGCCCCCGCGCCCAGCCTATTTTCCTTTTTATTCACTGAGTTTGCACTAAATCATGCTTCACAGAGAGCCCTTTTAGTCGATAGCTGCAGATTTAGCTCATTTTAAAAATACCTACATAGTATCATATCAATTTTTCCTAATTTTAAGTCTTTGGCAGTTGTTTTGTTTGTTGTTGTTGTCGCTGTTGTTCTGTGTGAGTTTGGGCCACTACAAAGAACACGGTTAGACAACATACGTAACATTTTTCTTATGTTTGTGTGATAGATATGCAACAGTGAAAATGCTGAGTCAAAAATTATGTGCATTTTTACCTTTTAATAGAAACTGCCAGATTCTTTCTAAAAAAATATATGTAGCAATTCACGTTTCCTTTAATGATATAAGAGGGTGCTTGTGTTCTTGGGACTTCCTAATAAGTATACCCCCTCTCCATTCTAATACGTCAGCTGCGGGACAGACCCTCAGCACTGTCAGTACAAGTCACTGTCTTAGCGGTCCATCTCTATGTGCAGCTCTACATCATGTCCCTTGAATGAACTAGGGCTTATCAAGGTTGGAGAAACATTGCTTTATTAGTTCTTCTGTATTCACAGAGGCTGAGGCCCCCAGCACTGGGTCAAAGGACAGGTTTAGGCCAGGTCTCTGGCTCCAAATTTAACAAGTATTCCCAAATTTACAGTTGGAAGATTAAAACTAATTATTTGAAGCAAGCTAGAAAGTTACATAATAATACTATATCCAAGTGAGAATCAGAGTAACTGAGAGCCAAATTTGGGTACTTCCATCTTCAGAAAATGACATAGAAAAGAAATGAAGCAATTGTCCTTACAGAGCAATTTCACAAAACTACATTTATTTGCCATTGTGTAGACCGTCTTACACACAACGTTAAACCTACCCCAGATTGCCTAAACCTGGAAATGAAGACATTTAGTAAACTCATAATTTTAGCTTCCTCCCATGTTTTATCAATATAATAACAATGTTGCCAGTAACACATGTGAAATAAATGTTTGTAGATAGACAATTACAATGCCCAATAAGATGATATCTCAATTACTTATATGCCTCACAAATAGAAACTTAAATGCACAGGGAAATCAATACAATAAAAAAATCAATGCTCAGTTTATTCTTAAAGTGAGCAGACCAAAGAATGATTTCAAAAGTATGGATGTGCAATATGATCAGGAGAATTAAAAGTTCAGAACATCCTGTATTCATACACTCAACGCAAATGCAACATTGATTTTTACAAAGCTTAATGTGGTTGTGTGTCTTTGTGTGTGTGTGCATATGACGTGTGTCATCCATATGTAAAAATTAAAAATAATTTTCCTAACTGCCCAAGTTATGTCAACAATAGGTGCTTCGTTGGTAGATATCTTTTGAAGAGAGGATTTCATAAAAAGATATGGGGGTAAAAATCCATTGTTCCTGTCCCACCAACATATTATCTCAAAGGTAGTGGCTGGTTAAAAATTAAAAACTTTGAGGAGCAAAGAATCCATCAGCTGAGTTTAAAGCCATTCCCAATATGCATATTTATATCTGCACACAAATCTAAAAGTCCTCCATATTAAGCCTTCTCAAATTGCTCTATTCCCTTCACTGTACGTGCCCCTGAATATCACACACTCAGGGTGACTTCGAAAAAAATTCCAGCCTATGTGAATAGACACCTTAATTCTTGATTTTCCCTGGTGTGACATCTTTAGTACATACTACCACATCATGCACAGATCAGGGGCTAGAGGATCATTGTGAAAAATCAAAAAATTATGAATTGTAGTTACTATGGTAGTTCTCTTTTTACTTTATTTCCTTTTGTGAATTTCCTGTGGGCTTCTCTTTTTGTGATTAAGTTTTCTTTGTTTATTTGTTTTTATTTCTTTGATTGTTTTTAGATGAAATACTTAAAAGTAAAAAAAGAAGTTTAAGCTTCATAGGCACACAGAGAGCCCTAGGTTGAATCTTCAACTTGCTGTTTTCTGGTTGTAATATGATCTTGAATAGTTTCATCGTTTCTTCATCTGTTAAATGGGATAATAATAGAGCCCATCTCACAGAGTTATTATGAAGGGTAATTGAAATAATGCATGTGAAATTGTAGAAAAATACAAGAGAAATAAAGGAACAAGAGATTTACAAAACAAAAAATAATAAACAAAATGTCAATAGTAAGTTGTGATCTATCAATAATTACTTTGAATGTAAAGTAGGTTGTGATGTGGCAGGGTATGTAAAAGAGGTTAATTTTTACTACTATTCACATAACTATGCTCCATTGCTCTAAAGCAAGCTAACCACAAAAGTAGAAGTCAGGAATGAAATGACTTATGTGGCCTTTTCTGCAGTAAATTTTAAATCCATATTCAAGGACTACTGACTCACCCAACACACTGTGATAATAGATACATCTTATTTTGCTACCCAGAAGAAACATCATTTTTAAAGGAAGTGGAGTGGAGAGGAAAAAAGGCAATGACCACTAGCTACTGGAAGACAATGAATAAAAAAACTGGTAATTACAGACTGTGAGAAAATGTTACGAAAGAAGTAAATAGGTGATAAGATCATGAACAACGGGAGGGAGGACGCAAAATTAGACAATCAAAGAAAATCTTTAGATAAGTAATATTTGACCTGAAACTGAAAGTTAACAAAGAGTTCGAGGTGTTTAATAAATGAAGCAATCAAGATGAACTAAGTGTAGTGAAAAAGGAGCAAAAGCTGCCAAGGTAAAGTCAGTGAGGTAAAAGGGGAACAGACCGAGTTGAATTTTATAGACATGATAAGGTATTTAAATTTTTTATTAAATGTGATGGGAAACCATGGGAGAGTTTGAGAAAAACATTAACATAATTTGATTTATGTTTTCAAAAATAGTACTCTACCTGCTGCTCTTTCTTAATAATGTGTTCTTTTGTTTTTCCATGTATTCCTTCTAGAATCAGAGCTTTTCTTACTTTATGGTTTAGATTAGTTTGTCTTCCTAAAGGGCCAACTCCTAGACTGCTTGATGCTACTTTTTTTCACAAGATCTGTGCAGAAGGCTAATAATCCTTGGACGTTGTGTCAGAAGGCAAAGTACTTAAATAATTTAGGAAAGGACTGCTTCCATGAATCTTACACATAAATTAAAACAAAGGGGAGCTGTTGGCCTGCAATATCAAGTTGTTATGATACTCCCTTCTTGCATGGACAAAGTATCAAGGTTACTTGAAACATGCCCAAACCTTTTATGTTAAAAAATAAAAAAGCATTTTTTTGCATTATGTGCTAAATACTATATAATTGACTTATGTATGCAATGCCATAAAATTTCCCTTATGCGGGTTCTTTGCAGTTATCTCTGGAGATTGCTAATCTCTTCCATTCCCTACAGTCTTGCCTTTTCCAGAATGGCATATAAACAAAATCATACAGTATATATCCTTTCGAAACTGGTTTCTTTCACTTAGAATAATATTTTAAGGTTTATCCAACTAGTTGTATATATCAATTGCCTGTTCCCTTTTATTGCTGAGTGGTTAGAGTTCCACTAATAGACGTACTAGTCAGTTGATCCCTTCAACAAGTGATGGAAATGAGATGTTTTTTCCAGTTTTGGCAGTTATGAATAGAGCTGCTCTAAACATTTGTTCACATTTTTGGGATTGTCCAGTCATTCAGTAATTGTGTGTTTACCTTTTTAAGAAGCTGATTTTTTCTAGAATCACTGGATCATTTTGCCTTTCTGTCAGCAATGTCTGAATGATCCAGTTTCTGCCTGTCATCACTAGTACTGGGAGCTATCTGAAGAGAAATTCTGTGCTCAAACATTGTAAAACTTAATATAGTTAAGATGTCAATGTCCCCAAATTGATTATAGTTTAACACAATCTCGAAGTCCCAATAGGATTTTTTTTGTAGATATAGACAAGCTGATTCTGAAATATATACAGAAAGGTAAAGGAACTAGAATAATCAAAACACTTCAGAAAAAAATGGTTGTTTTTAAAGGCTGAACCACAATGTAACACAAGAAGAAATGAAAGTGTAAAAATATTTGATTTTTAATATCGTCAGAAATTCAGTCAGTTTTCAATTTTCCCACTTATCTGCAAAATGTTTCTTTTATCTTAAGTTTCTAACAGTAACCAAATAAGTTTTACACAATCCAATTAAGAAAAGAAAATTTAAAATAAATTCATCACATTAAGATAGCCACAAACATCCATTTAAAATGTTAGAAAATTGAATGCAGCAATCTACTAAAAGGACAATATGTTATGACCAAGTAGGATGATCCCAGGAATGAGAAGTTTGCTTAATATTTGAAAATGAGGCCGGGCGCAGTTGCTCATGCCTGTAATCACAGCACTTTGGGAGGCTGAGGTGGGCAGATCGCAACGTCAGGAGATCGAGACCATCCCGGCTAACACGGTGAAACCCCCCATCTCTACTAAAAATACAAAAAATTAGCTGGGCGTGGTGGCGGGCACCTACAGTCCCAGCTACTCGGGAGGCTGAGGCAGGAGAATGGCGTGAACTCAGGAGGCGGAGCTTGCAGTGAGCCGAGATCGTGCCACTGCACACCAGCCTGGGCGAAAGGGCGACACTCCGTCTCAAAAAAAAAAAAAAAAAAAAAAAAAAAAAAAAAAAAATATATATATATATATATATATATATATATATATATATATATATATATATATTTGAAAATGAATTAATTGACCAGATGAACAGAATAAAGGAGAAAAGCCATATGATGATTTTAATAGATGCAGAAAAAGATTGTTATGAAATTGAACACCTCTTTGTGATAAAATTCTCAGTAAACTTAGAATAAACGTTAACTTCCTAAATTTGATGAAATATATCTATAAAAATGTTCAGCTTAACTTGACAATGATAACTTATTTAATGATTTCTTATAATATCAGAAATAGGACAAGAATGTCTAATTTCCCAACTTTAGCATTTTATTGGATGGCTTAAACAGCAAGAAAAAGAGATAGATGACATAGGGATGGAACAGGGTTAATTAACACTGTCGTTAATTACAGAAGAAATGACTGTATACATAGAAAATTTAAAGATATCTACAAACAAAATACTAGACTAATAAACTTTTGCATGCTCACTTGATACAAGGTCAATATAAAAATTCCTTTTTTTTTTTTTGAGACGGAGTCTCGCTTTGTCGCCCAGGCTGGAGTGCAGTGGCGTGATCTCGGCTCACTGCAAGCTCCACCTCCCGGGTTCATGTCATTCTCCTGCCTCAGCCTCCCGAGTAGCTGGGACTACAGGCGCCCGCCACTGCGCCCGGCTAATTTTTTGTATTCTGTTTTTAGTAGAGACGGGGTTTCACCATGGTCTCGATCTCCTGACCTCGTGATCCGCCCACCTCGGCCTCCCAAAGTGCTGGGATTACAGGTGTGAGCCACCATGCCCGGCCAAAAATTGCTTTTTTATAAATAGTCAATAAGATATTAGAAAATGAAATCTTAAAAAGTACATTTATAACAATATCGATATATTAGAAATAATTATATGAGTAATAAATGAAAAATAAAAAAAAGAAAATTAAGGAAAAAATGTGGCAGAACTCTACATGCAAGATTACAAATGTTACTTAGAAAAATTAGCTGTATATAAAATATACATGGATTGGAAGACAATCTTCTTAAGATTTCTATTCTTCCCAAATTAATCTGTAGCTTCAATGTATTCCCAGCCAAAGCCTAGGCAGGCATTTTTACAGAGATTAACAAACTCACTTTAAAATTCAAATTAAAATTCAAGGGCCTAGAACAGCCAAACCCATTTTGACAAGGAAGAAGAAAGTTAGAGGACTTCATCCATCCATCTTCAATATATATTTTAAAGGCATAATAATATAGAAAATGTAGCACTGGCGTAAGGATAAACAAATAGATTAAAGAAGAGAATAGACATTCTTGAAGCAGACCCACACATACACAGTCAATTGATTTCCAACAATAGTCCTAATAAAATTAAATGGGAAGAGGAAAGTGTTTTCAACAAATGGTGCTGGATGAACTGGATATTAATGCTAAAAAATTAATGAATCAACAACATCACCTACCTTACACCTTATAGAAAACTTAGTTTAAGATGGATTACAAACTTACATGTAAAAGTTAAAATAAAGTTGTTAGAAGAAAATACATATTTGATATTATGATTAGCAAATCTTTATTAGGACACAAATGGCATTGTGCTGAAAATAATATAAAAAGAAATAAATTGGACACAGTAAAAAAAAAAAAAATCCCTGCTTATAGAAGGATGTCATTAAGAAAAAAAAAAAAGCTGTTTCTAGCACTTTGGGAAGCCAAGACAGGTGGATCCCTTGAGGTCAGAAGTTTGAGACCAGCCTGGCCAACATGATGAAACCCTGTCTCTACTAAAAATACAACAATTAGCTGGGTGTGGTGGTGCATGCCTGTAATCACAGCTATTTGGGTGGCTGAGGCAGGAAGATCGCTTGAGCCAGGAGGCAGAGGTTGCAGTGAGCCAAGGTCTTGCCAGTGCACTCTGGCCTGGGCAACAGGATGAGACTCCATCTCAAAAAAAAAAAAAAAAAAAAAAAAAAGGAAAAGAAAAAGTTAAATCATAAACTAGGCAAAATATTTGAAATTCTTGCATCTGACAAAGTGTATGAATGTTTAAAAAATTCTTGAAAATTAATAACAACAAAAATGGAAAAAAAGTTTGAACACTTTAAAAAATAATATAGAAGAATAGCCCATAAGTTTATCAACAAATATTTAAGATTATATTAATTTAGGAAAATGTAAGTTGAACCACAAAAAGATATCACTATACCCACATTGGAATGACACACATTAAAATTAATAAAAATAGAAGATTTTGGCAAAGACATGGAATAAGTGAAACTTTCATACATTGCTACTGGGAGTCCATATTGGAAAAAAATGTTTAGCAATTTCAAATAAAGTTAAAGCTATATCTGACATTATGACAGCAGCTCTCCTCCCAGGAGAAGTGAATGCCGATATAGTTCTAGAGACTTGTGCAGAAATATTTATGGCAGTATTACTCATAATAGCCCCAAACTGAAAACAGCGCAAATGTCCATCTGGTGCGTTCATGGAATTGAATACCACTCAGCAGTAAAATAACAAAGTAATCATACATGAATGAATCACAAAATTTTACTCTAAGCAAAGGAAACAAAATAATGAAGTACATATGCCATGATTTTATTAAAGTTCAAGAAAAGATGCATCTAATTTATGGCAATGAATATAACAGTAGCTCTTTCTGGGGACAGTGGTTGACCGTAAAAAGACAGAAATACATTTCTGTAGCATTAGAAAGTTTCTAAGAAAAGAACCAAATTGGCTGACCAGATGCAGCAAAAAGAACATCTCCCACTGAGAGACCAGACCATCAAGAAGACTGGCACACTCCAAGCAGAACATCGGAAGGAGGGCATTGAGAGTGGATGGAGGAAAGATGCTGACCTTGGACTGAAAGGGGAGGAACCTCCAGTTTCTGACAAGTTCCTCATTTCCATCTGAGGCCACCTCAGCCCAGACTTCACTGTCCAGATCATTATCAGCATTTTGGTCAAAACCATTCAACAAGTCTCTAGGAAGTTCCAAACTTTCTCACATCTTCCTGTCTTCTTCTGAGCCCTCCAAACTGTTCCAACCTCTGCTTGTTACCCAGTTCCAAAGTCGCTTCCACATTTTCAAGTATCAATATAGCAGTACCGCACTCCGTGGTACCAATTTACTGTATTAGTCTGTTTTCACACTGCTATAAAGATACTACCAAAGACTAGGTAATTTATAAAGGAAACAGGTTTAATTGACTCACAGTTCAGCATGGCTCGGGAGGCCTTAGGAAACTTATAATTATGGTAGATGGCGAAGAGAAAGAAAGGCACCTTCTTCAGAAGGCAGCAGGAAGAACTACATTCAGGGGAATTGCTGGACACTTATGAAACCATCAGATCTCGTGAATTCACTCACTATCATGAGAACGGCATAGGGGAAACTGCCCACGTGATTCAATTACCTTCACCTTTTCTCTCCCTTGACATGTGGGGATTATGAAGATTATGCGGATTACAATTCAAGATGAGATTTGGGTGGGGATACAAAGCCCAAGCATATCACCATTGGAGGGCTCCAACAGACAGGCTCTGTCCAATGTGCACCAAATCACCCACAGCCTACCCTCACTGCAGCCTATCACCACTTCTTTGCTGGCATGCATTTGCCCACAGCGCCCGCCCCCCCACCCCCCAACAATTGCTTTGAGAATGCAAGCACAGGTGAGCCTCAGCTGGTCTTTGAAATAATAAATGAGATTGATAGAACACTAGTTAGATTAATAAAGAAAAAGACAAAATACAAATAACTACAATCATAAATGGCAAAGGGGACATTACCAACTCCACAGAAATACAAAATCCCTCAGAGACTATTACAAACATCTCTATGCACACAAACTAGAATACCTAGAATAAATGGATAAATTCTTGAAAATACACAACCTCCCAAGATTGAACATGGAAGAACTGAAACCCTGAATAGTTCAATAATGTGTTCTGAATTTGAATCAGTAATAAAATGCTTACCAAAAAGAAAAAGCCCTGGCCCAGATGGATTCACAGCCAAATTCTACCAGACATATAAAGAAAAGTTGGCACTAATCCTAGTGAAGCTATTTCAAAAAATTGAGAAGGAGAGACTCTTGCCTAACTCATTCTACGAGGGCATCATCATTCTTATAACAAAACCTGGCAGAGACACAAGAAAGAAAACTTCAGGCCAATATCCTTGATGAACATAGATGCAAAAATCAGCAACAAAATACTAGCAAACTGAATCCAGCAGCACATCACAAAGCTAATCCACCATGATCAAGTAGGCGCTTTATTCCTACTCGATCTTTATTCAAGATCGGTTCAACATACACAAATCAATAAATGTGATTCATCATGTGAACAGAACTAACAACAAAAACCACATGATATCAATAGATGCAGAAAAGGTTTGGAAAAAATTTAACATCTCTTCATGATAAGAACCCTCAACAAAATAGGTATTGAAGGAATACCTCAAAATAATAGGAGCCATCTATGACAAACCCACAGCCAATATCATACTGAATTAGCGAAAGCTGGAGGCATTTCTGTTAAGAACTGGAACAAGACAAGGATGACCACTCTTACGACTCATACTCAACATAGTACTGGAAGTCCTAGCCAGAGCAATCAGGCAAGAGAATGAAATAAAAGGCATCTAAATAGGAGAAGAAGAAGTCAAACTCTCTCTCTTCACAGAAAATGTTTATTTATATCTTGAAAACCCCATGGTTTCTGCCTGAAAGCTCCTAGATCTGATATACAACTTTGGTAATGTTTCTGGATACAAAATCGATGTACAAAAATCAGTTGCATTTCTATACAGGAATAATGTACAAGGTGACAGAAAAATCATAATGCAATCCCAATCACAACATTCACAACAGGCACACGCACATGGAATGAAATACCTAGGAATACAGCTAATAAGAGAGGTAAAAGATCTGTACAATGAGAATTACAAAATACTGATGAGAGATATCAGAGATGACATAAATGGAAAAACATTTTATGCTCATGGATAGGAAGAATCAAGATTGTTAAAATGGCCATACTTCCCAAAGCAATTTATACATTCAATGTGGTTTCTATAAAACTACTAATGACACTTTTCACAAAGTTAGAAAAATACTATCCCAAACACCTCATGTTCTCACTCCTAAGTGGGAGTTGAACAATGAGAACACATGGACACAAGGAGGGGAACATCATACACCGGGGCCTGTCGGGGAGTCGGGGGGAAGGGGAGGGATAGCATTAGGACAAATACCTAATGCATGCGGGGCTTAAAACCTACATGACAGGTTGATGGGTGCAGCAAGCCACCATGACACATGTATATCTATGTAACAAATCTGCATGTTCTGCATATATATCCCAGAAATTAAAGTATGGTAATGAAAAGAATTAAAAACTATGCTAAAATTCATATGGAACCATAAAGGTGGCTTAATAGTCAAAGCAAACTTAAGCAAAAAGAACAAAGCTGAAGGCATCAAATTACCTGATTTCAAACTATAGTACAACGCTGCAATAACCAAAACTACATGGTACTGGCACAAAAGCAGACACATAGACCAAGGGAATAGGTTGAAGAACACAGAAGTAAAGCCACACACCTACAAACATTTGATATTCGACATAGTTAACAAAAACAAACAATCCGGAAAAGACTTCCTATTGAATAAATGGCACTAGAATAACTGGCTAGCCATGTACAGAAGATTGAAACTGGCTCACTTACTTTCAACATATACAAAAATTAACTCAAGATGCATTAAAGACTTCAATGTAAAACCTAATACTATAAAAACCTTAGAAGAAAACCTAGGACATGCTATTCTGGACACAGGCCCTGCAAAGATTTCATGACAAAGACACCAAAAGCAATTGCAACAAAAACAAAAATTGACAAGTGGTACCTAATTAAATTCAAGAGTGTCTCCACAGAAAAACAAAACAAAACAAACAAACTATCAACAGAGCAAACAGACAGTCTACAGAATGGAAGAAAATATTTGGAAACTATGCATCTGACAAAGATCTAATATCCAGAATCTATAAGAATCTTAAATTAATAAGCAAAAAAAAAATCCATTAAAAAATGGGCACAGGATATGAATAGACACTTCTCAAATGGAGACATGCATGCAGTCATCAAGCATATGAAAAAAATCTAACATCACTAATCATTAGACTAATGCAAGTTAAAACCACAATGAGCTACCATCTCACACTATTCAGAAGGGCTATTACTAAAAAGCCAAAAATAACTGTTGTGGGCAAGGTTGTGGGAAAAAGGGAACACAGACACTGATGGTGGGAATGTAAACTAGTTCAGCCCCTGGGGAAATCGGTTTGGAGATTTCTTACAAAATTTAAGACAGAACTACTATCCAGCCAAACAATCCAATTACTGGGTACATACCCAAAGAAATACTGATTATTCTACCATAAAGACATATGCACATGCATGTTCATTGCAGCACTATTCACAAGAGCAAAGACATGGAATCAACATAAACCTCCATCAACAGTTGATTGGATAATGAAAACTTGATACGGATACACCATGAAATACTATGCAGCCATATAAGAGAATGAGCTCATGTCTTTTGCAGCAACATGGATGGAGCCGGAGACCATTATTCTAAGTGAATTAATGTAGGAGAAGAAAACCAAATACTACATGTTCTCACTTTTAAGTTGGAAGAAAACATTGAATACACATGGACACAAAGAAGGGTAAAATAGACACCAGGGCCTACTTGAGGGTGGAGGGTGGGAGGAGAATGAGGTTTGAAAAATGACCTATCGGGTACTATGGTTATCACCCGGGTGACAAAATAATCTGTACACCAAGCACCCGTGACATGCAATTTACACAAACCCATACATGAACTCCCTGAACCTAAAAGATGGAAGAAAAATGAAGGTTTTATATATTGATGTGGGTGATTATTATTCAAATGCAAGCGTTCCCCAAATTTATCTAACTATACACTTACAGTCTCTGCATTTGAATATATGTAAATTATACCTTGATTTAAAAACTTTGAAAATGTTAATGATTTATTAATTATGTAAACCATTTACATAATTCCAAAGACAAATTTCTTGTTTTCATCTCAATGCCTTTCCATTTATTTTGTTTGTTACAGCTTTTCTCTAATAGGTTCTTTAAGGGCTCATGGAAACAATATTCTATGATTTCTTCCATGGCCATAAAAAGTTTACTTTGGCCTTTTTCATTGAAGATCAGTTTGGTTGGGTACAAAGTGCCCAGGTCATATTTTCTTTTCTCAAGTATAAGAAATATATTACTTTCTTACTGTCTGTTATAAACAATTACTGTTGAGAAGTTTGATGACAGTTCAATTTTCTTGTTCTTACTAGAGATCTTGCTACCTGGATATCTGATTATTTTATTTCCTCTTAATGTCTTCTCATTTTTACTAGTGTGTATTATGTTCCTGACCACTTTCAGTTGATTTTCCTATGTAAACTATGTGTCTTTTCAATAATAATTTCAAATCTTAATTTATTATATAAAATCTCTCGATTTAAAATTTTTGCTGGTTTATCTTGATTTATATTAATTTTCTCCATTTGTTGTGGAGATGTGGAAGAATCTTATACATAAAATATCTGTTATTATTGTCTATATGTATCACTGTTTCTTGAAAATGTTTTTATCTTGCTTTCTTTTAAAAGAAAAAAATCCTCATTTTCATATTTTCTTTTTCTTAAAGGATTTTTATGACTTCTTTTCTATTATTTCCAGTTAATTATTCAATTCTAGTATAGTTTTCTTTTTCATTTTGAATTACTTTATGATAGCTTTTACTAATTTTCCTTTCTTAAATATGTTATATCTGCTTTTGAAAATTCTACCTTATGTTGTTTTAAAAATATTTTCTACAGATTTTTTTTTTTGAAAATTGCTTATACTTTATCTGTTCTGTGAGCATGCCTTCTTAGTGTGCCTTCATTGTCCACAGGGACATTATTCTGCTCACTATTATCTTTTTTTCTTATAAATAGCATCTTATGTGATTCTACCATACTAAATTTCTGTTGCTGATGTTTAAGTGATGGTCTTTTTTTCTTAAAAGAAAAAATGGAAAGATGAAGAAAAAGGTAGAGTAGGCAACTCCAAGGGGCCATCCCATTACAAAAGCATTAGAAAATTAAATAAAAACCCTCAGAATCAACTTTGTCACAACTTTGGAAAATAATCAAAGATTTAGACCAACCAAGCATGTGCTGAATCAATTTAAAAAGCCACTTTTAAAACAGTGGGAAATATTTTTAGCGTTCTAATTTTGCCTTGCCCTGTCCTTCTGCTCAGCTAAGTCATTATCTTGAGGTTTCTCACGATTATCTTTTTAAACATTCTGTCTTCTCTTTTTTGTCTCTCCTCTCCTTCCAGACTAATTTGTTCTGCCAAATTAAGACCTCCTTCAGGGCAGAAAATCAGTGGTCATTTCTCAAAAATACTGTGAGGGAAATGAACAATCTGCAGCTGCCTTGGTTAAAAACTATTCCTGAGCACCAAAAGCCTGGGAGGAAAATCTGTGGAGATAATGTTTTTGCAGATATTGGGGCACTGAAAAACACCCACGTAAGCCAGGAAATTGAGAAAGCCATGCCCACGTCCAGCACAGGAAGCATTGTCACAATAAACCCGAGAAGACTCTAGGCTTTCACCTCTGGCTGATTTCTAGGCTGGATTCAAAGAAGGGAAGGCTATAGCAAAGTTGTGAATGTCCTGAGAGGTTGCCCCTACACAGAGCCAATCTGTACAGCCTTTCATCTGTTTTGGGGTGTGTGTGTGTGTGTGTGTGTATCTTTCCTTTCTGGTATTCAGTGAAATCTCCATCAAAATACTAGTTGAATTTAAGACAAAGGAACAGAGACTTTGGAAATCATGAGTAATAAAACATGCAGACTTCACGAAGACATTTTAGAATATTTCTAAATAGTCAGCTACAGTCTACAAAAAGCAATAAATAAATAAATAAATAAATAGAGGATCTGATTTACACACATACAACATTATGATATTAAAAATGCTTGCTCTTCAACAAATCTTTATGAAGCCTACTAAGATGCAAGAAAGTGTGGCCCATTTGCAGAAGAATGAATAGAAACTGTTCTTGAGGAAGCACACCCATTTGACGTATGTGGCAAATATTTCAAGTCAGCTGTCTTAAATATGCTGAATTAGCTAAACTAAACTATGTACAAAGAGCTAAAGGAAACCACCAGGCAGATGCTGTATGAGCAAACAGAGAATATTAATAAGATAGAAATTATACAAATAAATCAAAATATATTCTGGAGCTTAAAAGTTCTATAACTGAAGTGGAAAATCACAGGAAGGTTTCAACAACAGATTTGAGTATGGAGAATAAAGAAACAGTGAAATATGTGATTCGACAATTGACTTTGTTCAGTCTGAGGCACAGACATTAAAAAGAAATGAATAAAGAGAAATAAACAAAGGCTGAAAGACCTTTGGTACATCATCAAGCACACTCTTACATGCACAATAGGAATCCAGGTAAGAGAGGAGAGACAAATAGAAGAAGAAAGAATACTTTAAAATATTTTAGTGAGAAAATTGCAAAATTGTATAAAAGGCCACACACTCAAGAAACTTAATGAACTCCAACAAGGATAAACATTATGAGATCTACAACAAGACACATTATAATCAAAGGGGTATGGCGGGGAGGCGGGAATGGTTAATGGGTACAAAAAATAGTTAGAAGGAATGAACGGGGCCTAGTATTTGATAACACAACAGGGTGTCCATAGTCAATAATATTTTAATTGTACATTTTAAAATAACTAAAAGAATATAATTGGATTATTTGTAACATCAATGATAGACGCTTGAGAAACGCTTGAGGGGATGGATACCCCATTTTCCATAGTGTGATTATCATGCGTTGCATGCCTATATCAAAACATCTCATGTACCCCACAAATATATATACCTACAGTGTAACCCCCCCAAAACTAAAAAGTTACTTTAAAAAGTGTCAAAGGCTATGCTCAAAAAAGATCTTGACATCTGTAAGAGAGAAGCAATTTACCACTTACAAACCATCCTCAATAATATTAACAGCAGATTTCTTATCAGAAACAATGGAGACCAGAAGGCAGTAAAAGGACATTTTTTTTTTATTATACTTTAAGTTTTAGGGTACATGTGCACAAAACCCAAATGTCCAACAATGATAGACTGGATTAAGAAAATGTGGCACATATACACCATGGAATACTAGGCAGCCATAAAAAAGGATGAGTTCATGTCCTTTGTAGGGACATGGATGAAGCTGGAAACCATCATTCTGAGCAAACTATCACAAGGACAAAAAACCAAACACCGCATGTTCTCACTCATAGGTGGGAATTGAACAATGAAAAGGACATTTTTAAAGTGCTGAAAAAGAAAAAAAAAATGAACCTCTGAACCAGAAATTCTTTGTTCCACAAAACTGTCCTTCAAAAATGAAGAAACGAAGGCATTCCCAGATAAGCAAAAGATGAGGAAGGTAATTGCTAGTAGAGCTGCCCTATAAGAAATGCTAAAAGGAGTGTTTTTTAGCCTACACTAAAGAGAAATTTGAAGTTATAGGAAAAAATGTAAAACTGTAGCAAAAGGTAACTAATGGGTAAATATAAAAGCCAATACTATCGTATTTTTTGGTTCATAACTCTTTGTATTCCCCAAGTGATTTAAAATACAATGCATACAAATAATTATAAATCCATGTCAGTGGGTACACAATATGTAATGATGTAATTCGCGACAACCACAGTATGAAGGGAAAGGAAGGATTGAGGTGTATGAAAGTATATTTTGTAGCTATTGAAGCTAAGTTAATATCAATGCCAGTTATGTCTTTATCAACTTAGAATGTTAACATTAATCTCCAAGGTAACCACAAATAAAGTATCTAAAATTATGCACAAAGGAATGAGAATAAAAATGGCATACTGCAAAAAATAAATATGAAATAAGGCAGTACTGGAATGAGAATGAACAGGCATAAGATACATGTAAAACAAATAGAAAAACATTAGATGTAAACCCATCCTTTCTGATAACTGCTGACTCTGTTCCTCTTTCCCTCTTGGATTGGATATACTGTTTTCTTTGTCACTATAATCTCTGTCCTATTCAATTTGGATTCTACTTCCAGAAGTTCCTTCTCAGTGTGTAGCTTTTTGTTATTGTTGTTAGTGAACATATTGATTGCTTATTTTTGAGATTTCATAGGGCTTATATCACTCTAGCACAATAAGATCTTTCTATGGTCCCTTTGCACTCTCACCTGTGAATTGGAGCCAATGTAGCTCCTGGTCAGTATTAATTAGTTTACTGAGTTCAGCATTGTAATGACTACCCTTTGGTGATCAGGGACATTTTTCTGCTTACTCCTGCAGAGTTTGCCTTATCAAATGTTTCTTCATGAGATGGCTCTTCCCACCCACTCTTATTTTGGGTTTCATGGTAAGTCCTGTCACCTGATTTTATTATAGATTTTGTTTGTGAGTTTCAAATATTCGTGTCCAAGTTACCCTGCCTTGTGAAACGATTCCTTGTTCACAGACACAACAAACACACACACACTCTATTATGGCTGTCATCTTCCTAGAATGTTCTCCTTCAGATTTCCTCTGACCTGGTCTATCTAGGTTTTGTAGCTAAAGAAGGAGCTAGATTAGGCACCTAACCAAAGTACAGTTTCAGTGGCTAGGGGCAATAGATCTAAAAGAAAAAACATTACTACTCATGTGAATCTGTTGGATACTAAGAGGTTTTGAAATTGTGAACTATGTTTTTCAAAACTGAATATGCATCTCTCAAATAGTCACCTCTACTTTTCTTTCCTTTAGTTGGGCATAGATTTGCATAAAGGGCTTTTCAACTGATTGCCAAACTTGGAAATAATGTTGAAATCTCAGTTAGGCATGCATTTGCAGCTCACTAAGACTTCCCATTGGTAGCTTATTTCATGCGCCAATAGTTTATTTAACATTTTTTTTGGTTCTTGAAACACAGTGTCATCTGTTTGAAACTATTGTTTTGGTTGTTCAGTGAGTCCTTGCCTGAATAATTTGACATACTCAGCAGCTCTGTTTAAAGAAATGACTCTGTTTAAGGTCTTTTCTTCTTCAGAAGCATAATATGTGTCAGAGGGGAATTACGAAGAAATTACCATTGTTTAATGAATACTAAAGTAAAATCGGATTAAACATCTCTACAAATAGCCAGATCCCATGGGCCTCTTGACTGTAAAGATTGTGGAAGGTAATTATATAGTGTAATTAAATTATTTTAATTCAATTTCAAACATTGTTTTATGAATAGAACATATTCCCTGTTACGAATAGGGAATACCTTTCTTTCAGCTAAATCCTCCTTTGGGATACAAGGGAATTTGTCATTTAAATATGAGCAATAAGGGACAAAGACTTTTAAAAAAAATCCCTTGTTTTGATCTATCCAATCTGTAAATTTGGGGATTAATTTTAGTATTTGTAAGTCATGTTATTGGCCTGAAACCAAATTAAACCTTTCAAAACTTGGCTCAGTATAAACATTCAATCATTGTAGACTAAAAAAGGCAGATTTACTGTTTTGTGGTTTTCTTACCAGTTACCAAGAGGCACTTTCAACTCAGTCTTAGATAGGATTTTTAAAAATATCTAAACCTGCTTCTTATTGCCATTTGAATTGTTGGTAGAGCATGGACAGTCATTGGAGTGTTTGAAGAAATGTGTGACTAAATTCCAAACTCATTAGCTGTACGTCCAGGGTAAATATGTTTCATCACTCTGAATCTCAATTTCCTCATTTGCAAAATGAGGAGTATGACTAGATGACTTCTTTATCAGCTCTAACATTCTGTAGACCCCCAATAAAACAACTACCAATAAAAACAACTACCATGAAAGTAATTGGGCAGATATTATAACTATACTTTATAGATAAGAAAATTGGGACTTAGTGGCACAGCTAGGAAGCAGAGAAGCAAAGATTCTGAACCAGAACCCTCTGAAGCTCAATCTGTTATTGTCTGGGCTCTATAATAGTACTCTCTTATGTGATTAAGGTCTATATTCACGTATACGAAAATATAATTATTGCTATTTTCTGTGACTGACTTTTCACTATAGCTTTCTCTGTGCAAACCAAAAGCTAGTGGTAGAGAAGAGAATACTATGAACACTTGTAAGACTAGAAACATAACACTGAAAGCAGTGTAGAGGCAACAAGGATCCCTTCAATGTGGGAACTTAAAATCTATTAATCTAGTTTGTGGACAGTTTAAAATAAAATAAATAGAGCATGAAGTCGTGAGCGTCAGAAGACAACCACTCACTTTTTGAAGGATCCTCAAGGGTTAATATGCCACCATTCTACCTTGGACAGACTCTTTTAAAGGCAAAGAAACATCTTTGGAACATTGATTTGTTTATGTATCTTTCTCCATTTACTGAAATTAATCCCCTTGTAAAGAGATACTGTATCTATTTATCTCTGTGTGCCTAGCACCTGGCCAAGTGACTGGTACTTAGAAAGCTGAATGAATAAAATGTATGTATTTAGGGATGGGGTAGTGGAAGACAATTTATTTTTAACAGCAACAACAGCAGTGATAGCTATCAATTACTTAATGTATATTTATCAAATGCCTACTATGTGCCAAGGCATCCTTGTCTATGATACAATGAATGAAACAGACACAAATATCTGCCTCATGGAGATTACATTGAGGGAGCTAAGAAAACAAACAAAAAAGAAGTAAAAGAGGTTGTACATAAATGTTGATAAATGCAATGAAGAAAAATAAAGCAGGGAAGGAGGTGGCAGACTGACAGAATATGAGATTGTATCTCTAAGAAGGAAGGTCAGGAAAGGCTTCACTGTAAAGATCACTTTCAAACCAATTGGACCCATTTGCCAACAACACCATACCATAAGCTTAACATACATGTATTAGTTTACTAGAACTTTCTGTAACAAACTTCCACAAATTGGGTGGCTCAAACAACAAAAATTTATTGTCTCCTTAACTAGCGGCTGGATTTCCAAGATCAAGGTGTCAGCAGGATAGAGTTCGTCTGAGGGCTGAGAGAAAAGGATCTGTTCTAGGTCTCCTTGGCTTGTAGATGGTCCTCTTCAACCTGTGTCTCCTTATGTCATCTTCCCTCTATGCATATCTGTGTCCAAATTTACACTTTTTATAAGGGCACCAGTTGTACTGGATTAGGGCCCACACTAAAGACCTCATTTTAACGTGATTATCTCTGTAAAGACAATATCTCCAAATACAGTCATGTTCTGAGGTTCTGGGGGTTAGAACATCAACATAAACATTTTTAGGAGGAAAGAATTCAACTCAAAATGGTGCATTATGTCATTTAATCCTCGCAATAACTCTGCGAGGTTAGTATTGCTATTCTTATTTTCTATGTGAGAATACTGAGACTCAAAATATTTAAGATCACAGGGGCAGTAAACTAGCAGAGCTTGGACTAGGATTCAGATATATTTGACACCAGAAGCCTTGCTGTTAACCAACATACTATACTTTTCCCACTCATAGCTAGTCCTGAATTATCTTCCTAAAGCAAGAACAGGAGGCTGGCAGTATAACTCTTTTTGAAACATTCATTTACTCAAAATATATTTACAGAACACAGGCTAAGTACCATGCACTGTGTTAAGGACTAGTGATTCAAATAGTGGTAAAATAAACCATACTACTCTTTTCATAGAGCTTGTATTTAATCAAGTGAAACAAAAAATTACATCTATAAATGGATAATTTTAAACCAAGGTAAGTTCTCTGAAAGAAAAAAAGTAATAATTAGATAAGTGTTTGTAACTCGAGAACTTGACCTAGATTGAGATGAGAGAAGTCTTCCCTGGAAACTAGTTGAATTATATCTAAAGAGTGAGTAGGTATTAATTATGGAAAGACTGAAATGGGAGCTAGGTGAAAAGAAGAAAGTTCTAGACAGATGTAACCGCATGTGCCAAAGTACAGTCAAGAACCTGAGTTTTTAGTATAACTGAAGCTTAGAGAAACAGAAGGGGCATGTTGCAAGGTTGGAAGCAGGAAGGTAACAAATAGCTTCCAGGCTACACGAAGACTTTCAATCTTTATCTTAAGAGAATGAGATTCTACTGAAGGGGTTTGGGGAGGATATGTAGTGTGATATTTTTATTTTGGAAGATCGCTCTGGCTGTAGTGAAGAAAATTGATCACTGAAGAACCAAATTAGAAGCATGACAAGGGATTAAAAAACTATTGTAAGAGATCGTAAGAGTAGCTTGTAATAGTGCAGAAATAATAGAAGATAGAGAACAGTAGATAGATTTAAGAAATATTTAAGAGGTAAAATTGTGATAATATGATAACAGATTTAATGTTAAGACTGAATGAGAAGGATGGCAAAAGATGACTCAGTTTTCTGGATTGAGTCAATGGATAGATATAGGTATCATTCACAAAGATGAGAAACGGTGGGAGAGGGTCAGGGTTGAAGGTGGGGGAAATCTTAGATTTAAAAAAGGATATGTTAAATTTGAGGAAAAGAAAGGATATTGAGAGAGTACTAGATACATAGGTCCACAGCTATGAGGAAAAACCAGTCCTGGAAATGTAAAGTTGGGAATCATCAGCACAGAGGTGGTAATCAAAACAGAATAAAATCCAGATTAGCTTTTCATTTTCTAGCTCATTTTCTGAAAATATTGTGGGAATCGAAAATCTGCAGCAAAATAGAAAGCTCACTGGACTCAGTCAGGAAATTGGGGCTGTGATTAGAGATCCCACTGTAATTCACATTGTGTTATCCGGAAAATTATTTTCTATGGGAACGTAATTTACACAAATAAGAAGGGAAGGGGATAGACTCTTTAAACATCACGACTCTCAACTCAAATTTTCTGTGCTTCGGTGAAAGTTACAAATATGTGGATCATCCACCAACATATAAAGTTCATGGAGAAAAGCAATAGTTTCTGGACTAGATTCCAGACACGAAGCTACTTACCAGAGGCTACATTATGATTTGGCTTGTCATATTTTTTTCTCACATGTTTGGAAAGTTTATAGTCTTGCTCTGAATTAAGATAAACCAAGGTAGACAATGGTCTCAGTTGTAATGGGGCTATGTAAACAATGATCAAGAATAGATATTTTATAGTGCTAGTAAAGGCCAAGGGAGATTAAGATTATGGGCCTTTCTTATTTCCTTTTTGCTTTTCAGGGGATACATAATTATTTTCCAAGCCATAGTTTTAAGATCATCTCTAGACATTATAATACATTTATTTTAATTACTTATACATCGCATACTTTCTAAACACCAGAATGCAGTGCTAGACATGCTGGATACAAGGATGAATGATACTTTGTATTTTACATTTACCCATGGATGGAGAAAAATAAAGAAATATATGAATAGAAAGAAACACATGAAAGAATACATAACCACTCATTGGGTAAAATCAGAAGTGCTGTTGAAAGCTAATTGAAAGAGGGTATATCTATCTACCTTAATGTAGAGAATAAGGATAATTTTGCTATATAAAGATTGGAGGGGTGGTAATGTGAAGAAGGGAACTATTCAAGTCAATGTATTAATTTGTGGAAGTTCTAGGAAGAGACACAGAGAGTATGGAGTATTTTAGGAAACAAGAGTAGGAGTACAACCATTTTTATTAGGTACGTTAAAAACTAGCATTTAGACAAAAATATTTTGATTCATTGTATTGTGCCAAGATAATTTTCAACTTGCCTTTAACTTTTGCAAATGGAATTATATTCAAGAAATATCACGAAGGGGACACAACCCGCCAGCTTCATTAAATTTCTGAAATGCTTCCGGGAAAAATTAATATATGTGGATACCAGCCCGAATCATTTGGACTGAGCAGAATTCACTAACACACAAAACCTCTCAAATATAGGGATATTAAAAGTTTTTAATAAAGCAATGTTGATGATGGTGGTTAGAGAATTATTTATCCTTTTCCTTGTTACCTTCTCTCATTTGTTATTTCAAAGTCAATATGGTTATAAGAGCCTTTCAGAGCAAAACTTAAAACCTCAGGGCTAGGTAGCCATTTGGCAAATTCTCCTATGTATATTTTAGCAAACTCAAGTGGATAGAAACAAAATAAACTTCATTCCAGTGTAAAGTTTACTTACCCTTTGAAGAAGGTGATGCTAAATATTAGTACTGAGTAAACTCCAGTCCTCTTGTTGATCATCTCAGATGTTGGATAACTGGCAAAACCAAGATTGAAACCTTTTTTTTCATTGCTTGTTTCTATTTCCAAGAAAAATTTTATCAATAAGGTAAAGAAATAATGAGGCCTCACATGTACACAGTCCTTTATGACTTGCAAAGCCGTTTCACATCTACTGTTTCAACTGGCTTCTATATTCTCTCTCAAGTATGGCAGAAAAGAGTTTAAGGTCCTTATTTCACAGAAAAGAAACACTGAAGCTCCAGAAGTTCATTTGTTTAATGTGACAATCGGGACTGAGGCCAAGACTAGCACTCCAAAATATGGACCATTATCACAGTGCTTGAACATAACAAATAACGTACAGTGCTTACAATGTTATTTTGTTAAGCAATTCTACCCTAACACTCTGATTTCCTAAAGTGTCACAGACCTGAAATTCTATGACATTCTGCAAGGATGAAATTTAATAACACTATGTCTTACAGGCATAATTGTCAACTGTATAATATCAGATTTATAAAATTACACTCTCACATTTTATTCTCATGGGCCTCAAAATGTGCTGTAAGATTGTGTGTGTATGTGTGTTTGTGTTTGTGTGTGTGTTTATTTCTATGGTTATCTATGAATAAATAATTTAAGCATGCCATGTAATTATACTCCACTACTTATTATCTATATAATCTTATACCTAGGTATGGCCATATTATGTCAGCCCTCCTGTGTGGGTTTGTGGTCATTATGTCATTGGCACCAACTTTAACTGTAATAGCCCAAATAGTAGAGCAGAGGAATAAGGCAGAATTGATGCTTTGTTGATGCCTTCTTGCCAAATGAAAGCCAAATGATGTCATCGCATATCATCTAAATAAAGATTTCATGGGATTCCTGGGCAAGATGGCCAAATAGGAACAGCTCCGGTCTGCAGCTCCCAGCGAGATCAAGGCAGAAGGTGGGTGGTTTCTGCATTTCCAACTGAGGTACCAGGTTCATCTCATTGGGACTGGTTAGACAGTGGGTGCGGCTCACAGAGGGTGAGCAGAAGCAGGGTGGGGCGTCGCCTCACCCAGGAAGTGCAAGGGGTCGGGGAACTCCCTCCTTTAGCCAAGGGAAGCCTGTGTAGCATTCACTGGGACCTGCCTCTCTGTTGTGCTCTAAAAGTGCTAAGGCTTGAGCACGGTCTGGTTGCGACCTTCTTCTAGGAGGAGCACACATTTAGGAATGAGTAACTTTTACAGAGAGTTCAGGGATACTCACAGCAAGATCAAGCCAAGTTAACAAAAGCAAATCAACAGAGATGTTCCTGAGCTGACTTTGAATTCACATAATAAATATGACAGGAGATAGGGTAGTTAGAGAGTGTGATTCAGGATAGTTAGGTGGTTTGAGTAGGGTTGTACACGGTGACAGATTTCTTTTTGGTTTATTTTTTCCATTCTGCTTTCACTGGCCTGAATTAGGTGTCGATATGATAATGCAAAGTAGGACACGGCTGTGATTGGACTAAGAAACAGCTCCTGGCAGGCCTTCGGTTACCAAAGGAGTAGCTTATCAGTAATGATAGTCACATTTCTTCCAGAGATGCAGAGAGGGCAACTCTCAACTTATTCCACGTGTGTTCACTGCCTCTGCCAGCCCATAAGAAATATAGTATGCAGGAATCGTGGATGGAAAAATTACCTCCTGACTATCAGGACCATGGCAGTAGCCTTTTCAACTGGTCTCCTTGTTTCTATCGTCCCCTACCCCCACCCTGAAGCAGTCTATTCTTTTTTTTTTGAGACGAAGTTTCGCTCTTGTTGCAATGGCGCGCTCTTGGCTCACCACAACCTCCACCTCCTGGGTTCAAGTGATTCTCCTGCCTCAGCCTCCCTAGTAGCTGGGATTACAGGTATGTGCCACCATGCCTGACTAATTTTGTATTTTGGGTAGAGACGGGATTTCTCCATGCTGGTCAGACTGGCCTTGAACTCCCAACCTGAGGTGATCCGCCCACATCAGCCTCCCAAAGTGCTGGGATTACAGGCGTGAGCCACTGCGCCTGGCCAGAAGTCTATTCTTTATATAGCAGGAAGAGGGATTTTTTGTTGTTGTTGTTTTTAAGAGACAAGGTCTCTTTATGTTGCCCAGGCTCACCCTTGAACTCCTGGGCTGAAGCAACCCTCCCACATCAGCCTACTGAGTAGCTGGGACTACAGGCATACATTCATGCTCAGTTCAAAGTGACCTTTTAAAAAGGGCAATAAGCTCAAAGTAGTTCTGTGTCTAAAACCCTCCAATGACTTATAGGTAAACTTAGAATAAATCACAAAAGCCTGAAAGTAGACTATAAGCTGCTATGAGATTCAGTGTGTTGTCATCTATCCCATCTCATCACCCACCCTTCTCTAACTTGGTTACTCTTTTCCAGCTACACAGACTTTCTTGCTCTTCATGAAACATAACACAGTTATTCACATCCTTGGATCTGGGTGTAAGTGCTGGATCTCTGCCTGGAAGGTTCTCCCCTCAGAAATCCACGGAGTGACTCCTAGTGATTTCAGTCTTAGCTTAAATGTCACCTCTTTCCCTGATGGTGTAATTTCAAGTGCATCAGTCAACCCAGCCCCACTCCAGATTCCTTGTTGGGACAAAATGGCACTGGACAGAGAATATTCCAAACCAAAGGGAACTGGTAAAATCCAGAGCCTTTGCACTATACTTTCTGGCTTCATCTACCTCATATAAAAAGTAGAATTTGATTTCTACTCCTAAAATGGATTCCTGTAATTCCCGTGATTCTTTCCTTTCATCATTCTATTACCATAGGGACTTCAATTTCAGTTATTTATAATGTAAGTATCCACTGTTTAAAAGAGGCCGCACTATCAAACAACAATTTAAAAGCCATTAATCTAGTTTAATTTTTGCTCCCTTTTCCAGATGAGAAGGCCGTGGGAAGCAAAGGCAGTTGCCTCAAGTACCCACTCAGTTAGAGGAAAAGTCAGAATCAAAACCCAATTGTCTCTCATCCTACTCTTGAGTTCTTTCCACAACCACAGACTGTGGTATGCATCAAAGAATATTTTGTATAAAACTCTCAGTAGCTATAAATATAAAGTCATTGCAAACTGTCAGTGAAACAATAAGGATTTTGTTGTACTGTGTTTTGTCTTGTTTAGGAAATAGAAAAACATGACATATATTTGGTTTAATATATGGATTATAAAAGAAATTTCCATAAAGGTGTTTAGATGTGAACTAAATTATCCAACATTTCAAAGGGCAGAAGGTAGTGTATATTTAGTATATGTTAAATATAGTTTCTTCTTCAATACATCTTTGAATAGTTATTCACTTCCTTCTAATTTGCCATGACCTCATTATTATTCCAATATAATAGAGAAACAAAGGACATAACTGGCAACTTTTTTGGATTATTCATTATGAACTGTTTCTGAAGAGTTGTACACATATAATGAAGGTCTGAGGATTTATTTTTCTTCTGATTTGGAAAAGTGTACTGCAAAGACTTCAAAATGTGTACTTTTACTTTGTAAAAAGGTTTATTATGAGCACAGAAAAAATATCCATCTTTTTCTGGACATATACGAAACAGCATAAATTATATCAGTGAAATAATACTAATTCAGTAAAACATGGCTCAGCAAACTACAATCAAAACATTAGAAGAAATTCAAAATACGAAACAATGAATAAAAGACAAGACATCACTTATTCTGAAGATTTCAGGCAGGAGGTGATGAAACATGTCTTATTGTTTCTGGAGACTGTTAGGTGACTTACTGTAAAAATACAAGCAGATGGTTGGAAATCTGAGATCTGTAGTAAGCAAGAAAACAAATCTCACTGAAAAATTGAGTAAAGAATAGAAGCAATGAGCAGAGCACTACTTTTCATGTTAAGACAAAGATTCATTTCTTACAAGGTCTGAGATCTCAGCACAGGCTTGTGTTAATGGTCAACACACATCAAGAAGAGAGAATTTACTGGGCGGGAAAACACAGAGATGGTCCCCAAAGACACTGTTACCATGATAAGCAAGCTTCCTGCCATAGTCACAACCACCTCCCATTTCTGAAAGTTTACCCATTGTTTTTTTGGATATTTATAGCTTGTTATGAACACTGACATTACTATTGAGGGATACTACAATGTAGGGGGTAAGAGTATGGTGCTAGAGCCAGAAGGTGGGATTTAAGTCTTGCTAGCAATACAAAATTGGGCAAGAAATTTAACTTCTCTTTGCTTTAGTTTCTTTATCTATGAAAAGGGGCAGTAATGAGTTCCTAAGAGTAATTAAGCCTATTAATCTGTTTTTACATATTAGTTGATTAGAATCATGGATAACACATGACTGCATTGTCAGCTATAACCATAATTATTACATAATCACTACTGACCCAGAAATTACCTCAAGAATTTTACAAGAGTACCTACATGTGTGCTTGTGCACATACACATACATACAAACTGTTTCTTGATAACCTGTCATACACCAGGCACTATGTTTAAAATGTAACAAATGATTTTGTTCACTATTCACTAATGATTTGTTCACAGATAATTTTATTCAACTGCATAATAAAAGGGATTATACTGATAATAACAATGACTGTTAGTAAAATAGCAAGTGTCAATGTTTCTTAAGTGCTTACTCTGCATCTTGTGTTATAGTAAGTGCTCTGCTCTGCATGAATTATGTCATTAATCTTCAAAACTACATTCTGTGTTATGTACTGTCACTATGTCTGCTTAATTGCATGAGAAAAAATGAAGTAGACAGATGTTTAGTGTCTTGCTTAAGGTATTAATAATACATCTGGTGACTGGTAGAGCCTGGATTCAAATCCAATTCTGCTGACTTTAGAGTCCATACTTCCAACAACCACCTATCAGTGTCAATGACTTCCCCTAACTTGAGAGCCTACAATCTCCTCCAAGGCATTCATAGTCAAGCCTCAAAGTGCGACGTTAATTTGCTTTCCAAGGTTTCTGTGACACTAAGTTTACCTGGCTCTTTTCCTATCTCACCAGTTCCTCCTCAGTGTCCTTTGCTGGCTTCTCCTCATATGCCTGCACAATAAGTGTTTGAAGGGCCCAGAGCTCACTCCCTGGACCTCTTTGCTTTTTTATCTACACTTGCTCCTTTGGTGATCTTGTCCAATTGCATGGCTTTAAGAATAATCTATAGTTGAAAGACTCCCACATTTATAATCTTGCCAGTTGTTCTCCTAAACACCAAGCTAGTATACCCAATAGCCTAGTTAACACCTCTGCTTGAACATCCAATAGGTATCTCAAACATAAAATATTCAAACCAAGTTCCTGATTTTCCCTTCAAATCTGCTCCTTTCTCAATCTTTCCTACTTCAGAATTTGCAACTGCATCCTTTCCATTGATCTGTCCAAAATCCTTAGTCATCCTGACTCTTCTTTTCCCACCACTCCCCTGCATGTTAACTCATGAACAAACATTCTCAATTCTACAAATGAGATATTTCTTGAGTCCATAAATTTCTCACTATTCTCACCACTAGGATGTGAGCCCAACCTACCATTATCTGTCATCTGGACAACTGCAATTAACTCTACCACTGATTTCTAGCTTGCGTTCCGGCCATCTAAACAGCATTCTTTTTGCAGTAGTGTTTTCTACACGTAAGACTCTGTTCTACGTGCTTTACCGACATTAACTCAATTTTGATACAACCCTATGAGATAAGTTCTACTTTTCTTCCCATTTTACAGATAATGAAATAAATGCTCAGATACGTGAGGTAATCTGGCCAAGGAGAAATTGTACAACAATCTTAGTCATACTCCTTCCATGGGGCCTTGAAGCTTGAGCAATCTAGTAATTTCATTATTAGGGCTTTGTGTGAGAAAATAAAGTTACACAAAATAGATGTCTGAAGGCATTCATTAACATATTCACTATAATTGGGAAATTTCAGCAACAATTTAAAGGTATCCAAACAGAAGAATGGTTAAATAAATCAGAATATATTGATATAATAAAATATTAAACTATCAACTCTATTGTGATGGTTTAATATGAAACTATCAGGGCCCTGGGCCCAGCCCAGGAAACTATTTTGTTCCTCCTAGGCCTCCTGGCCTGTGACGGGAGGGGCTGCGGTGAAGATCTCTGAAATGCCCTGGAGACACTTTCCCCATTGTCTTAGCTATTAACATTCGGCTTCTCTTGACTGAAGCGTATCATCCTCTTGATTTACATGTATTCAGATTACATGGTATGTTATGAACAAATACTTCATGTGTGGGATAGTACCAGTTTGAAGCTACATTTAGCCCACTATGGGAATTTAAAAATGTCTCAGGAGGTGGTAGGGTAGGTACTATTTGGTGTCTCTTTGAATGAGTCAGTTGAATTATATACACTCAAGAGGGCTTTCTGAAGATATATTTGCCTGGAAATTTTGAAGAGGGACAAGTTCCCAAAAAGGATAGCATAAAAATCTGCATTTATGTCTTATCCTGGATCCATGGACTCTAGATTGAGCCCTATGGATAGTCTGCAGGAAGAAATTAAAATAATTGTTCCATGAAGAGCTCCTGTGCACCAGGCACAAACATTTCCCCTGAGCTGTCTACCCTACTCCCTTCACGCTTTGCCTGGAAAGCTCCTACATACATATCTGGTTCCAGCTTACCTGTCATTTCCCCTTAGAAGTCCTGCCTGCCAGCCCAACCTTTATGTTTCCTTAGTATCTTTTTCACTTATCATAGCACTTATCACACTTTACTGTAATTATTTAATTTTTGTCTTCCTCTAGACTATAAACTTCTAGAGGATGAGGGCATGTCTGTTTCAAAAACTACATCTGTCTTGTTTAGTTTTGATTATGCAACTCCTAGCATTATCTTTGAATCACAGTGGGTCATCAATAAAACAGTAATAGTGTAACCAAATTATTTTCTAATTCAAAAGCTATATTACTTTGCTATCTAAAGGAATACCGGAAAACAAAGAGAATATTAACTGAAGCCCTAAAAGAAGTGATAGGGAATTATGTTGCATACCATTCAGAACTATGTTCTAAAAATCTTCACACAACTGTCCTGAGTATCACTAATCAATGTTTAATGTTCACTATTCTCCTTTTGTTTTGCACAAGAAAAGCAAATAATCCTAACTAAACCAAAACCAAGCAACCAACCAAGCAATCTACATCTGTTTTTCTCCTTTGTGTCTTCTCTGCCTTCTTTCCTATTTTAGACCTTCCACTCTTAAGAAAATAACTCCAGGTAATTCTAGGTTTTCTTTACCGGCCACAATTTAATAGCTCAAGCACATTGCCCCTATCAGTTGCAACAAATGCTAAGACAATTTATTTGCTAGAATAACAAAAGATCCTTTATACTTAAGAGATTGGAGTGAAGGATGGGACAGGGGTGGATTAGTCAAGATAGGAGAGGCAATGTTGCTAACAAATATGATCTGCTCTCAGACCAGTTAATTGCAAGCTAGAAAGTTTTCTGATAAGCAGTTACGTAGGAGCTCAAGCTGCTTCTATCCTGGGGCTTGCGGTTTCCCTGGCATCATATAGCCAGTGGGAGGTTGCAGCAGTATGCGGACGAGCCACACCAGTCCCATCAACTTTGGCCTGTATGTGACATTTATAACTTCCACTCACATTCTAATGGCCAGAACCAGGCACATGGCCAATCTAATTGCAAAGGAGACTTAAAAATGTAAAAGTGAAGATGGTTATCAGTGAGCACTAACATTCCCTTTCACATGAGACAAGGAGAGGCCAAGAATATGATTCATGAATAGACTTGCCTTTGTCATAGAAATACGGTAGAGAACAAGATATTTTTGAGTTTCTGTCAATGTTATTTTACTGTTATTTTCTTATTAAAATGTGATTTTATTTATTGTTTATTACAATGTTGTAAGAAAGATTTTCTAAATCTTATTTAATATCTTTCACAATCAAATTTAAGTATGAACCAGTGTGTCCCACTCTCTCTATATGTGATGGAGAGAAAATGGCAGTTTAAGAAAATGAAAGTAAAATAATTGACAACCACCTTAAGATCAATGTTTTAGTTGTCTACTGCTATGTAACAAATTATTCCAAAATTTAACAGGTTGAGTAAACAAACATCTTAAAGTTTCTGTGGCCCAAAAATCTGGCAACAACTGGGTGCTTATGATTCAACTATTCCATGGGGTTGCAGTCAAGCTGTTAGCTGGGATTGGGAGTCTTAGCTGAATGTTTGATCAGGGAAAGAGCCTAAGATATTTGTAAGCTCACTCATGTGATTGTTGGCAGTACTTAATTGTTTGAAACTATAAACCTTTCTGCAGGGCTAAATCACAACAGGGCAACTGGCTTCCCTGAGGGTGACTGATCCAAGACAATGAGATAAATCAACTAAGTCAGAAGTCATAGTATTTAAATAACTTAATCTCAGAAGCGATATACCATAATGTATACCATATTTTATTTGTTAGAAGTGAAACAATAAGTCCAGCCCACACACAACAGGAGATTATAACACATGAAAATTAATGCTAGGAGGATGGGGTCATTGGAGATATATCTTGGAGGCTGTATATTAGTAATTTTTAAAACAAAATCTTTACAAAATTTTTTTAAAAATTTATGTACCACTTGAAACTGTAAAGCCACTAGAAGAAACCAGGGAAAATTCTTTATGACATTGGACTGAGCAAGTATGTTTTGGATAAGACCCCAAAAGCACAGGAAAGAAAAGCAAAAATAGACAAAGGGAATTGTATCAAACCAAAAAGCTCTATACAACAAAGTAAGCAATTAACAAAGTGAAGAGAAAACTCATGGACTGGGAGAAAATATATGCAGATTACACATCTGAGAAAGAGGTAATATCTAAAATACATAAGGAACTCAGCGCAACGGCAAGAAAACAAAAACCAATTAGAAAATTGGCAAACTATCTGAGCAGACGTTTCTCAAAAGAAGAGATAGACATGATCAACAGATATATGAAAAAATGCTCAACATCTCTAGTCATCAGAGAAATGAAAATTAAAACCATGAGATATCACCTCACAACTGTTAGAATGGCTATGATAAAAAGCACAAGTAATAACAAGTGTTTGTGAGGATGTGGAGAAAAGGGAACCCTTGCACACTGTTAGTGGGAATGTAAAATAGCGCAGACACTTTGGAAAATGGTATGGGCATTCCTCAAAAAATTCAAAATAGAATTACCATATCATGGAGCAATCCCACTTCAGGGTATATATCCAAAGGTATTAAAGTCAATATGCTGAAGAGATGTGTGCATTTTTATTTCATGTTTATGTCATGTTTATTTCAGCATTTTTCACAATAGCCAAGTTATGGAATCAACCTAATTGTCCATCAATGGATGAATGGATAAAGAACATGTGGTATATTTATACAATGGAGTACTATCCAGGATTAATAATAGAGAAAAAGTTTGTCATTTACAATGACATGGATGAAACTGGAGGACATTATGCTAAGTGAAATAAGCCAGGCACAGTATACAATTGTATTAGTCCATTTCCATACTGCTATATAGAACTACCTGAGACTGGGTAATTTATAAACTAAAGAGGTTTAATTGACTCACAGTTCTACATGGCTGGGGAGGCCTCAGGAAACCTGCAATTACATCAGAAGGCTAAGGGGAAGCAAGGCATGTCTTATGTGGTGGCAGGAGACAGAGAGTGAGATGGAGAATGTGTCACACTTTTAAACCATCAGATCTCATGAGAACTTACTCTCACGAGGATACCATGGGGGAAACTGCTCCAGTGATCCAATCACCTCACACCAGGCCCCTCCCCCAACACTTGGGGATTACAATTCAAGAGATTTGGGTGGGTACACAGAACCAAACCATATTATTCTGCCCCTGACCTCTCCCAAATCTCATGTCCTTCGCACATTTCAAACTGATCATGCCTTCTCAGCAGTCCCTTAAAGTCTTAACTTATTCATTAACTCGAAAGTACAAGTCCAAATTCTCATCTGAGACAAGGGAAGTCCTTGCTGCTGCCTATGAGCCTGTAAAATAAAAAACAAGTTAGCTACTTCCAAGATACAACCCCCCACCAAGGCTTGGGGCTTGCATCTGAAGCAAAGGCCTGAGCTGTACCTTAGCCCCCTATAAGCCATGGCTGTAGCTGGAGTGACTGGGACACAGAGCACCATGTCCCAAGACTGCACAGAGCAGTGAGGCACCCAGCTGAGGAAAACATTTTTTCCACCTAGGCCTCTGGGCTTGTGATGGGAGGGGCTGCTGTGAAGACCTCTGAAATGCCTGGGAGACACTTTCCCCATTGTCTTGGCTATTAACATTCGGCTTCTCTTGATTCATGCAAATTTCTTCAGCTGGCTTGAATTTCTCCCCAGAAAAATGGTATTTTCTTTTCTACCACATGGTCAGGCTGCAAATTTTCCCAACTTTTATGCTCTGCTCCCCTTTTAAACATAAGTCTCAGTTTCACACCATCTCTTTGTGAATTCATATGACTGTATACATTCAGAGAAAGCCAGGTGAAATCTTAAACACTTTGCTGCTTACCTATTTAATAAATGGTGCTGGGAAACCTGGCTAGCCATATGCAGAAAACTGAAACTGGACCCCTTCCTTACACCTTATACAAAAATTAACTCAAGATGGATTAAAGACTTAAATGTAAAACCCCAAACCATAAAAACCCTAGAATAAAACCTAGACAATACCATTCAGAACATAGGCATGGGAAAAGACTTCATGACCAAAACACCAAAAGCAATGGCAACAAAAGCCAAAATTGACAAGGCTCTAATTAAACTAGAGAGCTTCCACACAGCAAAAGAAACTATCATCAGAGTGAAAAGGCAACCTGCAGAATGGGAGAATTTTTTTTGCAATCTACCCGTTTGACAAAGGTCTAATATCCAGAATCTACAAGGAACTTTTAAACAAGTTTACAAGAAAAAAAAAACAAAAAACTCCATCCAAAAGTGGGCAAAGGATATGAACAGAAACTTCTCAAAAGAAGACATTTATGCAGCCAACAAACATATGAAAAAAAACCTCATTATCACTGGTCATTACAGAAATGCAAATTAAAACCACAGTGAGATACCATCTCACTCCAGTTAGAATGGCAATTATTAAGAAGTCAGGAAACAACAGATGCTGCCGAGGCTGAGGAGAATAGGAACGCTTTTACACTGTTGGTGGGAGTGTAAATTAGTTCAACCATTTTGGAAGACAGTGTAGCAATTCCTCAAGTATCTAGAACAAGAAATACCATTTGACCCGGCAATCCCATTGCTGGGTATATACCCAAAAGATTATAAATCATTCTACTATAAAGACATATGCACATGTATGTTTATTGAAGCACTATTTACAATAGAAAAGACTTGGAACCAACCAAAATGTCCATCAGTGATAGACTGGATAAAGAAACTGTGGCACATATACACCATGGAATACTATGCAGCCATAAAAAAGAATGAGTTCATGTCCTTTGCAGGGACATGGATGAAGCTGGAAGCCATCATTCTTAGCAAACTAACACAGGAACAGAAAACCAAACACTGCACGTTCCCACTCGTAAGTGGGAGTAAAACAATGAGAACACATGGACACAGGGAGGGGGACATCACACACTGGGGCCTGTCGGGGGGTAGGGGGCAAGGGGAGGGACAGCAATAGGACAAATACCTAAGGCATGTGGGGCTTAAAACCTAGATGACGGGTTGATAGTTGCAGCAAACCACTATGGTACATATATACCTATGTAACAAACCTGCACGTCCTACGCATGTATTCCAGAACTTAAAATTAAAAAAGAAAAAGAAATTTCTTCTGCCAGATACCCTAAATCATCTCTCTCAAGTTCAAAGTTCCACAGATATTCAAGGCTGAGGCAAAATGCTGCCAGTCTCTTTGCTAAAACATAGCAAGTGTGACCTTTACCGCAGTGCCCAATAACTTCCTCATCTCCATCTGAGACCACCTCAGCCTGGATGTCATTGTCCATTTCACTATTATCATTTTGGTCAAAACCATCCGATACGTCTCTGGGAAGTTCCAAACTTTCCCACATCTCCCTGTGTTCTTCTGAACCCTCCAAACTGTTCCGACCTCTGCCCATTACCCAGTTCCAAAGTTGCCTCCATATTTTCAGGTGTCTTTAGAGCAGTGCCCCAAACTCCAGTACCAATTATTAGTCTGTTTTCACACTGCTATAAAGAACTACCTGATACTGGGTAATTTGTAAAGGAAAGACATTTAATTGAAGTATATTTCTGCATGGCACTGCGGGGGGCGGGGGGGTGTTCAGGAAAATTACAATCATGTCAGAAGGCTAAGGGGAAGCAAGACACATCTTACATGGCAGCAGGAGAGCAAGAGGAGGGAAGTACCACACTTTTAAACCATCATACCTCATGAGAAATCACTCACTATCAGGAGAACAGCATGGGGGAAACTGTCCCCATGATCCAATCACCTCCCACCAGGTCCCTCCCTCAACATGTGGGGATTACAATTTGAGATGAGATTTGGGTGGGAACACAGAGCCAAACCATATCAATGATCTCATATGCAGAACCTAAAAATGCTGATCTAATTGAAACAGAGTCTAGAAAAGTGATTACCAGTTGCTGAGGAGTGGGGAATGGAGAGGGCTGAGGAAAGAGAAGCTGTTAATCAAGAGTACAAACTCTCAGTTTGACTGGAGGAGTAAGGTAAATATATTGCACTGCATGGAGATAAATCAACTAAGTCAGAAGTCACAATATTTTAATAACTTAGCCTCAGAAGTAACATACCATAACTTCTGCTATATTTTGTTAGGAGTGAGTCAATAAGTTTAGCTCACACTCAGTGGGAGAGACCATGGTTAATAAAAATGTATATTTCAAAGTTGCTAGAATAACATATTTTAAATATTTTCATCACAAAAAGAGATCAGTTAGCGTGATAATGGACACATTATTAGCTTGGTTGACTCTTTCTTCAATGTATACATAGATAAAAATGTCATATTATATCTCATAAGTATATACCATTATTATTTGTTCATTAAAAAAATCTTATTTTTAAAACTAAAGTGTTAATGCTGTTTTCTGAGGTATTAGAATAAAATATCTTAGTTAAATACTGTAGCCATGAAACTAAAATACGCATTGTTGAAATGTCAATAAAGCCAGATATTATAAATTTCCTCTGAAATAAAACTCATGTTCTGAGAGATTTTCAATATGTAATTTACAGCTCCTATCCTACCTGATAATTGTGTTCTTGCTTTCCAGATAGAGACTTTGAAAAAAAAATATTTTTGACATTGCTACCTTGGGAATATGAAGATAAAAAACCAGTTTGTGATGTCACATTTAGTTATGAAAAGCCATCCCCTTTTGAAAGGCATTTCAAATTTTCTGTTCTAGCAGGTTTCCTTCAGAGCACTATTGAGGTGATAGCCCACCATGCTATGAAAATCCCAGAAGGATTTTCCTGACACATTGAGCAAAAGGCAATTCTGAACCAAAAAAAAAAAAAAAAAAAAGAGAGAGAGAGTATATTCTACTTTGCCAAAGAACCTACTTTTTTTTAACTTTTATTTCAAGTTCATGGGTACATGTGCAGGTTTGTTATATAGGTAAACTTGTGTCTTAGGGGTTTGTTGTACACATTATTTTGTCACCCAGGTATTAAGCCTAGGACTCGTTAGTTACTTTTCTGATCATCTCCTTCCTCCGACCCTCCAATAGGCCCCAGTGTATGTTGTTTCCCTCTATGTGTCCATGCGTCCTCATCATTTAGCCCCCATGTATAAGTGAAAACATGAGGTATTTGGTTTTCTGTTCCTGTGTTAGTTTGCTAAGGATAATGGCCTCCAACTCCAGCCATGTCCCTGCAAAGGACACGATCTTGTTCTTACTTTTACGGGTCATCAAGTTAGCTCACATTTTTAAAAAGTCTTTCTAATGTCAAAAAAGCACTATCTTCTGAAGAGATAATTATAATTCTATGGGCAAAGACAGAAATCAAAATGTCCAAAGTCACTTAATGATTATATACATGAAATATTTGTTTCCTAATAAGAATTTTTTAAAATGGAACACACACGCATGCACACACACTGACAGAACTTTTATTCTGCAATTTTTTCATTATATTCAGCCAATCTCAATCCTTTACTTTGCCACAAGAATAATCTTTTTCTTTCTTTTTTTTTTTTTTTTTTTTTTTTTTGAGAAGGAGTCTCGCACTGTTGCCAGGCCAGAGTGCAGTGGCGCGATCTCAGCTCACTGCAACCTCCACCTCCTGGGTTCAAGTAATTCTCCTGCCTCAGCCTCCCAAGTAGCTGAGACTGCAGGCACATGCCACCATGCCCAGCTAATTTTTGTATTTTTAGTAGAGACAGGGTTTCACCATGTTGGCCAGGATGGTCTCGATCTCTTGACCTTGTAATCTGCCCAACTCAACCAGGAATAATCTTTCTACACAGAGGTCTGATTGTGTCACTCTCTGGCTTCTAATCTGTCAATGATTCCAAACTGTCAAATTCCTTAGAATGTTTAAGTCTCCTTATGGGCTGTATAGACTCACATCGTAAACTATTGTTCCAAGAACTACTGCAGGAACATATCAGGAAAGCCGAGAGAATCCACAGATCCTTTCGAGGAAGTGGCTTCCCACTGCAGGCTCCATGAGACAGCCAAAAAACCACGAATGCCCAAGTTTGAAAGGGGAAAGTCTATCTCGAACACACATCTTCACTGCAAAGCCTGAAGGTTTAGATCATGGGAGAAGGATTGGACCTTACCTGGAGCTGAGATGAATTTAGAGACCTGAGCGAAATATAAGGGTAGAGGAAGCAGTGGAAAGAGCTCTGTGGACACTCTCCGTCCCCAGGGAAGCCATTCCTGACTTGTCTCATAGGGGTCCCTGGGGAGGCCTGCCAGTGGAATTGGAGGAAGACCAGAGGGAGAAAGAAACTTGCAGCTCAACTTTGTAACAGTTTTGACTGAACACAAAGTTTCCTAGACAGAATCCTGAGTAGAGGGTGAATAGAGGGTACAGATATGAGTACAGAAACCACGGCAAAAAGGGAGGCATGAAACCTGAAAGCCACGCTTGCTTCTCAGCAGGGAGGCTTGTAGACCAGGGCAAATTCTCAGCCCTGCTTAGCAGCTGCCTGGAAATAAACTTGGTGCTGTTGGAGGAGCGAGCACAGTGGCAGTGAGACCAGCTATTCAGGCTGTGTGGGAGCTGGGTGAGGCCTGTCACTGCTGGCTTTATCCCACTTCCCTTGTGACCTGTATGATGCAGCAGAAGCATCCATAATCCCCCTCAGAACATAACTCCTGAGAAACACAACCCCTCCCCTACAGCAGCCGCAGCAAGCCCCACCCAAAAAGAGCCTGAGAACAGACATACGGAAACCTGCCTCCACGTGATGGTCTTTCTCTACCCACCCTGGTAACCAAACATAAAGAACATAATCTCTTGGGAGCTCTACAGCCTTGCCCACTGTCTGAGAAACCCAAATACTTATCCAGGAGACCCTAGGGCAAGCTTATATCCTCCCTATGCTACCACAGCTGGTGCTTTCTTGAAAGTACCACCTCCTGGCTGGAGACCAACCAACACAAAACTAGCACACTAAACAAAACTACACCCAAAGGCCCTCACAGAGTCCACTGTACTCCCTGCTACCTCCACCAGAGCAGGTGCTGGTATCCATGCTTAGAGACCTGAAGATGGATCATATCATAGGACTCTTTGCAGATACTCCCCAGTACCAGCCCAGAGCCCTGTAGCTTCACTGGGAGGCTAGACCCACAAGATAAATAATCACTGCAGTTCAGCTCTCAGACAGCTACATCCCTAGGGGGATGGGGAGAGTACCACATCAAGAGGGCACCCTGTGGGACAAAAGAATCTGAACAACAGCCCTTGAGTCCTAGATCTTCCCTTTGACATAGTCTACCCAAATGAGAAGGAACCGGAAAAACAATTATGTTAATATGACAAAAGAAGGTTATTTTACACAACTGAAAGATCACACAAGTTCACAAGCAATGGATCCAAACCAAGAAGAAGTCTCTGAATTGCCAAAAAAAATAATAATCATAATTCAGAAGGTGGATTATTAAGTTACTCAAAGAGGCACAAGAGAAAGGTGAATACCAACTTAAAGAAATTTAAAAGATAGAGGATATGGACCGAAAAATCTCCAGAAGAATAGATACCATAAATAAAAAACAATCACAAATTCTGGAAATGAAGGACACACTTAGAGAAATGCAAAATATACTGGAAAATCTCCGCAATAGAATTGTACAAATAGAAGAAATAACTTGAGAGCTCAAAGACAAGGCTTTCAAAGTAACCCAATATGCCAAAGACAAAGAAAAAAGAATTTAAAAAAATGAACAAAGCCTCCAAGAAGTTTGGGATTATGTTAAATGACCAAACCCAAGCATAATTGGTGTTCCCAAGGAAGAAAAGAAATCTAAAAGTTTGGAAAGCATATTTGAGGGAATAATTGAGAAATACTTCCCTGGCCTTTCTAGAGATCTAGACATCCAAATACAAGAAGCTCAAAGAATACCTGGGAAATTCATCACAAAAAGATCATTGCTTAGGCACATAGTCATCAGGTTATCTAAAGTCAAGATGAAGAAAGAATCTTAAGAGCTGTGAGGCAAAAGTATCAGGTAAACTATAAAGGAAAACCTAGAAGATTAATAGCAGATTTCTAAGCAGAAACATTATAAGCTAGTGTTTATTGTGGTCCTATCTTTAGCCTCCTTAAACAAAACAATGATCAGCAAAGAATTTTATATCCAGAATAAACTAAGCTTCATAAATGAAGGAAAGATACAGTCATGGGCCGGTCGCAGTGGCTTATGCCTGTAATTCCAGCACTTTGGGAGGCAGTGGTGGGTGGACCACCTGAGATCAGGAGTTCGAGACCAGCCTGACCAACATGGTGAAACCTGTCTCTACTAAAAATACAAAAAAATTAGCCAGGCATGGTGCCACATGCCTGTAACCCCAGCTACTCAGGAGGGTGAGGCAGGAGAATCACCTGAATCCGGGAGGCAGAGGTTGCAGTGAGCTGAGATCATGCCATTGTATTCCAGCCTGGACAAGAAGAGTGAAACTCTGTCAAAAAAAAAAAAAAAAAAAAGAAAAGAAAAGAAAAAGAGAATTCACCACTACCTAGCCAGCACTACAAGAACTGTTAAAAGGAGCTCTAAATCTTGAAACAAATTCTCAAAATACACCAAAATAAAACCTCCTTAAAGTATAAATCTCACAGGACCTATAAAAACATGACATAATTTAAAAAAAAAGGTATTCAGGAAACAACTAGCACAATTCATATAATAGTACCTTAATTCTCAATACTAACATTGACTGTAAATGGTCTAAATGCTCAACTTGAAAGATACAGAGTGACGGAATGGATAAGAATTCCTCAATCAAGTATCCGCTGTCTTCAGCGGAGACTTGCCGAACACATAAGGGCTCACATAAACTTAAGATAAAGGGGCAGAAAAAAGTATTCCATGCAAATGGACACCAAAATCAAGAAAGAGTAGCTACTCTTATATCAAACAAAACAGACATTAAAGCAACAACAGTTGAAAATGACAAAGAGAGACATTATATAATGATAAAAGGACTAGTCCAACAGGAAAATATCACAATCCTAAATAAATATGCACCTAACACACTGGAACTCCCAAATTTATAGAACAATTTCTAATCGACAGCAACACAATAATAGTGGGAAACTTCAATATTCCATTGATAGCACTAGACAGATCATCAAGGCAGAAAGATAGATCATCAAGGCAGAAAGTAAACAAACAATGGACTTAAACTATACTCTAGAACAAATTGATTTAACAGATATTTACAGAACATTCTATACAACTGCAGAATATACATTCTAATCATAAGCACATGGCTCATTCTCCAAGATAGACCATATGATAGGCCACAAAACAAGTCTAAATAAATTTTAAAAAATTGAAATTATATCAAGTACTATCTCAGACTGCAGTGGAATAAAATTGGAAATAAACTCCAAAAGGAAATCTCAAAACCAGGCAAATACATGAAAATTAAATAACTTGCTCCTGAATGATCATGGGGTCAGCAATGAAATCAACATAGAATTGAAAAAATGCTTTGAACTGAACAATAATAGTGACAGAACCTATCAAAACCTCTAGGATACAGCAAAAGGAGTGCTAAGAGGAAAGTTCATAGCATCGAATGCCTACATCAAAAAGTCTAAAAGAACACAAATGGAAAATCTATAGTCACACCTCGAGGAACTAGAGAAACAAGAACAAATCAAACCCAAACCCAACAGAAGAAAAGAAATAACAAAGATCAGGGCAGGATTAAATGAAATTGAAACAAACAAAAAATAATAGTAAAAAAGATAAAGGAAAAATTGCTGGTTCTTGGAAACGATAAACAAAATTGATAGATCATTAGTGAGATTAACCAAGAAAAGAAGAGAGATCAAAATAAGCTCAATTAAAAACAAAATGGGAGATAGATACTACAACTGATACCATAGAAATACAAAGATCATTCAAGGCTACTATGAACACCTTTATGCACACAAACCAGAAAACTTAGAGGAGATTGATAAATTCCTGGAAAGATAAAACTCTAGTTCTAGAGTAATCCAGGAAGAAATAGAAACTTTGAGTAGACCAATAAGAAGCAGCAACACTGAAATTGCAATAAAAATTTGCCAACAAACCAGGACCAGAGGGATTCACATCTGAATTGTCAGATATTCAAGGACGTATTGGTACCAATCCTATTGACACTTTCCCACAAGATAGAGAAAAAGGGAATCCTTCCTAAATTATTCTATGAAGCCAGTACCACCCTAACACCAAAACCAGCAAAGGACATAACAAACAAAACTACAGACCAATATCCCTCATGAACATAGATGCAAAAATCCTCAATAAAATACTAGCTAACCAAATCCAACAGCATATCAAAAAGATAATCCACCATGATCAAGTGGGTTTCATACCAGGGATGCAGGGATCATTTAACATATGCCAGTCAATAAATGTAATACACCACATAAAGAGAATGAAAAACAAAAATCACATAATTATCTCAATAGATGCAGAAAAAGCTTTTGACAAAATCCAGCATTGATTTATAATTAAAACCCTCAGCAAAATAGGCATAAAATGGATATACCTTAAGGTAGTAAAAGCCGACTATGACAACCCCACAGTCAACATTATATTGAATAGAAAAGTTGAAAGCATTTCCCCTGAGAACTGAAACAAGACAAGGATGCCCACTTTCACCACTTCTATTCAGTGTAGTACTGGAAGTTCTAGCCAGAGCAATCAGACAAAGGAACAAAATAAAATACATCCACATGAGGTAAAGCGGAAGTCAAACTGTTGCTGTTCACTGATTACAAGGTCTTATACCTAGAAAACCCTAAAGACTCATCCAAAAAGCTCATAGAACTGATAAATGAATTCAGTAAAGTTTCAGGATACAAAATTAACGTACAAAAATCAGTAGCACTGTTATACAACAACAGCAACCAACCTGAGAAAAAAATAAGGAACACAACTCCTTTTACAATAGTTGCTAAATAAACAAACAAACAAACTTAGGAATATACCTAATCAAGGAGGTGAAAGATGTCTACAAAGAAAACTACAAACCTCTGCTGACAAAATCATAGAATATACAACCAAATGAAAACACATCCCATGCTCATGGGTGGATAGAATCAATACTGTGAAAATGACTATACTGCCAAAAGCAATCTACAAATTCCATGTAATTCCCATAAAAATACCACAATTATTCTTCACAGAACTAGAAACAGACAATCCTAGAATTCATATGGATCCGAAAAAGAGCCTACATAGCCAAAGCAAAACTAAGAAAAAGAACAAATCTGGAGGCATCACATTACCTGACTTCAAACTATGCTATAAGTCTATAGTCACCAAAATAGCATGGTACTGATATAAAAACAGGCACATAGACCAATGGAACAGCATAGAGAACTAAGAAATAAAGCCAAATACTTACAGCCAACTCATCTTCCACAAAGCAAACAAAAACATAAAGTGGAGGAAAGGACACCCTATTCAACAAATGGTGCCGGGATAATTGGCAAGCCATATTCAGAAGAATGAAACTGGATCCTCATCTCTCACCTTATCAAAAAACCAACTCAAGATGGATCAAAGACTTAAATCTAACACCTGAAACCAAAAAATTCTAGAAGATAACATTGGAAAAACCCTACTAGACATTGGCTTAGCCAAAGACTTCATGACCAAGGACCCAAAAGCAAATGCAACAAAAACAAAGATAAATAGATGAGACTTAATTAAACTAAAAAGCTTCTGCACAGTAAAAGATATAATCAGCAGAGTTAACAGACAACCCACAGAGTGGGAGAAAATCTTTGCAAACTATGCGTCTGACAAAGTACTAATATTCAGAATCTACAAGGAACCCAAACAAATCAGCAAGAAAAAAACAATCTCATCAAAAAGTGAGCAAAGGACAAGAATAGACAATTCTCAAAACAAGATTTAAAAAATGGCAAACAAGTGTATAAAAAATGTTCAACATCACTAATTATCAGGGAAATGCAAATCAAAACCACAATGTGATACCACCTTATTCCTGCAAGAATAGCCCTAATCAAAAGATCAAAAAATAATAGATGTTGGTGTGGTTGTGGAGAAAAAAAAAAAAAAAAAGAACACTTTTACACTGCTGGTAATACAACCACTATGGAAAACAGTGTGGAGATTCGTTAAATAACTAAAAGTAGATCTACCATTTGATCCAGCAATCCCACTACTGGGTATTTATCCAGAGGAAAAGAAGCCAGTATACAAAAAATATACTTGCACATGCATGTTTATAGCAGCAGAATTCACAATTGCAAAAATATGGAACCAGCCCAAATTCCCATCAATCAACAAGTAGATAAAGAATGTGTGGTATATGTATATACCATCGAATGCTACTCAGCCATAAAAAGGAACAATGTAATAGCTTTCACAGCATTCCTGGATGGAATTGGAGGCTATTATTCTAAGTAAAGTAACTCAGGAATTGGATAAAAAAAAAACATTGTATGTTCTCTCTTATATGTGGGAGCTAAGCTATGAGGATGCAAAGGCATAAGAATGATACAGTGGACTTGGGGGACTCAGGGGAAAGGGTGGGAGCGGGATGAGGGATAAGACTAAACATTGGGTAGAGTGTATACTGCTAGAGTGATGGGTGCACCAAAATCTCAGGAATCACCAGTAAAGAATTTGTTCATGTAACCAAACACCGCCTGTTCCCCAAAAACCTACTGAAATAAAAAATAAAAATTAAAAATAGAAAAAAATAAAATTGTGATATACAAATAAAAATTTAAAATAATGAGTGCACACACAAGAATAGGCAGAGCAATAGTGCAGCATAAATCATTGAGACATATATGTAACTTGATTCACTATATATATAGGAATTTAGATTATGTTGAAAGTGGCATTTTAAATCAGAGAGGGAAAGGAATTTCTTACTAAGTGGTGTTGGTAGAAGTGACTAATAATTTAAGAAGCAAATAAAACGAATTCTTACCTCACTACTTATACTAGCATACAACTAATAAAATGCTAGAAAACAATGTGTGGTTTTAAAATACGAACTTTTTATTTATTTTTATTTATTTATTTAATTTTTTTTTTGAGATGGAGTCTCGCTCTGTCACCCAGGCTGGAGTGCAGTGGCGCGATCTCAGCTCACTGCAAGCCTCACCTCCCAGGTTCATACCATTCTCCTGCCTCAGCCTCCCAAGTAGCTGGGACTACAGGCGCCCGCCACCATGCCTGGCTAATTTTTATGTATTTTTAGTAGAGACGGGGTTTCACCATGTTAGCCAGGATGGTCTTGATCTCCTGACCTCGTGATCCGCCTGCCTCGGCCTCCCAAAGTGCTGGGATTACAGGTGTGAGCCACCGCTCCCGGCCTACTGATGAACTTTTTAAACACAACACAGAAGACCAAGAATGCATAAAGGACGGCATAGCTACATGTAGCTACATAATTCAGTATAAAACTCTTAATCAAAAGAAAAACCATAGATTTTGTCTTCTAGTGTAATCCTGCTTTACCTGTCACCCATAAAAACCAGCAATGTTATTTCTGTATCTTCATTCAAGTCATTGATAACGTCAATAACCACAACCAAACCAAGATCAATGTCCTACATCATGCTACTAAAAACCTTGCCCCATGGTGTCATTGTATTTTCTATCAGTTATGTTCCAGTAACTTTCCAGTTATTTTCCAGTAAGTAGCCAATTGTATAAGCACTCAGATTGCATATCTTTATCTTATCTATAAGATTATGAGAGCCCTATTTAATGACTTGATAAAGTACAAATAAGTTTTCTGCACTTCTTTCAAATACTCACCCAGCAACTAGATTAAACATAGAAAATAAATCAGTTTTATTTACTGCGTTCTTAATCATCACATACTGCCTCCTTTCCTGTGTGCCCCCAAACCCTAAAGCAAACAAATAATAGGAGATTTTGTCAGTTCTACCTTCAACTTTATTACTAATCTGCCCTTTTCTCACCACGTGCATCACTATTACCCTGGTCTGAACCATCTTCGTCTCTTACTTGAAATACTACAGAAGCTACCTAACTTATCTCCATACTTATATTTTCCTCTCTTAACACAGATATCAAAATTACCATTTCAAACAGTCATAGCAATCCATTTCTTTGCTCAAAGTCCTCTAACACCATAGAAGAAAATTCCAAGCCCTAACTATGACCTACAAGTCCCCACACAGTCTGGCCCCTGACTCCCTAATCTGACATCATCTCCTACTATACCCCTCACTCACTCCACTCTAGCCACCATGGCTTTCTTGCTGTTCTCCATACATAACAAGTTCATTCCTACCTTAGGGCCTTTGTACACAGTCTTCCTTCATGGATAGCTCTTCTCCAAGATTTTCACGATTGATAACTTCTCATCATTCAGTTCTGCTCAAATGTCATTCATTGCCTCATATATCTTCCCAGATCATCCTAATAGCTCCTCCCTCCGGTAGTACACTATATTGTCTTACTCTGATTTATTACTATCATAGAGTTTAACATCCTCTGAGATTATATTTTTAAATAATTTACTTGTTTCTCATGAGTCTTCCTACTATAATGTGATATTCATGAAGACAGAGTCCATGTCCATTTTACAGCACCATATCCCCAATTCCTATTATGCTGCCTAGCACGTAACAAATGCTCAAGAAATATTTGTTAAATGAATGAGTGAATAAAATAAGCCAATGACTGAAGTAAGTCACAGCAGGAATAAAGAAGTTTATAAATTAAAAAATTGATTAAGCTATAGTGATATTAATTCAATTTCATCCTCTTTCTTACATGCTAAAACTACATTTTTGCTTTGTTCCATGACTCTGGGAGACATCTTTTAATAACTACAAACATTTCTCAGATCCCAAAGAATGTACCGTATTGTGCTTTCATATCATAATCTTCTCTCCCTTCTGCACCTCTATCATATTTGTCTAGAAAGTTTTGAGTAGCAAGCTAAGTAAATGACTATAGTTACCAGCCTTGGGACACTCAGCTCATTATGCAAATGAAGTAAGCCTAATATTCAGAGCATGCCACATCACTTTCTATTTTAAAGCCGTATATTATCATATGATGAAATTAAAATAATAGTTCTCAAATGATATTAATAACCAGGAGAAAATCCATGAAAAATATAGAGAGAAAAGATGCTTAAATAGCATATTACTAACTAGTTTGATCCAAATAGCTCTTATTGGAACCACTAAATATTGTATGATTTTGCCTGAATACATATTTCATTTTAATCACAGAATAATGCGGCAATTGCGGTACAACATTTATACCTTCCTTTTGAAGGAAAATGTCTTTTAATATTAATTGTTATAAGAATAGATGAAGCAGTGTGGCAAAGCATAATTGCAAATATATTACTATTTTAATAAAAATTATAATTGTCAGCCAATTTGTATTAGATAAAACTGAAAAATCATTAAACTTTTCCTTCAAATTAATAAAATTGTCTCCAATCTTTACACTATTCTGGCTTATTAATACATTTCTTATTTCTTTTGGGGAATGCTAACAATCATGCAGATAAAGTAGTTGCAGCCAGATATGTTCTTCTGAGGGGTCTTCAGGGTGTAATGAGAGGAAAAAATAATTAGCCAAGAGTCAGAAAGAATACTTGGTTTCAATGTCTAGGCCTGCCCCTGCCTTCACATGTAACATTTAACAGATTGCTCTAACTCTTGGATTCTGTTTACTTGTCTCTAAAATGGGGTTACTAATATCTACCTTCTAAGGTTTCTATTTGAATAAAAAGTAAGAGTAATAAATATATTTTATTAACTTTGCTTCACCAGCAAATGTGTGGGACTGAAATTTTCTCTGAAGGAACAATTTGCAATTACATAATGACATGTAATGTTTCCTTGATACCATTAACTGTCTTCTACTGTTTAAGAAATAAAAACTTAATATGCATGAAGGACATTATGAACCATAGTCAATTATCAGCTGTATAGCTTCATAATATTTAATCATGTCACCATTTATTGGTATGCTATTCATTTACTCATCAAATATTCATTGTACAACATTCATTTAGTCATAGCAGACTGAGCTCTTGTGTTTGTTTCTGCTCCTTGAAATCTCACTAAAGTTATGGTACACACAAATGGAAATGGTACAAATCCACAAAGACAAAGAACATGGTAAAGGAGACAACAGATAAAGATGGCACTGCATTTTAAAGATTGGTAGCAAAGTGGTTAGTGATTTAGTAAAGACCAGGGAGCTGAAATTGAAATATCTGCAGACAAGAAAGAGCAGCAGCAAGAAGTCAGTCAATTTGACTGCAGAACCCCGAGAAGCTCAGATTTCATGGCAACACCTATAGCAGAAGGTGGTATAAGGAACAGGGCTGAAAGTAGGAGAATTGTATGAAATTTTGTGTACAGCAGAGTTAAGCTCCTCACATATCCTGTTCTACTCTTCAACTCACACACCCTTCCCTTGGACAGGATTACTATACATACTGACTTGGGGGTACCCTTTAAATAAAGAGCAAAGTTCACACACGATCATCCTAGAATGAAAAACACCATTCGACAAAGCTTGCCCATGCCCACAGAACTCCCAATTCATGTTTTAATAATTATTTTAAGTATAAAATGAAATGAAATTATCTCACATGAAAGAGACAAAGAAAAGGACTTCAAAACAGAACATTTCAAAGGTAAAAAAGCAACCTATTAATGCTATTCTCGAAGAAAGAGTAGAAGATATTGTATAAATCATTCATGAAACTAGAACAGGATGATATAAAAAGTGATCAGAGAACAAGAAATAACTCTTAGGAATGTGTGTGCTTGTGTGTATTTGCATGTATGTCAATGTGTGTATTTAATATATATTATTTAATTTATTATTATACTATTTATTTTTTATTTAATATATATTATATATATAAATTGAAAATTTCTTCGAAATATAAGACAATAAAGTTCAAATTTTTTGCCAAAAAGTAGGGTAAAAATATAAGCCTGGGTAACAGGAGAGAAAAGATTAAAAAATTAAAGGATCAATTTGTGAGCCACAATATCTTCCTAATAAGTCTAGAGAGGTGAAAGAAAACGGAGGAGTGGAAACTGTCAAACATATATAATTGAGAGTATTTCCTAGAACTGAAGGGCTTGCCTTTTCAGATTGAAAGTGGCCAATGTAATAAATCCAAAAGGCTTATAGATAGGCACATTGAGGAATTTTAGATCACCACTTCTATTAGTTTCCTACTTTAATTGTAACAAAGTGTCACAAACCTGATGGCTTAAAACAAAAAAAAATTATTCTCTCATATCTCTGCTGGGAAGCAATTGAAATCGGTTACACTGGGCTAAGTTCAAGATATTGGCAGGACTTTTACCTTCTGGAGTCTCTCAGAGAAAATTTGTTTCCGTAGCTTTTCTAGCTTCTGGATGCTGTTTACATTCCTTCCCTCATGACCCTTTTCTTCCTTAACTCCAACTTCTTGCTTCTGTAATCACATCTCCTATTTCTCTAGGCACATCTCTTTGACTGGGTGTGGCAGCTCAAAACTGGAATCCCAGCACTTTGGGAGGCCAAGGTGGGAGAGTCACTTGAGGCCAGGAGTTCAAAATCATCAAGATAAGCCTGGACAAAATAGTAAGACCCTATCTCTATAAAAATGAAAAATAAAAAAGAAATTAAGCTAAATTAAAAATCCCTCTAATTACCTCTTATAAGGATCCTTGTGATTATATTGGACCCTCCTAGATAATCTAGAATAATCTCCCCATCTCAATATCCTTAATTAAATCACCTCTGCAAGTCCCTTTTATCATATATTTAATATGATAACAGTTACATGATTCAGGAATCAGGATGTGGGCAACTTTTAGAGAGCATTATTCAGCCTACCATACAGCCATAATGAAAAATATTTTTAAAGCCTTCTAGGGATGGGATAGATGGTCAAAAAATGTAATAAGAACCAGAAATCTGAACATCATCAGAACTTGCAACTGTACTACTGAAACCTGGAAGTGGGGAGAAAGACTCTGAAGTAGAATTTCATGCTCAGTCAACCTATAAATTAAGAGATTTTTAGAGCTGCAAAATCTCTAGAAATTCACCTTCCCCACTTCCACTGAGCATATGGCTTAACCCTAACAAGATAATAAACTAGGCAATAGGAACACATGAGATCTAGGCAAGAGGCCATCCAACCTAAGAGTGAGATGAGAGAAGTCCCAGGTGGTGGTGAAGGGAAGTGTCAGAATAACAGTTTGGTTGCAGGTTTAGGGAGCAACTAATACAGACTGAAGCCCAAGAGATGGTGAGCTTGAGTTGTGAGGAAGAATTCCTAAAAAGTAGAAAAGAAGAACTGATAGAGTGACAAACTATTCATGAATTTGAATACAATTTTGAGCAGAATGCTACGGTAATGTTTGGGATTTTGGAAAATTAGGTAAAGGTACATGGAAAATTAAGCTAGTAAAAAAAAATCAGGCATATTCCATACCAGACAACACAAAATGATACATGAAAAGGAATAAAATAATTGTACACTTCATAGTTCAGCAGTGAGTAATATTTACATGGTAAAAATGTAATAATTCACTGCTACTTTAACCAAAAATTTTGACATAAGTATTTTGGGAAGATAAAGGTGAGGAGTGGAGGTTGTAACATAAAGAATTGTACAGATTATGCCAATAACTGAACCCTTGTAAACGGATGGTAAGAATGTAAATTAGTACAGTCACTAGAGAAACAGCGAAGAGGTTTTTAAAGTTTAATAATATAATTTTCATATGATCTAGTAATCCTGTGTTTGGGTATTTGCCAGAAAGATTAATTTGTCTAAGAGATGTCTGCACATTCTGGAATATTCATTGCAGCACTACTCAAATGGTGAAGAATTGAAATCAACCTAAGTGTCTTTCAACAAAAGAATGGATAAAGAACATGTGGTACATATACACAATAGAGTACTATTCAGCCTTACAAGTGAAGAAAATTCTGTCATTTGTGACAACATGGATGGAATTCAAGAACATTATGCTAAATGAAAGAAGCCAGGCACAGAGAGACAATTACTACATTATCTCATTTATATGTAGAATCTAAAACAATGAAACCAGTAGAAGCAGAGAATATAATGCTGGTTACAGAGGCTGGGGAGTGGGGAGAATAGGGAGATATTGGTCAAAAGGTGCAAAGCCTCAGACTTAAGGAATTAAGGTTTTTAGGATCTATTGCATAATGTGGTGAATACAGTTCATAACAGTGTATTGTGCATTTCAAGCTAAGAGAGTACATTTCAAATGTTCTCATCACAAAAAAAAGATGTGATGTGTCGGATATGCTAATTAGCTTGGCTTATTTCCTATTGTATTCATAAGTCATCACATTGCTTTGTACCCCATATATACAAAATTTCAAATTGTCAATTTATATAAAAATAAAAATAATTTATATTTCTATCAACAGTGTACAAAGGTTCCCTTTTGTCCACATTCTTGCCAGTAGTATCAGAACATCTCATGTATCCTGTAAATATATACACCTACCATGTACCCACCAAAATTAAAAATATAAAAAAATAATAAAATAAAATAAAAATAATGATTGATAATTCCAGAAATATCAGCACATGCTTATTCTTTACAAAAACTAGAAGTACATACCAGAAGAAAGAGTCAAAAGTCTCTGAGGTATGTGGCTTAGATTGAAGAGGGCTGTGACAAGGGACTGCTATATGTTGTTATGTCTGTTGGTACCACTTTGTTATCTCAACAATACGCATGGATTCCTTTAGAAAATAAAAGTAAGGCACTACCACAAAGAAACATTAATGGAGTACTTACTTTAAGTCAGACACCATGTCGGGGTCTGGGAACATTGTCACTACGGCAGTTCCCTGCCCACATGTATCTTTGCATTCCTCTCAGTGGCCTTGTCCTCGGTGCTGTACAAATCCCTGGCTCTGAAGATTTCATAGTTTTATGAGACAGATCTGAATAACATTTTTATGACCTGATATTCAATATGCACTTTTATCCCCTAAAACAGTACACAATTTACATTACGGTAATCCAGAACATTATACAAAAATTATTCAAATCCAAAAATAACCTATGAGTTGTACTGAAAGCACAGCTTTGCTCTATTCTCCCTACAAAAAAGCATTTGCAATAGGTTTTGATAATCAATAGGCTTAACCTATTTCACATTTATATTTTATTGTACATTAATACAGTTTGGATCACTACACTAAGCCTGAAAGTAACTTTGCATCCTTTAGTTACGCTGCTCTGAAATTCTTCTTCTAACTGCTAGGCTCATGCTATTAATAATAACAACAGCTACCAATTATGGAGCATTTAATCCATCCCAGACAGCATGGTAAGAGATAAATATGTGTTACTTCCATTGATTTTCACACAGTCCGGTGAAGTAATAACTATTATATTTTCATTCTAAAGACACATCTGAGGTTCAGAAAAATTAAACAATTTGCAGTTACAAAGCTAGTGAACGAGTCAGGATTTTTACCCAGACTGTATGGCTGAGAAGCAAACACTAAACTGTACTTACTGACTTTCAAACATTTCAGCGGCTCCTGCCGGGTGCAGAGGCCGAGGCGGGCAGATCACTTGAGGTCAGGGGTTCAAAACTAGCCTGGCCAACATGGTGAAACCGCATATCTACTAAAAATACAAAAATTAGCCAGACGTGGTGGTGGACACCTGTAATCTCAGCTACGCAGGGGGAGGCTGAGGCAGGAGAATCGCTTGAAACCAGGGTGTGGAGGTTGGTTGCAGTGAGCTGAGATTGTGCCACTGCACTCCAGCCTGGGCAACAGAGTGAGACTCAATCTAAAAAAAAAAAAAAACATATATATATATATATATATATATATATATATATATATATACACACACACATATATATATATATATATGCAGTGCCTCTTCACTGACTAAAACTTCAAATAGGAACTCTCCATGGCCCAACTGCTTAAATAATTATCTTTCCAATGATCCCACTTTGACCTAGTTTCCCCCTAAATGCCATGCTAATATCCATCTGCACAAGCTTGTAAAAACTATTAATATTGACAAACAACTTTTTTTGTCATCAGGTATCACCCTTCCTATAAAATTATCTATTGTATGATAACATAATGGCTATGTCATTCCACTGTGAAATCTTCATATTTTCAAACATATATGGAAGAACTTAGAAGTCATATCCCATATGGTATTTTTATGGACATATATATTCAATATTAACTAAATTGCAGACTCTCAAATGTGTAGATCATATTGTATCTGATCTCTACACAATTCAGGAGAAGTTGAAGCACACAGTATATGCTCAATCAGCATTCCTTTAATAGAATTGGCAAAAGGGTTAAATAATTGACTTAAAGCAGTTGACTTGCATTTAATTACTAAGGTTGTTAGGTACAAAATAAATGGACAGAGTATCTTGTGTATTTTGTTCATTTTGTTCAAGACACCACACACACACACATTTATGTAAAAGAACAGTGATCTGGTGAAGTCTTTCTCAACATAGTAATGTGGCTTAAATTATCATATACAAGAAGTGGTAAAATTTAGATCTACCAAGAGCTCATTTCTAAAGCCAGATTTTCAATATCTATAATTTACTAGCATTCTAAAAATGAACACACACACATGACAATTGATAGCATTTATACAGACACGTTCATACCCTGTGCTGAAATTACATCCTCAACACTCTGACACCCTGCCTCTGCTCCAGTAATGTATTAGTCTATTCTCATGCTGCTATTAAACACATACCTAGAACTGGGTAATTTATAAAGGAAAGAGGTTTAATTGACTCACAGTTCCACATGGCTTGGGAGGCCTCACAATTATTGTGGAAGGCAAGGAGGAGAAAGGTACATCTTACATGGCAGCAGACAGGAGAGCATGTGCAGGGGAACTCCCCTTTATAAAACCATCAGATCTTGTGAGACTTATTCACTTTAACGAGAACAGCATGGGAAAAATCCACCTCCATGATTCAATTACCTCTCACTGGGTCCCTCCCACAAGATATGGAGATTATTACAATTAGAGGTGAGATTTAGGTGGGGACACAGAGCCAAACCACACCATTCCACCCCTGGCCACTCCCAACTCTCATGTCCTCACATTTCAAAACTAATCATGCCTTCTCAACAGTCCCTCAAAGTCTTAACTCATTTCAGCATTAACCCCAAAAGTCCACAGTCCAAAGTCTCATCTGAGACAAGGCAAGACCCTTCTGCCTATGAGCCTGTAAAATCAAAGGCAAGTTACTTACCTCTTAGATACAATGGGTGTACAGCCATTGGGTAAATACAGCTGTTCCAAATGGGAGAAATTAGCCAAAAGGAAGGGGCTATAGGCCCCACGCAAGTGCAAAATCTAATAGGGCAGTCATTAAAACTTAAAGTTCCAGAATGATTTCCTTTAACTACATCTCTCACATCCAGGTCACACTAATGCAAGAGATGGCTTTCCACAGGCTTGGGCAGATCTGCCCCTTTGACTTGCAGGATACAGCTGCCTTCCTGGCTGCTTTCAAGGCTAGCGTTGAGTGTCTGCAGCTTTTCCAGGTGCATGATGCAAGTTATCAGTGGATCTGTCATTCTGGGGTCTGGAGGATAGTGGCCCTTTTCTCACAACTCCTGTAGGCAGTGCCCAATTGGAAACTCTGTGTGGAGGCTTGCACCCCATACTCCTCTTTCCACGCTGCCCTGGTAGAGGTTCTCCGTGAAGGCACTGCACCTGCAGGAAACTTCTGCCTGGAGATCCAGGCATTTCCATACATCCTCTGAAATCCAGGCGGAGGTTCCCAAACCTCAATTCTTGACTTCTGTGTACCCACAGGCCCAACACCACATGTAAGATGCCAAGGCTTGGGGCTTGCATCTACTGAAGCAATAGCCTGAGGTATACGTTAATCCCTGTTAGCCATAGCTAAAGCTGAAGAAGCTGGGATGCAGGGCACCATGTTCAGAGGCTGCATATATCAGTGAGGCCCTGAGCCCAGCCCATGAAACCATTTTTCCCTCATAGTCCTCTGGGCCTGTGATGGAAGAGGCTGCAATGAATGTCTCTGACATTCTTTGAAAATATTTTCCCCATTGTCTTGGTGATTAACATTCAGTTCCTTATTACTTGCACAAATTTCTGCAGCAGGCTTGAATTTCTCTCAAGAAAATGGGTTTTTCTTTTCTATTGCATCATCAGGCTGTAAATTTTCCAAACTTTATGCTCTACTTCCTCTTGAATGCTTTGCTGCTTAGGAATTTCTTCTTCCAGATACCCTAAATCATCTCACTCAAGTTCAAAGTTCCATAGGTTTCTAGGGCAGGGGCAAAATGCCACCAGTCTCTTCACTAAAGCATAAAAAGTCACGTTCGCTCCAGTTTCCAACAAGTTCCTCATCTCCATCTGAGACCACCACAGCCTGGACTTTATTGTCCATGTCACTATCAGCATTTTGGTCAAAGACATTCAACAAGTCTCTAGGAAGTTCCAAACCTTCCCACATTTTCCTGTCTTCTTCTGAGCCCTCCAAACTGTTCCAACCTTGGCCTATTACCCAGTTCCAAAGTTGCTTCCATATTTTCAGGTATCTTTAAAACAGCACCTCACTACCTGGTACCAATTTACTACATTAATCTGTTCTCACACAGCTAATAAAGATGATATGGTTTGGCTGTGTCCCCACCCAAATCTCCTCCTGAATTACAGCTCCAATAATTGCCACATGTCATGGGAGGAACCCGGTGGGAGGTAATTGAATTATGGAGGTGGGTCTTTTTTGTGCTGTTCTTGTGGTAGTGAATAAGTCTCATGAGATCTGATGGTTTTATAAAGGGGAGCTTCCCTACACATGCTCTCTTGCCTGCCGCCATGTAAGAAGTGACTTTGCTCTTCACTCACCTTCCCCCATGATTGTGAGGTCCCTTGGCCATGTGGAACTGTGAGTCTATTAAACCTCTTCCATTTATAAATTACCCAGTCTTAGGTATGTCTTTATTAGCAGCACGAGAAGAGACTAATACAGTAAATTGGTACCAGTAGAGTGGGGTGCTGCTGTACAGATACCTGAAAATGTGGAAGCAACTTTGGAACTGGGTAACAGGCAGAGGTTAGAACAGTTTGGTGGACTCAGAAGAGTATAGGAAAATGTGCGAAAGTTTGGAACTCCTAGAGACTTGGAGGGTTCGGAAGACAGGAAGATGTGGGAAAGTTTGAAACTTCCTAGAGACTTGTTGAATGGCTTTGACCAAAATGCTGATAGTGATATGGAGCAATAAAATCCAGGCTAAGGTGCTCTCAGATGCAGATAAGGAAATTATTGGGAACTAGAGTAAAGGTCACTCTTTCTATGCAAAGAGACTGGTGGCATTTTACCCCTGCCCTAAAGATCTGTGAAAATTTGAACTGAGAGAGGTGATTTGGGGTATCTGGCAGAATAAATTTCTGAGTGGCAAAGCATTCAAGAGGTGGCAGAGCATAAAAGTGTGAAAAATTTGTAGCCTGATGATGCATTAGAAAAGCAAAACCCATTACCTAGGTAGAAACTAGAGCAGGCTGCAGGAATTTGCATAAGTAACAGGAAGCCAAATGCTAATCACCAAGACAATGAGAAGAATATGTCCAGGGCATGTCAGAGGTCTTCATTGCAGCTCCTCCCATCATGGCCTGGAGGCCTAGGAGGAAAAAATGGTTTCCTGGGCTGAGCCCAGGGGGCCCCTGCTCTTTGCAGCCTCCAAACATGATGCCCTCTATCCCAGCTATTTCCGCTCCAGCTGTGGCTAAAAGGGGTCAATGTACAGCTCAGGCTGTTGCTTCAGAGGGTGCAAGCCCCAAGCCTTGGGACCTTACATGTGGTGTTGGGCCTGTGGGTGCACAGAAGTCAATAATTGAAGTTTGAGAATCTCTGCCAAGATTTCAGAGGATGTATGGAAATGCCTGGACTTCCAGGCAGAATTTTGCTGCAGGGGCAGTGCCCTCATAGAGAACCTCTGTTAGGGCAGTGTGGAAGGGAAATGTGGGATGCAAGCCCCCACACAGAGCCCTCACTAGGGCACTGCCTAGTGGAGCTGTGAGAAGAGAGTCACCATCCTCCAGCCCCTAGAATGACAGATACACTGACAGCTTGCACTGTGCACATCAAAAAGCTACGGACACTCAATGCTAGCCTTGAAAGCAGCCAGGAGGGGGGCTGTACCCTGCAAAGCCACAGGGGTGGATCTGCCTAAGACCATGGGAACCCACATCTTGCATCCATTCAACCTGGATGTGAGACATGGAGTCAAAGGAGATCATTTTGGAGATTTAAGATTTGACTGCCCCACTGGATTTCAAACTTTCATGGGGCCTGTAGCCCCTTTGTTTTGGCCAATTTTTCCCACTTGGAATGGCTGTATTTACCCAATGCCTGTACCCCTATGGTATCTAGGAAGTAACTAACTTGCTTTTGATTTTCCACGCTCATAGGTGGAAGGGACTTGCTTTGTCTCAGATGAGACTTTGACTCATCTGATTATTACAATAATCCCCACATGTTGTGGGAGGGACCCAGTAGGAGGTACCTTAATCACAGAGGCAGGTTTTTCCACTGCTGTTCTCATGATAGTGAATACGTCTCACAAGATCTGATTGTTTTATAAAGGGGAGTTCCCCTGCACACAATGTCTTGCCTGCCACCATGTATGATGTCCCTTTGCTCTTCCTTTGTCTTCTTCCATAACTCTGAGGCCTCCCCAGCCCTGTGGAACTGTGAGTCTATTAAACCTCCTTCCTTTATAAATTACCCAGTCTCGGATATGTCTTTATTCGCAGTGTGAGAATAGACTAATACAAAAGACATACTCAATACTGGAAAATTTATAAAGGAAACAGGTTTAATGGATTCACAGTACCACATGGCTGGGAGGCCTTACAATCATGGCAGAAATCAAGGAGGATGATGGCACATCTTACATGGCAGAAGGCAAGAGAGCATGTGCAGAGGAACCCCCTTTATAAAACCATCAGATCTTATGGGACTTATTCACTATCACAAGAACAGCATGGGAAAAACCTGACCCCATGATTCAGTTACCTCCCACCAGGTCCCTCCCACAACATGTGGGGATTGTTACAAAATTAGAGATGATATTTTGGTGGGGACATAGAGCCAAACCATATCAAGTAATATGATCATTTTTAGTGGCCTGATCCATTGTCACATGTTCTAACTCCTGGTTATAAGTATTAGAAAATGATCACCATACTTTCTTGTAGGTGACCCTGATCCAATTGCTTTTGCATAGAATGTTTCCTGAAAGTCAAGCACTCCTCCACTCTAACCCCACTTCCTGCAAAGGATTGGCAGCACTGTCTGCACGGTGACTTTGCAGGATATGAGATACTGTACATTACTGGAATTTATTTTGCTACTTGGTTGACATATTTATTTTAGGAAATGCTTCAGACAATATGTTAAAGGTTCCAGACAGAAGGTCCATTGGCTTTCCTTATTGGAAAATAAAGCATATGTGAGGTCAAAAAAGCACTCGAGATTTCTCTGCAACTGTACTAATGAGAAATGACAAAGGCTGAAAGAAACGATGGAAAATAAATAGCACTGGGGGACTGGTTCAACATCTGATTAAACAGAGTACAGTATTTGTTTTCCTTTTGGCTGTATACTTTTAGGCTAAAGATAAAAATATAGTAATTTCATGTAACTGTGAAAAGGTCATCTGGCTAATTTTATTTTAAGCATAAGAAAGTGGGAAGAGTACTTAACCTTCATTTGTTGATTATCATATTGCTTTATAACATTGCTGGAAGGAAATCCTTATGAGTCAGAGAGAATTTTGACAAAAAGAAAAAAAGAAAAAAAAGCAGTGTCCCTAAAATGTCTTGGAATCATTTGTCCTTCATATGTTTTATGTCCCAATGGATACCTTTATAGAAAAGGTCATGTTAGAATAATTAGCGGTAACATTTATTTAAAGCATATATATTAATGTCTTATAAGATTTATGCTACTTTTGATAAGTGCAGCAGTGAACATTTTAATTGCACTATAAATACTAGATGGAGCAATAGATTGCTCAGATAATCATTTTTGCCTTTCAGCTAAAATTTGCACAATGCTACAACATCTAAAAACTAAAATTGGCATCATAACTGACACAGAGTTATTTAGTCAACGTAAGTATACTCACCACGCAAATGGCAAAGCATATAATTACTATTATTTGGGAGATTGTTTTGCTAAGTAGTCTGTTTATAAGGTTAGTACCATTTTCTGTCATATTTTATCTCAAAGTTTAATTGTCTGTGGCTTCATTGCAAATGTGAAGGATTCAAAATGACTAGTGTAAGAATGAAAAAATGGGAAACTAGAAAGTCTTTTAGAACCTGCAGGAATCTCTTTATGCTATTTGTGTTACAGGTGAGCTGTATGAGAATCTCAATTCTTATCCAGTGTCACACTGTGTGGCATATACTTATCAGAATTCATCTAAGCACAAATTGTTTCACATAAGCTTTCCACTATTATCATCATGCCACTGTTTCTGAAAAGATAGTGCCATACTATTCTCCAATAAAGGGCATCAGGGCTCCTTGGAAAATAGCTCATTTTAGGACTGGGCTAGGAAATATACAAGATAAGCCTGGAATATCTTGTAGGGTTTGACAGTAAGGACATTCTAAGCAAAAGAAATCAAAACAAACAAAAAATGCAGTGAAGGGGGCATATCAAAGACACATTGGAGTCAATTTAAAGAGATGCCAATGGCCAAAACTGAAACAATTTGAGGAAGAAAATAAATAAAGTAGTATTGAATTAGAATGCAAAGTGTAAATTAAATATCCATGAGTTCATAATGATATAAATAACTATTTGAATAAATAAATGGAAGAAAAAAGACAAATCTCCTTTGTAGAAGAATTTCAAACCATTTATGCAAATATTCTACCCTCAAGTAAAGGGAGAATGATTCACCGCTCTTTAAGTGTAGGCTGTCCAAGGTGACTTCCTTCCAAAGAGGATAGTATGGAAAGAGGGAATACAAGAGTGAGTTTACAGTGGAGAAAACTGCCAAATACTTCCTCACTCAATTGGTGAAGATCAACACCAACAGTTATGAGTCACGCTGATAGCGTACCCTTGATATGACGTCATGAAAATGGCACTTTATCTCTGTGGTCTTCCTCCCAGTAACCCATAACCCCAGTCTAACTCATGTAGAAAACATAAGAAAAATCCAAATTAAGGGAGATTCTAGAAAACACCTGACCAGCACTTTTCAAAATTGTCAAGGTCATCTAAAACAAGGAATATCTGAGACTGTCACAGGCAAGAGAAGCCTAAGGAGACAAGATGACTAATGGCAGTGTACTATCCTTGATGAGACTCTGAAACTGAAAAAGGGCATTCGGTAAAATCTAAGAAAACTTGATTAAGTTTTGGACTTTAGTTTTAAAAAAGATAACACCTGCAAATACCTTCTCCTAGAACAGAATTAGCTCTTCACTGATCTGGCAAAAATTCTGAAAGGAAATCTTTCTTCTCTCTGAAAATTAAAACCAACCTAAATGTTTTTGGAGATATAAACTCCATTTTCTTCCTCACAGGACTGATAGTAAATACTTTTTTGGGTCATAACTTTAAGTTTTTGCTTCTCATAAGGATCTTGATGGATAAAGGGAATTACAATACAAATAACTTATATTGAGTACTGTGAAAGGTACCAATGATTCAAAGCAGAATAAGACAATCCCTACCCTAAAAGTTCCCACAGTCTAACATGTGAGGTGCAAGAAAACTTTATGTAAAATATTTAATTAGAACATACTCAAACTTATATGTCAGAATGAATAAGAGAAGAAAATCTCCTGGTTCTACTGGTGGGAAAGGCTTTACATCAGAAATGACATTTGAGCTGCACATTGATGAATGAGTATAGATGCCGCAGTAACCTAAGGAATAATGTGCACAAATATATTTGTTGTTAATAATTAGAAAAAAAGTGGAAATTGAAGGTTTGAGATGAGAAAAGAGGTAAAGTTGACAGATGATTAGGAACTCATAGATGCTTTAATGTAGCCTTGAAAAAGAGATGGTGTGAATTTCTGGCTTTTAGGTGGTGAAAGAGCTGAGATGTGCATGGGGGTAATGGGAGAGCTGGCTAAGAGTTTACTGTTTTAGAGCATGACATTAGTATAGTCATGCTAATGTCATATATAATGGAGATGGACCAGAACAGTCTATCCCAGGACATATAAAAATTCAGCCCTTACTTAGCAACGCCCAAACCAAGTAAATAAAGTCTACCAAAAATAGTTTGTATCTCAAGCATGTAAGTTATTTTGTGCCTCTGAAACATAGAACAGGAAATGAAAAGCAATATATTTAAAAGCTATCATTTTTCAGATACTTAGCCAAGGGTATGCCAAAATAACAGTGAGGTCTGTGTTGAAAGGAAAAACTAACCAGCTTGGGAAAGATCTAAAAAAAGTGTCCCTAAAAATATCCTTATATCTTTTCTCTATCAACTGCTTTATGTGTCATCTTATACCACACAAAATAAGAAAAACAGTAGTTTAGGTGAATGATCTGGTCTAACCAGATTATCTAAATAGCCCTGTCCTCCAAAATATTTACTTATTGTGAGTAAACATGTTTTGCTATACACATTTTATACTGAATGACAGTTCCAGAACTCCATTAGAAAAATCTACCAAAGCCAAAGATGTTATTTTTAGAATATAAACTCTGATAGTCCTGCAAGCTCCTGAAAATTGGAGACAAGAAACATCTAAAGAAGGGTCTAAATCAACCAGGTCCTAAAAACACCTGGCACAATGCTTCATTCCACAAGGTAGTCAGACTATAGAGCAACAAGAAAGACACAGTCCCATATAACAGAGAAAACTAGCAAGTTAAATAACTTCTGATATTTCTCAACATTTAGGGCTGTCATTTATTTGTTTAGCACTTTAGAAATTCAAATAATACCACCATACCTATGTCATTTGATCTTTATAACAGCCCCAAGGAACAGACAGGACAGGGATTTTCCCTCACATTTTATAGATAAGGAAACAGATTCAGCTAAAGTAATTTGCTTTACGTCAAAGAGCTAGTAAATAACTGAACCAGGGTCAGTTCAAAAACTCCTTTCCACTATATCCTGCAACCTCGTATTTTTGCTTGAGATAGATAGATAGATAATAGATAGACAGACAGACAGAAAGATAGATAGTATATGGGCATGAAAAGTTGAACTTTAATTTTGAGGGTTTTATTCACAATTAACTCTCCATAAATCAGAAAGCTGAGTCCTGAAAAGTTTGCTTTCAGACCGTATAGCAAGTAATGTTGGTTTATTCTTTTTCATGGCTCATTTTTTTGCACCTGTTATGCTATCAGAAGCCAATTCATTGTCTTGTTCTCAGCTCAGCCTATTTTCCTGTGTCATTTACTATCACCATGACACTTCTCTCTCTGCTTACAGCCACACTCTAGCTGTAGTAATTTATCTTTTTTTTTTTTTTTTTTTTTTTTTTTTTTGAGATGGAGTCTCACTCTGTCACCCAAGTTGGAGTGCAATGGTGTGGTCTCGGCTCACTGCAACCTCTGCCTCCTAGGTGCAAGCAATTCTCCTGCCTCAGCTTCCCGAATAGCTGGGATTACAGGCACGTGCTACTGCACCCGGTTAATTTTTGTATTTTTAGTAGAGATAAGGTTTCACTATGTTGGCCAGGCTGGTCTCGAAGTCCTGTCCTCGTGATCTGCCCACCTCAGCCTCCCAAAGTGCTGGGATTACAGGCATGAGCCACCACGCCCACCCAATTTTTTAATCTTTTTAATTTAAAAAGATGTTGACCATACAAATAAGTATAAGAAGGGCATAACAGAAACCTATGTTATCTGCCATCCAGATTTAATGGATACTAACATTTTGCCATAGCTTCTCCAGATGCTTTAATTGAAATAAAACACTACAATACATTAATCCCCACATCTCCTCAGGGACAAGCATTGTCTTTATGTTAATATGTGCCCATTTCTTTATATTATTTTTCTACAAACAACATAGTTTTTAATCATTTACATAAGTAAAATCATTGTGTATGTATTATTTTGCAACTTTCCTTTTCCACCCCAAATAAATTTATCTAAATATATTTGACACTGTAATTCATTTTAATTGATATATATATTGTTCATTTGGACTGCTATGTATGATTTCCTTTTATGAAAAATATCATAATTTATTTTTTCTAATATTGAAAGACACTGAAGTTGTGTTCATTTTTTTCTATTATAAACTATGCTGTAATGAACATCTTTGTATGTATTTTTTAGAACACTTATATAAGAGATTCTGTAGGTCACTCAATGAAGAGTGGAAATTTTGGTGTGTAGGATATATTTAATTTTGCTCAGTGTGGTAAATTACTCCCCATAGTGGTTTTTCAAGTTACATTCTCCCCACCAGGGTATCAGAATTCACATTTCCCCACATCCTCTCGGTTGTAGTAATTATCGTTCACCAGCTATTTCTAGATCTCTGTCTTCTACACACATGGAGGCATTGCCCTCTGCCATCCCTTTTGAAGTTAGTCATAGACATACAAATTGTTTTAGGCAATGAAATGTGAGCCAAGCCTTAAGAGCTAGTGAGGAATTCACCATGTTTTCTCTTTGCCTCTGCCTCAGTGAACTTTAATGATCCATATACTGACTTCATCACATTGGGACTCAATGATGATGACAGAATAAAGCCTCTAGTTGGCTTGCAATAAACATTAGGTATGAGCCATAAATAAATCATCAATGTTTTATATCATGGTTTGGTAAACTATGGCTTATTGGTCAAATCTGGTCCACTGCATATTTCTATAAACTTTTATAGAAACACAGCCCGCAGACATGCCTATTTATTTACATATTGTCTAGGAAGAGTTGAGTAGTTGAGATAAGTTTGAAATATTTACTATTTGTCCCTTTGCAGAAAAAGTTTTCTGAGCCTTGTTTTAAATCACTGAGATTCTGAGGATGCTTATTACTGTAGCATTGCATAGCTCATTCTGACTAATATGTTTACTGCCTTGTGGTATTATCCTACTATAAGCTTTTTGCCAATCTAATGAGTATCTTAAAGTATTCCTTCTCAATGAAGTAAATAATTATTTTTGAAAGCCATAGATATATTGTGCTGATCCTCAGGGTCTTTTAAAGTTATTATTAATAAACTTTATTTTTAGAGAAGTTTTGGCTTACAGAAAAATTGAGTAGTAAGTAGAGATCTTCTACCTATCTTCTCTCCCTGCCTCAGTCTTGTTATAATCTAAAAGATCCTTTTTATTAGGCAGCATGCTGTCACAATGGAGAATTAATTTAGAATTTTTTTAGAACACATAACCCACTTCTTTAAAAAATTATCAAACAAAACTATTTAAAATGTTGCTCTAAACAAGACATTTAACACAGTTTTTGACAGTCTTATTCCTTGGTGAATAGTTATATCTAAACAGTCTTGCTGTTAGAGTATTATTTATTCTTTGTTAATTTTTAACACATATGCACTTTTTATAAGCATTAAAGGATAAATTATTGAAAAGCCATATATATTGTGCAATATAAAACTGAAGAATCCACTGCAGCCTAGGGGTAGCTATTAAAATATTATCAATGAGAAGGAAAAAAAAGCAAATCCTAGAGTACGATAAAGACAATCTAAACAGATCAATCAAATTTTATGAAAATGGATCTCTCAGGGTTTGGGAATACACAAAAAGGAAGAGTGAGTTGAATTGGTTATTTCTTGCTGTAGCATGTTGCATACGATTCAATGTAGCATTTTGCTATCTGAAGCAGCAAGATACAGCAGAAACAACTGGGACAGAGTCAAGAATCCTAATATGAAAGTCTGGTTGTAATGTTTCTTCCCCTGTTCCTGAGCCTTCAATTTATTTAACTGTCTAGGAAAAAAAAGTTGGAATTGATCAGTGGCTCTAACTTCTTCTTCAGGATAACATTTGCTTTCCCCAAATAAACTCTATGTAGCTCTCTGACGTTAAAAAAATGCAGGTATATATTAATTTATTTTGTAAATTGGAATTTGTAATATGTATATATTATAATGTGGGCCAAACAGAATAGTAAAAGTCTTTTGATCATACAACAATTTGAAATCATAGCTTCCAATTACAGCAATAACCCTAAGTACCCAGAAACTTGTAATCAAAGGCTATTCCTCTATGGAACCTAAAGTTGTGTGAAACACAGCTTGGAAACTCCTGGACTAGAGCTATCTCTTTGAAAGGCCATTCTGGTTTTAATATTGAGTTGGTGATGGCTACTGCTGCAGGAATAGGATCATACAACAGTTCAGGTTATAGGCTCAGAAAGTAGGCTGTCATGATTTCAACCTTACTTCTGCTGCTTCCTTATTGTATAACCTTAGGAAAGTTTCCTAGAATCTTTGTACCTCCATTTCTTTGCCTACAATATAAAGATGATGAAACATCTTCCTGGGAAGAAATGTGAATATTAAATGAGATAGTGCATGTAAAATGCCTGCCACATATAAGCTCCGTATAAATGTCAATTGGTGACATTAGTGTCCTAAAAGAGTTATTTCAACCACAATGTCCTAAACCCTTTTATTCACTCACTTTGCCAATCTAAGGACCATTTGAATGCAATTTCCAAATCACTGCTATTGGCAGCTTCCCACAGAGCCTCAGCAGATCTAATTCCATTCATTAGAACAGATGTTGTTGAGGGCCTCCTCAAAGCAAAGTGCTCTGTTAGGTAGAGTAGAAACTATGAGGGTAAATCTGAGTTGTATTTGGTATTTTGAGACATAGGTGAGCATAGCCTTCTGCAGGTCCAAAATTTGACAAAGGTATAAGGGATCCAGGACCTGGGAAATCTTTGTAAAAATAAGGTTAGACAATAATTTTAAAAGGCAAATGTTACAAGCATATATATGAATATTCACTTCCATGTTTTCATTAAGATTATTCTAATAGTAAATAACACTTACAGAAAGGTTAAGTAAATTGCCAGAGTTTACATAGCTAGGAAGTAGCAGACCTGGGATATAAACCTAGGTGGTAAGGTTGTACACTTACTATTCCAATGGATTACATTACTATTCCTTCTAATGTTTGTTTCTAATATTTGTTTCCCTCTCTGTGAGATGACTGCACTATGCCCTCCAGTTTGTGTAAGTCATGTGACATGATTTTGCCAGTAAAATAATAATAAGTGGAGATGATACATGCCATTTTTCAAAGAGAAACTTTAAAAGCTATTGCTTGGTTCTGTCATCACTCCCTTTGCCATCTCATATCAGCCTAGGATGGCCCAGGTAGGGGCTGTTCCTTTAGCCTGGCTCCCAAAACAAAACAAAGGCACAGAAAGAAAAGTCAAAGCCAATCGTGGAAGACATGTACTGATAATGAGAAATGTGGTTTTTCTGGCTGTTGTAAACCACTTAGATTTTGAAGTTGTTTGCTGTAGCAGTATAAAAACTAGTAAAAAAAAAACCACAAATGGATATAACCACCAAAGTAGAATGCACTTCAAACTGCCAATGTTATTATTCTGAACTATTAAGCCAGCTTCTAACATTGAATTACTTCATGCCTGGCTTAAAATCTCCTGAGGTTTTTTTTTTAAATTATTATTATTTTCATTAATGCAATGATAAAGTAGTAAAGCCTAAAGTCTAAACTCTTCATCCTGGTGGCACTCAAGGCCTTCTATAGCCTGGCCTTAATAATTTTTCTCTTTTGAGTATCATATCCTTTCCACTTTCCCAATTTTCTCCCACTTTTTCCACCTTCAGATATGCACACAGTGAACACTAGGTCAGGCCATTTCTAGGTTCATCCAGGCCCTTTCACATGCCTATACATTTTTTAATGCCATTACAAATTTCTGGATTCCTTCACCTCCCCTCACTCTCTGTCTTCCCTATAAATTTCTATTAATACACAAAGACCCAGCTCCAATGCTATTCCCCAGGGAGATGTAATTGTTCCCTCTTCTCTGGTCTCATTAAGCTGCATGAGGAAGTTTAACAAGGCAATTCATACATAAAAGGTAATAAAAGATACATGTCTCTCTGCCCCACCCCTCCCCACACCTCGGACTATGAGCTTCTTGAAGACAGGGACTGTGTCTTTATCCATTCCTATATTCTGAAGACCACACTGAGCTTGGCAATTAATAGAGATGACACACATGCTTGCAGCCACGCAGGTTTAGGAAATTAATAAATTTTAAAAATAGGAAACTCTATTACTCAAAATTAATGTCAATTTGGTTTAGACCTGTTACTGCTATTGCCCAAAGAGAAATGCAGATCTCAATGACACAAATAACTAGAGGAATGGTCTGAACATCAGCAAGATGGTAGAATAAAACTTTCCAGGACTCATCTCCTCCTGCTGCAGAAACATCCATTTGAACAACTATGCACACACAAATATACCTGGACAAGAGCTAAGCAAATGAAGTGAGAGATTGCAGTACCTAGAAGTAGCACAGAAATAAGAAGACACGTTGAAGAGGGTAGGAAAGTTTCATATTACTTGCATCACCCCTCCATAACCCCAGGTCGCACAGCATGAATGGCAATACCCTCTGCTTAGGGTAAGTAGAGGGAAGTGAACAATGGACTTTGTCCTCGTCCCCAACATCGGACCCATTCTAATAAAACTCAGCACTGAACAGGCCCCCAGAGTTCAAGACTCCAGACTGGTAACTGTGGACTGAGCCTCTTGAGCCATCCTAGAGCCAGGCCAGACCACAGAGACTTAGGCTCCAGGCCTGCACCAGGCCCAGGCTGGTTACAGTATCCCTGGGACCTGTACCACTCTCAGAAACAGACTTGCCCCACATCCCCAGGTTTTAGGTACGCCAAACTGCTGGGGCAGCCTCTGTGGCCACAGGGTCCAAGACTTCAAGGTTCCAGACGAGTCAAGAATCAGGTTTGTGTATACAATCTCAGGCTTCAGGCATTCCACAGCCCAGGTCAGGCATCAGGCCAACACCCATGGACGCAGGCTCCAGGCCTACCAGGTACCAGCCTGGGCCCTGCAGCTCTACCCTCTCGGCCAGCTCCTGTGGTCCCATGCTCTACCAGACAATTGGTCTAGGTCCATCCCAGTGGACCCCAGTGCTGTGCTCATCCCAAGAACCCAGGCTCCAAGACCACTATTAGGGACGAAGGTTCCAGGCTGATTCCTATGGCCCCAGTACCTGGGCCAACATTCACAGGCATAACCTACAGGCCAGCATCCACACAGTAACCCTTTAGGAGAGTACCTGCAGACTCATACTCTAGGCTTGTTTCTACCATACCAGGCTCCAGGCCAGACCCTGTGGCTCCAGGCATCAGGCCAGCACCCAAGATCCCAGGCTCCAGACTAGCCCCCAAAGACTAAGGTTGCATGCCTGTCCCAGCACTAGGCCAACTCCAGTCTCCAGGTCAGTGCCAGTAGTTTCAGACTCCAGTGGATCTAGGGTCAAGGCCTGTTTCAGCAGAATGAAGATCCAGACCCACCCCAATGGACCCCAGTGCCAGGCAGAACTCCATGGACTGACACTCCATAACCACCCCTGTAGACCCAGCCTCTAAATATGTCTCCACGGACACAGGACATAGTCCTTCCCCAGGGCCAGGCCACTTTCCAAGCACCCAGGCTTCAGACCCAGCCCAGGAACAAAGTTCATCCTAGTGCCTGGCTTACCATGGCAGACTCAGTCTCAATGCTTACCCCAGCACAAAGTCAACACCTGTAGACCCACACCTCAGGCTTTACCATGGATACAGGCTCTTGGCCTGCTGCCATGAATCTAATCATCAGATCCACCCCAGAGGATTCAAACTCTAGGCTCAACCATGTGGACCTAGGTGCTAGGCCCATTCATAGGCTGACCCAGACACCAGGCCAGCTTGTCCAAGAAGTCCAACAGCAAGTCTGCCTACAGATCACAACAGGTATCCTGCCAAAACTCTCTGAATGAGCTGATTGGTGAAGGACTTTCCCAGGCAGTCAGTCTGCAAAGGTTAAAATAACTCCTTACCTCTTCAAATGTGCAGATATCAACATAAGGCAATAAGAAACAAGAAAACCAAGAACTTATAACACCACCAAAAAATACAGTAATCACCCAGTAGATGCGCCACTAAATAAATGGAGATATATGAACTGCCTAACAAATAATTCACAATAATTGGTTTAAGGAAGTTCATTAAACTTTGAGAAGAGAGAAATAATTCAATGAAATCAGTAAAATAATAAATGGCCAATAAAATAAATTTATCAGAGAGATTGAACTTAGAACAAAAATCAAACAGAAATCCTAGAGTTGAAACAATTAATGAAATGAAAAATACAGTAGAATGCATCAAAAGCAGAATTAATTAAGCAAATGAAAGAATATGTAAAATCAAAGACAGGTTATTTGTAAGTATATAGTCAAGAGGAGAAAAAAAAATAAAGAAATGAAAGAAGAAAGTTTACAGGATTTATGGGATAGCACCAAAACACCAAATGTTTGATTTTAGGAGTTGATGAAGAAAAACAGAAAAACAAAGGGGTAGAACAAAACTTTAAAAAATAGCAGAAAATTCTCCAAAGATGAGAAAAGGTATATCCAGGTACAGGAATATCAAGTGTCTCTATTCAGATTCAATCCAAACAAGATTATACCAAGACGTATTATAACCAAACTACTCAAAGACAAAGAAAGGATCCCGAAAGCTGCAAGAGAAAAGGAGCAAGTGACACATAAGAGAGTTGCAATAAGGGTAGCAGCAGATTTCTCAGCAGAAACCTCACATGTAAGGGGAGAGTGAGATTATATTTTTCTTTCCAATCCAGAGCCCAGAACTACAGGGGCCATCCTGGCCTACCCTGCTGCAGTCTTTAAGCCTGAGTCTATGTTGACTGGACTGGCTCTGCATTGGGTCAGGAGGCTCAGCCCAAAGATGATATATAAACAACATACTTCAAAGTGCTGAAGGAAAATAATCTGCCAACTAAGAATACTTTACCTGAAAAAAACTGTTCTTCAGAAATGAAGAGATAAAGACTTTCTTAAACAAAAGCTGAGGGAGTTTATCACCAACAGACCTGTCTTATAAAAAATGCAAAAGGTAGTTTTTCAAGCTGAAAGAAAACTATGCAGATTAGTATCACAAAAACACATGAAAATATTAAACTCATTCATAAAAGTACACAGTCAAATTCAGAAAATTAAGGCTGTAATGGTGTTGTGCAAACCATTTACATCTTTTGCTTGAAGGTTAAAAGACAAAACTATTAAAATAATAATAGCTGTAATAATTTTTAAGACACACACACAAAATAAAAAGATGCACATTGTTATATTGAAAACATAAAATTTGTAAGGGGTAAGGTAAAGTAAATAAATTTTTAAAAATGAGATTAAACATAATATGTTATCAGCTTAAAATAGAATAGCCTGTTTTAACTATAAGATGTTTTATGTAAGCCTCATGGTAACCACAAAGCAAAAACCTTTTGTAGATCCACAAAAGATAAAAAGCAAGATATCAAAACATACCACTAAAGAAAATTATTTAATTACAAAAGAAGACAGCAAGAGAAGGAAAAAGAAACAAAGGCTCTACAAAACAAAATGGGTTTAAGTCCTTACTTGTCAATAATTACCTTAAATGTAAATGGATTCAATTCATGAATCAAAAGACATAGAGGGTCCGAATGGATAAAAAAGTAGACAAAACAATATACTGCTTACAAGAGACTTGCTTTACCTTTAAGGACACACTAGACTGAAAATGAAGGAATGGAAAAATATATTTCATGCAAATGGAAACCAGTGGTAGTCATATCAGATAAAATACATTTTAAGTTAAAACCTGTAAAAAGAGACAAGGTCATTATATATTGAAAAAGAAGTCAAATTATCAAAAAAATTATAACAATTATAAATATATATGCAGCCAAGAGCAAAGCACCTGAATATATAAAGTAAATTTTAATATATCTGGAGAGGTTGTAATGTCACAATAGTAGGAGATTTTATACCCCACTTTCAGCTATTCATAAATTGTCCATACAGAAAATCAATAAGGAAACCTCAGACTTTAGATTAAAAGGAAACTACAGAAATATAAAGAACATTCCACCCAACAATGGCATACACTTAGTCTCAAGTGCACACGGATCACTCTTCCAGATAAATCATATGTTAGGAGACAAAACAAGTCTTAACAAACCTAGGACTTAAAGATCTTAGCAAATCATAACAAATACCTTTTCCAACCAACAATAGTATAAAAGTAGAAATCAGTAACAGAATGAATTTCAGAAAATTTGCAAATGCATGAATATTAAACAACATGCTCCTGAACAACTAATAGTTTAAAGAAGAAATTTGAAGAGAAATTTCAAATAAAAATAGATACACAAAATACCAAAATGTATAAGATTTAGCAAAAGCAGTTCCAACAGAGAAGTTCATAGCAATACACATTTACATAAAAAAGAGAAATATTTGAAGTAAATAGACCAATTTTACACCTCAAGGAACTAGAAAAAGAAGAGCAAGCATAGCCTGAAGTGTGTAGAACTAAAGAATATTAAAAATCAGAGCAGAAATAAATGAAAGACTAGAAAGACAATAAAAAAGATCAACGTGTTGTTTTTTGAAAAGGTAAACAAAATTGACAAACCTTAGACTAATCAACAAAAAAACCTCAAATAAATAAAATAAAAAATGAAAGAAAAGACATTACAACTGATACCACAAAATTAAAAAAGGATCATAGCCGACTTCCATTAACAACTACCATATGCCAACAAATGAGATAACACTGAAGAAATACATACATTTCTAGATACAACTTACAACTTATCAAGAGAGGGTCATGGAGAAATATAAAACTTAACAGAATAATAGCAAGTAAGGAGACTGAACAAACAGGAAAAAAAAACTCTAAAAAAAAAAAAAAGACCAAGAAGTGGTGATTCTACCAAACATGTAAAGTAGAACTAATACCAATTCTCTTCAAAGCCTTTCAAAAATTGAAGGGAGAGAAAGCTTGCAAACTCAATTTATGAGTCCCACGTTACTCTGATAATAAAACCAGACAAGAGTACTACAACAAAAGAAAATGACAGGTTAATATCTCTGATGAACATGGAATCAAAAATTCTCAACAAAATGTCAGAAAACTGAATTCAACAACATAAAAAATATCATTCTCCATGATCAAGTGGGATTTAACCAAGGGATGCAAGCATGGTTCAATATACACAAATCTATAAAAGTGATACGCCACATTAACAGAATGAAGAACAAAATAAATATCACCTCAATAAATGTGGAAAGATCTGACAAGGTTCAATATATTTCTATGAGAGAAAGTCTCAACAAATTAGGTATAGAAAGAACGTACCTCAAACAAAAAAAAGGCCATATATGACAAGTCCACAGTTTATATCATCCTTAATGGAGGAAACCTAAAAGCTTCTTCTCTAAGATCAGGAAAAAGACAAGGAGGTCCACACTTACCACTTATATTCAACACAGTACTAGAAGTCTGACCTACAGAAATCAGGCAAGAAAAATAAATAAAAGCCATCCAAACTGGAAAGGAAGCAGTTAAACTGTTCATGTTTGCAGATGGCATGATCTTATATGTAGAAAATCCTAAAGACTCCACCAAAAAGCTGTTAGAACAAATAAATCCAATAAAGTTGCAGAATGCAAAATCAACATATAAAAACCAGTAGCATTTCTAATACTAACAATTAATTATCATTGATAACAATAGAAATGAAGAAAAAAATCCCATTTCCAATAGCTGCAAAAAAATAGAATATTTAAGAATAAATTTAACAAAAAAAGGTGACAATCTTATATACTGAAAACTAAAAAACATTGTTGAAAAAATTAAAGAATATAGAAATAAATGGAAAGATATCTCATGCTCATGGATTAGAATATTTAATATTGTTAAAATGTCCATACTACCCAAAGTGATCTACAGATTCCATGCTATCCCTATCAAAATTCCACTGACATTTTTTCACATAAGTTAAAAAAGAAAAAAAAAATTCTAAAAACCTTATGGAACCACAAAAGACTCAGAATAACCAAAGCAATCTTGGGCAAAACAACAAAGCTGGAGGCCTCAAAGTACCTGACTTCAAAATATACTATAAAATATAGTAAAGTATAGTAGTACCAGCAAGGTACTACTGACATAAAAAAGAGACATACATCAATGGAATAGAATAGAGAACCTAGAAATAAATCTGTACATTTACTGGCAATTTATTTATTTATTTATTTATTTTATTATTATTTATTTATTTATTTATTTATTTATTGAGATGAAGTTTTTGCCCAGGCTGGAGTGCAATGGCGTGATCTCAGCTCACTGCAACCTCCTCCTCCTGAGTTCAAGTGATTCGCCTGCCTCAGCCTCCTAGGTAGCCAGGATTACAGGCATGCACCACCACGCCTGGCTAGTTTTGTACTTTTGGTGGAAATGGGGTTTCACCACGGTGGTCAAGCTGGTCTCGAACACCTGACCTCAGGTGATCCACCCGCCTCGGCCTCCCAAAGTGCTGGGATTACAGGCATGACCCACCATGCCCAGCCTACTGTCAATTTATTTTTGACAAAGGTGCCAAGAATACACAATGGGGAAGGAACAGTTTCTTCAAAAAATCGTGTAGAGAAAACTAGATATCCATGTATACAGAAGAATGAAATTAGACCCTTATGTCACACCATATACAAAAATTAACTCAAAATAAATCAAACACTTACATGTAAGAACTGAAACTATAAAACTACAAGAAGAATACATAAGGGAAAATCTCCATAACATTGGTCTGGACAATGAGTTTTTGGATATGGCCCCAAAAGCACGGGCAACAAAACCATAAATAGACAAATGGGATTTCATCAAACTAAAAAGCTTCTTTGCAGCAAATGAAACAATCAAGAGAGTGAAGATACTACCTCCAGAATGAGAGAAAATATTTGGAACCTGTATATCTTATCAGGGGTTAATATCCCACAATATAAGGAACTTGTACAACTTTATAAAAAGAAAACAAATCACCACATTAAAAAATGGGCTAAGGGCCTGAATAGACATTTCTCAACAGAAGACATACAAATGGCCAACAGGGATATAAAAAAGTGTTCAATGTCACTAATCATTAGGGAAATGTAAACCAAAATAACAACGCACTATTGTCTCACACATGTTATAATGGCTAGTATCAAAAAGACAAAAGATAACAAGTGTTGATAAGCATGTGGATAAAAGGGAATCAATGCTGTTGTCAGGAGTGTAAATTATTATAGCCATTATGGAAAACAGTATGGAGGTTCCTCAAAAAACTATAAACAGATGATCCAGTAATCCCACTACTGGGTATATATCCAAAGGAAATGAAATCAATTATATGAATGAAATCAATTATATCAATTAATTAATGAAATCATTATATCAAAGAGATAACTGTATTCCATATTCCTGCAGCATTCTTCACAAAAGCCAAGATATGGAATCAATCTAAGTATCCATCAATGGATGAATGAAAGAAAATGTGGTATAGATACACAATGAAATAATCTTTTGCCTTAAAAAAGAAGAAAATCCTGTCATGTACAACAACGTGGATGAACCTGGAAAGCATTAAATTTAGTGAAATGAGCTAGGCACAGAAGCACCAACACCTTATAATCTCACTTATATTTGTAATCTCAAATGATGAACTCATAGAAGCAGAGAGTACAATGGTGGTTATCAGGGCTGTGGGTTGGGCATGGAGAGATACTTGATAAAGGATATCAAATTTCACTTAGGAAGAATAAGTTTAAACGATCTATTGTATAATACAGTGACTATACTTAAACATGTTATATACAATAAACACATAAAATTTTTGTCAATTAAATGTTTTAAAAATACTGAAAGCAGATTCCATACATACAACTATTAAAGTGAGAAAAATAAACTTAAATATGCATATTTATGTATTACTTATATAGAGTAGCCTCCTCTTATCCATGGTTTCACTTTGTGCAGTTCAGTTGCCAGAGTAAAACTGTCGTATGAAAATACTAAATGCAGAATTTCAGAAATAAACAATTAATAGGTTTTAAATTACATGCTGCTCTGAGTAGCATGATAAAATCTTGTGCCATGCCATTCCTTCCTGCCCAGATCTGAATCAACCCTTTGTCCAGCATATTCAAACATACACATTACCTGCTGCTTAGTCACCTACTAGACACCTTGGTTATCAGATTGACTATACCGGTACTGCAGTGCTTGTGTACACATAACCGTTTTTTTGTTTGTTTGTTTGTTTTTTGAGACGGAGTCTCACTCTGTCGCCAGGATGGAGTGCAGTGGCGTGATATTGGCTCACTGCAACCTCTGCTTCCCGAGTTCAAGCGATTCTCTTGCCTCAGCCTCCCAAGTAGCTGGGATTACAGGTGCTCGCCACCACGCCCAGCTAATTTTTGAATGTTTGGTAGAGACAGGGTTTCACCATGTTGGCCAGTATGGTCTCGATCTCTTGACCTCGTGATCCGCCTGCCTCGGCCTCCCAAAGTGCTGGGATTACAGGCATGTGCCACCACGCCCAGCCCAAAGGTTATTAAGAAAATAACCTTTATTTTCTTAATAATGGCCTTAAAGTGCAAGAGTAGTGATGTTGACATAATGTTCTAATTGTTCTACTTTATTTTTAATTATTGTTTTTAATCTCTTACTGTGTCTAATTTATAAATTAAATTTTATCATAGGTGTGCATGTATAGAATAAAACAGCATATATATGATTTGGTACCATCCATGCTTTCAGGCATCTGCTTGGGGTCTTGGAACATATCCCTCATGGATAAATGGGGACTGCTGTGTTCCAATCTTCCAAAAGCACTAAGGACATTTGAGGTCATGTGTTTTTCCTCTAATCCCTGTCAAGCAATTCCAAAGGACTCCTAGCTGTAGACTGTAAAGGACTAATATAGACAGGAACTAGTCTGGGACCATGACTGCCCTCATGTAAATGAAACCAGATCAGGGTTCATCCTCAAGGCCCAGTGAGGCCTTACAGATGCTTACTAGCATCCTGATTCCAAATGTTTCATACCATCCTTCACCTGAATGAGGGGAAGTGGGTAAAAGAAAAAAGATACTTGTTTTCATTTGCCTCACTACCAGGGATTAACAAACTTTTTCTGTAAAAGGCCAGATAGTAAATATTTTGGGCTTTTTAGGCCATAAGGTATCTGTTACTACAACTCACCTCTGCCCTTATACCATGAAAGTCACAATACACAATACATAATAGAATGGAATGGCTGTATTCCCAAAAAACTGTATTTATGGACAATGACATTTGAGTTCTCTATGATTTTCACATGACATATTATCTGGGTTTTTCAGCCACCTAAACTATAAAAATCATCTTTGCTTGTCTGCCACACAAAAACAGGTCATTGGCTATATTTGGCTCATGGTGTGTAGTTTGCAGATTACTACCCTAAGGTAAACACACATTCTGTAGTGTCAAGTAGTGAATTAACTTTATTACTTATAAATTTGACTGGGGTGCTTCTGTTGAAAGACCACACTGCTCCCCATCTCTGTTAATCGCCAAACAAAATTATGCAAGCTTTGCTGAGCTTTAGCTATCTCAGAAGTCTTGATATTTATTTAAAATTTTGAATTAAGTTAGAGTCCTCTTTGCATTTCTCAGTGGTGTGAAATGAAATTTTAATGAGATTTTTCTCATTCCCTAAGAATGTGCAATAGTGCTAGAGCTATACAAACTCTTCTTTATATCCTGGGTGTTAATATAGGAGGTCATGAGACCACTTCCTCTTGATGTCTTTAAAAGGAAGATGGGTTTTGCATATGTCAGGAATTATTTCTAGTTTGTCCTGCCTGGAGGTAGGGGTTGGACTCACTGACTTCCCTAATCCTGTATTATGTAACAGCAGAATAAATATAGTATCATTACAACAAAATCACCCTAACTGGCTGGTTACTTTCTAAACATTTCAAGTTGGTGCATTCTGGAAGAAGGAACCCTGGATATGCAGTCAGGTGACCTGAGTATAGGTGGCAGTTCCATCACTGCTGACTTGAGCCATACGCCTAAGTCCCTTCATCTGCAAAGGTTTTCTAATAATATGAACCGCCTAATAGGGATGCCATGAGCTTAATGTGCTTAGAATAGTATCTGCTTCATTATAATCACTTAAGAATGTTTGGTTTTAGTATTGTATTATTCTCACCTTCAGAAAGAGTGGTGATCACCCAGTGACTGCAAGTGAGAAGGTGCTCTGAAAACTATGACTGACATGTCATATGTTATCATTAAAGTAATGGCATGTAAAGGCTGTAAAAGCACAAATGATTCTCCCCATTAGTTCTTCATTTTCATCTTCATTTTTTTTCAACTTTGTTCTCCATTGTATTCATTTTCTCTTGGAGTTTGATAAGTATTCCATTGGAGATTTACCTTTTCACCTTTCAAAACTCTTTGGGAGAATAGCGATCTAGGACATAATCAATCATTTTTAGAGTCCTCTGAAATCCTGAACTTTGGAACTTCAGCCACTTAAACAGAATTTGAATTGGAGATATTTTAGTGAAAGAATGCAACTTTTTTTCTCTTCTTAGAAAGTATGATCTAGACCAAGAGCCCATTATTATGTCTAAATCAAGGAAAGGTGAATGACGAAAAATACACCTTCCTGGATGTATTCTGGATGCGCCTCTCCACAGGCCATAACATCACCATTTGTTAAGAGAGTGGGTGATGTGCACACTTTTGTTGGTCCTACACTACCTATATCATGTCAAATATGTTAAAGACACTCACATTTTGCATTAATTTTGCAATATAGATTTTTAAATTATTTTAATGAAAGTAAGTCATTCATTTTAAAGTGGCTATAATTCTACACTTGTGTTCTATAATCAGGAATTCTTGTGAAGTCACAATAACAACTTTAAAAGTTGTTTTCTACTGATGAAAATTAAGTATACTAGCAGGTAACATTTATTAGACAAATACCATGTGTCATGCACGCTTCTAAGAACTTTTTGTTAACATACTTCATTTTCATAACAACCTTATGAGCTAGCATTTACTTTATCTTTGTTTTCCAGATGAGAAAAACTAGCTCCTTTGTAGCACTGGCCAGATAGTCTGAGCCGGAATCCATACTTTTATGAGGTTACATTTTGTAAATTAATTTTTATTTTTAGTATGATTTTTGCATTAGGCCATTCTTGCATTACTATAAAGAAATATCTGAGACTGGGTTATTCACAAAGAAAAGAGATTTAATTGTCCTACAGTTCTATGGGCTGTACAAGCATTGCTCCAGAATCTACTTCTAGTAAGGGTCTCCGGAACCTTACATGATTGATCATGAGGGATCCACCCTCATGATCTAAACACCACCCACCGGGACCCACCTCCATCACTTGGGATTACATTTCAACATGAGATTTGGATGGTACAAATATCCAAAGTATATCACTTTTTGTATTTTTGAAGTTTTTTTAAAGATTCAGATGTCAAGCATTTTTGTAGGCCCTTACAAAGCTTCTGACACCTAGGTATCATTCCTGTGGTGGCTAATACAAATCAGCGGCCTCGCCAGCCTCATGGACTCCTGCTTGTCACATAAGGAGGAAGAAGCTTCAGACAAAAGTTCAAGGAAGTCTTTTGGCAAAAGATTTACGCACAAAAGCATAAAAGCAGCCCTGCATGAAACCTCACATCTGATAGTGTGACCTGTTTGGAAAGAGAGACAACCTCTGCATTTCTCGTGGAGGATGACATGGCTCCAGTGCAAGAGAAACGGCAGTAATCCAGCAGTGCTTGATTACACATAGGGTTTGCCACTTTGGAAGCACCCAGGGTTCCACCCTGCCACAAATCACCACATTCTCATGAAGGGGCTGGTAGCAGAGGCAAGAGTGAGGCACTGCTGTCAACTGGCTTTTGGAATATTCTACATCAATCAGAGCAACTTGATGGGAAGATCCTTATAGTATTATATCTATGAAAAACTAAGGCATCTTTCGGGAAAGTCGAAGATATGTCTTGGAGGGACTTGGATGGAAGGCTGTGCATTATTTAGGAAAGAATATGAAGCAGTTAATGTTGTGTGATGCTTGTGAATTTGAATTCATTTATATTCAAATTGTGATGAGACATGGAGGAAATTTTCTGGTGAGTAGAGGGAAATTCTGAGAAATTTGTCAAAAGGTATTCACAATACACCAAGTTGTTTTATTTTACAATAAGTTTTTTGTAAATCCTCCTGTAAATTATAAAGATTCTTGTATATTTATCTCTTGTATAAAGCAAAATACAACTGTGTTTGCATCCAACCAAGACAGCAGGCAGACAGATTGCTGACTTTAGCAATGTCATATCATTAGACTGTCATATCTAGCAAAGGAGAGCTGCTAACGTTCATTATAATAGCATCCTTAGAAAGAAAGTCTTCCCGTCAAATATTCACTCATGTCCAAATTTGACAACTCTTTCCTTTGGATGATATTGCAAAATACATCTTGCCCCCAAGAGTAGTTGCTTAATAAATGCATTTGCTCTTTAAGCATTATCAATATTCTTTAAACAGAACTCTGTGTAAATCATGGCAATTTATTAGATAAATATATATTACACATCTCAAACATGGAGGGCACTATAAAAAATACAATGATGAGTGCTGGATCTTAAGGTGTTTATAGTCTAGTGCAGTGATTCTCAAAAGTGCATGGAACTTACGTCAGCCTCCTCTGCCCCTCTTCCCTGAAGAGCTACCAGGAATACATATCACAGACTTTGGAGGTAGGCTTTTTTTTTTTTTTTTTTCCTCTATCGAGTCGCATGTATCAACTAGAGTGACATACACCTTGGGCTTGTTGGGACTGGGTAAATGGCTGTAGACTCCATTGAAGTTTTTCCTTTTCCTCTGGTTTAGTGAGACAGATAAAATGTGCACATGGCATAAAATCCGTTTCAAATTGTGAGTTAGCGCACGTGCGCACGCACACAAACACACACACACACACACACACACACACACACACACACACAGAGTTGAACCAAACATGTCATGGAATGATATTTGTCCTATGTGTGATGAGCTCTGGTATTTTTCTGTTCTATTTCAACTGAAAAAATAATATAAGCCACACGCCAAAAAACTGATCTCTCAAATCACTAATGCATTGCCACCTAAAGTTTGAAACACAGTTTTTCAAGATGTGATAATGGTTTGGAAGACAGAGATGAGGAAGACAAGGTCATTGAATGTATTCCTGTATTATTATCATAAAAATGATATACTTGTAATTACCATGATGTAGGCACAATTATAAGTGCTTTTCATGTCCTAGGTTATTTAATTCTTACTACAATCCTGTGAGAGGTCTGTGACTGTTAGAGTTGTTTTACAGATAAGGAAATGGAGGCACAGAGAGGTTAAGTGATCTGACCAAAGTTACCCAGGATTTGACACAAGGCTTCCTGATACCAGAACCCATGCTTTTGAGACCCCTCTAGCAAGTTTACAGCCAATCATCTTACATAGCATGCCATAGGTCACCATGAGCTAGGAAGATAGTAAGAATAAATCTACTCCACAACTAGGGAAAATAAATAAGAGCATATTTCATCACCAGAAATGAGCAATGGCTTCCTGGTATTTAGAAGGCAAAAATAAGGTCTAATCCAGACCCTAGGAGTGACTCTCTTTTAGGGACTCTAGAGGAATACAAATGACAGAGCGAAGCAGACATGATCAGGGCCAACCACTTTCTTCCCCTATATTTTAAGTCAAGAGGAGAAAATACAAACAGATTCAAATTCCCCTTCCTGAATCTCCTCATTTCAGATTCGAAGAGTCAGGACACAGAAGAAAGCATGGCTTGAAAACACAATGACTATGAAATACATTTCAGATCCACTAACAATTAAATAATGGCATTTGATTAACATCTATGAATAACATTTGTAAATACCTCATTTTTGTTGTAAATACCTTCATTGATTATCATTTAATTTTATCTTCATCGATTTTAATTTGGATTGCCTCTAGCTCATAAACTAGGTAAATATGAAATGTTTAATAAATCACACTATTAAACCTAGCCGTCACCCTGGGTTACCCAATGCACCCATCCCTAATGAGCAGGTTTAATAGTGTACAGGGAAATAACAACAATTGCCTAGTACTTTTAATATGTGCAACGTGCAGAAACAAAGAAATAAAGAAGAAAACCACTATTTTTTTTTTGCAGAATAAATCTAAATTATTACTGAACAGGTTGTCTTCACTGCTGTTTCTGAAAACTTGTTTTCATTATGATAGTCATATGTATTTGAGTAAACATTACCTAAATAAATTCCAAAATTTTAACAATGCGCAGCCTCACAGGGTATGTGAGGGAAGAAAAGCAAAGTGTTCCTGTTTCTTTCCTTCGTCCTTATATTCCCAAGTCCCAGAGACCACAACAGGGTGCATCCATGGGTGTCAAAGTGGCTTTCACCCATATTAACAGGGGGGCCTAGAGGGTAGCAGTACCCACTCTTATCCACATGTGCCCTATCTCACCTGCTGTCAGTATCCTTTGAATTCCATAGACCTTGGGAATTATGCCATAGATACTAGCATGATCTTTATCCATGAAATGGGAAGCTTGGCTTAATGGTCAGGAATCAGTCATGCTTCCCTGTTCTGTGCCTTTTAACTTCCATTATCATCTGTCTCTGGATCCCTCAGATCCCATTTTCTTTCCTAGAGCTTTGAACTGAAGCTTGGAATTGAGTTTGGGACAAAAATGTGTCTCAGGGTGGTTACATAGACTGCTTATCATAAGCCAAATGCTAAGGTGAAGCTGTGGAATTGAGTCCTCCAACAACAAGGGGGAAAAAAGGATATCTTACGACATGCCCAGACAACTGGTGGCTATAGTTATGCTTGCTAAGATTTAGATGCATGGGGCTTGGCTTTGGTTAGCTCACTTGGTCTTACTTTCCCAAAAAGGAAACCTCTGTTTGATGGGCATTCTATTTATTCCCATCACCTGGCAGGATTTGCAGAAAAATTGCTCAGAAGTAGAATATTGATCCAGATTTTTACATCACCCATCCCTTTTGTTCTTTTTGAGCTGCATCTGGAGACTGCTGGTTTGTTCACTGGAACAAGCAGAGTTAGTTTAAAATGTAGGCAAAAACCTAAAAATAACTGAGTGTAGAATTTAATGACAGATGTATGATAAGTTTTGAATATAATTTCTCTCTCTCCAGTCCTCATTTTTGTTAAAAAACACAGAGTGATAGGACTGAGTTATTTACAAAATAGACTTCAGTCTTATATTGGCCTGATTATTTGCATAAAGTACAGCAAGAATAATTATTTCTACATAGGCTTTTTGGATTGGCTTTGATGGAATTCTGTTCCACAAGGAATCTCAGATAAAACCTTTTAAAGCCCAGCCCAGCAATGGGTTTTTATCCTCAAATACCTGTGAGTTGGGTAATCCTCTCCTATTAAGGTCCAAAGATAAACTTGGAGCTCCTGGGCCTGTCAGAAAGTGACATTCTTTACTTACCACAGGTCAGGAACCCAGTACAGTAACTGCATAGACAAGGGTATGAGGCCAGTTTTCCCAAGGGGCTTTTATCAGCTCTGCAAGTTGAGCTTGACTCCTTAAAGGGAAGCACACCCTTCCAGTCAAAGCCTCAGTAAAACAACCAATTTCTACAACTGAGTCCTGTTGCAAAAGGAAATGGATTCTTATGCACTGATGCAAACAACTATATTGCCATAAGTTCAGAATGCTCACAACTAGTTTCCAAATTCTGGAGAAGCCAGGCAAGGAGAGAGAGAGAGAGAGACAAACATGCTCCAAATTTTCATCACAGGAGTATACCTTACTCAATTATGAAAAGCTATAAATAGTTCAAAATAAGTTTCTCTGACTCTGAAAAACAAAACAAGGATCAGCAATATTCCATGCAAAAGTCAAAAAGATTGCTTCAGTTTTCTGAGTTCAGTCCATTTAGTTAACTCTTGTTTTGCCTGATATTCATGAAGATTTTAGCTCTTCACAAGTCCTGTACATTTTCCTTTATTCCAATGTCACAATCTCCAAAGTTATGAGAAACCTGTATTTGAGAGCACCTATCAGAGTCCTATAGTTTATTATAAACCACCTTTTGAAAAGGATTAAAATAAGATATCAGTTGTCTGTGGATAACAAAATGTCCAGGGTAGTTACAGCTAGAAACAAAATTGACAAAGAAGTTTGGTTATCTCTGTGGTTTACAATAACTTCAAATCACAACTTTAATTATGATAGCATATACTTTAAACATTAGAATTTTAGAACAGTTTTGGAACATATATTAGTATTATTCACCAAAATATAACCTAAAGAAGATTAAACGCTATGTTGGCAATCTGATGTAACTAAACATATCAAATAATCCTGTTTACTGCTTTTTTGGATACTCCAGAGGCCCTCTGTAGCATCCAAAAGTGAGGTGTCAGGCAAGACAATTTTGAAATTGAAGTTTGAATTTGGGAATCCTGTTAAATATGTTAGATGTTTAAAACACTTGATGTTTTGAAATAGAATTCCAGATTATCATGTTATTTATTTTGCCAAAATGACTTCGAAATTTAAAAAAGCAAAAATCTTTTATAATCTTTTACAAATTTTGCTAAAGAGCAGATTAATACCTTAAGAGTACTTTGTTGTGCTTTTATTTCAATGCTAAATTTATGGAGAAACCATATAATACCCTTTTGAATTTAGTCAATATATTCACACACAGAATTTCTTTTGCAAGAATAATTTTAACAATCCTTCCATCATTTGTTTAAATCTCCAGCTTTACCTAATTCAAAACAATCCTTTAACCTTAGGCAAGAACCCTATTTCTGCACCTTCTTATAATTTTTTACTAAAAACACATCGTACTGTTCTTACACACCTTGCAGGTAAATCTATTTCCAGTAGTTTAAATTACATGTTATAATGGTAACTCCTAGCAATTTTAACTTTAATGTAAAACCTGGTAAGTTGTTTTAATTACGTGCCAGGTGCAGCCAAGGTTTGACTCCTTCCAGCATGATTAAGGGTGTGGTTAATTCCATATGTCCCCAGGCCTTACCAATTGTGAAGCTGGCAAGTTGAAAGGTTCTCAAAAAACCAAAAAGTCACTTTGTAACCTTAAAATCTTTAGCAAGACTAGTATCAGTCCTGCATAATTTAGTTCACCTATTTACATTTTGATGATATCTGCATTCTACCAAAATCTTTAAGGCTGTTTTTATTTCTCAAAGATTAAAGTCACATTAATTAAAAGGTACCACAGCTTTTATCTTCCCTTTACAAAATATTTGATCCAAGTGCTTGTCTTCCTTTGTGCCAATTAAAACTCTTTTTTTATAGACATCACACACACAACACAAAATATAACTACACAGGCAGAAGAAAATCCAGCAGACATAAGATCTTTAATTTGCCATTCTCCTACTTGGATTATTGGCCTCTGGGTGGAGCCCTTTAAGAGACAGAGCTAGGAGAACATGCAGCTTCTAAAGCCTAATAAACAGCCATAGGTAGGAGGCAAAAACAGGTTTTTGAGAGGGATTCATCCACTTTTAATTCCTGGGGTTTAATGAGGGAAACAGAGTTCTCTCCCGTCTCATGCATGCCTTAAAAGTGGCAAGGCAAAATAGAGAAAAATAATTCAGTTGACTAAAAAAAAACAAAACACTTTTTTTCCAGCAAAACAGGATCCAAGAAAAGAAAAACATAAAGGCTTTTTCAATATATCTATAAGTTGGATATTCACTTTAAATTAAGCTGAGCACTCTCTAAGAAAATCCTTTTAACTCCCTTATTACCCAACTTCAGCCACAACAAGCAGCCAATATTTCTGGCTTTCAAACGCTACTGAAGGTCACTACACAGGTGAAACCAACACGCCTCAATTAAGGTTATGCTTTAACCACAAGTGTATGAGGTATTTTCAAAGGGGCTAAGCAGTTCTTACAAAATTTAGAACCTTTAAAGGTAACCCAGAGAAAGGAAGATTTAAGAAAAAAACTAGAAGTTGTTCATGGAGGGGAAGAGAATCAGCAAGTAGCAAAAGTCACACAGATATCAGTCCAAAAGTACTCATTCCCTAAGTCAGGTTTGAACCTGGCTGTTACTATAAAACGGTGGAGGCTAAACAAAACATTGCTACATGGTTACAGGTCACTCTCCCGAGGATGTAAAACAAGATGGAGGCCTGCAGCAAAGTTTGCTACTGACCTTACAGAAAGTCATGCAGAGCACACCAAATTGGCTACAGCTTAAGACCAACCTGACAAATCTTTTTTTATAATTAAAACTTTACAGAGAATATAAACAGTGATAGTTGGGTCCTGGCCTAGTAAAACTTTTTCTAAAAAGAAAAAAAAAGTGTCACATAAAAGTTAACTTCTGACAGGGTAAAGAAAAACAAGTTAAAGTTCAGGGTTGGAAAGATGCCTGGGGTAAGAACCTCTTGTTCTTTTTTTTTTTTTTTTTTTTTTTTTTTTGAGAGGGAGTCTCACTCTGTCACCCAGGCTGGAGTGCAGTGGCGCCATCTCGGCTCACTGCAACCTTCGCCTCCCAGGTTCCAGCTATTCTCCTGCCTCAGCCTCTCCAGTAGCTGGGACTACAGGTGCATGCCACCATGCCTGGCTAATTTTTGTATTTTTTTTAGTAGAGACAGGGTTTCACCATATTGGCCAGGCTGGTCTCGAACTCCTGACCTGCTGATCCACCCACCTCAGCCTCCCAAAGTGCTGGGATTTCAGGTGTGAGCCAGCACGCTCAGCCTAATCTCTTATTCTTATGCCAATGGATTCCTCTAACAGGGAGAGAAACTTACGGGAGATGGGGAGCCATCGGTTCACCCGTGCACCCTGAAAAGAGAAGGAAAAGGAAAAGGCCGACATTCCTGACCCCCAGGAGTGATGTGGGGGAAGGCATAATTTCCTCCACTCTCCCAACATATCTGAGCACAAAAAGGCTTAGAAGCGAAAGGAAAAAAGATTTTTTCTTTGCATGTTACTCACCTTTCCTCGAGCCCCATATCTGGATGCCAAAAATGTTGCAGAACTTTCTCCTTAGTTCAGCTAAAACTGGCCTCTTGTCACACAACCAGGAATGATTAGGCTTGTGGATACATAGAAGGGTGAGGAAAATGGAACTTATTGGGTGGAAAGGAAAAAGGAAAAATTAACTCAGCAAAGCGAGAGTCCTGCTAGCAGGTTTCCTGCCTCACAAATTGATTCTCAGGTCACCACACAGGAACAGGAGAGGCCAGGCTCCTACCCCCTACAAATGGTATGAACTTCCTGAGGCTCCACCCTGTCCTCCCAGTGTGCAGGTGGGCTTTATTCAGAAATAATCAGTTGGGAAAGGGCAGGCTTCATCTGGAACCAGCAGTCCAGTTTTTCAGCCTTCAGGCTGTTTTAGGATTGAAGGTGGGGTTTTCCTGGGGATCTTTGGCTGTCTTCCTGTCTCTATCACCGTCATAGTTATATAAATGTTATGTAATAGTGAATATGAGCTCCATAAAATGCAACAAGCTGAGGAAGTATAAGTTATCAAGATCAACATAAATACAATTGACCTAAAGATCATTCATGCTTTGAAGCAGCACAAGACTGTTAAGAGAATTTAGGAATACTAATGTGCATTTCTTATTTTTTCAGGTTGATGAATTATACCAGTGTGTGGCAACTCTGGCCAAATGTTAGAATCACCTGTGGGAGCTTCAAAAATAATGCCTATGCCTGTGCCCTAATCCCAGACGAATTGAATCAACATCTATGGAAGATGATCCCTGGATATCAGCATTTCTCAAAGCTCTCCAACAGATTTTATAGAGTAGCTTAATTTAAGGTCCCATAAGGGAAGGAAACAGCAAACTCATATCTTTTAGTGCGACTTTCAGAAACAGAATGCATTGCCCAAGTAGTTTGCCACTGGTTCCTATGCTTAAGGCAAATCCTAGGTAACAAGCATGTGAAATTTACATGCCTAACTGCTCTTTTTGAGTTTTCTAACACTCCAAGAAGTTTTAAATGTATCTAAATGTTTCTCCGAGAATCTTAGGAATTCTATCACTGCCAGTACAGATAGTCAAGTCTTAGGAATGTAACTAATTTCTTTCATTCTCTGGTCTTCCAACAATCATGTTAATTTATAAAAAAAAAATGCATTAAAGAGAAGTACATGGTCGCAATTAATATTATGGATTCTTTTGTCTGTTTTCCTAACTTCTGATACCTGTTCTTCAGTTGGCTAACTATATGACTTTAAAAGATACTTAATTTCTCTGAGTCACAATTTTTTCATCTGTAAAAATCTTATTAGATGGTTACCTGTGGTCGATATTTTAATACAGGAAAAGTGTTTTGAACAAGGCCTGCAACATACTAAGATACTCAATAATTGTTAGCTTTTTTAGCATGCAAAATTAGGGCTTCAGATGTTTGCTACCTACCAGGATAAAACAGTTGTGTTAGGTCTGCTGTAGGATGTCAATAGCTACCTATTAATTAAGCCCGGAAAAGCAGAACAGGAATTGAAGAGTTTACAGTTAAAAAAAGTCAAGAAACATACAATCGTTGGGTAAAACATTGCCTAATGTGTACAGAAAATCAATGCATTACTACAATATACACACATATACAAAATATTTTTTTAAAGATGCTATAATGAAAATATTCTAACTAAGCACAGAATATTGTTTGAAATGAGTAGTTCTAAACTCTCACTGCACAACAAATGACTGAGTTTCTAAAAAATATCAGTCCTGTGGTCCCCTACCAAGATATTATGATTTGTCAGACTTGGTGAGACATCTGTACATGGGATTTATTTTAAAGCTAAAAAGTTTATTCTAATGTGCAATCAGAGTTAAGAACTACTAATTTAGGTCATTCAACTAGTTTGGGCACTGTGTTTTTAACTGAACAATTTAGGCATATATTTTGAACTTTGCTAGAGTGGATATTCACTGATATCCTAAACTTTTTATCTAGAATTTACAATGCATGAAAGTGTGGCTTGTGAAAGTTTAGGAAGCAACATGATATTTCTTTCAGAAAAATTCTTTCAATCTTCCAAGCAACATAGACTTCTTAAAGCTATTGAATTAATGATACTCCACTACAGCATCTTAATGGAGACATACTCATTTCATAACTATCATCTTACATGATGCATGGCTTTCACCATTAATGCAAAAAAAATACTGTTGGGAGCAGAGCAAAAAGGCAGAATAGATGGAACACCAAATTTAACAACTATCTACACAAAAAAAATCACGTTTATAAAAAACAAAAATCAGGTAAGCATTCATATAACTTGGTTTTAACTTCGTAATACCGAAAGAAGCACTGGAAAAAAGAGGAAAGACATCTTGAACTGTGGACACCACCCCTCCCCCATACCTTGACAGTGGCTGCAAGGTGAGGAAAATCTGTGCACTTGGAAAGGGAGAACACAGCAACTGTGAGATTTTCTTCAATGAACTCAGTGCTGTCCTGTCACAGCAGAAAGCAGAATTGTGATGTACATAACTGATCCCTACCCAGGGAGAAAGCATATGGATCAGCCCAAGCCAGAGGGAAATCACCGATCCCAGCAGTGGGAACTTGAGTTCCAGCAAGCCTCGCAACCTCAGGCTTGAGTGCCCCGGGTCCCTAAATAAACTTGAAGGGCAGTCTAGGCCACAAGGACTGCAACTCCTCCGTGAGCCCAAGTGTACAGCTGGGCTCAGAGCCAGTGGACTTGGGGGGTGGGCACACGACTTACTGAGACATCAGCTGGGGTAGCTAAGGGAAGGCTTGTGCAACCTCTACCACAGCACCAGGCTGCACGTCTCATGGGTCAAAAGAGACACCTTTCTTCTGCTTGAGGAGAGGAGAAGGAAGAGGAGAGAAGACTTTGTCATGCATCTTGGATACCAACTCCGCCACTGTAAGATAGTGTACTGGGCAGAGTCATGAGGCCCCTATTCCAGGCCCTAGCTCCTGAATGACATTTCAAGACACATCCTGGGCCAGAAGGGAATCCACAGCCTTGAAGTGAAGGACACAGTCCTGGCAGGACCCATTACTGGCTGAATAAAGAGCCCCTGGGCCTTGAATAACCAGCAGCAATAACCAAGCAGTACGCCATGGGACTTGGCACTCTGAGACTTACTGGAATCAGGTGAGACCCAGCACATTCCCAGCTCTCGTGGTTACAAGGCGAGACTCCTTTTGCTTGAAAGAAAGAGGAGGGGAAAGTGAAGGAAACTTTGTCTTGCACCTTAGGTATGAGCTTGGCCACAGGAGCACAGAGCATCAAGTGGGCCCTTAGGGTCCCCAATTCCAGGACTTGAATCTTGGATGACATTTCTGGATCTGCCCTGGGCAGGTGGAGACCCCAGTGCCCTGAAGGGTGAGACCAGGCCAGGCAGCATTCACCACAAGCAGCGTTCACCAAAAGATGATTAAAAAGCCCTTGGGCCTAAAGTGAACATTGATAGAGGCCTAGCAGTACACCCCACGGGCCTGTGGTGGTGCTGGACATGAGGTGAGACTCCTTTGCATGTGGAAAGGGAAAGGAAGAATATGCAGGACTGTGTCTCATGGTTTGAGTGCTAGCTCAGCCACTGGGCAATACAACACCAGATAGAAATCTAAGGTTACTAACTTCAGTTTTTAGCTCCAGAATAGCATCTCTGGAACCACCTGGGGCCTAGGAGAGCTTGTCTCACTGAAAGGAAGAATAACCTGTCTGGCTTCCCAGCCTGCTGATTTTACAGCCTTAGGGCCTTCAGTGAACACAAATGGTAGCCAGGCAATGATTACAGTGAACGTTGAGTGAGACCCAGTGCTCTGCTAGCTTCAGGTCTCACCCAGTGTGTTCTCAGTGGTCACAGGGATGCTTGTGTCAAAGACTTTCCCTTCCCACAACGTCAAGTGGCTCAGCACAGAGAAAGAGACTCCATTTGTCTTGAAGAAACTAAGGGAAATGAACAAGATCTTCTGCCTTATAATCCAAAAAATTCTTCTGGATCTCAAACAAGACCACTAAGATGGTACCTGTATGGGTCTGCAAGAACCACAGCTTTACTGTAATTGGGGTGTCCCCCAATGAAGACATTGCTTAGATCACAACACCTAGGTTATTTCGAATGCCTGGAAAACTTTCCCAAGAAAGATGGATATGAATAAGCCCAGACTATGGAGATTACAATAAATACCTTACTTTTTAATGTCTAGGCAGCAACAAACATCTGCAGATATCAACATCATCCAGAAAAACATGACCTAACCAAATTAACTAAATAAGGCCCCAGAGAACAACCAAGGAAAAATAGAGATATACCTTTCAGACCAAGAATTCAAAATAGCTGCGTTGAAGAAGCTCAAAGAAATTCAAGATAACACAGAGAAGGAATTTAGAATTCTATCAGATAAATTTAACAGAGATTGAAACAATTTAAAAGAATCAAGCTGAAATTCTGCACTTGAAAAATGCAACTGACATACTGAAGAATGCATCAGAGTCTCTTTATAACAGATTTGATCAAGCAGAAGAAAGAATTAGTGAGCTTGAAGGCAAGCTATTTAAAAATACACAGAAGAGGCAAAAAGGAACAAAAAAGAATGAGGCACACCTGCAAGATAAAGAAAACAGCCTCAAACAGGAAAATCTACGAGATATTGGCCTTAAAGAAGAAGTAGAGAAAGAGATAGGAGTATAAAGTTTACTCAAAGGGATAATAACAACTCCTCAAACCTAGAGAAAGATATTAATATCCAAGGACAAGAAGGATACAGAAAACCCAGTGGATTTAACCTAATGACTACCTCAAGACATTAAATAATCAAATTCCCAAAGGATAAAAAAAAAGGATCCTAAAAAATAGCAGGAAAAAGGAGACATGTAACCCACAATGAAGCTCCAATATGTCCAGCAGCAGACTTTTCAGTGGAAACCTTACAGGCCAGAAGAGAGTGGCATCACATATTTAAATTGCTGAAGGAAAAAAACTTTTACCCTAGAATAGTATATCCAGCAAAAAATAATCTTCGAATATGAAGGAGAAATGAAGACTTTCCCAGACAAACAAAAGCTGAAGGGTCTCATCAACACCAGACAGGCCCTACAAGAAATGTTAAAGGGGGTACTTCAATCAGAAAGAAAAGGAAATTAATGAGCAATAAGAAATTATCTGAAGGTACAAAATGCACTGCTTTCAGTAAGTACACAGAACAAACACAGAATACTATAAAACTGTAACTATGATATGTAAACTACTCTTGTCTTAAATAAAAAGATTAACCAATCAAAAATAGTAATTATAATAACTTTTCTAGACATACACTGTAAAATAAGATATAAACAGAAATCACAGGAAGTTTAAAAGCAAGAAGTTAAAGTTAAGATGTACAATTTGTATTAGTTTTCTTTTCATTTGTTTATGAAAGCAGTGTTGACTTGTTAAAAGCTTAAAATAATGGGTTATAAGATAGTATTTGCAAGCCTCATGGTAACCTCAAATAAAAAAAAAACATAACGGATATACAAAAAATCCAAAGCAAGAAACTAAATTGTATCACCAGAGAAAATCACCTTCACTAAAATGAAGTCAGGAAGAAAGGAAAAAAGAAAGAGAATACCAAAAACAACCAGAAAACACATAACAAAAAGGCATGAGTAAGTCCTTACTGATCAATAATACAATAACATTGAATGTAAATGAACTCTCCAATGAACAGACATACAGTGGCTGAATGGATGATAAAACATGATGTAATGGTTTATTGCCTATAAGAAACACACTTCACCTATAAAGACACACATAGGCTAAAAATAAAGGAATGAAAAAAGATGTTCCGTGCCAATGGAAACCAAAAAAGAGCAGGAGTAGCTATACTTATATCAGATACAGCAGATTTCAAGACAAAAACTATAAGAAAAGACAAAGTCACCCTATAATGATAAAGGGGTCAATTCCTCAAAATGATATAACAACTATATATAAGTATGTATGCATTCGCCCAACACTGAAGCACCCAGACATATAAAGGAAATAATATTACAGCTAAAGAGAGAGATAGGCCCTAATACAATAATAGCTGGATACTTCAACACCCCACTTTCAGCACTGGACAGATCTTCCAGACAGAAAATAAAGAAACATGGAACTTATTCTGCACTATAGAACAAATGGCCCTAATAGATATTTACAGAACGTTTTTTTCCAACAGCTACAGAATACACATTCTTTTCCTCAGTACATGGATCATTCTCAAAGATAAACCGTATGTTAGGTCCCAAAAATGTCTTAAAACATTCAAAAAACTAAAACAATATCAAGCATCTTCTGTGACCACAAATGGATTAAAACTACAAATCTACAACAAGAAGAATTTTGGAAAATATACAAATACATGGAAATTAAACAGTATGTTCCTGAATGGCCAGAAGGTCAATTCAAAAATTAAAAAGGAAATTGAAGAAAATCCTTGAAACAAGTGGTAATGGAAACACAACATACCAAAACCTATGAGATACAGCAAAAGCAGTACTAAGAGGGAAGTTTACAGGTATATGTGCCTATATCAGAAAAAGAAAAACTTCAAATATATAATCGAATGATGAATCTAAAATAACTAAGACAATCAAAATCAATCAAAATTAGTAGAAGAAAATGAATAATAAAAACTAGAGCGGAGATAAGTGAAATTGAAACAACAAAATACAAAAGATCAATAAAACAAAAAGACATTTTTTGAAAAGATGAACAAAATTGACAAACTTTAGCCAGACTAAGAAAAAAACAAGAGAGCTCCAAATAAATAAAACCAGAGATGAAAAAGAAAACATTAAAACTAATACATCAGAAATTTAAAAGATTATTAGTGGCTGGTGTGAGAAACTATATGCCAATAAATTGAAAAATCTAGAAGAAATGGACACCTTTCTAGACACATACAACCTAGGAAGGTTGAACCATGAAGAAATCTAAAACCAGAACAAACCAATAACAAGTAATGAGATTGAAGCTTTAATAAAAAGTCCCACCACAAAGAAAATACTGGAACTCAAGGGATTCACTGCTGACTTGTACCAAACATTTAAAGCAGAACTAATACCAATCATATTCATACTATTCAGAAAACTAAAGAAGGAGAGAACACCTCCAAACTCAATCTACAAGGCTAGTATTAACATGATAGGAAAAACAGAAAAAGACACATCGAAAAAAGAAAAGTATAGGCAAATATAACTGATGAATATTGATCCAAAAATCCTCAACAAAATACTAGAAAACCAAATTCAACAACACAATAAAAAGATCATTCATCACGACCAAGTGGGATTTATCCCAGGGATTCAAGGATGGTTCTACATATGTAAATCAATCAATGTGATACATCAAATCACAGAATGAAGGAAAAAAAACATATGATCATTTCAATTGATGCTGAAAAAACATTTCATAAAATTCAACATCACTTGTTGGTGAAAACCCTCGAAAAGCTTGCTATAGTAGGAACATACCTCAGCATAATAAAAGTCATATGCTACAGACCCACAGCTTGTATTGCTTGTATCATATTGAGTGGAGGGAAAACTGAAAGCCTTTCCTCTAAGATCTGGAATGCAAGGTTGCCCATTTTCACCACTGTTATTCAACATAGTACTGGAAGTCCTATCTAGAGCAATCAGACATGACAAAGAAATAAATGACATCCAAGCTGAAAAGAAAGAAATGAAATTATCCTTCTTTGAGGATGATGTCATCTTATATTTGAAAAAAAACCCTGAAGACTCCATTAAAAAACTACTAGAACTAATAAATTCTGTAAAGTTGCAGGATACAAAATCAGCATACGAAATTCAGTAGCATTTCTATATGCCAACAGTGAACAATGTGAAAAAAAAGTAATCCCATTTACAATAGCCACACATAAAATTAAATACTTAGGAATTAACCATAGAAGTAAAAGACCTGAAAAATGAAAACTACAAAACACTGATGAAAGGAATCAAAGAGGACACAAAAATGGAAAGGTATTCCATATTCATGGATTGAAAGAATAAATATTGTTGAAATGTCCATACTACCCAAAGCAATCTACAGATTCAATGCACTGTCTTTCAAAATACCAATGACATTCTTCAAAGAAATAGAAAAAAAAGTATCATAAAATTGATATGAAATCCCACAAGATTCAGAATAGCCAAAGCTATCCCAGAAAGAACAAATCTAGAGGAATCACATTACCTGACTTCCAATTATGCTACAGAGCTATAGTATAATAACCAAAATAATATGGTTCTGGCATAAAAAGAGACACAAAGATCAATGGAACAGAATGAAGACCCCAGAAACAAATCCATGCACCTACAGTGAACTCATTTTTAACAACGATTCCAAGAACATACATTGAGGAAAGGGCAGTGTCCTCAATAAATTATGCTGGGAAAACTGGATATTCATATGCAGAAGAACGAAATTAGAACCCTATCTCTTGCCACATATAAAAGTGAAATACAAATGGATTAAATACTTAAATCTAAGACCTGAAACTATGAAACTACTCAAAGAAAACATGGTGAGAAACTCTCCAGGACATTTGGCTGGGCAAGGACTTCTTGTATAATACCCCACCTGCACAGGTAACCAAAGCAAAAATGGACAAATGGGATCTCATCAAGTTAAACAGGTTCTGCACAGCAAAGGAACCAGTCACCAAAGAGACAATCCACAGAATGGGAGAAAATATTTGCAAACTACATATCTGACAAGGGATTAATAACCAGAATATATAAGGAGCTCAAACAACTCTACAGGAAAAAATCTAATAATCCAGTAAAAAATGGGCAGAAGATTTGAATAGACATTTCTCAAAAGAAGACATACAAATGGCAAACAGGTATATGACTAGGTGCTCAAAAACATTGATCATCATAGAAATACAAATCAAACTTACAATTAGATATCATGTCCCTGCAGTTAAAATGGCCTGTAACCAAAAGACAGGCAACAGCAAAAGCTGGCAAGAATGTGGACAAAAAGAGAGCCCTCGTACGCTGTTGGTGGGAATGTAAATTAGTACAACCACTGTGAAGACAAATTTGGAGTTTCCCCCAAAACTGAAAATAGAGCTATCATAGGATCCAGCAATACCACTTCTAGGTATATTCCCAAAAGAAAGAAAATCAGTACATCAAAGAAATAGCTGCACTCCCATGTTTTTTGCAGCACTGTTCACAACAGCCAAGATTTGGAAGCAATCTAAGTGTCCATCAACCAAATGAATAGATAAAGACAATGTGGCATATATACACAATGGAGTGCTATTCACCCATAAAAAATGAATGAGATTCTGTCATTTGCAACAACATGGATGGAACTGGGGGTCATTATGTTAAGTGAAATAAGCCAAGCACAGAAAAAAAAAATCACATGTTCTCACTAATCTGTGGAAGCTAAAAATTAAAACAATTGATCTCATGCAGATAGAGAGTAGAAGAATGATTACCAGAGGCTGGAAAGGGTAATGGGGACAGCGGGAGTGGGCATGGTTAATGGGTACAGAAGTATAGTTAGATTGATGAATTGGACCTAGTATTTGCTAGTACAACAGGGTGACTATAGTAAAAAATGATTTAATTGCGCATTTTAAAATAACTAAAGTGGTAAAACTGGATTGTTTGAAGCACAAAGGATAAATTCTTGAGGTGATGGATACCCCATTTTCCCCGATATGACTTTTTCACATTGCATGCCTGCATCAAAATATTTCATGTAACCCAGAAATATATACATCTACTATATATCCACAAGATTAAAAAAAGAGAAACATTCCCATAAGCAGAAAAAATCTTGATTTCCAGAAGCAGTGACTTCGGTAAACGTGACCTTGGTAGGTCATCCTTGGTGAGAACTATCTCCTTCATGTTTGTTTTGTTGGAGAATTGTGATTACATGCTAAACCAAGGATTACAGAATTGTCAAAGTAAAGCAGTAAATGTAGTGCACACGTTAAATTTTACATTGTGAACAAAATGAGAAGCAGTGAAGAAACTATGATTATTCGATAGCCAAAAATTCCAAATTATCGAATTGCTTTTGCAAGTTAAAGAAATATTTCAGGAATTTTATTTATACAAGCATAATGTTAAAGGCTGTCCAAGATAATTACTAGCTTTGTGAACTTGAAGTTATTTAACTTCTTTGTGATTCATTGTTTTATATACAAAGGCAATGATAATGGTATTGCCACATAAAGTTATTATGAAACTTAAATGGAATTGTATATAAAATGACTTTATCACAGTGTCTGACACATAATATATACTAAAAAAATTGTTAGAATTCCATAATCATTACCTCATTACCATTATTTGAACTCTATAAAGAAGTAAAATATATGGTCCCTGTTCTTCAAGAGTTTTGAATCAACCTTGGGAGAAAATTATATTAAATTGAAATAATAGCTTTGGTCTACATTTCAAATAATTAAAGCAATAGTGAGCTTGAGGCATACTATTAATTGTAACACAAATCATACGGAAAATCATTGCCCTGGCAAGTCAGGAGGAGATGGCTTGGAATAATTAATACAATACTCCCTTGAAAACTTTGTTCTACTCTCTCTTGCATCTGTTACTTAATATCCATGTCTTTAAGCAAATCGCACCACTTCTCCAGGCCTGGTTTTACCCACCTGTAAATGAAGTGATTGGAATTTTCTAGAAATAAACTTCTAGGAGTCTTTGTTAGAATTAGACAAAGATTCAGATATGAATAAACTGCCATCAGACCACAAAGTTAGAGGAAATTATTAAAGATGGAAAATATCACATGTATCAAGGATAGAGTGAATAAATCTTGCTGGCTAGAATGCAGTGTTCACGTGGGAAAATACTGGGAACTCAAGCAGACAATTTAGTTTCTGGAGGCATTTGAATGTCTTTCTAAGAAGTCTGGACTTCATTCCATATGCAGTGGGCAGAGTTTTAGGAAGATGAAATCATATTGGTAAATAAGGATTTGGGCCAGGAAATTGGCAGAAAAAAACAGTTATGAAGTTATTATCATAGTCTGAACCTAAGCTGGAACTAAGTGAGCAACAGGAAAATATAAAGACAGTCATGCAAGGTGTTATGAAGTGATATGCACTTGATTGTTGACTGGATAGAACAGATAGAGTTGACAGCAGATGATAGAAGATTGGAGGTAAGGAACTGCTGGTGAGTTAGAAAGGATAGCTAGTTTGGAGAAAGGGAAAAGGGATGAATAATTAAACCTTAGAAATGTTTGATTTTTCAGTCAAAAACATGATCCCAGTAAACACAGACCAAGGACAAGTGGAGAATGGAAAACAGGAGAAGGTTTAATGGAGCTGTAAACTTGGGAGTTATCTGCATAGAGAAGGTAGCTTAAATAAAATTAATAGAATAAATCTCCAAAAAGAGATTAGCAAATGATTGTGCGCAAGCAGTACAGTCAGCTTTATTTTTTAATTATTCAAATGAAAGGGGCATTATTTAGCTAACATTGGTGAAAGCAATAAAATGAAAATACTACACCTTAGGCAACTAGAATAAGAATTTTTCACTAGGTGTTTGTCTTCATTATTTTATTGGCTAAAGTCAATGTCTTAATTTGGGTTCCTACAAAAGTCAACTCTGAGGCAAAGATTTCACTGTAAGTTGCTTATTTGGGCAGTCATCACAGAAAGCACTGGAGACAATGAGGAAAGGAGAAAGGGGAGGGAGGAGAGTCAATAAAATCTATGTTGATGACGAGGTTACCAGTGTGGGCAAATGGGACTCCATCCTGTTGGCCATCCTCTGAGGGGCTGTGTGGATCATGTCTCAGAATTATTCTACCAAGAAATGAGGAAGCTGGGATATTTATTCAATGATTTCTGTTCCTCATTTGTTGAGGGTAACTCCTGGGATGATACTGACATAGCACTTCCAGTCTGCCCCTGTCCAGGATGATCAGAGAACACTCTCAGACAGAGAAGTAAGAATGTATACCTGTATTGTAACTCTTCAGAAGCCTCCAATGTGTTATGCATAAGCAGTACTGTCAGCCTTATTTTTTAAAAATTCAAACGAAAGGTGATATGAATGAAATGCCAGCATCTGCCAGAGACAATTGTCAGTGTGTGTCTGTATGCCTTGCCTACATAAAACTGACACAGAAATGAGATGGTAACAGCATTTGTCTAGATAGCAAGAAACCTCATGGTTATGTTGTATTCACAAAAGGTAAGATCACTGTGGCTTTTTGGTTTCTTAATGGATGTTTATATGATACCCACTCAAGAAATCATACAATCAGATGTACATTTTAAAAACAAATGTACATAACTGGAGTCCATTCTTCCTTTGAAAATAAACACAAATGTATGTATGTGTTTGCATGCACACACATTAAAGCATCACAGTGTTAAGTAGTCATATGTTCATACCTTTTCTATAAAAGAGCTTTCTATTAATATCAAAAGAAGCCATACTTAGGTGATACATAGGGTTGTGGAGAATAACAAACACTGATTTTTGTTTTGACATGTGTATTAGTTCATTTTCATGCTGCTAATAAACATATACCTGAGACTGGGTAATTTATAAAGGAAAGAGGTTTAATGGACTCACAGTTCCACATGGCTTGGGAGGCCTCACAATCATGGTGGAAGATGAATGAAGAGCAAAGGGACTCCCATTTACAAAACCAACAGATCTAGCGAGACTTATTCACTACCAGGAGAACAGTATGGGGAAAACCACCACCATGATTCAATTATTTCCGCCTGGTCCCAACCTTGACGTGTGGAGATTATTACAATTCAAGGTGAGATTTGGGTAGGGACAGAGCCAAACCATATCAACATGACCTTATTGGATGTGTAGACACAGAAACAATTTTCCCAGGGAAAGAAATAGAATGGCTTCCTTACTGGCATCTGGTCATGATATTCTGATTGTTGCATGCCCATAAATATTAGTCATAAGCTGTAAAATAACCCAAAGATGATGATTCTGACAAGCCATCTATTTAATATTAGTGTGGCCCCAGACATAAACAAATAACCATCCTTTCCTCACTTGTTAGGCTGGCAATCTGCTGGCCTTTCCTGACAAACTAAAAACGGTTTTCGACAAAGTGTGAAGAAAATGCCTTCATGTGAAAATGGAGCTTCGAACAGTATAATCACTCTGCATATAAGTGTGATATCACTTAGCCGAAAATGCAGCATAGCCACAGTTCATAAGCAGTTTGTGTATTCATTAATGTGGACCAGCTGGCAAGATGCCCTGCCAAGCCCCCTAGAAGACTAGATGTGGAAATAATTATGTACCAAGGTAAAAACTGACAAGACTTCTATAGTGATGAATTGACACATATGGAGCTCATAGATGAGGAATTGCAGTAAGTCTTGTTTCACCACAAATGCTTAATATCCACATAATTTGATTTTTAATTTTTTTGGCATTTTGGTTGAGTCATATGTCGTATAATTTGAAGAACTCCATTGAAGAAAAACGAGGTTAAAAAAGAGTCAAAACGAGATGGCATAAGGGAATGCAAAATAATTCACAAAATAATACAAAATCAATATGTTCACGAGGCAATATGACCATTAATCTAGCAAAAGAGCATTGAGAAGTCATCACAGAAGGCACATGAAAACAGATCTTGTAGGGCTGTCCTATAAATCCTAAAGTCTCTTCAATAAATGCTATTGCTACCATGGACATTTATGAAGAGGCTACTGTCAAAAAGCTACATTCTCTGAAGCAGAAATCAACATTCATATGTAAAAAATGCACATATAGCAAAGCAAGCTTTTCTTTTTGAGGAAAAATTATCTGTGGATATAAATATGGCATGCTGAAAAACATGTATATCCAGGTCACCAATGAAATCTTTGTTTGTTTGTTTGTTTGTTTGTTTGTTTTAAAACTAATGAAACCTCTGTGATTAGCACTACTGAGTAAAATTGCCATATTTATTTTGATGATAGCCACACAGGTATTTAAGTATTTTCATTTAATTTAAAGCAGTCCACTCATTCGTCTCTTTTAGATCATCTATAAGTGTGTTGTTGCCAACCAAGGGATGGCTTCACCTTCTAATTCTTGTAACACTTTTGAAAATTACAGAAAAGTTACAGCTCCTTTAATCTCTGGCAGTCAATCAACCCTAATTATACTTGAATAGCGGAAAAGCAGATACCTTGAAAGAAGTTTTTAAAGCTTAGATGGTTTAGAAGCATTGTAAGGAAACTAAATAGCTCAATGATTTCATTTCTCCAACCCAGGCTCCTGTTTCCCATATAGGAGCCATAGTTCTCAGGAGCCGGAAATATCTCAAATATTGATTGCAATTCATTTCCTTCTGAGAAAAATGGGTCCAGGAGACAATTTTTCACACTTAAGAAGTACAGTAATCAAAAACATTTTAAAAATTGAATATTTTAAAAGAAAAATTTGTTTGCAATTTTTTTGATGGAATGTCATATCGCCAGTCTTTCCTTTTCTCAGCTAAGAGGATTTCATCTCCAATATTATTATCTCAAAGCACAGCCATGGAGAGAATATGTACCTGCTTTTAAATATGCTTTGGAAAGAATTATACAAAAATGTTAAAGGTTACAATAATTGATAAGAGGATATGGCGCAGGAGAAAGTCCATAGAGAATTTAAAATATATACAAATGTAAGAAAACTAAAGATAAAGCCTAGAAAAAAAGAAATTCAAGAATTGAATTGTTTGTAATACAAAGGATAGATGCTTAAGGTGATGGTTATCTTGTTTATCTTGATGTGATTATTATGCATTACATGCCTATATCAAAATATCTGATGTAATCCATTAATGTATACACCTATATGCACCTACAAAAAAACAGATATAAAAATAAAAATTTAAAATCTAAAAAAGGCGTATGATTATAGAGCAAAGAGGGTAGAAGAGAAAGAGACGGAGGGTGATTTAGCAGAACACTGATGGATAACAGCGGCCTGAAGTCCTCTAAAGTACATTACACTGGCAGCCCAGCAGAATTGGATTTTAATTTAGGCTCTGCGCATCTAAGCAAACTTAAACATTCACACCACCACTCTCGTCTTTGTTTCTCAATCAGCAAAATGAGGGAGTATATACAGTCATATTTTCTTTTCAACTCAAAAGAAAATTTTTGATAATAGAATACTACATTCATCAAATGTCTGTTTCATGAAGAACACTGTACAGGGTTGGAGATAAATGATAGAAAATACAAACTTCCGACCATTGAGGATCTTGGCCTGATGGAAATTGACAAGGAATCTGGCCTCAAGGTGGGCCAAGTTGTGAGTAGGGATGTGCCAAAAGCTCTGTTCACAATTGGATTGCTTAAGAGGGAGTAGGTGTGCACCGGGAGTGGTAAAGAATGGGGTTGTCAAAGCAAGAATTACTGCTGAGACTCTGAAAGTTCTAAGTGACAAGTTTGGCACAGCTTGATGATACAATTTTCAATGCTAGAACACAGTCTGGATTTGAGCTGATAATGAGGAGCTTTTCCAGTTTTCGGTAGAGGAAAAAACAAGAAAAGATTGAGAACATACATTTTGACATCAGAAAATCGATTAAAACACATTAGTTGAATACGGAATGTCATGTCATCAAAAACATTCTTTTTCTTTAAGTTTTCTTTTTTGATGGGAGAATTAAACTTGAAAAATAGGCCTAACATGTTACAAAGTAGTATCCATATCTTTGAGGTTAATCATTTGACATTCAGCAATCAACTGATAAGCCAAATAAAAAATTTCAGTAAGAGGAGATGGTTTAAATGATTATTTGAAAAAATGAATGCTCAAGATCAGCTAACGAAAGGGTAACATAAAAAGGATAGTAAAGAGTAGAAGATTACTACTTCAATAAAAGGGACTTGTTCTACTTGATATCCATGTGGAAAAACAAATCAGATTCATGTATTAAGTCATTCTCCCAAATGAATTACAGCTGTACTAATAGTTTCTTAGAAGAAAGCCGAGGACCCCATATGTAGAATCAAAGGGAGGATGAACGCTTAATAATAAGACTACAAGCCCAGGATGATAATCAAAAGATAGACACAGAAGACTCTGCAACTAAATATCATTAAATTTATAAACAAACTATAGAGATTGAGCATATCTAATTGTATTCACTAGTAACATGTTGCAAAACCATAATACAATGTCACAAGCAGGATATTAACATTGATAGAGTCAGGGTACAGAATAGTTCCATCACCACAAGGATTCTGGCAATTTATTCAAAGGAAAATGATTTCTTTTCCTTTAGGTATATATCTACCAGTGGAATTACTGGGTCGACTGGTAGCTCTGTTTTGAGTTCTTTGAGAAATCTCCAGACTACTTTCCACAGTGGCTGGACTAATTTACATTCTCATCAAACTGTAGAGCCACTGACAGCCTGCAATATGCACACGGAACAGCTGCAGACACCAATGGGCAACTCCAACCTGTAAGAGCATCCATGTGGGCTGAACCCAGCAAAGTCATAGCAGCGAGGTTGCCTGACATCTTGGGGGACACACTCCCCACCCCAGTGTGTGTGGAATACCAGAAATGAAGTTAAAAGTGATTAGCCTGGAGTCAAATCAGAACAACTAAATGCCTTTGGACATGAAGGCATGTATGAATCACCGTATTCTAAAATATAAAGACATGCAAATAGCCAAGCATAGTCAATACAGTTTTGAAAAAGAGCAGTTCGTCCAACATAGTAAGAATTACAAAGAAGCTATTATAATGAAGAGTTTGAGGTTTGGGTGCAGGGATTAACAGATAGACCAATGGAACTGAATGGAAAGTCCTGAAAAACAAAAGCAACAAAACATGTATAAATGCAAGCTTAATTGATTAAAAAATGTTGCAGCTTTAGAGCAGGAGACTGTCTTGTTGAAATAAATATCAGTGGAACAACTGAATATCCATATAAAACATTTTAATGTAACTGGAACCCTTTTTCATATTATACTAAAAATGCAATTATAGGGAAATTCAAAATCTACTCCAAAAATGTTTATTATAAAAACTTCATAAACACAGAAATGCACAGAATAATAAATAAGTCTTTGTATAGATTATGTTTTAGTGAGACAGCAATATGAGTAAATTAGAGCATCAGTAAGGCTGGAGGTGAAAGAACTGAAAGACTCTGGGGTCAATGGTCACTTTAATAACAAGAGGAGCGAGATGATATGAGTCAAAGAGGAACAGAGGAAATGGCACCTCCTCTCTCCCCTTTATCTCACCCACAGAAGGCCTAGCTGCTTTCATAAGCCTTTGCTTTTTGAGAGTAGAACTTAGATCTCAGTAGTAGCTGGGGGAAGGCTACCTGGGACAATGGTGGATTTATTCCCCCTCTTACTTGACCCATCCACCTGCTGACCTCTGGAACCCTGGTGATTCAAGGAATATAACCTAACAGTTCTATTCCAGAACGTCATGATGGAGTGTTGATGACAGACACCCTGACCAGGTCCACAAACACTTTACTAACTTAGTGGCAGTGCCAGGTTGCTCACATGATAGGAGTAGAGGCCCATCTCCCTCTCCACATGGATAAGAGATCCACATACTTCTTTTCAGCTGTTCTTACTCCTGGTAGGACCCTCAGAAGGATTCATGAGCCCTGAAATTCCAAAAACAGTTGATTGTGGCTTTGCCAGAGATTACCCTGAGGATTGGGGTTCTCTGCACCCACTATGGTCAGGATCAACTCAGCTGTTCATGAGCTGACTTCCTTCCTTAGCTTTGTCTCCGTTTCCCAGGGGCAGTTGGCCTCTGCTCACAGCCAAGATTGGTGGATCATCAAACCTCAGCACTCAAGGTGGAAACCCACAGGCAAGGAAGCTCTTCTCCCAGACTGGGAGGCAGCTGGTGGGTAAACTCCAGCTCTGGCCCACATGTCCTTGGGAATTATCCTCATGGAGCTTTTCTTCTGAGGTCCCAAGAAGGGAGTATTTCTTATGGATGGTAAAAAGAAAATGGCAGCCTATCATTTTACCTCCTGGTATTGGAAATAAGTCTCCTGTCCAGAATAGAGAGGTACTAATGTTCTTGGGATTGAAGCAGTGGGTCAGTGTCAGGGACCTTTTAAAGGAGTGAACACAACCCATCTCCAAACATGCCCCAAATGACTCACCTTCAGTTCCTATTTCTCACTTAGATTCAGCCTTCAGTGAACATGCTGCCACTGACAGTGAAGGTGTATCATAGTTGCCATGATTGTAGAATTGTGGGGCACCAGGTTGAAGGAGGGGACGGCATTCCCAGATTTCAAGGAATAAGAAACGTTTGTGCATGTGTCAGGGTGATTATAAAATACACATGAAGGCTGTCAAAAAATTGAAAAAACAAAGTATGTCTTCATTTGATATTTGTTACCATCAAAGGGGCACAATTCTTACTTTTGTGCTTGATTTCTCCCTTCATCTTATCCCAAATCCAATCCAACAACAACTTTTGTTCCTTCAACCTCTAAAATCCATTCCAAATCCTTCCACTTTTTCAATCTCCGTTACTACTGCTGTATGTGATGTTAACATTCTCTCTCACCTAGACTAGGTTAAAGTCTTCTTTGTTGTTGCTACTTAAAAAAAATCCCAATCCATGGCACGGATGGAGCTAGAGGCCATTATTCTAAGTGAACTAACACAGTAACAGAAAACCAAATACTACCTGTTCTCACTTATAAGTGGGAGCTAGAGAGGAAAACACATGGACACATAGAAGGGAGCAACACACATTGGGGCCTTTCAGAGGGTGGAGAGTGGGAGGAGGGAGAGGATCAGGAAAAATAACAAATGGGTACTAGGCTTAATAGATGGGTGGTGAAATAATCTGTACAAGAAACCCCCATGACACAATTTACCTATGTAACACACCTGCACTTCTATCTCTGAAAGTAAAAGTTAAAATGTTTTTTCAAAAACACACATCAAATGCAACTATTTTGTGAAGTTATACGTATTTTGACAAATGCATGGAGGCCCATAGGTACCACCCGAGTATCGTAATGACCAGTTTGATGAACCTAAAATTCTCCTGTGCATCCCATTTGAGGTCAGTCACTGCACTTCTGCAAAGCCCCTGACAACTATGTTCTTCTTTCAGTTCCTGTACTTTTAGCTTTCACCATGTCATAAGAGGAGGTGCATAAAATACTGATTTAAAAGTGCAGCTGTATCAGTTTTCATCACAACTAGCAAGGAATGAGAATTCCTGTTGTTCCATATCCTCTCCTACATCGGATATTTTAGACTGCTGGATTTTAGCCATTGTAATAAGAGTGTATTGCAAACTTCTTTGGTTTTTGTTTGCATCTCCCTAATGACAAATGACATTACGTGCCTCTTTCCAATATGTATATCCTCTTTGATAAAGTGTTCAAATTATTTACATGATTTTTCTTTAAAATAGGCTTCATTTTTAGAGCATTGCTAATCCAAAAATACAGAGAGAAAACTTCGTCAAAATTACAGAGTTCCCACAGATCTATACCCCCCTCCCTGCTCTGCCTCACGCACACACACACCCACACACACACACGAACACACACACACACAGTGTCTCCTATTATTTACAATTTGTATTATTATAGCATGTTTGCTACAACTGATGGATCTGTATTGATACCTATTTAGTAAGTAAATTCCACAGTTTACATCAGGACTCATTCCACATTGTGGATGCTATGGTTTTTGATGAGTGTGCAATGGCAAGTATTCATCATTACAGTATCATACAGAATTGTTTCACCAACCTAAATCTCCTGTGTACTCCACCTATTGATTAATCCTCCATTCCTCAACTCCAACCCCTCAGCCCTTGGAAACCACTAATATTTTTAGTGTATTCATCTTGCCTGTTCCAGAATATCGTATGACCGGAATCATATATTATGTCGCCTTTTTATATTTTCTTCTTTCACTTAGCAATAGGCTTTCACGATTCCTTCAGGTCTGTCCCACTAACAATGATTGAAAGTTCCTGTTGCTCAACACACGTGTGAACATTTGTTGGTTCAGTGTTTTGGGTTTCAGCCACTCTTCTGGGTCTGTAGTGTTATATCTTAGTTGTTTCAGTTTGCGATTCTTTAATGATATATGTCATTGTATTATTCTGTTTCCACATGGCTATAAAGAAATGCCTGAGACTGAATAATTTATAAAAGAAAGAGGTTTAGTTGACTCCCAGTTCCACACGGCTGGGGGAGGCTTCAGGAAACTTATGATCATGATGGAATGCGAAGGGGAAGCAGGTACCTTTTTCTCAAGGCGGCAGGAAGAAGAAGCATAAAGGAGGAACTTTGAAACACGTACAAAACAATCAGATCTCGTGAGAACTCACTCACTACAAGGGGAAAAACATCGGTGAAACTGCCCCCATGATCCAATCATCTCCCTCCCTCGACATGTGGGGATTAAAATTTGAGTTCAGATTTCGGTGGGGACACAGAGCCAAACCATATCAGAAATTGGACAGTTGTGTCCGATTACTTTCTATTCATATATATCTTTGGTGGGGTACCTGTTTAGAATTTTTGGCCATTTTCAATTAGGCTTTCTGTTTTCTTATGATTGGGTTTTAGCGTTTTGTGCATATTTAAATATATAACTTTTATCAGATATGTGTTTCACAAAACATTTATCCCAGTCTCTGGCTTGTCTTTTCTCTTAGCAGTCTTTTAGAGTAGAAGTTGTTAATTTTAATGAAGTCCAATTTATATCTCTTTTCTTAGATGTTGGCACTTTTGGTGTTGCATCTGAAAAAGTCACCACCAAACTTAAGGTCAACTAGGGTTTGCACCTATAAGTTTGACCAAAATTTTGGTGATGCATCTGAAAATGTCATTACCAAAACCAAACTCCCCTAGGATTTTCACCCATAAGTTTCAATAAGGTTTAAAATTCTGATAAAATATGTTTGTCAACAAATGAATCATTTCCACATCAACAAATGTGTAGGGAAACTAATTGGTGAGACCTTTGGTGGAAAGAGTCAGCAACATTTGAAAAAGTATAAAATTATTCATACCCTGTTCACTTCTACACAACTTCTACATTGAAATGTATTCCTTATAAGGAATTTTATGCACTTGTCCCAGAATTTATGGTCAAATATATTGATTATATTTATACTAATTTTAGCCACAAAGAAAAAGCAAATATGTGTTCATCAGGAGGAGGTTGGTTCAGTTTGTTAATGCACAGAAATAAATTGGCATTCTCGGGAAAAGTCCCCAAAGTAAGGCAGATCTCTATGTGCTGACATGGAAAGATGCTGGATACATTTTAATAAGTGAGTATCATGGCATGTTAGGGTTGCAATAGCAAAGTACCACAACCTGGATGACAAAACAACAGAATTTCATTGTCTCACAGTTTTGGAATCTGGTAGCCCAAGAGCAAGGTGTACACAAGATTGATTCCTTATGAGGCTGTGACTGGGGGATGCTTTCCAGGCCTCTCTCATTGCCTTGTACCTAGCTGTCTTCCCTCCATGTCTACTCACACTGTCATCTCCATACTCATATCTCTATGTCCAAATATCCCCTGTTTATACTGGCTTCCAATAAGGCCAGCATTAATAACCTCATTTTAACTTGATTGCCTTTGAAATAATCCTATCTCGAAATCAATGCCACATTTTTATTTCAGTGTAGACGTTTGTGGAAGAGGCAATTGAATCTATTATAGTGGCAGAGGTAAGTGGCAGATCTATATGTATATCATTATATCATTACACATGTGTGTATATATGTACATATATGTGTATATATAAAATAGCACATCTATCTTTATGAAAGCCTGAAATCGAAAATCATATTTTAAAATTTACACGGCCACATTGTTACTTGTGGAAATTTCTGAGTAGGAGGCTGAGTTTTGGAGGAACTTTGTAAAGAAAGCAATGCAATTTCTATGTCTTTTTAGAATTTTTTTGCAACAAAAATACATGCACTATTTACTTTTAAGTCAAATACTGAAATGACCCTAAGAAAAGGAAGAGGAGCACTCCAGTAGTCACATTAACAGTAACCTGATGGAAAAGAAAAAACTCCCTGAAAGTTAAATGGCTTCACACGAGTTGATTTTTGTGCACATAAATTCTGATTTAAGTTGGCAGGGTGTTATGGGCTGAATTGCGCCCCTTTCCGAGTTCATATATCCAAGCCTCAACCCCCAGTACTGCAGAATATCACTGTATTTGGAGACAGAACCTTTGAAGAGGCAGCTAAGGTAAAATGAGATCTTATGATTAGGATCATATTCAAGATGACTGGTGTTCTCATAAAAGAGCAGATTAAGATACCGACACACAGACCAAAGAACATCCATGTCAGAATTCAGTGAGAAAGTGGTCATCAGCAAGCCACGGGGAGGCCAGGGAAGAAATCAAACTGGCCCACATCTTGATCTTAGATATTTAGCCTCCAGAAATGGGAGAAAATACAATTCTATTGTTTAAGTCACCCAGTCTGTGGTATTGTTATGGCATAATAAACTAATCCACAGCAGGCCCTCACTTTCCCCTCAGCCAACAATCCAAGCTGCTTTCACCTTGCCCCTCCATGTCACAACAGATGTTTAGCGCTGAACAGAAACGAAAGCATGGGAATGATGCACTGGCTTCTGTCTAACTACAAATGAACCCGCCAGGAAGGCGAGCTAGACAAGATGGAGATGGGCACTTGTAGTCTCTCCCATATGTCATTATGGTGCTCAAAGAAAAGCAACTATTATGCTTGAGGACAGTAATTCTCTTCATGTCTTGGAATTGTTTCTGGGAATGTCCGCATAGCCTTGAAATCTTCCAACTTTTTCTTGCACCTACGAGGTGACTGGTGGTTTCAAATTCAGGATTACATCCAGTTTTAAGACAATTCTGTAAGTCTTTGCAGGGAGGGTCAACCTTAATCCCTCAATATCACTTGGCACTGTCCTTTTAATAACCTATATAATTTCTTTAGACTGAGAATTCTCTCATATTTTTGGTGTGTGAAAAATAACCTACCCTGTGAGCCTCTGCTACCCTCCATATGACGGAACATTCCTGAACAGCTATACACGTGCCTGTGGCTCACTGTAAGCCACGATTTTCCTGTGGGGCAGGTACACAGATGAGAGACAGTGGAAGGATGTTTAATTATTGTTTATTTCTCATCAGAGATGGCATGTCCCCCAAAGTACCCTTGTCACCTCCTAGGCAGTCTTCAAGATTTTGATACCGTTTTGTTTTTTTAGAAATTCACCTTCCTGTAGATCATTTAGAAAGCGATGTCTATAGCCTTTCCTCACCTACAAAGTTTATGAAGGAAAGATTGGCATTTGATCATCTACACAAACTTATTCATCTCTGTTTGTGTTCAGTGCCCTGTTTCAGATAATGCATCTCATTAAAATCATACTACAAGTATCAAGTATTAGGAAGATTTCAAATAGGCTATATCTGTCCTTAGGATTACATCCCTAAACCCCATATGTTATGTGACAATCAGATTTTACTCTGCGGCCTATTTGGAAATATGTGGAGAGTGTGTTGAAGATGCCCAGCGTAGGTATGGAAATGTCACTATCCAAAGTGGATATTCACATCGAGGGCCGTTATCACAGAGGAGCCAGCGGGAGGGATGGATCGGTCAGGGAACTTCTCCAGTGACAAACAGTGGTCTATGTCAGGGGAAGGGCAGATGTCTCTGGGCTCTTGCACTGAGGGCTGGGCACAGGCTTCAGAGTGCGAGACCACAGTGAGAAGTTACTCAACAGGCCAGGGTCCAGAGTTACACAGGAGAGCGCCCAGGGGAGATCAAATGGAGGGTGTTGTAAGGTGGGAAAGCCCTGGGGCTGGACAAAAGTACTGCCACCCAGACAGAGTCAGCTCTCAAGAAACCTAGGGCTCATAACAGGAAGAATTTATGTAAAGAAAGCCCAAAACGATCCTTGAAAGGTATTGATTCTCATTGTCACCTTTCTTCTCTAGGCCTATCTAAATACTTTGTCACAGGTTTCTCCTTTATGTTACCTGAAAGACATTAGGAAGTGTGAAGAGAAGTGACTTAACAGGAAGAAGGCTATGCTCAGGCTGAGAGGAGTGGGGACAGTGTGGGTCTAGATGAATTCAGAACTCAAGTCCCAGCCCAGTCACTTTCTAATCATGTGATCATCACGTGATCTTCGGGAATTTGTCATGAACTATAAACCTCAGCTTCTTCGTCTGTAAAATGGGTTTGATAATCCCTGTTCTGTAGAATGGCTGGAATGTATGTAGTGTGAGCAAAACACCTGGCACACAGCTTGGCATACCTTGGAATTTTAATAAATGGCAGTTGTCATCAATATGATTATAACCCCAAAGTCTACTACTGTCTTTTGAGAAAAATTCAGCTCTTGTTTTCATTATCCAAAACGTCTCATAGAACATCTAGCTGAATATGTCAAGGAATATGAACTGAACCAAAAGTTTGGCTTCATAAATATACCTCAGGGCATTTTCTTTCTAAAAGGATATATTGTATCATTCAAGAAAGAAGAGGCTTCCACAACTGAATGCAACTCAAAGATTGTAGATTTTAAGTTAAGGACCAATTCCTTTTCACCTTCCCCACTGATCATCCATCCAAACCACTAGTTTTATTTAAGCTCCACGAGAAATCTAGACCTTGCTTAGACTTGTCCACATTACATTCAAAAGAACCCAACTAAAAGTCCTGTCAATGGAATGGGCTTGGGCTCTCCCAGGCCTGGCAAATGAGTGCCAGCCTAGAGGCTTCTGAGCACCACATCAAGGAATTATAACCAAAATTCTCAGGAAAACTTGCAGATGATGGGTATCAATCACCTAGTCCTTGCACTGTGTTCAAGCTCACCAGTTACAGAGCCACAGAACACCTTCCATTAATTCTCCGTGTGGAGACTCCTCTCTGATTCATCCTCCACCCAGAGGGAACTGCTCAAGTGGTTTTCCTTTCCAGGCTTTTCTCTCACCTTCTGAGAGTCTGGGCCCTGCCACCACCCAGCTTCATAACGATCAGCTCCCACAGAAGCACCTACAGTTGCCCAAAGCCCAAAACTGCCTTAGCTCAGGGCCTTTTTAATCAAAGGCTCCATCTGGAGTCTCACCTCCCCACTCCTTTTTAAACTTATTCTTTAGATTGTAGAGAAAATCTTACCACATTCCTGATATGGCTTCTGGACCTACACTCTACCGTTTTAGGGTTAGGGATGAGTCTTGCTTTTAATGGTAACTTCACTACTAACAGTAATTTCTATGAGCAAATGCTGATACAATGTTCATCAAATAAATGAGTCACTGACACTTTTATTTATTACAGTTTACTTTCTTCTACTTTCTTACGTAAGCCAAGCAAACCAGGTATGTATCTTTAGTTTTCAAGAACAACAGACTAAAGGACCTGAGGAAATGCAAACATTAACAATCCTTTACTTTATTCCACTATTTAACTGCAGAGTTCCTTCACAGTTTCAAGAAAATTCCTACAGTAACACCACATTAACCTGTGACACATCACAAAATGAGGCAGAAGGTTTTCCCAATGTGGTGTGTTTGGGTGTGTTTTTGTTTTTACAAAATATCAAACTGTTACTCTTAAACCAGAAAAACAGCAATACATGTGCGACTCATGTGCATAAACTAGGATTCTGAAGCTATTTAAACCTGTTATTAATAGGAAAAGCATTTGAAAAATACCCAAAAGTAAAACAGGTAAACCCCATAACTACCCATATGGAACAGAAATGCAAATAGCACTGTGTTCTCTCCAGCCTCAACCAGGCCCTCCACCACGTAGAAACTCGACTGCCCCCTTCAAACTCAGAGGGAAGAATCTGCCCTAGACTTCACTCAGAAGAGAAGCTGGGGGACATGACACTGGAGCTTGCACTTTCTGTGGCAGTCGAATCATCTGTGGTGTCAATTATGGCCTGGGCTCTCTCTTCCACATCTTTCAAAGCATCCTTGTAAGAGGATGGAAAGGTAATAGGGACGGTATTCTTTAGCATGGCCAAAAACTCTACTACTTTCCTCTTAATGACTTCTGAATGAGCTCTTGGACCCCACAGGAATTCGTAACGAGGAGGAGAAGAGTTGGGCACCTCCCGGTACTCTAGGTAATGTTCCTGCACCCAAACTTTAGTGAGGAGCTCCCTGGGCTCCCCAAAGGCAAAGTGCTCCCTCCCAGCACGCACCCCTATTCCACTCAGCACATCCCAGATGACCTCCTCAGAGGCATAGGTGCCCTTTATGAAGATGATACTCAGAATAAGAATCAGGAGGCGGTTCTGGGACATGCCCTGCTCATCACTCAGACACCCCTCAGAGGTGAGGTCTAATGTGTTTACAAAGACATAGGAGTCATCAGGGTCCACTTCTCTCAGGGAAATGCCAAAAAGTATCTCTATGAACTCACGGGCTTTCCTGAAGATCACAGGAAAGTAGCCCGTGTACCTGCTGATGACATTCGTCAGCATCTCTGCCTTTGTGATAGGCTGCTTCACTTGATATTTGAGGAGAAGAAACCGCGCCAACTCGTCCACCTTTTCATCCAGTGTATAAGTGAACAAGGGCTCGCTCTCTATCAAGGACTCGCTGTCTGTCAAGGAATCACTCTCTAGCAAGGTGTCTGAGGAACTTGTATATTCATCTACTGGGCTGCTGGACTCTTCACTGAATGGGCTCAATGAAGTGGAGGAGGAGAAGGAGATCACAGGACTCTGGAGAGGACTCTCAGGGGAACTCTTGGAAAGACTCGATGAAGTGGAGGAGGGGAAGGAGCTCACAGGAGAACTCTGGGAAAGACTCGATGAAGTGGAGGAGGGGAAGGAGCTCACAGGACTCTGGAGAGGAGACTGGGCAGGCCCCTCAGGAGGACTCTGAGGACTCTCATGGGAACTTTGGAGAAGACTCGCTAAAGTGTAGGAGAAGAAGGAGCTGACAGGTCTCTGGAGAGGAGACTGAGCAGGCCCCTCAGGAGGACTCTGAGGACTCTCAGGGAAACTCTGGGGAAGACTCAAAGAAGTGGAGGAGGAGCAGATACTCACAGGACTCTGGAGAGAAGACTGGAAGTCCTCCCCCTGAGGAGGAAACTGAGGAAAGTGGAGAGGAGAGAGGGAGTCCTCCCACTCAGGAGGACTCTGAGGAAAATGGAGAGAAGACAGGGAGTCCTCTCCCTCAAGAGGACTCTGAGGAATTTGGAGAGGAGACAGGGAATCCTCCCCCTCAGGAGCACTCTCAGGACTCTGGAGAGGAGATTGGGAGTGCATCCCCTCAGGAGGGCTCTGAGGACTATGGAGAGGAGACTGGACAGGCCCCTCAGGAGGACTCTGAGAACTCTCAGGGAAACTCTGGGGAAGACTGGATGGAGTGGAGGAGGAGCAGATGCTCACAGGGCTCTGGAGAGAAGACTGGAATTCCTCCCCCTGAAGAGGACTCTGAGGAAAGTAGAGAGGAGACATGGAGTCCTCCCCCTGAGGAGGGCTCTGAGGAAAGTAGTGAGGAGACAGGGAGTCCTCCCCCTGAGGGCTCTGAGGAAAGTAGTGAGGAGACAGGGAGTCCTCCCCCTGAGGAGGGCTCTGAGGAAAGTAGTGAGGAGATAGGGAGTCCTCCCCCTGAGGAGGGCTCTGAGGAAAGTAGTGAGGAGACAGGGAGTCCTCCCACTCAGGAAGACTTGGAACAATCTGGAGAGGAGAATGGGTATTCTCCCCTTCAGGAGGACTCTGAGGAATCTGGAGAGGAGACTGGGGAAAACCCTCAAAAGTACTTTGAGTACACTCAGGGGAACTCTGGAAAAGACTCAATAAAGTGGAGGAGGAGGAGGAGGAGCTCACAGGAATCTGGAGAGGAGACTGGGGAAAACCCTCAAAAGTACTGTGAGTTCTCTCAGGGGAACTCTGGAAAAGACTCAATAAAGTGTAGGAGAAAGAGGAGCTCACAGGAATCTGGAGAGGAGACTGGGGAAAACCCTCAAAAGCACTTTGAGCACTCTCAGGAGAACTCTGTAAAATACTCAATAAAGTAGAGGAGAAGGAGGAGGTCATAGGAATCTGGAGAGGAGACTGGGGAAAACCCTCAAAAGTACTGTGAGTTCTCTCAGGGGAACTCTGGAAAAGACTCAGTAAAGTGGAGGAGAAGGAGGGGCTCCCAGGAATCTGGAGAGGAGACTGGGGAAAACCCTCAAAAGTACTTTGAGCACTCTCAGGAGAACTCTGGAAAATACTCAATAAAGTAGAGGAGAAGGAGGAGGTCATAGGAATCTGGAGAAGAGACTGGGGAAAACCCTCAAAAGTACTGTGAGTTCTCTCAGGGGAACTCTGGAAAAGACTCAATAAAGTGGAGGAGGAGGAGGAGCTCACAGGAATCTGGAGAGGAGACTGGGGAAAACCCTCAAAAGTACTCTGAGTTCTCTCAGGGGAACTCTGGAAAAGACTCACTAAAGTGGAGGAGAAGGAGGGGCTCACAGGAATCTGGAGAGAAGACTGGGCAAAACCCTCAAAAGTACTCTGAGTTCTCTCAGAGAAACTCTGGAAAAGACTCAGTAAAGTGGAGGAGGAGGAGGGGCTCACAGGAATCTGGAGAGGAGACTGGGCAAAACCCTCAAAAGTACTCTGAGTTCTCTCAGGGGAACTCTGGAAAATACTCAATAAAGTGGAGGAGAAGGAGCGGCTCACAGGAATCTGGAGTGGAGACTGGGGAAAACCCTCAAAAGGACTTTGAGTACTCTCAGGGGAACTCTGGAAAATACTCACTAAAGTGGAGGAGGAGGCGGCGCTCACAGGAATCTGGAGAACAGACTGGGGAAAACCCTCAAAAGGACTTTGAGTACTCTCAGGGGAACTCTGGAAAATACTCAATAAAGCAGAGGAGAAGAAGGAACTCGCAGGATTCTGCAGAGGAGACTGGACATCCTCACCCTCAGGAGGGCTCTGAGAAATCTCTAGAGGAGACAGGGAGTCCTTCCCCTCAGGAGAACTCTGAGAATTCTGGAGAGGAGACTGGGTGTCGTCGCCCTCAGGAGAACTCTGGGGAATCTGGAGAGGAGACTGGGAGTCCTTCCCCTCAGGAGGTCTCTGGAGAGGATCCGAGGAGTCCTCCCCCTCAGAACGACTCTGAGGACTCTGGAGAGGATACAGGGTGTCGTCGCTCTCAGGAGAACTCTGGGGAATCTGGAGAGGAGACTGGGAGTCCTCCCCCTCAGGACAACTCTGAGGACTCTCAGAGGAACTCTGGAGAAGACTCGGCATCCCAGCAGTAGGCATATCCTTGTCCCCTGGAGAACGCAGAAGCAGAGAGGAGGATGAGGATGAGAAAGAAAAACAGGAGGAGGACGAGGGGAATAAAAAGTGGAAAGAGGAAGAGAAAATGGAGGAAGCTTCCTCCTCTTCCTCATCTGGGGGATCCTCTGCATCTACCAACTCCAGTATGAAAATTGCCTTCTGGAAGCCTTGCTCAAAGCTGGGGCGTGGAAGGTTTAGAAAGAGAGGCATGATGAATATTGTTCAGGAGCAGCAGGTAAACGTGTGAACACGAATAGGTATGATGGGATCCCACAGGACTGAGGGAGAGAGGGACAGTGCCAGTGGCCTCAGCTGAGAAACTCACCCATGATGGCTCTGACAAAGGCCGGCTTACAGCTCTTCTTCTCTTAAGGTGGTGCTCTAGGGCCTCACAGGTCGCCTGTCTTCCTAGGGGGTTTGTCTTCTGGGAACCTGTAGAAGGACGCGAGAAAGCACCTCGGGGCACAGCTGGCAGGCAGAGCCTGAGGCACCAGGAATGACAGTGGGTGGCTACAGGCCGGGTGCTGCCAGGTCTGCCCTGTTTCTGGGGGTAGGGCCCTTGGTACACAGTCAGGTCGTGCACTCACCTTGACTCCTGGCACTGCCTGGGCCTCCTCTGCTGTGGTGCTTTTAGGATGTATGTGTCCCTCACACCCAGGTCTTCAACTCCTGCTTTCTGGAGCACCTGCAAGAGGAAGGGAGGGAGCCCCTCCAGCTAAGACGGCAGCTGGGGCTGGCCAGACTCCCAGAGTCCCACAATTCTGAGGTTCGTGACCCCCTCAGAATTCAATTAGCATTGTCACATTTTCTCAGACAGGGCCAGGCCCCCACCACTCTGCTGGCCTGAGGAAAAACCTCAGGAAAACTCCACATCACTGAGAGCAGTGGGAGGTAGTGAGGTGGCAGCCACCTCCCAGCACTCTACCACGGGGGCGGTCCCTGTGGCCTCACGTCTGTTCTGACGCACATGTGACCCCTCAGTCCTCACTCTTGTTCCCAGCAGGGCCTGGGAATCTTCCCTCTGCCAACTGGAGGCAGCTCCCCATGCTGACTTGCCATGGGACCCCCAGAACAAGGCCTCCTCCTCCCCCTCCCCTACACCCCTCACCCAGCAGTGAGAGGGTGGCCGCTCAGCCTCAGCCACCTGGGGAGCTCTATGGGGGCTGATTTGAGGAGCAGGGTGGGAATCTCTGGGAATCTGTCCTCTGAGGTGGGGGTTCCCCCGGTCCTCCTCAATGCCTTCCTATTTATTCTCTAGAGGGCCGGCATTTCCTCCCTTCTTCTGCCGTGAGGACACGTCCCTCAGCCCTCGGCTACCATCTTCGTTTCCGCCACCTACAAGTGCCACCGCAGGGATAGGGCAGGCCAGGGCTGCTTCTCTCTGTGGTGGGGTTGTCCCTCACTTCTCCCTCGGGGCCCTCACCTTGAAGACTGGATAGGTCTATAAGTCTCCTCCCTCCGCTGACCTGAGACGATCCTCGTCACAAAATGCCTCAGGTCCTTCAGACTCCCAAGATGGCCGCCGGGAAAGCACATCCGGCAAAGCACATCCGGGAACTCTGTCAGGGTTGATCAGGGCTGACAGCCCGGATAGCGTGGGGCGGGGCCTCCTCTCAGAGGAGGAAGGCGCCCCCCCCCCGCCGCCCGCTTGTCAGCCTCCTTTCCATCCCTTCCTTCCCACCTCCAGGATGTGCTCCAAACCTTTCTGCTCACTCCCTAAGCCCTGCTGACCTCTTCCCTCCCACCTCCCCAGTCCTTGACACTCACACCCCACCTTTTTCCAGGGCTGACAGCAGGGAGTGGCAGGGTGCAGCCTGTGCCTCCCCCGTGTTCGGAGGTCACTGTCCTTCGACAGAGTTCTCTTCTTGTTGAGTGGCCAGCCCTGGGGCTACTCCCTCTGTTTAACTGAAGCTGCCCTCCTCAGAGAAAATCTCCCCTCTGGCTGACTCCCAAAATGGAAGTCAGAAATTTGTAAATCTGGGGACCCTGATGGGCTCCTCCATGGCTGGCAGCAGGCACAGGGACAGGACAGGCAGCACTACCAGTCATGGGTGTTCCCTTCCTGCCTTCCTGAGAGGCTGTTCCTGGACTCCTGACATTGTCTGGGCTCCCTGCCTCTATGCATCTGAGTCTTTCACCTCCGAATAAGCCCCTCCCATCCTTGAGACCTGCAAGGTGCAAGAGAGGTAGAATCACATCCATCCACAGTGGGGTATGGCCTCCCAGACTCCAGGTAGGGCTCCACTGCCCTCCGTCTGAAATGGCATGGGAGGGACCCTCAGTCTTCCTCAACCTATTATTCCTGATACGGCCTCCACTCCCTCCCTCTTCTCTCCAGGGACTGTTTTTCAGATCAAGGTTCCCATTTCCATGAACCCCCCAAGAGGGACTGGAGCACGCTAGCGTCTCTCCCTAATGGCCCTGCCCAAGGCCTCCTAGCAGTGAAAACGGGCAGGTTTTTGGGGATCCTCCTGTGTCCGTGGTGGGGTAGCTCACCAGTCCATCCTCTGTATCAGCCTGGGGATGCCTAGAAGGCCCCCCTCCTGATCTTCCGCTCTCATGATCTGAAGTGAGACTCACCTAAGCACAGCCTTCTCCTCTTTCTACACGCTAAGACGTCAGGGGACAGCACTGTGGGTCAACATGCCCCTGGGCCTCCCAGGGATGACAACAGGTGGGGAGCTGGTTTCTGTGGATCCTCTTCTTTGTGGGCAGGAGGTTTCTGCAGTTTTCCCTCAGAGGCCTCATCTGACTACTGGCTGGTCCTGGGTCTTCCTATCCTTCCCAAGATGACAGTATGACACAGGGAAAAAAGTAATGTGACTTTACCCTGAAGAAAACTGACAAACACTAGGTCACCATGGTGATCAAAGTAACATCATCAGTGACAAATTGTGTTGGTATTATGTGCCGTCGGTATGATATGATAAGAATGGCACTTCACTTCTCTGTTCATCTTCCGAGAAAACGTAACCTACATCAAATCATAAAAAATAATCACTTAATTCCCAATCAAAGGCTATTTTACAAAATACCTGACCATACACCTCCAAACTGTCAATGTTTTCAAAATCAAGAGAAGTCTCAGTGAACTGGCACAGCCAAAGGGCATTTAAAGAGACATGATGAACAAGTGTAATGGCGTATCCTCAGGGTATCTTGGGACAGAAAATAGACTTTCGTGACAAGGAAATAAATGTGAATAAAGTATGTTTATTAATAAACAAAGGATGTTTGCATAGGAATAGTACCAGCTCTTCTTTAATAACCACATTTTAACTTCCTTGCCTCTGAGATAATCCCGTCTCCAAATAATGCCACATGTTAATTTCAACATAAGACTTCAGTGGGGGTGCAATTGAATCTATAATAGTGGAAAGGGAAGTGGCAGACCTATATGTATATTATTACCCATGTGTAGTTATAAACACATACATAAGCTCATATATGTATAAATTTTACTTTAAAAACCACATCAATCTTCTCAAAATTCTAAATCAGCTTTTAAATTTAAACACCACACGGTTAATTGTGGAAACTTCTGAATAGGGGGCTGAATTTTGGAGGAACTTTCCAAAAGGGAGAATTGTGATTTCTACCTCTTTTTTTAAGTTTTTGCAACAACAATATATGCAGTATTTATTTGTAAGGAAAGTATTGAAATAAGCCTAAGAAAAGGATGAGGAGCAGTCCAGGAGGCAGATAAAATAACAGTAAGCTCTTGGAACAACAACAAAAAAATCCTTCATTTTTACATGACTCAACACGTTTACTTTTTTGTACATAAATTCTGAATTTAGTTGGCAGGGTATTATGGGCTGAATTTTGAATCTCCCCCAAAATTCATATATCCGTCTTAAAACCCAGTATCCCAGAATGTGACTGTATTTGAAGATAGAAACTTTAAAGAGGTAATTAAGGTAAAATGAGGTCTTAAGGTTAGGCTCATATTCAGTATGACAGGTGTCCTCATAAAAGAGCAGATTAAGATACAGACACACAGACCAAGGAAAAACCATGTAAGAATTTAGTGAGAAAGTGGCCATCAGCAAGCCACGGAGAGGCCAGGGAAGAAATCAAACTGGCCCACATCTTGATCTTAGATATTTAGCCTCCAGAAATGGGAGAAAATTCATTTGTATTGTTTAAGTCACCCCGTCTGTGGTATTCTGTTATGGTATAAGAAACTAATCCACGGCGGGTCCTGGCTTTCACCTCAGCCAGGAATCCAAGCTGCTGTCACCTTATAGCTCCACGTCACAACAGATGTTAAGTGCTGAACGGAAATGAAAGCATGGGAATGATACACTGGCTTCTGTCTAACTACAAATGAACCCGCCAGGAAGGCGAGCTAGACAAGATGGAGATGGGCACTTGCAATCTCTCCCATATGTTATTACGGTGCTCAATGAAAAGCAACTATTATAATTGATGACAGTAAGTGCCTTCATTGCTTGGAATTGTTTCTGGGAATGTCCTCGTAGCCTTGAAATCTTCCAACTTTTTCTTGCACCTACGAGGTGACTGGTGGTTTCAAATTCAGGATTACATCCAGTTTTAAAACAATTCTGTAAGTCTTGGCAGGGAGGGTCTACGTTATTCCCTCAACAGCACTTGGCACTGTCCTTTTTAATAACCTGTATAATTTCTTTAGGCTGAGAATTCTGTCATATTTTTCGTGTACGGTAAATAATCTACCCTGTGAGCCTCTGCTACCCTCCATATGACGGAACATACCTGAACAGCTATACATGGGCCTGTGGCTCACTGCAAGCCAGGATTTTCTTGTGGGGCAGGTACACAGACAAGAGAGAGTGGAAGGATATTTAACTACTGTTTATTTCTCATCAAAACCAGCATGTCCCCCAAAGTATCCTTGTCACCTCCTAAGCAGTCTTCAAGATATTGTTTTGTGTTTTTTAGAAATTCACCTTCTTGTGGATCATTTACAAAGTGACGTCTATAGCCTTTCCTCATCTACAAAGTTTATGAAGGAAAGATTGGCATTTGATCATCTACAAAAGCCTGTTCATCTCTGTTTTCAGTGCCCTGTTTCAAATAATGCATCTCATTAAAATCATACTACAAGTATCAAATATTAGAAAGATTTCAAATAGGCTATTTCTGACCTTAGGATTACATCCCTAAAACCCATATATTATCTGGCAAATCAGATTTTACTCTGCAGCCTGTTTGGTAATACGTTGAGAGTGTGTTGAAGATGCCCAGCCTAGGTATGGAAATGTCACTATCCAAAGCGAATAGTCACATCGAAAGGCCATTATCATAGAGGAACCTGGGGGAGAGATGGATGAGTCAGGGAACTTCTGCAGGCAGTAGGAATGGTCTATCTCAGGGGAAGGCCAGTTGCTTCTAGGTTCTTGCGCTGAGAGTTCAGCAGCCACCTCCAGGCACTCTACACCAGGAGAAATAGGGGCTAGTCTCACATCTATTCTGGTGCACATGTGACTCCTCAGTCCTCACACTTCAGAGGGTGAGACCGTAATGAGAAGTTAGTCAGCAGGCCAGGTTCCAGAGTTGCACAAGAGACCACACAGGGGAGATCAAAAGGAGCTGGGGGGAGCTGCAATGGGAAAAATTGTTGGGCATGGACAAATCTGTCAGCACCTGGACATTCAGCTCTCAAGAAACCTAGGGCTCAGAACAAGAGGACTTTAGGTAAAGAAAGCCAATAATGTTCCCCGAAGTGTATTTTATTCCCATTTGACCTTCCATCTTGTGGCCTAACTTAATACCTTAGCCACACAGTTCATCTTTATTTCACCTCAGAGACATTAACAAGTGTGAAAAGAAGTGACTTAACAGGCAAAGGCCTTCCTCAGGCTGGGAGGAGTGGGGACAGTGTGGGCCTAAATGAATTCAGACCAGGGCTCAAGTCAAAACCTTGTCACATTCTAGCTATGTGGTCTTGGGAATTTATCAAGCATTATGAGCCTTGGGTTCTTCACCTGCAAAATGAGTTTGATAAGCCCTGTCTTATAGAATTGCTGGAGTGTATGTAATGTGAGTAAAACACCTGCCAGAGTGCCTGGCATATGTTGGAATTTTAATAAATGGCAGTTGTTATCAATGATTACCACACCAAAGGTTACCGTCTTTTGTGAAATATTCAGCTCTTAGTTTTGTTATCCATAACATCTCAGAGAATATGTAGGTGAATGCGTCATGGAATACCAGCTTAACCAAAACTTTGGCTTCATAAATAAAACCCAGTACATTTTTTTCTGAAACGGTATATTGTATAATTTGGAAAAGGCAAGGCATCTTCAGCTAGAATGCAACTCAAAGATGCTAGAATTTGAGTCAAACACCAACTCCTTTACACCTTGCCTTTTGCTCATCCTTCCAAACCACTATTTTCATTTGTCCTCCAGTAAAAATCTAGCCCTTGCTTACAGTTGCCCACATTACAATTGAAATAACCTAATTAAATGTCTTTCAATGGAGTAGGCTCTGGTTCTCCCAGGCCAGTCAAATAAGTGCCAGCCTAGAGGCTTCTGAGCAACACTTCAAGGGATTATCGCCCTATGTCTCAGGAAAGCCTTGCAGATGTTGGGTATCAATCACCTAGTTCTTGCACTGTATTCAAGCTCACCAGTTAGACAGCTGCAAGACACCTTCTATTAATTCCCCATGTGGAGACTCCTCTCTTCCTCATCCTACACCAGAAGGAACTGCTCAGAGCAGTTTTCCATTCCAGGTTTTTCTATCACCTTCTGAGGGTCTGGGCCCTGCCACCAACCAGCTTCATAACCATGAGCTCCCACAGAAGCACCTGAAGTTTCCCGAAGGGCAAAACTGCCTTAGCTCTGGGCCTTTTTACTTGAAAGCTCCATCTGGAGTTTCACCTGCCCACTCCTTTTTAAACTTGTTTTTATGATTGTAGAGAGTATCTTACCATGTTCCTGATACAGCTTCTGAACTTAGACTCTAACATTTTATGGGTAGAGATAAGTCTTGGTTTTCATAGTATCCCCACTACTAAGAGCACGCTCCACAAGCAACTGCTCAAATAATGTTTAGCAAATAGTCACTGAAGCTTTTATTTATTAAGATTTAATTTCTGCTACTTTCTCGAATAAGCCACGCAAAGCCAGGTATATATCCTTAATTTGGAAGAACAACAGAGTAACATGATAAGGATATGCAAATATCACATACTTTATTCTGTTCCACCATTTAATTGCAGAGTTATTTCAAATTTTAAAGAAAATTCTTATCTGAACACCATATTATACTGTTTCAGTTCATAAAATAAGACAGATTTTCCCTTTTTTTATGAAATATCAAACTCTTTCTCTTAAATCAGACAAACGGCAATACAAGTGTGAATAATATTCATAAACTAAGATTCTGAAGTGAATTAAAGCAATTGGAAGGAGAAGCATTTGTAAAATATACCCCCCACAAAAAAATGTTAAACTCTTAAGTCACTCATATGAAACAGAAACAAAAACCACTGTGGTCCCTCCGGCTCCACTCTGGACCTCCACTGCCTAGAACCTTGTCTGCCCTCTTCAAACACAGAGGGGGAATCTGCTTCAGACATCACTCAGGACAGAAGTTGGTGGACATGACACTGGGGCTTGCACTGGCCATGGCAGTAGCATCATCTGTGGTGTCAATTATGGCCTGGGCTCTGTCTTCCATATCTTTCAAAGCATCCATGTACCAGGATGGAAAGGCACTAGGGATGATACTGGATAGCTTGGATAAAAACTCTAAGACTTCTCTTGCTGGCCTCTGAATGGGCTCTTGGACCCCACAAAAATTCATAACGTGGAGGAGCACTGTTGGGCACCTCCCGGTACTCCAGGTACTTTCTCTGCACCCAATGTATAGTGAGCAGCTTTCTGGGATCCCCATATATAAAGTGCTCCCTCCCAGCACACACCCCTATTGCACTCAACACTTCCCAGATGACCTCCTCGGGGACACAGCTGCCCTTTATGAAGATCATACTGAGAATAAGAATCAGGAGACAGTTCTTGGGCATGCCCTGGTCATCAATCAGGCTTCCCTCATAGGTGAGGTCTAATGTGTCTTCAAAGAAATAGGAGTGGTTGTCGGGGTCCATATCAGTCAGGGCAATGCCAAAAATTAGCTCTATGAACTCATGGGCTTTCCCGAAGATCATGGGAAAATAGTCCTTATACTTCTTGATGACAGTCGTCAGCATCTCTGCCTTTGTGACAGGCTCTTTTGTTTGATATTTGAGGAGAAGAAACTGCACCAACTCAGCCACCTTTTCATCCAGGGCATACCTGGGCAAGGATTCACTTTCTGGCAAGGCATGCCAAGTAGCTGTATCCTCCTCTTCACTGCTGGACTCCTCATCCAATCGGGTCCACAAAAGAGGGGATGAGCAGGAGTCTAGAGGACTCTGGGGAGGACTCTGCGGAGGACCCTGGGGAGAGATCTTGGGAGGACCCTGGGGAGGAATCTCAGGAGGACTCTGGGGAAGAGGTGGCATCCCAGCAGCAGGCATATCCTCATCTTCTGGAACACCCAGAATGAGAGTAGAGGGTAAGGGTGAGGACAAGGGTGAGGATGAGGACAAGGAAGAGGAGGAGGGGAATAAAAAGTGGAAAGAGGAAGAGGAAGTGGAGGAGGCATCCTCCTCCTCCTCATCTATGGAATCCTGTGCATCTACCAAGTCCTCTGTCACACTCGGGTTCTGGAAGTCTTCCTCAAAGCTGAGGCGTGGAAGGTTTGGAAAGAGAGGCATGAGGCCTGTTGTTCAGGAGCAGCAGGTAAACGTGTGAGCAGGGATGGGGATGATGGGATCCCACAGGCCTGAGGAAGACAGTGACAGTGTGAGTAGCTTCAGCTGAGAAACTCACCTATGATGGTTCTGACAAAGGCTGGCTTACAGCTCTTCTTCTCTTAAGGTGGTGCTCTAGGGCCTCACAGGTCGCCTGTCTTCCTAAGAGGTTTGCTCCCTCAGAACCTGTAGGAGGATGTGAGAAAGCACCTCGGGGCACAGCTGGCAGGCAGAGCCTGAGGCACCAGGAATGGCAGTAGGTGGCTATGGCCAGGTGCTGCCAGGTCTGCTCTGTTTGTGGGGGTAGGGCCCTTGGTACACAGTCAGGGCGTGCACTCACCTTGACTCCTGATATTGCCTGGGCCTCCTCTGCTGTGCTGACTTTAGGAAGTGTGCCTCAGACCCAGGTCTTCAACTCCTGGTTCCTGGAGCACCTGCAAGAGGAAGTGAGGGAGCCCCTCAGGCTAAAGACTGCAAGCAGAGTCTTGGGCCTCCCAAGGCTGACAGCTGGGGCTGACCAGACTCCCAGAGCCCCACAGTTCTGGACTGCATGGTCCCATCAGAATTTAATTAGCATCCTCACCTTTTCTCAGACAGGGCCATGTCCCTACCACTCTTCTGGCCAAAACTCAGGGCAAACTCCACATCCCTGAGAGCAGCGGGAGGTAGCGAGGTGGCAGCCACCTCCCAGCACTCTACCACGGGGGCAGTCGGGGTGGCCTCACGTCTGTTCTGATGCACGTGGGACCTCTCCGTCCTCACTCTTATCACCAGCAGGGCCTGGGAATCTTCCCTCTGCCAACTGGAGGCAACTCTCCCTGCTGACTTGTCATGGAACCCCCCAGACCAAGGCCTCCCCTTCCCCTCCACCCCTCCCCCTCCCCTCCACCCCTCCCCCAGCAATGAGAGGACTGCCGCTCAGCCTGAGCTGACTGAGGAGCTCTACGAGGGCTGATATGAGGAGCAGGGTGGGAATCTCTGGGAAGCTGTCCTCTGAGGTGGGGGTTCCCCCAGTCCTCCTCAATGTCTTCCTATTTATTCCCTAGAGGGCTGGCACCTCCTCCCTTCTTCTGTTGTGGGGACGCCTCGGTCAGCCCTCGGCGGCCATCTTCCTGTCTGTGGCCTGCAAGTCCTATGGCAGCGCAGGGCAGACCGGGGCTTCTTCTGTCCTTGGTGCGAAGTCCCTCAGTTCTCCCTTAGGGCCCTTACCTTGAGGATTGGCCAGGTCTAAGACGCTTCCCTCTGCTGACCTGAGTCCAGACTCCTCGCAAAATGCTTCAGGTCCTTCAGACTCCCACAGTGCAAGTCGGGAAAGCACATCCGCGAACCCTGCCAAGGCTGACCAGGGCTGACAGCAGAGGCAGCGTGGGGTGGGGCCTCCTCTCCATGGAAAAACCACCCCCCACCTCTCCGCCTCCTTCCACCTTTTCCTGACCACTTCCCCGCACTCCACTTCTTCCTGCCCTCCTCAGCGCCCCCCGACCCCTTTGTGCCCACCTCCCTACCCCCTCCCACCCTCCTCCCTGACCCCTTCCTCTCCTTAATGCCCACCTCCCCGCCCCTTCCCACCCTTTCCTGTTCACCTACTGCCCCCTTTCACCTTTTATTGCCCATATTCCCACCACTCCCACTCCTTCCTGCCCACTTTCCCACTCCCTCCCACCTTTTCCTACCCACCTCCCAACTTCCTCCCACCCCTTCGGGCCTACCAACCTGCCCCCTCCCACCCCTTCTTGCCTACCTCCCCACTCCCACCTGTTCCTGTCCACTTCCCTGCCCTTCGCCCACCTCTCCCTGCCCACCTCTCCGTTTTCACCTCTCCATCTGTTTTGTCCAGGGGTGACAGCAAGGAGTGGCTGGGCGACGCCTGGGCCTTCCCTCCGTGTTGGGAGATAGCTATCCTTCCACAGAGTTCCCTTCTTGCTTGTTGGCCAGCCCCGGGGCTCCTTTCTCTGCTTAACTGAAGCTGCCCCGTGTCTGAAATGAGGTGGGAAGGCCCCTCAGTCTTCCTCAAGGTTTTACTCCTTCCAGGGCCGGCACTCCCCCCTTCTCCTGTCCCGACAGCAACAGTTGTTCTGTCATCCTCTAAAATCCATTCCAAAACCTTCTACTTTAAGTACTACCGTGTGTGAAGTTAATAGAATCTCTCTCCTGACCTATGTCAAAGGCTCCCTTAGTTTTCTTCTTTCCCTATCCTTGTCCCAGAAAAATCCATTGTCTTTTCAGCAGCCTGTGCGTGATCTTTTAAAAAAATTATTTTTAACATTTTATTAATTTAATGTCATTAATTTTTATTATAATTTTTATTAATTTTTAAAATACACTCATCAGATTTAACTATTATGTGAAATTATATGTATTTTAGCAAATGCGTGGAGTTCCATATCTACGAACCAAGTGTCACACTGACCAGTTCCATCACCCGAAAAGTCCCCTGTGCATCTCTTTTGAGGTCAGTCAAGGCACTTCTCCAAAGACTCTAGCAACTATGCTCTGTTTGCAGTTCATATAGTTTTAACTTTCACAATTTGTCATATGAGTAGGTCCACAAAACATGGATTTAAAAGTCTGGCTGCATCATTTTTCATCTCAACTAGCAAGGAATGAGAATTCCTCTTGTTGCATATCCCCTCTTCCATTTAGTATTTTAGATTTTCAGATTTCAGCCATTCTAATAAGCCTGTATTTGAATCTCCTTTGTTTTTTGTTTGCATCTTCCTAATGACAAATGACGTTGGTCATCTTTTTATATGCCTTTTCCTGATTGGTATATTCTCTTCAAATCATTTGTGTCTTTTTAAAAACTAATAGACATCATTTTTAGAGCATTGCTAATCCAAAAATACAGAGAGAAAACTTCATCAAAGTTACAGAGTTCTCACATATCTACGCCCCCCCCCCCAATTCCTGCCCTCCTGCCCTGCCCTATGCACGCACACAGACACACACACACACACACACACACACACACACAGTGTCTCCTATTATTTATATTTTGTATTATTATGGCATGTTTGCAACAACTGATGGACCTGTATTGATACCTCATTATTAGGTCAAGTCCACAGTTTACATCAGGAATCACTCAACGTTGGGGATGCTGTAGGTTTTGATAAGTGTGTAATGGTGAGTATTCATCATTACAGTATCACACAGACTTGTTACACCATTTTAAATCTCTTGTGTGCTCCACCTATCAATCCCCCTTGCCCCAACCCTAACTCCTCAGCCTCCGGAAACCACTGATATTTTTAGTGTATTCATAATGAACTGTTTCTAAATATTGTATGATTGGAATCATACATTATGTAGCCTTTTAAGATTTTCTTCTTTCACTTAGCCTTATGCTTTTATGATTCCTCCAGGTCTGTCCTACTAACAATGACTGAAAGCTCCTGTTGCTCAACATACAGGTCAACATTTGATGTTTCAGTGTTTTGGACGTCAGCCATTCTCCTGGGTGTAGAGCGCTATCTCCTAGGTGCTTTAATTTGCACTTCTCTAAAATGCCATATGACATTGAACTCTTTAATATGCTCATTTTAAATTCCTATATATTCATTGTTTGTGTACTTATTTATAGTTTTTGTCCACTTTAAATTGGGTTTTCTGTTTTCTTATGATTGGGTTTTCAGCGTTTTGTGCATATTTAAATATACATCTTTTATCAGATATGTGTTTCACAAAACTTTTATGCCAGTCGCTGGCTTGTCTTTTCAAGATCTTAACAGTGACTTTTCAGAGCAAAAGTTTTTAGTTTTAATTAAGTCCAATTTATCTCTTTTTTCTTAGGTAGCTGGTACTTTTAGTGTTGCATCTGAAAAAGCCGTCATCAAAACCAAGGTTACCTAGGGTTTGCACCCATAAGTTTAACCAAATTTTGGTGTTACATCTAAAAAAGTCATCACCAAACCCAAAGTCACCTAGGGTTTGCCCCCATAAGTTTGACAAACATTTAAAACTCTGATAAAATGTGTTTGTGAATAAATGAATCATTTCCCCATAGACAATTATGGGGAATAATAATAATCATTATTATTAAATAATAATAATTTCCTCTGTTAATGTGAGAGAATTAATTGGTGAAATATTTTAGGAAAAAAGTCAGTAACATTTAAAAAATAGAAAATATTCATACTGACTCAGTTTCCTCATTAAAATGCATTCCTTATAAGTAATTATATGTACTTGTCCCAGAATTTATGCTCAGAGATGTTGATTTTATTTACATGAATTATAGCCACAAAAGATAAACATATATTTGTCTGTCAGAAGATTTGTTCAATTCATTATTGCACAGAAATAAACTGGAATTCTAGGAAGTAGTTGCAAAAGTAAGATAGATTTATTAACATTTGTGCTGTCATGGAACGATCTTGGATCCATTTCAATAAATGATTATATTGGCATGTTAGGGGTGCCATAGCAATGTACCACAGCCTGGATGACATAAACAACGGAAATATATTGTCTCACAGTTTTGGAGTCTGGTAGTCAAAAAGCAAGGTGTATACAAGGTTGACTCCTTCTGAGGGCTGTGATGAAAAGTTATATTCCAGGCCTCTCTCCTTGCCTTGTAGATGGCTGTCTTCAGTCCAAGTATGCTGACATTATCATCCTTCTACTCATATCTCTATGTCCAAATTTCCCCTTTTTAAAATGACTCCCATCATATTTGATTAGGGCCAGCATTAATAACCTCATTTTAACTTGATTGCCTCTGAAATAATCCTATCTCCAAATAATGTCACGTTTTTAATTTCAAGATAGAACTTTAGGGGAATGCAATTGAACCTATCAGAGTGGCAAAGGCAAGTGGCATATTTACATGTATGTCATTACTCATGTTTTGTTATATTTATACACACATATATAAATATATGCATATATAAATATATATATTTATATATGCATATATAAATATATATATTTATATATGCATATATATATACACACACACATTACCACATCTATCTTTTAAAAACTTGAAATTAGCTTTTAAAATTTACACACCACATTGTGGAAAGTTCTGAGTAGGGGGCTGAATTTTGGAGGAACTTTGCAGAGGAGAGAATTGTGATTTCCATGTATTTTTATCATTTTTTTTGCAACAATAATATATGCAGTATTTATTTGTAAGAAAAGCATTAAAGTAAGCCTAATAAAAGGAAGAGGAGCAGTGTAATAGTCAGATAAAGTAACAGTGAGCTAATGGAATGAAAACATTTCCTGAAATTTAAATGATTTAACACAACAAGTTTATTTTTGTGCATAGAAATTCTGATTTTAGTTGGCAGGGTGTTATGGGCCGAATTATACCCCTTCCTCAAAATGCACACATACAAAGTCACTGCATTTGGACATAGAGCCTTTGAAGAGGTAATTAAGGGGAAATGAGGTTTTATGGTTAGGATCTTATTCAATATGACTGGCGTCTTCACAAGAAGAGGAGATTAGGATACAGACACACGGAAAGAGGGACAATCATGTAAAAATTCAGCGAGAAGGTGGCCATCTGCAAGCCAAAGAGAGCCCACAGAAGAATTCAAACCAGTCAACATCTTGATCTTGGATTTTTTAGCCTCCAGAAATGTGAATAAATACATTTCTATTGTTTAATCACACAGTCTGTAGTATTTAGTTATGGAATAATAAACTAATCCATAGCGGATCATGGCTCTCACGTCACCCAGGAATCCAAGCTGCTTTCACCTTGCAGTTCCACATCACAACAGATGTTAACTGCTGAACAGAAATGAAAACATTGGAATGATATACTGGCTTCTATCTAACTACAAATGAACCAACCATAAAGACAGGGTATACAAGATGGAGATGGGCGCTTGTGTTCTCTCCCATAAGCTGTTGCTCAATTAAAAGCAACTGTTATAATTTATGATAGTAAGTCTCCTCATTTTTGGAATTGTTTCTGGGAATGCCAACATTACCTTGAAATATTTCAACTTTTTCTTGCACCTACTAGGTGACTGGAGGTTTCAAATACAGAATTGCATCTAGGTTTAAAACAATTTTAGATGTCTTGGCAGGGACGGGCAACCTTATTTCTCAACAGCACTTTTCTGCACTGTCCTTTTAACAATCAATATAGGCCAGGTGTGGTGGGGCTCATGCCTGTAATTCCAGCAGTTTGGGAGACTGCGGCGGGCAGATCACTTGAGGTCAGGAGTTTGAGACCAGCCTGGACAACATGGTGAAACCCCTGTTTCTTCTAAAAAATACAAAAATTAGCTGGGCTTGGTGGCACGCACCTGTAGTCCCAGCTACTTGGGAGGCTGATGCAGGAAAATCACTTGAACTCGGGAGGCAGAGTTCGCAGTGAGCCGAGTTCACACCACTACACTCCAGCCTGGGTGACAGAGCGAGACTCTGTCTCAAAAAATAAAAATAAAAATAACCAATATGTATTAGTCAGGGTTCTCTAGAGGGACAGAACTAATAGGACAGATGTACATATTAAGGGGAGTTTATTAAGGGAGTTAATACAACTCTCCTTCATACAACCAGAAATGCACCGATCCCCAATCCAAATGCTATTACATAAAGTTAACACACTTAAATGCTGATATGAAGTCAACACATCTTATGTCACATGATAAAGGAAAATAAGAAATAAAATAAAGATATTTTCTTAGTACAAGTGTGTACACGCACAAACATGTTTTTAACTAAAGAAAAGAAGGAGAAAATACTCATGACAATTACAGTCCTCGTTTCTGCAACTGGTCATGTGGTCGTAGCTGGTATTGATGACTACCTTCTTCTACTACCCATTCTGTATTCCATTTGCTTTCAGCAAACCCCTTGGCAGGCTGTGGATTTTTTTCCTGGTGGAGTGAACCAAACCTTCATTCCTGAAGGTTCTGGGCCATTGGTAGTCCTACCTGGATTGGGCTGTTGTAGTTTCCCATTGACCTTAATCACAGGGCATGGTAATACTAAGAGATGCCCTAATGGATCTCCTGTATTCCTTGCATACTCTTTCTCACCTCCCTTGCAGAGTAGTGGATTGATTTCATCTTGATAGCCCGGGTCAATCACCCCAGCAAACACTGTAACTCCTTTCTTAGCCTGTTTGCTTAAAAGTAGGACGAGCCCAGAGTGTCCAGGTGACAACCTTATTTTCCAGTTTAATGGAATCATTGTTGTGTCTCCTGGCGGCAGCGTTTCTCCCTCTGGAAATAAGACCTCTAGGCCACCAGAATGTAATGTCATGGGAATAGGAAGCAAAAGTGTTGCTAGTGGGTCCCTAGGGGTGATGGTGAGTGGTGTTTCCACCCCTTGATTCCTGGACTCACGAATCCTGACTATGGGAGAAACAATACCATATATTGAACACTGATTCAGAGCATACAGGGCCTTCTGGAGAACTTTGTCCCAGCCCTGCAAAGTATTGTCACCTAGTTGGCATTGTAACTGTGACTTCAAAAGGCCATTCCACTGTTCTATCAATGCAACTGCTTCAGGACGATGGGGAACATGGTAAGATCAGCGAATTCCATGAGCATGAGCCCACTGTCACACTTCTTTAGCCATAAAGTGAGTGCCTTGGCCAGAGGCAATACTGTGTGGAATACCATGACGGTGAATAAGGCATTCTGTGAGTCCACAGATGGTAATCTTGGCAGAAGCACTGTGTGCAGGACAGGCGAACCCATATCTGGAATAAGTGTCTGTTCCAGTGAAGACAAACTGCTGCCCTTTCCATGATGGAAGAGGTCCAATATAATCAACTTGCTACAAGGTAGCTGGCTGATCATCCTGAGGAAAGGTACCATATCGAGGGCTCAGTGTTGGTCTCTGCTGCTGGCAAGTTGGGCACTCAGTAGTGGTCATGGCTAGGTCAGTGTTGGTGAGTGCAAGTCCATGTTGCAGAGCCCATGCATAACCTCCATCCATGCCACTATGGCCACTTTGTTCATGGGCCTATTGGAAGATGACAGGGATGGCTGGGGAAAGAGGCTGAGTGGTGTCCACAGAACGGCTCATACTATCCACTTGATTATTAACATGCTCCTCTGCTGAGGTCACCCATTGGTGAGCACTCACATGGCATACAAATATCTTCACAGTTTTTGACCACTCAGAAAGGTCCATCTGCATACCTTTTCACCAAATTTCTTTGTCACCAATTTTCCAATCATGCTTCTTCCAAGTCCCTGACCTTCCAGCCAAACCATTGGCTACAGCCCATGCATAAGTATATCATCGCACATCTGGCCACTTCTCCTTCCATGCAAAGTGCAAAACCAGGTGCACTGCTCGAAGTTCTGCCCACTTAGAAGTCCCTTCACCACTGTCCTTCAGGGATGTCCTAGAAAGGGGCTGTAGTGCTGCAGCTGTCCACTTTTGGATGGTGCCTGCATATCGTGCCCTAGCTTTCTCTTCCTCCATCAACTGATCATAGGGAACTGTCCACGGGGCCATCAGTGCAGGCTGGGGGAGAGAAGGCAGGGTGGCAGGGGTGGAGACCCTGGGCATTTGTGCCACTTCCTCATGTAACTTACTTGTGTCTTCAGGACCTGCTCAAGCCCAATCACATATACACTATTTCCATTTGATGATGGAATGCTGCTGTGCATGACCCATTTTATGGCTAGATGGGACAGAAAGCACCCAGTTCATGATAGGCAGTTCAGGTTGCATGGTGATTTGATGACCTACAGTCAAATATTCAGTTTCCATGAAAGCCCAGTAACAGGCCAAGAGCTGTCTCTCAAAAGGAGAGTTGTTATCTGCAGAAGATTGAAGGGCCTTGCTCCAAAATCCTAGAGCCCCCTGCTGTGATTCACCAATGGGGGCCTGCCAAAAGGTTTAAACAGCATCCCTATCCGCCACTGATACCTCAAGCAGCATTGGATCTGCTGGATCATATGGCCCAAGTGGCAGGGCAGCTTGCACAGCAGCCTGGACCTGTTGCAGAGCCTTCTCCTCTTCTGAACCTCACTCAAAACTGGCAGCCTTTTGGGTCACTCGATAAGTGAACCAGAGTAACACACCCAAATGAGGAATGTGTTGCTTTCATAATCCAAATAGGCCCTCTAGGCATTGTGCCTCTTTCTTGGAGGGGCCTCATGCAGCAACTTATCCTTCACCTTATAAGGAATATCTCAACTGCCCCCACACCACTACACCCCTAGAAATTTGACTGAGGTAGAAGGTCCCTGAATTTTAGTCAGATTATTTCCCATCCTCTGGAATGCAAATGTCTCACCAATAAGTCCAGTGTGTTTGCCACTTCTCGCTCACTGGATCCAATCGGCATAATGTCATCAATGTAGTCGACCAGTGATCTTGTGTAAGGGAAAATCGATCAAGGTCTCTCCTAATAAGATTATGACACAAAGCAGGAGAGTGGATGTACCCCTGAGGTATGACGGTAAAGGTATATTGCTGGCCTTGCCAGCTGAAGGCAATTTGCTTCTGGTGGGACTTATGGACAGGAATGGAGAAAAAGGCATTTGCCAAATCAATGGCTGCATCCCAGGTATCAGGAGATGTGTTAATTTGCTCAAACAATGAAACCACATCTGGTACAGCAGCTGCAATTGGAGTCACCACTTGGGTAAGCTTACGATAATCCACTGTCATTCTCCAAGATCCAACTGTCTTCTGCACAGGCCAAATGGGAGAGTTGAAGGGGGATGTGGTGGGAATCACCACCCCTGCGTATTTCAGTTCCTCGATGGTGGCACTCATCTCCACAATCCCTCCAGGGATGCGATATTGTTTTTGATTTATTATTTTTCTAGGTAGAGGCAGCTCTAATATCTTCCACTTGGCCTTTCCCTTCCCTTCATAATAGCCCTTCATAATAGCCTTTCCCTTCATAATAGCCCTCACCCTCCCAGTCAGGGAGCCAATGTGGGGGTTCTGCAAGCTGCTAAGTATGTCTATGCCAATTATACATTCTGGCACTGGGAAAATGGCCACAGGATGAGTCCGGGGACCCACTGGATCATCTGTAAGTCCAAGCTGAGCTAAATATTTATTAACTATCTCACCTCCAAAAGCCCCTACTTTAACTGGAGGACCAAAATGTCATTTTGGGTCCCCTGGAATCAATGTCAGCTCAGAGCCAGTGTCCAGTAGTCCCGAAATGTCCAATTATTTCCCTTTCCCCAGTGCACAGTTACCCTAGTAGAAGGCCAGAGGTGTCCTTGGGGAAGGATGGGAGAAAGATTAACAGCATAAATTGTTGATAGTGTAGTGGAGTCCTTCCTCAAGGGGACCCAGCCTCCCCTTCATTCAGGGGGTTCTGGGTCTGCAAACTGGCTCAAGTCTGGAAATTGAGGGGCCGTTATTCTCTGTTTTTATAATTTGAATCAGTTTTTTGTCCACTTAACATGGAAGTTTTCTGCTTGTATAAATTAAGTAGGAATGCAGTAGGCTTCCTATCAATTTCACTTCTAGAAATACTGTGATTAATCAGCCAATGCCAGAGCTCTACAGGAGTCAAACTATTCTGATTGCTGCTTTGCCTCTGCTGTCCATTATGGTAGCTATACCCGCCTTGCCTTTGATGGTCGAGTGCTGCCACTTGACCCCTGCACCTCGGGATACAATTATTCCCATTGCATTTAAATTTTTTAGTTGAGTGACTACAATTCCCACTGTTAGATCTGGCATACAGAGAAGACCAATCCCTGCAGATCTCTTCAAAGATGCAGGTGCTGCCCTCACAAATCTGTTTCACAAAGGATTGGTCAAGGGTGTATCTTCTGGACCCTCTCAGCTGGGATGAGTAGGTCTAAAATGACTAATCCACTCCAGCCTCCCAATTTCCCTAAGCATTTGGATCCCTTCCTCTACATTAAACCAAGGCAAGAAATCAGGCATTTCCAGATTACTCACAGTGGGCCATCTTTTAATCCATATTTCAGCTAGCCAAGCAAGTACACTATTAGAACTTTTTTTTTTTTTTTTTTTTTTTTTGAGACGAAGTCTCACTCTGTCACCCAGGCTGGAGTGCAGTGGCACGATCTTGGCTCACTGCAACCTCTGCCTCCCGGGTTCAAGCAATTCTCTGCCTCAGCCTCTTGAGTAGCTGGGATTACAGGCGCGCACCACGATGCCCAGCTAATTTTTGTATTTTTAGTAGAGACGGGGTTTCACTATCTTGGCCAGGCTAGTCTTGAACTCCTGACCTCATGATCCACCCGCCTCAGCCTCCCAAAGTGCTGGGATTACATGCATGAGCCACTGCGCCCGGCCTTAGAACCTTTTTTAACTCCCCAAGCTGCAACATTAAATGCAGAATCCCTACTTAGTGGACCCAAATCAATAAATTCAGTCTGATTAAACTCTGTGTTCCTTCCACCATTATCCCACACCCTTAATATCCATTCCCATGCCTGTTCTCCAGATTTCTGCTTATATAAATTAAAAAACTCAAGCAGTTCTTTTCGAGTGTAATGCACCTCCTCACGGGGTCATACTCTGAACTTCACCTCTAGGCGCCCGCCAGGACTTTAGTCTAGTTATAGGTCTAGAAAACAACAGGGATTTTGGGGGTGGGTCCTGAGAAGAAGCAACACTATCTTGCCTGGCAACTGCCTCAGAGGAGGCCATCACTGTTGACTCAGGCAGCACAGGGTTTATCTCCTCAGACAAAGGTGGAAATTTCAGGTCTTTCTCTACAGGAGATAAGACTCTCACTCAGGGCAATCCTAGCAGATTTGAGGCTCAGTATCTGCTTCTGGAGCCAGGAGTCAGAATCCCTGAGTTCATCATTTTCTTTCATCCCTTTGTCCAGTGCATTTAGGAGCAACCAACCAACTTCATTATGTTCCTTGATTCTCCACATATGGTCAAAGGTATTAAATATAGGGTCACTAAACTTTTTTCTCACAAGCAGTTAATCAGGAGTGTCAAATGCATTTATTTTGCATAATTCTCTAAACAGTTCACGCCAAAGGCTATCGGTGTTCTCCACGCCATTAGAATTAGAGTCCTTAGCATTTTTGGGTCTAATCACATTAAGCATCCAACTCCAGAAACCCCAAAACCAATGAAAGACCTCCATCCTTAATATTCTGTTTCTCTAGAACCACTCCTGGTACAAAAATCTGTATTACTCAGGGTTCTCTAGAGGGACAGAACTAATAGGATAGAGGTATATATAAAGGGGAGTGTATTATGGAGTTTATTAACTCCCATGATCGTGAGGTCCCACAATAGGCCATCTGCAAGCTGAGGAGCAAGGAAGCCAGTCCGAGTCCCAATGCTGAAGAACTTGGAGTCTGATGTTAGAGGGCAGGAAGCATCCAGCACAGGAAAAAAAAGTGTAGGCTGGGAGGCTAAGCCAGTCTAGCCTTTTTACATTCTTCTGCCTGCTTTTTATTCTGGTCCTACTGGCAGCTGATTAGATTGTGCCCATGCAGATTAAGGGTGGACCTGCCTTTCCCAGCCCACTGACTCAAATGTTAACCTCCTTTGGCAACACCCTCACAGACAAACCCAGGAACAATACTTGCATCCTTCAATCCAATCAAGTTGACACTCAGTATTAACCATCACACAATACAATCTCTTTAGACTGAGAATTCTCTCACTGCTTTTGGTATACGGTAAATATCCTACCATGAGAGATTCTAATACCCTCTACATGACTGAACATTCCTGAACAGCTGTACATGTGCCTGTGGCACACTGCAAACCAAGATTTTCCTGTGGGGCAGGTACACAGAAAAGAGACAATGGAAGGATGGTTAACCATAATTTTCTTTTCTCATCAGAGCTAGCCTGTCTGTCAAGGAACACTTGTCACCTTCTAAGCAGTATTAAGGATTTTGTTATTGTTCTGTTTTTAGAAATTCAGCTCCTTGTAATTTATTTACAAAGTGATTTCCAAAATTTTATCTCATATACCAAGTTTATGAAGGAAGCTTTGCTTTTTGACCACCTGGTATAGCTCATTCATCTGTGTATCTCTTCAGTGGCCTGCTTCAAACAATGTTACTACAAATATCATATATTAAAATCCCAATACAAATATCAAATATTAGGATGATCTCAAAAACTCTATCTCTTACCCTAAGATTACATCCCTAGAACCAGTATATTATGTGGCAAATCAGATTCTACTCACCACCCTATGTGGGAGTATTTTGAGAGTGTTTGAAGATGCCCAGGATAGATATGGAATTGTCACTATCCAAACTGAAAATTTACATCAAAGTGCTGAATTTGAATCAAGGACCAACTCCTTTTCACCTTCCCCTTTGCTCATCCATCCAAACAACTATTTCTATTTATCCTCCACTAAAAATCTAGCCCTTGCTTACAGTTGCCCACATTACATTTAAAATAACCTAATTAAATGACCTTTCAATGGAATGGACTCTGGCTCTCCCAGGCTAGGAAAATGAGTGCCAGCCTAGAAGCTTCTGGGCAGCATTTCAAGGAATTATCGCCTTATTTCTCAGGAAACACTTGCAAATGATGGGTATCAATCACCTAGTCCTTGCACTGTGTTCAAGCTCACCAGTTAGAGAGCTGCAAGACAGCTTCCATTACTTCCCCACATGGAGACTCCTCTCTCCCTCATCATCCACCCAGAAGGAACTGCTCAGAGCAGTTTTCCATTGCAGGCTTTTCTCTCACCTTCTGAGAGTCTGGCCCCTGCCACCACCCAGCTTCATAACAATCAGCTCCCACAGAAGCACCTGCAGTTTCCCGAAGCCCCACACTACCTTAGCTCAGGGACTTTATACTTGAAGACTCCATCTGGAGTCTCACCTCCCCACTTTTTTGAAACTTATGATTGTAGAGAGCATCTTACCACCTTCTTGACATGGCTTCTGCTCCTAGACTCTATTGTTTTATAGGTAAGGCATAACTCTTGCTTTTCACTGTATCCCCACTATTAAGAGTCCCCTCCGCAAGCAAATGCTCACAGAATGTTAGGCAAATAAAGCCGTCAGAGATGCTTTTATTTATTAACATTTAATTTCTGCTACTTTCTTGAATGAGCTAAGCAAAGCCAGGTCTATTTCTTTAATTTTCAAGAACAACAGTATAAACGGGATAAGGAAATGTAACTATTCACCATCCTTTATTTCGTTCCACTATTTAACTGCTGAGTTCTTACATAATTTAAAGAAAATTCCTAGTACAATACCATGTTATCCTGTTATAGATCACAAAATAAGAGACAAGCTTTTTCCATTTTTTTTTACAAAATATCAAACTGTTACTCTTAAACTAGATAAACAGCAATATATGTGTGACTAATATTTATAAAATAATATTCTGAAGCTAATTCAACCTACTATTAAAAGGAAAATCATTCAAAAAGTACACAAAAGGAAACGAGGTAAATCTATCTCTCCCATATGGAACAGAAATGCAAAGAACACTGTATTGTTCCCTCAAGCCCCACCCGGGCCCTCCACTACCTAGGACCCTGACTGCCCTCTTCAAACACAGACGTAAGAAACGGCCCTATACTTCACTCAGGACAGGAGAAGTTTCTGGAGATGACACGGAACCTTGCACTGGCCATGGCAGTAGCATCATTTTTGGTGTCAATTATGGCCTGGGCTCTGTCTTCCACATCTTTCAAAGCATCCTTGGAAGAGATTGGAAAGGAACTAGAGACGGTATTGTTTCACATGACCAAAATCTCACTACTTTCCTCTTGCTAGTTTCTGAATGGGCTCTAGGACCCCACAGGAATTCATAACGTGGAGGAGCACTACTGGGCACATGTCGCTACTCCAGGTAATGTCCCTGCACTCAAACTTTAGTGACAAGCTCCCTGGGCTCCCGATAGACGAAATGCTCCCTCTGAGCACACACCCCTATTGCATTCAGCACTTCCCAGATGACCTCCTCAGATGCACAGTTGCCCTTTATGAAGATCACACTCAGAATAAGAATCAGGAGGCGGTTCTGGGGCATGCCCTGCTCATCACTCAGACTCCCCTCACAGGTGAGGTCTAATGTGTTTACAAAGACATAGAAATGGTCGGGGTCCACTTCTGTCAGGGAAATGCCAAAAAGAATCTCTATGAACTCACGGGCTTTCCTGAAGATCATAGGAAAGTAGCCCGTGTATGTGTTGATGACATTCATCTGCATCTCTGCTCTTGTGAGAGGCTCTTTTGCTTGATATTTGAGGAGAAGAAACTGCACCAACTTGTCCACCTTTTCATCCAGTGTATAAGTGAACAAGGGCTCGCTCTCTGGCAAGCTGTGCCAGGTACTTGTATCTTCATCTTATTGGCTGCTAGGCTCTTCATTGAATGGGCTTCATAAAGTGGAGGAGGAGCAGGACAGGGAACCCTGGAGAGGACCCTGGGGAGGACTCTCAGGAGGATTCTGGGGAAGAGGCAGCATCCCAGCAGACAGCTACTCCTCCTCCTCCTCATGAGCACCAAGAATCAGAGTAGAGGATGAGGAGGAGGAGGAGGAGGAAGAGGAGAAAGAGGAGGAGAAGGAGGAAGAAGAGAAGGAAGAGGAGGGGAATAATAAGTAGAAAGAGGAAGAGGAAATGGAGGAGGTTTTCTCCTCTTCCTCCTCTGTGGAATCCTGTGCATCTGCCAAGTTCTCTATCACAGTTTGGTTCTGGAAGTCTTTCTCAAAGTTGCCGCTAGGAACATTTCAAAACACAGGCATAACGTCTTCCTTAGGAGCAGGAGGTAAATGTGTGAGCAGGGATGTGGATGATGGCATCCAACAGGCCTGAGGGAGAGAGGGACACTGCAAGTGGCCTCAGCTGAGAAACTCACCCATGGTGGTTCTGACAAAGGCCGGCTTACAGCTCTTCTTCTCTTAAGGTGGTGCTCTAGGGCCTCACGGGTCACCTGCCATCCTAGGGGGTTTGTCCCCTGGGAACCTGTAGGAGGATGTGAGAAAGCACCTCGGGGCACAGCTGGCAGGCAGAGCCTGAGGCACCAGGAATGGCAGTAGGTGGCTATGGCCAGGTGCTGCCAGGTCTGCTCTGTTTGTGGGGGTAGGGCCCTTGGTACACAGTCAGGGCGTGCACTCACCTTGACTCCTGATATTGCCTGGGCCTCCTCTGCTGTGCTGACTTTAGGAAGTGTGCCTCAGACCCAGGTCTTCAACTCCTGGTTCCTGGAGCACCTGCAAGAGGAAGTGAGGGAGCCCCTCAGGCTAAAGACTGCAAGCAGAGTCTTGGGCCTCCCAAGGCTGACAGCTGGGGCTGACCAGACTCCCAGAGCCCCACAGTTCTGGACTGCATGGTCCCATCAGAATTTAATTAGCATCCTCACCTTTTCTCAGACAGGGCCATGTCCCTACCACTCTTCTAGCCAAAACTCAGGGCAAACTCCACATCCCTGAGAGCAGTGGGAGGTAGTGAGGTGGCAGCCACCTCCCAGCACTCTACCACGGGGGCAGTTGGGCTGGCCTCACATCTGTTCTGATGCACATGTGACTCCTCAGTCCTCACTCTTATCCCCAGCAGGGCCTGGGAATCTTCCCTCTGCCAACTGGAGGCAGCTCCCTGTGCTGATTTGCCACGGGACCCTCAGACCAAGGCCTTCCCTTTCCCTGCACCTCTCACCCAGCAATGAGAGGGCTGCCGCTCAGCCTGAGCTGACTGGGGAGCTCTACGAGGGCTGATATGGAGGAGCATGCTGGGAATCTCTGGGAGTCTGTCCTCTGAGGTGGCGTTTCCCCTTGTCCTTCTCAAAGTCTTCCTATTTATTCCCTAGAGAGCTGGCACCTCCTCCCTTCTTCTGTCATGAAGACGTGTCCCTCAGCCCTCGGTTACCCTCTTCCTGTCTGCGACCTACAATCTCACAGCAGGTAGAGGGCAGGCAAGAGCTTCTTCTTTCTGTGGTGGGAGGTCCCTCAGTTCTCCCTTAGGGCCCTTACCTTGAGGATCGGCCAGTTCTAAGAGTCTTCTGTCTGCTGATCTCAATTAAGCCTTCTCACAAAATGCCTCAAATACTTCAGACTCCCAGTGGGGCTAGGTCTCCTCTCTATGGAGGAACCACCCCTCACCTCTCTACCTCTTTCCCACACTTTCCTGACCACCTCCCGGCCCTTCTCCACCCCTTCCTGCCCATCTCCTGGGCCCCCTCCACCCCTTCCTGCCTACCTCCCCGACCCTTTCCACCCCTTCCTGCCCACCTCTCGGTATCCCTCCACCTTTTCCTCCTCACTTCAAAGCCCTCGTCCATATTTCCCTGCCCACCTCCCCGCTTTCTCCCCCCACAACCTTTTTCCAGGGCTGACGGCAGGAAGGGAAAGGGTGTAGCCTGTGCCTCTCCTCCATGTTGGAAGGTCACTGTCCTTCCACAGAGTTCTCTTCTCGTTGAGTGGCCAGTCCTGGGGTTCCTCCCTCTGCTTAACTGAAACTGCCCTCCTCAGAGAAAACTTCCCCTCCGGCTGACTCCCAAAATGCAAGTCAGAAAGTTGTAAACCTGGGGACCCTGATAGGGTCCTCCAGAGCTGGCAGCAGGCACAGGGACAGGGGAGGGGCACTACCAGTCATGGGTGTTCCCTTCCTGCCTTCCCGAGAGGCTGTGCCTGGACTCCTGGAAACCGCCTGGCCTTCCTGCCTCTGTGCAACTGAGTCTTTCACCTCCGAATAAGCCCCTCCCATCCCTGAGACCTGCAAGGTGCAAGAGAGGGAGAATCACATCCACCCACAGTGGGGTGGGGCCTCCCAGGCCCAAGGCAGGACTCTGGTGTCCTTTTTCTAAAATGGGGTGGGCAGGACTCTCTGTTTTCCTGCAGTTATTATTCCTGACATGGCCTGGGAGCCCTTCCCCTGCTGTCCAGAGACTATGTTCTTCAGATCAAGGTCCCCATTTCCATGAGACGCCCCCCAAGACGAAGTGAAAAGCGCTAGCATCTCTGACTGAGGGCCCTGCCCAAGGCCTCCCAGGGGTGAAAACAGGGCCTGGATTTGTGTGTCCTTCTGTTTCTTGGGAGGGGTGTCTCACCAGTCCTTCCTCTGTGTCATCCTGGGGATGCCTGGAAGGGCCTGAGTCCCTTCACCTCTCATGATCTGAAGTGAGACTCACCTAGGCAGAGCCTTCTCCTCTTTCTACCCTCTAAAATGTCAGGGGGACACCACAGTGGGCCACCATGCCCCAGGGCCTCCCAGGGCTGACAGCAGCAGTGGAGCTGGATTCTGTGGATCCTTCTCTTTGTGGGCAGGGAGTCTTGCAGTTATCTCTCAGAGGCTTCATGTGACTACTGGCTGGTCCTGGGTCTCCCTGTTCTTCTCATGATGACAGTATAACATACGGCAAAAAATAATGTAATTTTACCCTGAATAAAGCTAAAAAGCACGATGATGCCATGGTAATCAAGTTAACATCATCAGTGACAAATTTTGTTGGTACTATGTGCTGTCGGTATGATAAGAACGGCACTTCACCTCTCTGTTCATCCTTCCAGGAAACATTACCTACATCAAATCATGACAGAAAAAAATCACATAAATCCCAGTCAAAGTCAATTTTACAAAATACCTAACCATACGAAACTGTCAAAACTGTCAATGTTTTCAAAATCGAGAAATGTCTCAATCAACCGGTACAGCCAAAGGGCATCGAAGGAACATGATAACTAAATGTAATGGAGTATCCTTAGGGGATCCTGGCATAGAAAATAGAATTTCGTGAAAAGTAAGAAAATGTGACTGAAGTATGTTCAATAATAAATAAAGAATGTTTGTTAAAAACAATGTACAAATACTGGCTCATTAGTTTTAGGAAACCTTACCAAGGTAAGGTGTTAATAACAGGAGGCATTGAGTGTGGAACATATGAGAACTTTCTTACTATTGTTATAATTTTCTTGTAAATCTAAAATTATTTAAACATAAAGTTTATCAAATATGAAAAATGTTACCAAACTAGATAAAAGGATATGCATGAAAAACCTACAACAGATACATCTTTTAAGGAAATGTTGGAAGCCTCTAGTTTGAACTTGAGACCTAACCTAGAGTTTCTGCTACAAGTACTTCTATTACTTTTTATACTAGAGGTAGTAGCCAGTGTAGTAATCCAAAGAGCAGTAAATGAAGGAATGAGGATTGGCCAGTTGGAAACAAAGCGTTTGTGATTCATGCATGATTAGACTGTGCATGAAAAGAATCCAAAACAACTAAAGATAATTTATTCAATATATAATAGTATATCAGTTTGCTAGTATAAGGTCAATATTCAAAAGAATATCAACTTCGTTTTTTGTCAGGGAAAGAGTATGAAAATGAAAGTAAAGACTATATAATTTTAACCTATAGTACCAAAATATCAAGTATCTTAGGAAAATAATTTAACCAAAAACATTTTAACCAAATAAGACTGGGAGGCAGCTGATGGCTGGTTAAAATATTTTTTGGTTAAAAAAGCTTAACCAAAAAATTTTTACAGACAAAAATATTAAAATGCTGTTGAGGCATATTAACAAAGACCTACCTGAACATAAAATAAAATAAATTCATGGGCATGAAGATTCAATATTTTAAATATGTTGATTCTTCCCAAAAAGGAATCTACAGATCGACTGCAATCCTAAATCAAAACTGCCAAAGGGCTTTGGACATGAAGGCATGTGTGAATCACCTGATTCTAAAATATAAAGACATGCAAATGGACAAGCATAGTCAATATACACTTGAAAAAGAGTCATTAGTCTACCAGACAGTAAGAATTACAAAGCTACTATAATGAAGAGTTTGAGATTTGGGTGCAGAGATTGACAGATAGACCAAAGGAACTGAATGGAGAGTTCTGAAAAACAAAACCAACAAAACATGTATAAACATGTGCTTAACTGATTTTTAAAACTTGCAGCTTTAGAACAGGAGACAGTCTTCTTGAAATAAGTGTCAGTGGAACAACAGAATATCCATACAAAAACCCTAATGTAAGTGGAACCCTTTTTCATATTAAACAGAAAAAACAATTACAGGGAAATTCAAAACCTACCTTAAAATATGTTTATTATAAAAAACCTCAGAAATACACAGACATTCTTAGAATAATAAGTCTTTGTATAAATTATCTTTAAGCAAGTTCGCAGTATGAGTAAATTAGAGCATCTGTAAGGCTGGATTTGAAAGCACTGAAAGAGGCTGGGGTCTTTGGTCACTTCAGTACCAGGGAGAAGTAAGATAAGAGTCAAAGAGGAGCACAGGAAATAGCAGCTACTTCTGCCCCCTTGTCTCAGCCATAAAAGGCCTGACTGCTTTCATGAACCTTTGCTTCCTGAGAGCAGGACTTGAAATCTCAATAGTGGCTGGGGGAAGGCTACCTGGGACAACTTTGCATTAATTCCCTCTTACTTGGCCAGTCCTCCTGCTGACCTCTGGAACTCTGGGGGTCCAAGAAATATAATGTGAGCAGTTCTACTCCAGAAAGTCATGAATGGGGGATGTTGTGTTGATGACAGAAACCTGACCAGGTCCACAAATACTTTACTGACTTAAGAGGCAGTGCCAGTTTGCCCAAATGTGATGGGAATAGAGGTTTATTTTCCTCTCCACATAGATAGGAGATTCACATACTTCCTTTCAGCTGTTCTTACTCCTGACAGGACCCTCAGCAGGATTCAGGAACCCTGAGATTCCAAAAAAGGCTGACTTGTGGCTTTGCCAGAGACTTCCCTGAGGGTTGGGGCCCTCTTCATTGACTATGGCCAGGATCAACTCAGCCGTTCATGAGCTGACTTCCTTCTTCAGCTTTGGCTCAGTGTCCCGGGGCAGTGGGACTCTGCTCATAGCCAGGATTGGTGGACCAAACCTCAGCGCTCAAGGTGGAAACCCACAGACAAGGAAGCTCTTCTCCTAGACTGGGAGGCAGCTGGTGGGTAAATTCCAGCTCTGGTCCCATGCCCTCGGGAATTATCTTCATGGAGTTGTTCTTCTGAGGTCCCAAGAAGGGAGCATTTCTTATGGATGATAAAAAGAAAATGGAAACCTATTCTTTTACCTCCTGGTATTGGAAATAAGTCTCCTGTCCAGAAGAGAGAGGGACTAACGTTCTTGGGATTCAATCAATGGGGAGTGTCAGGGACCTTTTAAAGGAGTGAACACAACCATTTTCCAAACATGCCCCAAATGACTCACCTTCAGTTCCTTATTCTCACGTAGATTCAGCCTTCAAAGAACATGCTGCCTCTGTCACCGAAGATTTACCATAGTTGCCATGAATATAGATGTTTTGCGCACAGGTTTGGGGGAGGGGAGGGCATTCCCTGAGTTCAAGGAAGAAGGAGCATTTGTGTGTGGTTCAGAGAAGTTATAAAATAAACATGAGGGCTGACAACTTATTAAAAAATAATAGCTCAATGTGACTTTTTTGCTATAGGTGGCACATGTTTTGATATACTTGATGCCTCCCTTTCTCTCAATTTTTATCAAATCCAACAGCAGCATTTGTTACCCCAACCTCTAAAACCCATGTGAAGTCCCTCCACTTCAATTGATCTCCATTACTACCTCTGTGGTTCATCTCTCACCTAGACTAAGACAAACCCTCTTTTGCTGGTGCCTCTCCTTTCACATTCAGTCCTGTAAAATCCATTCTTTTCTCAGCATCCTTTTGAAAACCCAATGCATGGCTGATTTTTAAAACTTTGTATAGATCAGCGTTCACTATAATGAACATTTTTATTTATCATAGCAAATATAGAGTCTTACATCTACCACTAAAATGTCATAGAGATCCCTTCTTTTAGCCTAAAATTTCTCTTGCTTCACCTTGATAGTCAACCACCACCCCCTACCCAAATCACAGCAAAAACAGTGTGTTTAGTGTGTTTTCTTTATCTACTTTTTTTTTTTTTACCATTTCCAGATTTAAAATGCATAGAATAATACAATTCTGTTTCTAGAGTGAGTGTATTTTTTTTTCAAATTAAAATCAGCAATGACTGAGGGTACCTGTTCTTCAGCCTCCTGTTGAGTGTTTGAAATTTTCAGGCATTTTGATTTTAGCCACTCTAAAAGATGTGTAGTGGTATCCTGTTTTACTTTGTAATTCCCTAGTGACATAAGATGCTAATCATCTTTTTACATGATTATTTGCAATGTGTATATATTCTTTGGTGTAGTGTGTATCTACTCAGATCTTTTGTCCATTTTTATTGGATTGCTTTCTTGTTATTGAGTTGAGGGTTCTGAATATATTTTTGATACACATCTTCAGTCAGATTTTTTTTGCAAAACTTTTATCCTCGTTTCTCGTTTTTCCTTTTTGTTCTCTTAACAGAATTTTTTCATTTTTATGAAGCCAAACTTATCAATTTTTTCTTTCACAGATGTTCCTTTTTGGGTTGTATCTAAGAAGTTTTCTCGAACCATAGTTACTTAGGTTTTCCCCTGTGGTATCTTCTATGTGTTTCATAGGTTTTTTAAAATTTTATTTTCACATTTAGGTCTGTGATTGAATTTATGTGAGCTTTTGTGAAGAGTTTAAGGTCTGTGCCTAACTTCATTTTCTCCATGTGGATGTCCACTTGTTCTGGTATAATTAGCTGAAAAGATTATTCTTAATTTAAATGCCTCTGATTCCTTGTCAAAAGTTGGTTGACTATATTTCTGTAGGTCTATTTCTGGGATGTCTATTGCATTTCTTTGACTTTTTTGTCTATTATTTCTTTAATATCACACTGTCTTAATTATCGTAACTTTATAGTAAGACCTGAAGTTGGGAAGTGTTAGTCTTCCCACTGTCTTCTTCTTTAATATTGTGTTGGCTAATCTTAGTCTTTTGCCTTTCCACATAAAACATATTTTAGTCCTTAAAATAAGTTTGTTGGTATCCACAAAACAACATGCTAGGATTTTGACTGGGATTTTAGGCAATCTATAGATCAAGTTAGAATTGACATCTTGACAATAATGAGTCTTTCTATCCTTGAAAATTGAATATCCCTTCATTCCATTCATTAGAGTCTTATAGTTTTCTTTATACAGACCTTGTGCCTACTGTGTTAGGTTTCTAAAACAATTTTTAAAAAGACAGTGAAGTTGGAGGAATCACACAACCCAATTATATTATTTACTATTGACAGAGCAGGAGCACTGTCATCTTGGACAAACATCGCCACTTTAAGTTCCAGCTCCCTTTCTAGCCTCATGCATTTCAAGGAAATCACTTCTCTTTTGACAACAAGCAGCCAGAAAGAGCAGACAGTAAAACACAGATAAAACAGCTTGGGTATGGGTGTTGGGGTGGTGGTGGAGGAGGTGGGAGTATCTTAGGTAACTGCCAAACTTCACCCTCATACAATGGGCCCCAGTAAAACAGTGCGCCTTAATAAGCACATTCCTTTCCCTTCAGGTGCACTAAGATTGGGAAGCTAAAAGCAGACTCAGGGAGTATGCCTGCAGCTGCAGGAAGAGGTATGGGAACAGATACAAAACTGTCCCTCCCAGATAAGCACAACAAAGAAACACAAAAGCAGTCCAAGCCTCTGATAACCTCTCCCACCCTAAATCCTTAAAAGCTCTTAGTCTGTAAGAAAGAGTGCCTCTCACCTAACTCGGCCAGAAGCTCCTCTCAGGTTTGTTTTCCCTAAAATAAATGTGCCTTGACTGTCAAGCCACCTTTTGTGTTTCTTTCCTTTTCCTTTAATTCTTACATTTGGTGCCAAAACCCAGGATGGGTGTTGGGGGCAAAGGCTCTCTTGCAACCCAAGAAGCAGTGGGCAATGGCAGTTCATCCTGAGTTAACTCCTGGATCCTGAGGGTCTCTAGCCACCCACCCCATCTTTTCTCTCACTTCACTTTTCAAGTGATTTGCGTGAGGAGGACAACTAACCTGAAGGGGACTGTGAGGCTCAGGCCGGGGCTACTCCCCAGTGGACTCTCAAAACCCTCAGGTCTCAAGATTCCACCACCAATGACCTGCAGTGGATATTTCACTCCCTAACCCTTGCTCCCTCTTCCTTCTTCCTCCGTCTTTCTCTCTCTCTCTCTCCTCCTCATGTGGCTCCAGTCTAGGAGGCCCTTTACCAATTCCAACTGGAACATCCAACATCGGACACTAATTCAGCCGGCTGGTAAAATTTGCCTTCTCCTGGCTTTCTCCTGGTACCTGAGAAAGTCTGGCCTGCCATCCTGGTCCTCAGAGAACCAGTGGGACTAAGCTAGAGGAAATCTTGGGGATGTGCAGTTTCTTCTCAGATTAACTGTCCTCTTTCAGAAAGAGGATTCTGGGTCTCTGTCTTCTGTCTGGGGATGCCTAGAACAAAACAGACACCCTCGGCCTCCTCTCACCAGCTCACATGGGTCACAAACAATCCCACATTCCTACGTCCTTCCCTCTGGGCTGTCTTCTTTGCAACCTCACCAAACTTGGTTTACGGAGACCCTAAAGCCAAAGCGTTTAATTTTCTACTGTAAAATGGCTTGGCCCCAATACAGATTAGATAACGACAGCCAATGGCCCAAAAATGAAACCTTTAATGTTCATACTATCAGGGACCTTACCAACTTCATAACGAGGAATGGCAAATGGCAAGAGGTTCTCTATTTTCAGCCTTTTTTATTTTTACCTTAAATCCTGACCCTCCCTATGTCAAGCTTTCACCCCTCATAAAATCCTTCTTCTTAATAAAAATCCTCCCCAGGTCTCTCCTTCCCCTAAAACCCCTTTCTCCAAAATTCCTTTCAACCCTGCAGATGAACCCCTTCTGTATTCTCAACCCCCTGCACCCGCTCATTGCCCGTGTGAACCCTCTGCCCCAGCAGCCCCTCCTGTCCCCAAGCCTTTAGCCCCTAACCTTGCCCCTCCTACTTCTCCACCTGTTACCCATTCAAAAACTACTCCAGCCAGTCAGACAACCCCTGCCATTCTCCCTCTCTGGGAAGTGGCTAGATTTAAAGGCATTGCTCACAATCATGTCCCTTTCTCCATGTCTAATCTGTCACAAATCAAACAGCATCTGGATTCTTTCTCTGAAAATCCCTCTCCTTTTCACAGGGAATTCCTGCACATAACCTAATCCTTTAATTTAACTTGGCATAACATTTATATAATTCTAACCTCCGCCTGTTAAAAAAGAGTGCTCAGCTTAATTAAAATGGATATCCAAGCTATAATTATATTCAAAAGACCTTTATCTCTTCATAAATCTTGTTTTCCTGGAAAACGTTTTCCCTCAGCCATCTGAATTACTTCTCTCCACTCTGTCTTGCCACACTCTTGGTGCATGCATAAGAAACCCTAAAATGACTTCTGGTGGCCTGGGACTCCTTGGGAAAACAGAAAAGGCATCACAAATCCCATTTTGGAAAAAAAATCTCTGTTTTCCTTATGGAATCCCTGGAATTAGACGTAAATAAGTACCTCTCGAAATCTGTCTTTGTCTTCAATCTATGCTTGTTTATTAGGCCCTGGAAACTGTATTCCTAGCTCTGTTCTTAAAGGGCCTCACCTGAAGGCCAATAATCCAATTGGGAAATTACCAAATAAAAAATCTTATAACTACTAGATCTTCTTCTGTTGCCCGTGTGGTTATATATGTGTTATGTGTGCAATGTCTATTTAAAAAAAGCTTTAATTAATTGGCCTAAGAAAAATAAGTGCTTAAATCAAACATCTTTAAGGCAAAAATAAAAGTTGTGGTACCTTTTAGTTCACCTAACTTTAATATTTAAAAATAAAAACAGTCTTAGGAATTATTGGTAAAATACTAATGTCTTCAAGGTGTAAAAATGTGGTCTACATTATGCAGGTCAGATATTAGGTTTGCTAAATGTTTCAAGGTTGTAACCTGCTTCTTTGGCCTTTAAAAACTGTCAACTTGCCTGTGTCACAATTGGTAAGGCCAGACAGGTATGGAAGTAACCATGCCCCTAACTATGCTGGAAAAAGTCCAACTTCATCTGCATCTAGCACATAATTTAAAAAACTTAACAGGTTATACATGAAAGTTAAAAATTGCTAAAAGTTACCATTATAACATGTAATTAAAGCTACTAAACATGGATTTGGGTGCAAGGTGTATAAAAACAGTAAAAAGTGTTTTTAGTTAAAAATTATAAGAAGGCATAAAAATACACATTTTTCTTAAGAATAAAAAAGTCTTAAAATTAAATAAAATAAAGTGAATGGTTTCAGCAAATTATAAAAACATTGTAAAAATTAATCTTGCAAAAAAAACCTGTGTAAACATATTAACTAAACTCAAAAGGGTATTATATGGGTTTTTTTTCTGTAAATTAAACACTAAAATTAAAGCACCACAAAGTTTTCTTAAAATGCTAATCTACTCTTTAGCAAAACTTGTCAAGGGTCTTAACAGGTATATAAAAATCGCACTTCATGGTCAAACTGGTTAAAATTAAACAGGATTGTCTATAAGGTTTCATTAAAATTCAGGTTAACGTTACTAGCAAACTAATGCAAGGGTAAAATTTAACTTTCTCTCTTAAACAGGATTTTCATGTAATAAAAAGGCTAATAAATGGGTTTTGCTTTTCCAAATTTTTAACTCATCATTTTGGCAAAACAAAACAAACTAACAAAAACCAACTTAGGGTGATCTAAAATTCTATTTCATAATGTCAAGTGTTTTAAATTTTAAACATATTTAATACGCTTCCCAAAATCAAACTTTAGTGTCAAGGTTGTCTTTCCTAACCCCTGGCTTTTGGGTACTGCACAGGGCCCCTGAAGCATCTGGAAAAGAGGTAAACAGAATTATTTAACATGCTTAGGTAGATACAATTGCAAAAATGATGTCTAATAGGTTATATTTTAGGGAATAATAATATATGTTCCAAAACTGTATGGTATGTCTAAAGTTCTCGTGTCCAAATATGTGCTATTAATCATAATTAAAGTTGTTATGTTAGGTTATTGTAAACCACAGAAATAACCAAATTTCTTTGTCAGTTGTGTTTCTAATTGTATCCAAACTAGACATTTTGTTATTTACAGACAATCGTTATTTTCTTTTAATTCTCTTCAAAACATGATTTATAATCAAGCTGTGTCGCCTTAGCAAGTGCTCTCAAATGGAGGTTTCTCACAACAACAACAACAAAAAATGTACAGAACTCATGAACAGCTAAAATGTTTATAAATATCAAGCAAAACAAAAGTTAATAAAATGGACTAAACTAATAAAAAACAGAAACAAGTTTTACCTTTTGCTTAAAACACTGCTAATCCTTATTTTACTTTTCAAAGTCAAGAAAACTTGTCTTAAGCTAGCTACAGCCTTTAACAACTAAGCAAAGTATACTCCTGTAAAGTGAATTTAAAGGTTGTTTGTTTCTTTCTGCCTAGTTCCTCTAAAATTTAAAAACTAGTTGTAAGTATTCTTACATTACAACAATATAGTTGTTTGCATAAGCACAATAAGAACCTGTTTTCTTTTGTAACAGAACACAATTAAAAAAAAAACTGGTTATTTTACCAAGGCTTTAACTGGAATGGTATGCTCTCCTTTAAAAAATCAAAGAACTGGCCGGGCGCGGTGGCTCACGCCTGTAATCCCAGCACTTTGGGAGACCGAGGCAGGTGGATTACGAGATCAGGAGATCGAGACCATCCTGGCTAACACGGTGAAACCCGATCTCTACTAAAAATGCAAAAAAAAATTAGCCAGGTGGGGTGGCGGGCACCTGTAGTCGCAGCTACTCGGGAGGCTGAGGCAGGAGAATGGCGTGAACCCGAGAGGCGGAGCTTGCAGTGAGCCGAGATAGCACCACTGCACTCCCGCCTGGGTGAAAGAGCGAGACTCCATGTCAAAAATAAAAATAAAAATAAATAAATAAATAAATAAATAAATAAAATAAAAATTTTAAAAAAAATCAAAGAACTTATATAGCCAATAAAACCCTTGAAAAATCGACCTCGTATTTTGTGTACACAGTCCCTGTACAGAGTTTCTAATCTATGGTAAGTAAAGAATGTCACTTTCTAACAGGCCAGGAATCCCAAGTGATCTTAGAACCTCAAGAAAAAAAATTTGCCCAACTCATAGGTATTTAATGGTACAAATCCATGGCTAGGCTTGGCTTTTAAAAGTCTTATCTCAAATTCCTTCCATGAAACAAAGTTCCATCAAAGCCAATTTAAAAGGTCTAGTAGCAAATTCTTGCTGCACTGTATATAAATAATTAAGCCAAGTATAATAAAGCAAATCAATCCTACCATAATTTGTCTTTTAATAAAAATGGGAAACTGAAAAAGGAAAATTATGTTTCAAAAACTGTAGCTCACCTGTTGTTAAATTCTAGTCTGGCCTAATGTTTTTCAATTTTTATTATTTGCTACAGTTTAAACTATATCTGTTACAGAAATTAACTCCTGGATACATCACACTCAAATCAAAGCCTAAAAAGCTAAGAAAGCAACCCCTAACAGCCCAGAAAAAGTCCTAAATATTAATGTAAATAAATAAAAAATCTTAAGCTGAAAATCATAAAAAATAAGTAATGGAGTAAAAATTACCCATTTTACTCAATCTCACCCCTACCTCACCAAATACTTTTTTTCATTTCTACCTCTCCTTTTTTTTTTGAAGGCGGAGTCTCGCTCTGTCGCCCAGGCTGGAGTGCACTGGCGCCATCTCGGCTCACTGCAAGCTCCGCCTCCCGGGTTCACACCATTCTGCTGCCTCAGCCTCCCAAGTAGCTGGGACTACAGGCGCCCACCACCACTCCTGGCTAATTTTTTTGTATTTTTAGTAGAGATTTGGTTTCACCGTGTTAGCCAGGATGGTCTGGATCTCCTGACCTCATGATCCGCCCGCCTTGGCCTCCCAAAGTGCTGGAATTACAGGCGTGAGCCACCATGCCCAGCCTCTACCTCTCCTTTTAAGCCAAATATTAAAACATTTTTAATAAAAATTATTTACTATGCAACCCTTGCAGGAATTGCTTTACTCACTCTACTATTTGCAGGAGGACTATATACTGTAACACCCTCAAGGTAAAATATCAGACAGAAAATCTCAGTTACTATAACATTTTGCTCAATTATTATCCTCATAGCAGCAGTAACAGTTACTAACAAAAAATAATGCATAGGCCTTTCCAGTTTTATTTTAGAAAAATACACCCGAGAGGGGTTTTTGGGCAAGTTAGGTTAGAGGCACTCTTTTCGTTTGTTTGTTTTGTTTTGTTTTTACAGACTAAGAGTTTTTAAGGATTTAGGGCGGGAGAGTTTATCAGAGACTTGGACTGCCTCTGTGTTTCTTTGTTGTGCTTATCTGGGAGGGAGAATTTTGGGTCTGTTCCCATACATCTTCCTGCAGCTGCAGGCATACTCCCTGAGTCTGCTTTTAACTTCTCTTAGTGCACCTGAAGGGAAAGGAATGTGCTTATTAAGGCCCATTGTTTTACTGGGGCCCACTGTATGAAGGTGAAGTTAATAAATCTGTCTTTAGCTGTCAAGCCACCTTTCCTGTTTCTTTCTTCTTTCTTTGATTCTTACAACTGTAAGGCTACAGTAATAACAAAGAAAGTATGGCATTGGTTAAAGGATAGATTTTTTTTTAATGGAACAGAAGAGATAATCCAAAGGAAGGCCCCAGTGAGGTCCATTCAGTGTTTACAAATGTCTCAAGACAACTGAATTGAGAAAATTAGTGGTGGTTTTTTTTTTTCTGAAAACCTTTCTTTTGTTTATATTTTATTTCATCACTTTCTCTCTTCTTCATCTAACCTCCCTTGGCTATTGTCCTTCACTCAAAGGCACCCATTCTTGCTTGTTTTGTGAATGTCTATTTCACTATTCATATATTAATTTACGCATACGTGAAAGTATGTAATATTATTGTGTGTGTGTGTTAAATGTACAGAAGTAGTATTTGGTCAGAAATCTTGCTTCATTTCTTATTTTGAAGGTAAGCCTTATTTGAGCTTCATTTTCATTGCAGCATATAGATTTGGTTTATTTATCAGATACCTGGATAAATTCCTTTTTTATGTGTTACTTCATTTTACTTATGAAATCCCCTAGTGGTTACTTTTTACTCTTTGAAATTATGCTCAATTAATATTCATTTACATGTTTCGTTGTGCATTTATATGAGTTTCTGTGGGCCTATATCCAGGAAGGAAATTACAAAGTTGTAGAGTACAAGCGCTGTAGGCTTGATTGCTTTCCAAAAAGGTTGCACTAGCTTGCATTTCTATTAGCACTACAAGAGTGTTTTTGTTTTTTCACATTGTCATCAGCACTTGATATTGTTTGTTTTTCTACTTTTTGACAATTAAATGTGTGTAAAGTGGTATTTTAATCAGTGCTATGAGTTCAACTGGACATCCACATGCAAAAATATAAAATAAAATTTACCTGAATTGCATACTTAATATAAAAATTTTTTTAACATGGATTACAGCTCCATGGATTATAATTAAATTAGAAGCTATAAAACTTATGAGAAAACATAGGAGGAAATCTTTTGAACTGGACTTAGGCGAAGAGATGTAATACCTGAAACTAAATCATGATTCATTTAAGAAAATGATATATTAGACTTCCTCAATTTTAAAAATCTTTTCTTCCCAGGGCTAAGAGTGGAAACGGACTGGATTCTGTGAGGTCCCTGTGTACTTCTCAATTTCTCAAGGTAATCATATTTACTCTTGATCAGGGTCTTCACCCCGGCCCTTCTGCTGACTTGAGGCTGGCTTCCTCACACCAAGGATATCACCTCCATGAAATCCTCTAAAAGGATGTCAGGGGATAGGGAGAGTTGTTGCTACCTGATACCCATGCATGGGACCTCTCAGGATTCACACGAAGAGGAAGGTTCTTTGAAGCTCAGTCCATCTATAGAGGAAGGCTATCTTTGTCCTTTCTCTGCATTCTCACCTTAATGCATGCTGGAGCTGGAACTTCTCTCTCTGCTGACTTGAGTCTAAGGTGAGGAAGCCTCACCTCCCTCAGGCCCCAAAAATGAAGTCTACGGACATCAAAACTGGGGAAACCTGCCTTGGGCCACCCAGGGCTAACAGCACAGGGAGGGCAGGGCTAAAACTCCCTATATCTGTGGCAGGAGGTCCCCTCAGTCTTTCCTTAGAGTCCTTACCTTGAAGTATGTGGGGCAGAGGACAAGACTATCCATTCGCTGATCTGAAGTTCCACCCCTCAGAAAAAGCCTCACCTCCCTCAGATGCCCAAGATGAAAGGCAGAATAGTCCTTATCTGTGGCCTTTTTCCGGGGCTACTCAGGTCAAATATCAGGGGCAGGACTAGGCTGGGGCAACCTCTACCTGTGATGGAAGATCTACTCTATTCTTCTTTAGTGTCTTTCCCTTGATGAGTGAAAGCAATTAGAGAAAAAAAATGTCAAATTAAAAAGTATAAAATTTTATAAGAAAATATAAGGTAAATCTTATGACTTGGAATTAGGAAAAGATGCCTCAAAAATAAAACCAAAATTCAAAAAGAAACAATATATCAGACATCCTCAATAATTTTAAAAATTAGTTTTGAGAAAGACACTGTTGAGAGCAGAAAAAGTCAAACAACAGGTTGAAAAAAAATTTATAAATTACATATCCAAAAAGCACCTGTATCCAGAATACAGAAAGGGCTTTCAAAATCCAAAAATTAGAAAACATTTTCAAAATGGGCAAAATACACCAATAGACACTTTTCTAAAATTGACATACAAATGTTAAATAAGCACCTGAAAAATTATCCTACATCATTAGATTTTACAGAAAAACAAATTAAAATCAAGGTAGATGCATCATATTTTTGAGGACTGCTGAAAAATCCACTGACATTACTAACTGCTAGCAAGGATGAAGAGCATCTTGAACACTATTGTGTTTCCTGTGTGAATGTAAAATTGTGCAGTCACTATCTGGAAATTTCTTTTATTTCCCCCAGACTTCTTTTTTTTAAATTTATTTTAAGTTCAGGAGCACATGTGCAGGTTTGTTACATGGGTAAACTTGTGTTGTGGGGGTTTGTTGTACAGATTATTTCATCATCCAGGTATTAAACCTAGTACCCATTAGTTATTTTTCCTGATCCTCTCCCTCCTGCCATCCTCCAACCTCCAACAGGCTTCTCTGTGTGTTGTTCTTCTCTGTGCATCTATGTGTTCTCATAATTTAGCTCCTACTTATAAGTGAGAACATGCAGTATTTTGTTTTCTGTTCCTGCGTTAGTTTCCTAAGGATAATCGCCTACAGCCCCATCGATGTTCCTGCAAAGAACATGATCTCATTATAAACATACACTTACCATATGACTCAGAAATACCATTACTGTGTGAAATAAATTTGCAAACCTTATGTTCTCACAAAAACCTGTACATTCATTTTTATTATCTTTTTTCATTTTAATTTTTTTTTTTTTTTTTTTGTAGAGATGAGGTCTCACTATGTTGCCTAGGCTGGTCTTGAACTCCTGGGCTCAAGAGATCCTCCTGCTTCAGCTACCCAGAGCACTGGGATTATAAGCGTGAGCCACCATGCCCAGGCCAGAAACCTATACATGAATGTTTATAGTAGCTCTATTCATACTTCCAAAAGCTGAAAAATATGAAATGTCTTTCTGTAAGTGAATGGATTAACAAATTGAGGTGCATCCACACAATGGAATTCTATAGACCAACAAGGAGGAATCAACTATTGACATGCACAGCAATTTGGGTTGAATCCCCTATGCCTCACCTTTGTAGTCAACTAACAGCCTCCTCCAAGTCCCTAGTAATGGTGATCTGTTTTTCGTATCTTTTTACCTTTTTTGGAATGTCTATAAATCAGATAATACAATGCTTTCATCGAACGAGTGCTATATATTTTTTCCAACCAGCAATAAATGAGAGTAGTTCCTTTTGTTTCACATTATCTCTTATATCTGATATTTTAGGATTTTTAGCCACTCTAATTAGTATGTAGTAGAATCTTATTGTGGTTTAATTTGCACTTCCCCAAGGATAAATTATGCTGAGCATCTTTTCATATAATTTTGTGATCTGTATATCTTTTTTATTGAAGTGTATTTTCAAATACCTTGCATATTTTAAAATGAATAGGCTTTATGTTCTAGAATATTATTATGTTTTACCAAAACAAATTGATAAGAAAATACAGAGTTCTCACATATCCACTAACCTCCCCACAGTTTTCCATATTGTTTACATCTTGTAATGTGGTACACGTACTGCAATTGATGAATGTATGTTAATATATTATTATTAACTAAAATTTACAATTTAGCTAGGGTTCATTCTTTGTTTTACATTCTGTAGATATTGACAAATATATAATGTCATGTATCCACTCTTACAGTATCACATAGAATCGTTTCACCGTCCTAAAATGCCCCTGTGTCCCATCTAGTCATCCCTCTTCCTCCTTCCAACGAACCTCCAACAACAACTTATCCTTGCATTGTCTCTATAGTTTTGCTTGTTCTAGAATATCATAGATTTGGTATGATATACTCTGTAGGATTTTTTCACACTTTAAAAACCTTTATAAATAATTTTTTAAAATAAACAAAATAGATAAGGTAGTAGTGAAACTCCGTATATCCATTTCTCAGATTCTGCAATTTCAAGATTTTTAAGAATCATTTTTAAGTTTTTTTGCTATAAAAATATATGTACTTATTTATGGGGTACATGTGAAATCTGGTTACATGTATAGAATGTGTAATAAACAAGTCTGGGTATTTGGGATATCTGTGACCCAAGTTTTTATCATTTCTATGTGCTGGTGCATTTCATGCTCTCTCTTCTAGCTATTTTGAAAATTACAATACATTGCTGTTACTACAATCACCCTGCTCTGCAGTCAACATTAGAAACTATTAATTCTACCTAACTGTATGTTTGTACCCACTAACCAACCTCTCTTCACCACCCCAACCCCTGCTGAAACCATTCACTCACACTCCCCAGTCTCTGGTGTCCGTCATTCCACTTTTTATCTCCATGTGATCAACACTTTATCTCACACATATGAGTAAGAACATGTGATATTTGTCTTTCTGTGCCTGGTTTACATCATTTAACATAAAGACCTGGAGTTCCATCCATGTTGCTGCAAATAAAACTTCTTTCTTTTCATGGCAGAATAATATTCCATTGTGGATATATACCACATTTTCCTTATCCATTCTCCCTTGGTGGACATCTGGGTAGAATCTGTATCTTTGCTGTTGTGAATGGTGCTTCAGTAAACATGAATATGCAGGTATTCCTTTGATATATTGATTCCTTTCCCTTTGGATAAATAGCCAGTAGTGGATTTGCTGGATCATATGATAGTTCTTTTTTTCAGTTTTCTGAGAAATAGCAATACTGTTTTCCATTGCATTTGTACTGATTTACATTCTCACAACAGTGTATAAGAGTTTCCTTTTTCCCACATCCTCACCAGCATCTGATTTTTTTTTGTCTTTTCATAATAGGCATTCTACCTATGGTAAGATAATATCTCATTGGGGTTTTGATCTGTATTTACCTGATGCTTAGAGATATTAAGCATTTTTCCCATACTTGTTGGCCATTAGTATGTCTTTTTTGGATAAATGTGTATTCGTGTCATTTGTCTACTTTTTAATGGGATTTTAAAAAATTGTTGAGTTGTCTGACTTCCTGATATATGCTCAGTAGTAGTCCCTGGTTGGATAAATCATTTGCAAATATTTTCTTCCTTTCAAGGAAGGGAATTGTCTCTTCACTTTGTTTATTGGTTCCTTTGCTGAGCAGAAACTTTTTAGTGTAATATAGTCCCATTTGCCTATTTTTGTGTTTGTTGCATTTGCTTTTGAAATCTTAGCCATACAATCTTTGCCTGGACCAATGTTCTGAAGAGCTTTCCTTATTCTCTTCCAGTAGTTTTATACTTTCAGGTTTTACCTTTAAGTAAAATCTTCAGTTGTCTTATCTCAAGTTGATTTTTGTATATGGTAAAAAGTAGGAGTCCAGTTTCATTCTTCTGCATCTGGTTATCCACATATTCCAGCACCATTACTGAAGAGGCTGCCCTTTCCCCAGTGTATGTTCTTGATGGCTTTGTTGAAGATCAGATGGTTGTAAATATATGGATTTGTTTTTGGGTTTTTCATTTCATTCCATTGTGTCTACTTTTTATATCAATGCCATGCTGTTTTGGTTACTATAGCTTATACAATATTTTGAAGTCAGGTAGTGTTACGCCTCCAGCTTTTCTCTTTTTGCTGAGGATTACTTTGGTTATTGTGGCTCTTTTTTGGCTCCATACAAATTTTCATATTTTTTTTCTAATTCTGTGAAAAACGGCATTGATATTTTGATGGAAATTGCACTGAATCTGTAGATTTCTTTGGCAGGTATGGTTATTTTAATTATATTAATTCTTCTGGTGCATGAGCATGGGATGTCTTTCCATTTCTTTGTGTCCTTTGCAATTATTTTTGACATGTTTTGTAGAGATCTTTTTTCTTGTAAAGATCTTTTACCTCCATTTTAATGACATAATTTTAATACCCTTTCAATTCAGTGTATCTAGCGTCCTCGGATGGCCTTAGACATACCAAAATCAATAGACATCTTTGCTCATCATATCTATCCAAGGCATTAAATCCATCTGGCCAGATCACATCCATACATTCCTTCTTTAAATATAAAGTTTCAAAATTATCTTTGTACTTTTACAAATAAAGACATTTTAATTATGGTGAAATATATATAATAACAATTTTACTATTACAAATGGTCTCCAACTCAATCCAGGTTGCTGCGAATGCTATGATTTCTAAGTATACAGTTCCATGGCACTAAGTACATTCACATTGTTATGCAACCATCACCACCATCCACTTCCAGAACCACTTTGCATTCCAAACTGACACTCTTTATCCATTAAACAACTCCACATTCCCCACCACCACTCCTACAACTTGTCATTTGCCATTCTACTTTCTGTCTGCCTTAATTTGTCTATGCTAGATACCTCACATAAGTAGGATTATAAAGTATTTGTCCTTTTATGATTGGTTTATTTAATTTAGCATAATGTCTTCCAGGTTCATTCATGTTGTAGTGTGTCAGAATTTCCTTCATATTTAAGGAGGAACAATATTCTACGGGTTGTCTGTACCACATCTTGTTTATTCACTCATCTTTCAGCAGACATTTGGGTTGTTTCCACATTTTTGCTTTGGGAAATAATGTTGCTATATATGTGGGTGTACACATATCTGTTAGAGTTGCCATTTTCACTTCTTTTAGATATATACTCAGAAGTAGAATTACTGGATCACATGGCAATTTTATGTTTAATTTTTTGTGAAACCATTAAACTTTATTCCACATAAACTGTATCATTTTATGTTTATAAACATAAGCTGTCTTTCCATTTATTCGAATCAAGAGGGAGCAAAGTGCCAACTATACTTGTTTTGAACTGTCTAGATTAGTGTCATCAGTGTGATGGAACTGGATTGGCTTGCCTTTGGATCCTGCTCACACTACCCTGGTAGGGGAATCAGAGCACATCCTACCTCTGCCAACTGGGGGATGGAAGATCAGCTCTCTGCTAGGCTCATCTACACCATCCTTTAGGAAAACTGTTGCCTGCTTTTGCCAGGTAGAGATGGAAGGCTAACTCCCTGCTAAGCCTTGACAGCATTACCCTGACAAGGGAATCTGAATACCAGCAGTTTCAGCAATAGAGGGGATGTGAGATCATATTCCCAGTCCTCCCTGATAAAACTAAGTGGTAGGAGGGAAGGGCAGAAGAGGTTATTGAGCTTTGTCTTTTCATGTTTGGCTAGAATAGGACACGTATTGCAAAAAGCTTTTCTGTCATTAGGCCAAGCCGTTCCTTCTCTTTTGGCTTTGGGAAATAGGTTTTCCTTGGAAGATAATTTTGTCTTTTTTGTTGACAGCTCTGGGTTGGAAATGTCTGCAGTGCCCTATCTGGGATATAGGGGAGACAATAAGAAAACCCCCAAAACTCACTGTCATGTTGTTCCTTAAGTCCTAAATCCCTCTGTAGTTTACCTTCTTTATTCCACCTTTTAGAGTCACTTGATGTTTGTTTGAAATGTTACGTGCAGGGTTTTTAAGTTGTAAGGTGGAGGATATGAGATAAATGGTGCTATGCCATTTTGGTAGCATCAGAAGTGTTTTGGAATATATATTTTTAAAATACAGATAACGGACAAAAGATTAATATCTGTAATGTCCAAGGTCTCCTACTGATGCTAATAAAAACCAATTCAATAGATAAAAATGTAGTGAGCAGATATGTATAGGGTATTCACAAAAAAGTAAATCTAAACAGTCTGCAAGCATGTTCAGACTCATTAGTAGTCAGGGATATGCAAGTTAAAGCAATATGGATATCACTTTACACTCATCAAACAATTAAATAATCAGTAATGACAGCGCTTGGTGGAAATACAAATCAAAAGGAAACTTTCAAATAGAATAGATACACAATTCACTAAAATCTTTTTGGAAAGCTATCTGATAACACTTATTAATATAGAAAGATACAACCCTCACTTATTAGCAAACTAATTCAGAGGAATCTGTCTCATAGGTACAAAATGCTCTAGGGTTCCCGAGGATGTCTTGGAAGTTAATTTGAAAAAAAAAAAAGACAGAAACAAAGCGAATGGTCATTCATTTGGGGTTAGTCATATGACTTGTAATATACCATACTATGGAATATTATATAGCTATTAAAATAATGAATTAGAGTTACACAAGGTGACTGGAAGAATTTCCACAAGCTAGGCTAATCTGAGAAACTACAAATGCAGGAAAATGTGTAGGATAATATTTCATTTTTTAAAAATAAACCCCCCAAAAAACCCAGCCACACTCATTATTTATGAATGAATGTATGTATGTTGTGTGTTGTTATATATATACATACACACACACAAACATACACACACTATATATATAGTTTTATATATGTGTGGGGAGCAGAAATAAATATGCAGTAATATGTATTCGGTTTTTAACAAGGGCTTCCATGGTGTGTGTGTATGTATCTCACAAATACATACACACATATTTGGGTTACCAGGCAGATGCTAAGTTGGGAGAATTGGAAATCAAACAACATAAAGAAGAATTTTAAAAAATGAATATGTGAATATGAGCACAGATAATGCATTTATGTAAAATTATGTATGTAAATAAAATAAAGTCATAAAAATAAAACAAAATCGATTACTTGTAAGAAACGAGGTTTTAGAGATTGTTGATTATATGAGAAAGGCACCCATATAAGATAATTCCCTCACTTAAATTAGAAGTGTAACAAAATGCGCTTCCCCATGACCTTAAATCATTAAATTCCATGTGGATTTGAGCAAACAACCGATACCTGGAATTACTTAAACGAATATTTTTCAGCCCAAGACAAACTTGACCCTTCCTTTGCTGAAGAAGCATCAGATAATCCATCTGAGTTGTAAATGTGGATTATTTAATCTTACCAAAAAAAGCTGCATGCATCCTGACATTTTCTGGTAACAACAAACTTTAATGATATTGTTCTTTATTCTCTATTGAGTAATAATTCAATGAAATATCCAGACTAACTTATATGCATAAGTTATAAGTATATAAAGTTATAACTTATATAAAGTGTAACTATCACCTTAAATGGGAAATTAGTATCCTCCCTCAAATTAATTTATGTAAATTAATGCTGGCCATCACAGTAGTTACTATGCATGTATTCATTCATCATACACTTATTTTTTCAAGATATAGGCATTAAGAACCTATGATGTGATAGACTCTGTTCGAGGTGCTCAAAATACAGCAGTTAATATTTCTCACTCTTTTGAACTGCATATTATACTGGAGTGCAATACAATTAGCAAATGAGCCAGATAGTTACCAGAGAGTTTTAAGTATTATAAAGAAAAACCAAGGTGAGGAAAATATTCATGGAGTGAGGGTGGTGCGTGTTTCAGGTGTCAAGGAAAGGCTCTGTGAGTAGTTAACATTGGAGGAGAGACTTGAGTAAAGTGGGGTGGAGTCATCTGGAGTATAGGAAAGAACATTCCAGGCATTAAGATCAGCAAGGATCCAAGTTCTTAGGCAGGAACAAGCCTGACATGTTCAAGAAGCTGTGCAACGTTTCCATAACTAAAGCTTCATGCAGGAAGGAGGGAGTTACAGCAGGGGATACAGGAAACGGACAAGAACTAGAAGAAGCAGACACTACTAGGACATGAAAGGAGTTTGGTTTATATTCCAAACATGACAGGGTGCTACAGAAACCTGATGCGAAAATGTGGAAAATATAGAGGTTTGTGGAGAACTGAAGGGACCCAGTTATCCTGGAAGCTGGGAAAGAATTCTAAAGGTAATCTACAGTAAAAAAGCAGCTTTGATTAGCTAATCAATTTGCACCTGTAGGCAAAAATCAGTGGATTTGGGCCACTACTTACAGATAAGCAGATCTATTTCTGGAGCCCAGTTTCCTTATCAATGCCAAGTTCTGAAAGCCTGTTTTTTTTTTTCACAATTACATTCTAATGTGATAATTATTTAGTCCAAGAGTTCTTAACTTGGGAGACAAGGGCTTATTTAAGCACATAAAAGGGTCGATGATCCCCTGAAATTACATGCAGATTTTACTGAATATACTAATGGCTGCCTCTACAGCATGAATTTTTCTGGCAAGTGAGTCCATGGCTCTCATGAAATTCTCCAAAGAACTTCTCATCCGAAACGTTCAGGGATGCTGGACAGATCCACTGAAGTTCTCTTCTTTGTCAGGGTGTTTGCATTTGCAATTACTTGTTTTCTCTCTCCCTGTAATGAAAGCCAAATTGTGGTACAATTTTTGCTTTAAAACTGCTCCCTTCCACATATGTGTGAGAACATGCAGTATTTATCTTTCTGTGTCTGATTTATTTCACTTAACATAACGTCCTCCAGGCTCATCCATGTTGCTGTGAATAACAGGACTTCCTTCTTTTTATGGCTGAATAGTATAACATTATGTGTCAGTACCTCATTTTCTTTATCTATTCACCTATTGATGAACACTTAGGTTGATTCCACATGTTGGCTATCGTGAATAATGCTGCAATGAACATGAGAATCTTTTTCAACATATTGATATAGTTTTTTTTGGATATATACCTTTATTTGATTATGGCACATTGTACACATGTATTGAAATATCACACTGTACCCAATAAATATGTATAATTGTGTGTCAGTTAAAAGTAATCATTAAATATTTTAAAAAGCCGACTCTCTCAGTTGGTAGCATTCAGTGGATCCAGAATTAAAGTATAGAAAAGGGCCATCCTTTTTTGCAAATATGGCAAATTTTCCCCTGTTAGGAAACTTTTTAAAGCTCTGGTAGAAAAACTTTGAGATGTTTTAAGAAGGACTCCTAAATTATGTAGCACTAAATTCGCCTCACATGTGGTCATGGCCACCTTACTTCAGGCAATGCAACTCCCTCACAAGGATGTGCTCCATTGTCTAGCATCACGGTGTGCATATTACTTAGGCTTGTCTTTCGCTTTCTAAGTTATGAAAAACCAAAGCCAACTAACAAAGATGGATTCATCCAGCCACATGTTCACAAGATGATGGGTACATGTCTCAGAAATATTAGATCAAGGGTTAGGTCTGATGTCCATCTATATCACAACCTGGACACCTTTAGCCTTTCTTGGGTACTATGATGAATACTGATCAATACTGTTATTGCTCCAGATGGTTTCTTAGAAGTTTAAAAGCCATCCATTGATGTTCTAGTCGCCAACTTGGATGCACTGTTTTTGTTTCTTTCAATTTCTCCTGTAGTTCTATTTCAAATATGCTTACTGAAAAATATGTAATCCAATAAACAAGAGAATAGAAAGAAAGATAATACTCCAAAGCCTTATTTTCCCCATGCATGGATGTTAGATGATACAATAAAACCTAAAATTAACTATTTTCAATTTAGCTACCTGTTTTATACATGGTTCGTGAAATGAAAAGCATAAGTTTAATGTTGCTACTTACATTTTGAACCTGCACGTGGTTAAAAATGGAACCTTCTTAAGATTCTGAGTCGCAGGATATATTGGGAACTGTGCATTTTTCTAGCTTTCAGTTAGGTATTGATTTTTCAAACTTTCACCAAAATAAAATATGCTTTTCATTTATTCTTTCTACACATGTTATATCATATATATAGATTATAGCTGTGAAAGATACATGAAAATGTCTAGATGTTCTTGAGTGTAGTCTCAGTTCACAAGTATTTCTAACTTATTGAATAATGTTTTGGGAAAAATTAACAAGGTAATGACTATTAGTTATTAATACATTATTAGTTTTAGTGAATAAATGATTAGTAGTTTTAAAATATTGATTGAATAGGATTTTCTAGATATAATTCTAGATATAATTTCTAATTGAATGAGGAAAATGCATAGAGCACAGCAGTAGATAACATGCTGATCCAGAAAAAAAAAACAACTATCTTCTAGCCAAAGACCTATAACCTTGTCCGGCTAGTGTCAGTTGCACACTGTTGGATTAGTGGACAGCCAACTACACAATGTGAATTTTTCCGTGTTACCTGTCTTACCACTTAGCAAATGTGTACATATGCTCCTGAGAGTGAGCACTCTCAAAATCTAGATGTTCTTAAACTTGGTCTTCTGAAATACTTATATTTTGCTCTTGAATGTCTGAAAATTCCAGTTAGGGAAAGATGAAGAAATTAGTTCCCAAATGTACCTATGACTAACTCCCATGTGAGCACAAGATAACATATTTTTAAAGTTATTAACACTATCTGTGTGATCTCACCCTTGCCTACCTCTTCAGTTGTATATTTTTACATGGTGACTTTAATTACTCAAAAGAGACCAACTCTTTCCCAATTTTGGACTTGTCCACATGCAGAATCTTTTGACTGGAACATTCATCACCATATTAATCCGTTTTCTGGCTGCTGATAAAGACATACTCAAGACTGGACAATTTACAAAAGATAAGGTTTAATTGGACTTACAGTTCCACGTGGCTGGGGAAGCCTCACAATCATGGAAGAAGGCAAGGAGGAGCAAGTCCCATCCTACATGGATGGCAGCAGGCAAAGGGAGAACGAGGAAGACGAAAAAGCAGAAACCCCTGATCAAACCATCAGATCTCCTGAGACTTATTCATTACCATGAGAACAGTATGGGGGTACCACCCCCACAATTCAATTATCTCCTACTGGGTCCCTCCCACAACATGTAGGAATTATGAGAATACAATTCAAGATGAGATTTAGGCAGGGAAACAGGGCCAAACCATTTCAATCACCTTAGTTACTCCTACTCAGATTTCAGGTCTTAGCTTGAAATCACTACCTCACAGGTAGTTTTCTTGACCACTCCCATCCACTTAACTTACATCTAGAATGTTTATCTCCCATAATTCCTTTTTCTTTCTCTTCATAGGACATACCATAAATTGTAATCATCTGTGTGTGTGCAACCACTAAATATCTATCGTATATAATAACCATTAAATATCAATCTCCCTTCCTGGGCTATAAATTACATAAAGACAGAGATCATGACTATCTTATTCACCCATAATCTATCGCAGGGCTTAGAACAAAATTGGCTCAAAATAATCTGCCAACTTAATGAGTGATTAAATCAATCTAGTCCCATGCAAACTAGATTCAAGTCCACTATCACCTTTTATATAAGGTTGGCACATGTACAAAAGCAAAGTCACATACATCCTTATTGTGGGATAAGAGTGTGATGGTAATATAAGTTGGGACCCTCATGGTTCAAACATGGACTAGCCTTGTAACTAAATACACTTAGTCTATTGGCAAAAAAAGAATCATTAACTTCTGTTTATCAGGAAACATAAGAGGGGGTTCAATTAATCATAACCACTTTTCCTCATCGCTTTGCCTTTCCTCAGCTCTTACCTCTCAAACCATCACCTTAAAACACCCACAAAACCTTACCCTGCATGATTTTTTAAAATTACTTTTCTCTTTTTTTCTGTAACACTTTTCTTATGTGCCACCTAATCTCTCGATTCTTCATAGTGAAAGTCCAGAAATCTGTCTTATAAAAACAAGTGTCTCAGAAAGAGAAATAAATTTAGCAGAAAAATATAATTTTCTTTAGCAGGAGGAATTCAGTTTGTCCATTCCATATAAAGTAAAAATAAATCATTAGATAAGATGCAAATAAAAACATTACCAAAATATTACTTCCAGATGGAGGAGAGATAAACAAAAATGGCTCAAATTAAATCTTTTAACAAGATGTCCACAATCTGCACCAAAATACTCCCCGGAGTTTGGTTTTCCAGTAGACATTTACTTCAAAGCACCCAGGCTATATCAAAGGGAATACATAATTTTAATCAGTCTCTGTGGAAGTGCGTGTGATTCAAAAACTGACATGCATCTTGGAGCACGATTGACCAGGAACCTAGCTTTGCCACTTATTACCTTCAAAGGCTTGGGCAAGAAATTTAACCTTTGTTTCCCTCTTTTTAAAAGGCGGATGTAGTCAGCATACCACATACCACAAGGGTTGCCTTTCGAATTACAAATAACACATAGAAATCTGAATAGACCTGTAATAAATAAAGAGATTTATTTAGTCATAAAGAAATCCCACAAGGAAAAGCCCAGGTCCAGTGACTTCACTGGTGAATTTCACTAAAGATTTAAAAACAGAATTACCATGAATCTTTTAGAAAATAGTTTGTAAAGTAGAAACAGATGAAGTGCTACCTGTCTCATTCTATAATACCAAACCAGATTTTAAAAATTACAAGAAAAGAAAACTACAAACCAATATCTCATGTGACTATATATTCAAAAATCCTCAAAAATGCTAACAAAATCTAGCAATACAAAAATAGTAATATGACAAGACCAAATCGGATATATCCCAGGAAATCAAGATTAGCTTAACATTCAAAAAGAAATTGATGTAATACACCAAACAAATAGAATAAAGAACAATCATCTTAATAGACGTGGAAAGAAATTTCACCAAATCTAACACACCCTTTCATGACTGAAAAAAGAAAACAACTCAACAAACTAGGAATAGAGAGAAACACCCTCAACTTGACAAAGAGTGCATAAAAAACCCCTGCAGCTAACATGATACTCAAAGATGAAAGACTGTAATCTGTTCTCCTAATATCAAAAACAAGACAACGACCATTTCTATTCAACATAGAGCTGAAAGTATAACCTAGTGCAATTAGGCAAGCAAAAGGAGGAAAAGGCATCCAAATTGGAAAGAAAGAAATAAAACTCTCTCTATTGCAGACTGCGTGATTTGATATATAGAAAATCCTAAAGGATCCGCACATACACACAAAAATACTATTATTAGATATAATAAATGAGCTCAGCAAGGTTTCAGAATACAAGCTCAATATACAAAAACTCAGTTGTATTTCTGTGAACTAGTAAAAAACTTGAAAATGAAATTAAGATAATTCCATTTACAATAGCAACAGTAAAATAAATACTTAGGATTAAATTTAAGTAAAGAATTACAATGCTTACACAATGAAAACTATAATAGTGATTTGAAAAAAAAAAAAAAGACCTAAACAAGTGGAAAGGCATTCTATGTTCACGGATTGGAGGACTTAATATTGTTAAGATGGCAATACTGCTCACATTGATCTGTAGAAACAATGCAAGCCCTACCAAAATTCAAACTGTCAATTTTTGCAGAAATGAATAAGCTGATCATAATTTCATATGGAAATGCAGGGGACCCAGAATACCCATGACAATCTTAATAAAAAAGAACAAAGTTGGAATTGTCATACTTTCTGATTTTGAAATTTACTGCAATGTTACAGTAATTAAAACTGTATGATACTGACACAAGTATAGACATACAGATCAATGGAATAGAAGAGTTCAGAAATAAATTCACACATTTGTGGTCAATTCATTGCCAAGAAGGGTCCTAAGATAGTTCACAATAGGCAAATTCATAGGGATTAAAAAATAGATTAGTGATTGTCAGAGTCTGGGACAAGGAAAAAATGCAGAGTGGTTGCTAACAGGTGTAAAATTTCCTTTCAGGTTATTAAAATGTTCTCGAAATAGTGGTGACAGTTGAACAATCTTGTGAATATACCCAAAACCACTGAACTGTATACTTTTAATAATTAATTTTATGATATACAAATAAAATCTTAATAAGAACATCAGCCTAATTTTTTAAAATATTAAGCACAACCCACATAAGACAAACTTGTATTTCAATCTTGGCATTAACAGAAACACAGCCCTCACAATCTGATGCAATTAATAGTACTTAAAATAATAATATTTAATATAATATATTAAAAGTGCCAAACAAGGAGTGTAGCACATAGTAAGAATTCAAGCTCTAAAGACAATCATTTTCATCATCAATTTACCTACCATGTTGACAAAGATGCTTCAGTGATCTGGACAGACTGAGACTACCCCCAATATCCAACAGGCCAACTGTCACAGGGACAATGGTTAAATTGGAAGTGATGGAGAAATAAAAGGAAAACTGAAGAATCACATGGATTGGAACCAAAACAAACTGTTTTTTAGTTAGTATGTCAAGTCTCAATTTGTAATCACTAATCCTACTTCTATTTGTTGGATGAGTTTGTGGTGAATTAATATTAATTTTTCTTAAAAAAGCTTGGTAAAATTTATTACTGAAGTAATCTGAGCTTGGTCTTTGTGTGTGTGTGGCTTTTTCATTAGAAATTCAATCTTTTGTGATAGTTATATTCAGATTTTCTATTTCTTCTTGAGTCTGATTCAACAATTTTGAGTCTTTCTAGGGAATTAATCAGTTTCATCTAAATGTTCTAATTTTGGGCATAAAATTTTCATAGTATTCTCTTATAATCTTTTTATCTTCTTTAAAGTCTATAGTGATGTCTTCTTTTCAGCACTGGCTTCGGTGATTTGTCTGTGATGGTTGATTTTATATGTCAATTTGTCTGGGGCATACTGCCCAGATGTTTGGTTAAACATTATTCTGGATATTTTTGTGAAGTTGATTTTTGGAAGAGATTAATACTTAAATTAGTGAACTTTGAGTGAAACAGATTACCCTCCATAATGTGTGGGGGTATTGTTGAACCATGGAAGGGCCTTAATAGAATAAATATTGACTTCCTCTGAGTAAGAAGGAATTTTGCCAGCTGATTGTCTTTGAACTTGGACTATAACACTTTCCTGCATCTCCAGCTTATTTGCCTATCTGGCAGATTTTGAACGTACACCTCCACATTCAAGTGAACCTTTTTTTAAAAATTTCAGCTTTTATTCTACATATAAGGGGTACAGGTGCAGACTTATTACGTGGTATATTGCACAGTGCTGAGGTTGGAGTATAGATCCTATCACCCAAGTAGCGAGCATAGTACCCAATAGGTGGTTTTCCTACCCATGCCTCCCTTCCTCCCTCCCTGCTCTAGTAGCCTGCTGTTTCTATTGTTCACATGTTTATGTCTATGTGCGCACAGTGTTTATCGCCCACTTAAAAGTGAGAACATGTGGTATTTAGTTTTATGTTTCTACATTAACTCGCTTAGCATAATGGCTTCCAGCTCCATTCATGTTGCCATAAAGGATATGATATTATCATTTTTATAGCTGCATAGTATTCCATGATGTACATGTACCACATTTTAAAAAATCCAGTCAACCTTTGATGGGCACCTAGGTTGATTGCATGTCTTTGCTATTGTGAATAGCACTGTGATGAACATATGAGTGCATGTGTCTTTTTGGTAGAATAATTTCTATTCCTTTGAGTATATATCAAGTAATGGGATTGCTCTGTTTTAAGTTCTTTGATAAATCTCCAACTCCTTTCCACCGTGGCTGAAGAAATTTTCATTCCCAACAACGGTGTATAGGCATTCCTTTTTCTCTGCAGCATTGCCAGCGTGTGTTATTTTTTGACCTTTTAATAGTAGCCATTCTGACTGGTGTGAGGTGGTATCTCATTGTGGTTTTGATTTGTATTTCTCTGATGATTTGTGATGCTGAGCAATTTTTCGTGTTTGTTGGCTACTTTCATGTCTCCTTTGGAGAAGTGTCTGCTTATGTCCTTTACTAATTTTAATAGGGTTGATTTTTCCTTATTAAGTTCCTTATAGATTCTGGATATTAGACCTTTGTTAGATGCATAGTTTACAAATATGTTGTCCCATTCTGTAGGCTGTTTACTCTGTTTGGCTCTTTAATTTAATTAGGTCCCACTTGTCAATTTTTGATTTTATTGCTGTTGCTTTTGGGGACTTAGCCATAAATTATTTGCCAAAGTCAATGTCAAAAAAAGTGTTTCCTAGGTTTTCTTTTAGGATATTTATAGTCTGAGGTCTTCCATTTAAATTTTTAATTCATCTTGAGTTAATTTCTATATATTTAATGAATGGTAGTGGTTCAGTTTCATTCTTCCGCATATGGCTAGCCAGGTATCCCAGCACTATTTATTGAACAAGGGGTCCTTTCCCCACTGCTTGTTTTCGTTGGCCTCGTCAAATATCAGATGATTGGAGGTGTGTGACTTTATTTCTGAGTTTTCTTTTCTGTAAGAGACACATTGGTCTGTGTGTCTGTTTTTATACCACTACCATGTTTTTTTGGTTATTGTAGCCTTATAGTATAGTTTGTAACTGGGTAATGTGAGGCCTCTGACTTTGTTCTTTCTATAAATGTATTTATTTTAATTTTTGTGAGTACATATTAGGTGTATCCATTTATGGGGTACATGAGATATTTCGATACAGACATGCAATGCATGATAATTACATCAAAGTAAATGGGGTATACATCACCTCAGGTATTTGTCCTTTCCTTAGTATTGCTTTGGCTATTCAGGCTCTTTTTGGATTCCATATGAATTTTAGAATAGTTTCTTCTACTTCTGTAAAGAATGATGTTGGCAGTTTGATAGGGATAACATTGAATCTATAAATCGCTTTGGGCAGTATGACCATCTTAACAATATTAATTCTTTCAATCCATAAACAAGTAATTTTTTTTCATTTATTTGTGTTGTCACTGATTTCTTTTCTCTATGCTTTGTAGTTCTCCTTGTAGAGATCTTTCACCTACTTGCTTAGATATATTTCTAGGTATTTCACTTTCGTTTGGCTATTTTAAATGAAACTGTGTTCTTCGTTTGACTCTCAGCCTGGATGTTATTTGTGTATAGAAATGCTACTAATTTTTGTACATTGATTTTGTATCCTGAAACTTTACTAAAGTCGTTTATTAGTTCTAGAAGCCTTTTGGTGGAGTCTTCAGGGTTTCCTATTTATAGAATCATATTGTCAGTGAAGATAGATAGGTTGACTTCTTATTTTTCTGTTTCTACATCTTTCATTTTTTTTTCTCCTTTCTGATTGTTCTGGCTAAGACTTTCGGTAATATGTTGAATAGGAGTTGTGAGAGTGGGTATCCTTGTCTTATTCCAGTTCTGAGAATAATAAGTGAACCATTCATTAAAATAAATATCTCTCTATATAGCTGCCTCTTTAGATACACATGTATGTGTATACATATGTATACATATAGATGCGTGTATATATATTTATACATACATACTACACACACATATGTATACATACACATACACACATGCATACCCTGTTGATGGTCCTGTTTCTCTGGATAATCCTGACTATGCAATATCCACTCTCCTAATTTCTTGTTCAGTCTAGGTACAAGGCTGTCAATTTTGTTTTCATTTTCAAAGAATCAACATTTAGCTGCATGGATTTTCTGTATTTACTTTGTTTTTTCTTTTATTAATTTCTGCTTTAATCTTTATATTTACTTTTTCTGTATGCTTTGGATTTAATTTGCTCTTCTTTTTCTATTTCTGAAGGTAGAAGTTGAGATTAATTTACTTAAGATCTTTCTTCTTTTCTAATATAAGCATCATAGCTATACATTTCCCTCTAAACACTGCTTTAGCCAGACCCCATAAATTCTGATATTTGGTTTTATTTTTATTCAGCTAAAGACATTCTTCTAATTATCTGTACGATTTATTTGTTAGCCTATGGGTTATTTGAAATGTGTAGTTTAATTTTTCAATTGTTTGTGTATTTCACAAATTTATTTCTTTGTTGATTTCTAATTGAACTTCATTGTTTTGGAGAACATACTTATCAATATTACACATACTTTCTTTTGGAATATTCAGTCTTCTCTGAAGCATTTGATATCTATAACTATGACTGGACTGTGGCAGTGATTAAGAAATCCATCCATAATGACCTATGAACATCTTCAGAAGGTGCTATGTTGGGATGGTTGGTTATTTCAGATTATGTGGTGTATCATGAATTGAATGAGGTAAATCTGCCCAATAAGTGCTCTATAAGGTAATGAAATTATGATGTGAATGAAATCTACAACTCTTTTGGTTGAATAACGTGAAAGAGGGTAACAAGTGCTTGTTCTCCTCTCATGCAACAGCCTCAGAAACCCAATGTGTCCTACAACACAGTTGGAAATCACTAGAGTACAGAATTCCCAACATACTGCCCTATTTCTAAATTCTATGATTCTAAAGTTCATCTAATACATAATATAGGTGAATGGGATTTTATTCAGATATTCTCATTCATGTGAAATTACCATCTATTTAGTGTATAGTAAATAATGCACTGGGGTAATTGCTTTTATTTTATTGTACTTAATTCTATAAGCCCAATGAAACAGGTACCATTATCATTATCTTATGAATGAGAAAAATGAGACTCAAGAATTTGTCCAGTGGAAGTAAACTACAGCTTCCCATAAAATGAGAGTAATATGACCTATTCCAGAAGAACTAAAGTTAGCAACAACAGTAGTTTATCATAATTTAACAATGGAGCTCATTAAATGACAACAACTGTCAAATTATATATAAAGTCAGTGCAAAAACTTGGATGCACATAGTTACATTCTTACTCTTCTAGGTAATGAAGATATTGTGTTGTTGAGATATTGTTGAACCAGAGTAGAATTAACATACTGTAAAAGTAAATGATGAGATATAATTAGTTTTGTTACCATCTTGGGGGGACTTGAGAAAGAGAAGGCACAATAAATAATTAAAATGAGTTTGTGAGTTAAGAGAGAATTACAAGCCTTCTGAAAACATAGGTAGCGTCTTTGTCTGTACTATTAAATATTTTCATCTCATTGTCCTGTTAGGATCCCTTAAGGAGGCAAGACTATTAGAAAAGGTGGGAGTCTCAGTACTCACAGTAAACTGCCAATCATAGAGATTTGTATATTGTAGCAACTCGCCTGTTGTTAAATCTCATCACCCACTCCCCCTCTTAGGCCAGCAAGTTTAGAGGTGTAATCAATTGTAATAGAAAGCAACTGTAGATTTCTGAATGCATAAGTACATTATCCTATCAGTTGGAAAAGGAGTGGAAAGTAACTGGAACACATTTATTTAAAAAAAAAAAAAAACACTGGTGAGGAAGCAACAAGAATTTAAAAACACATGGGAACTGGCTGTTGAGTAAGCAGTGCAGATCTGAATCTGAAACGGAATAAAGACCAAGAACCACTAAATTGGTGGAAATGAACTTACCTATTATGTGCTAGGAGCTGTCTGTCCTCTCCGTATCTTAGCATCTGGTATCACAACTAAAACATAATACATTTTCAATATATGATGTTAGACCCTGTTTTAGATGCTTAAAATTTATTATTTAACTTACTTTCACTATACCTCTATCACATATGTATTCATATGTATTATAATATCCACTTTACAAATGAGGGCACTTAAGTGCAGAAAAGATTCCTAGTCATACAGCTAATGAATGCAAGTGCCAGGATTTGGTCATAAACAGTTGCCCATAAATCCTTTTTCAACGAAACTATTCTACTTTACAGAGCTTTTTCTCCCCTATAAGAGCTTAATTAATACAACCACAACAAAATAAGTAACTCTTAAATAGTAACTAATTCTATTAGTTTCTCTAAAATAATACAACATACAACATAACAACTATAATAAAACATTAAATAAATGGGAGTCAGGTGTCTACTGGCAAATTTGTTAGCATTTAAAGGTTAGCTAGCTCATAGAAGTTGAATGTCAGTAGAGATATATTCACTTAATACATTTACACCTCAAGCATAACTTCTGTTTTGTCACCATATAAATCCCTTTGTTAAAAATACGACTGGAGCTGAAATGATGATATTTACGACTTTTATTCGGCAAAACTTAAAGCTTAATATTGGCATATAAGACTTTAAAGATAATTTATCATATATTTCTTACCAAAGCCTTATGAAAAGTTTTGCTGTTATGTGTGGAAATTTTTTTCTACCATCATAAAGACTATTCTCATTTATCACTATAAACAGAGTTGTACGCAATCAATATCTGTATGCAAGTTTTGCACTCCAAAGAAAATAAGCATTTTACCTCTCTTTTAATTTAGTTCTTTATTTGTATCTAAATGAAATTATAAGTACATTTGCAAAATGTCCTTGGCACTAACTGCAAAACTTGGGAAATTATTTTTGAGATTTCCTACAAATCATCACTTTACATTATTCATACCTAAATTAAACCAAGTACGAAAAAGTGCCTCAGACTACCTTTTTATATTACTCAAAATGCTGATGCAGAAGAACTAGCAAAGGAAATATCAATGAAGAAAATATTGTATCAGTAAACATATACTATATCCTAGAATGGCTGAAAACGTTAGCGCTTAAAAAAAAATTACCAATTACTTTTGAGAAATAAAATGTCTTGTGAGCTAATGAGAAAAAAAATGTTCAATTACACTAGAGGGTATTTCCAAAACTTTCCTAGAAGGCTGAATCATATGTTTGGTAATGTTGGCATTGGTTTTTATTACTTCTAAATAAAAATTTCTCGTTAATGCAAATACTATACAGATATTTTAAATTGGAAAGGAAAATAATCTGAAGAAATTATCTGGAATACTGCCTAATAAAAACAGAGATTAAATTATAAAAAATAAATTAAAAGATGTGGTGTATTGAGTGAGAAGGTCTCACATATATGTAACTAAAATCTCAATAGACTCTAGAAAATAGGAGTCAAGGAAATAGTCAAAGAGATAATTGATGTTTTTCCACAATTTTTGAAGACATTAAACTTCAAATACAGAAAGACCAACAAATTTTAAGTGAAATAAATGAAAACAAATGCACACCTAAACACATAACAGTGAAACAGCAGAATACCAAAGGCACACAGAAGATATTAAAAGAATTCAGAGGGAAAAGATAATTCACATATTGCAACTACACTGAGAGCTGACTTTTCAGCAAGGGAATGAGAAGGGATTAGGCCCACCAAGCTAAACTCATACGCCAAATTTAAATATTTTTCAAATGTGAGGGTGAAACAATGACATATTCAGACAATAGAAAGTTTGAAAATTTGCCACCAAGCAATGTAAGTGCCCACTGGAAGAATATTAATACATAGATTTTAGTGTATTCATAAAATGGAATGCTGTACATCAGTAAAACTAAGTGAACTATAATTGCACATATCCACAGGATTGAATTTCAAAAACATGATATCGGACGGAAAAGTGTCAGAATAACTTACACAGTATGACATGATACGTATAAGCTTCAAAATCAGGGACAACTGCAAAATATATTGTTGAGGGATATTAACATCATACACTCCAAAGAGAAGAGAAAGGGAATAAGTACTACAAAGTTCAACGTGGTGGCAATCCCTGGATAAGGGATGCGCTTGAGGAGAGCACATGGAAAGCTTTTTAATTTAATGGTAATATTATATTTCTTAAGACTTCTGAAGGTGTCTGTCTGCTTGTTTACATTGCACTTATATATACTCTTTTGAATATTTAAAATGAAAACAAACTAACATCAAAAACCCTATGGGGGCACGCTTGGTATGTGGGCAAGGCTTACTAATCAGAGGGATTTGCCTTTGATTATCTGGGTAGGGATTATGCTGGCAATCATCTAAATGGTATCAAAGTTTTTGCTCTTGAGTCATTCAATTTCTTAAGAGAATGTCTGATATTTCTTCTGGAGTTGTATACCTGCTTGAGGAGCATTCTGTTCATGGGGTGATATATAGTTTGAAGGAAGTTTATTTTTCCCTCACACGTATTCTTTAGAGAAGATGAGCTTTCTCTCCAGCTCAAGGTTGCTATAATTGGACAATGTATGCACAATAAACTTATTCAAGTCAGAAACAATACAAAAATATGTAGCTAGCCACTAATAAGGGAGTATATGGGTTGTCTAAATTAGCTGATAGCAAGTCATTCTTGTGCGCAGAGACAAAAAGATGTACTCCGGCCTAGTAGCTTCTATAACACAGGTTGATGGCCTTACTCCTGTAGAGTAAGGGACAGCCTGCAGAGGCTGTGAATTCATACATTAAACTCAGATCAACCCTCCAATCATATTTTTCTAACTACATAGCCTTGAAGCTGTTGTATGTATAAAGCTGGAATTTGTGTGTTTTCTGTTACTCTAATCATCTTGTGAACTAGAGACTGGCCATCATTCATTTACATGATAAAGCGTTTTATGAATAAATTGCCACATTTCTCTATGCCTCTGCAAATGCAGGTGCAATAAATTTCAAGAACGTAGATTTATTCTCAAAATTATAAATGACAGAGAAGAAGCAATAATTTAATGAACTCCACAATGTGTGTGTCAAACAAACCTGGCTCTTATAAGTGAAGTTAGAATGACTTTTGTTGCCACCTAGAGCAATAGCAATCAAAGGGAAAACATAAGACTTATAGTCTAATAAATGTAGAACTAACAATGTAGGAGCTAACAATGTTATATAGCTAACAATGTAGGAGAGATGAAGTGTTTTAGGGATGTTTATGAAGTCTAAGAGTGTAAATTGAGAGGTTTCATTCCCGGGTCTGCCAGTGATTCACTGTGTGGGCTAGAAGAAGTCACTTTCATGGGAGTAATTTAAGTCTTTATTTATATTTCCAGGGTGCGATACCTTGAGAGGAGAATCTACTTGTGGAATACATTAAACACAAAGAAAATCACAAAGGCCATGAATAAAAGGGGATGTATTTCTTTCTTGAACAAAGATGCCACCACTACCACTAACCTCTCCTTCTTGAACAAACGTGACAACACCTACCACTAACCTCTTCTGACATTTCATCACAAGTTCATTCCAAGTTATACAGGATGCTTAAAGTGTATTCAGCTTTGAATTGTTTTTAAAATATACGATAGTTAAAAGGCTACAGAGAATCTGGAAAAGTAAGAACAGACATCTGAAATTCCATAAAATCACTCAGCTGCTACTACAGTCTGTTATAATTTTCATTGTTTCATTGAAACAATGCAACAAAATCATTGAAACAAAAAATGAGCAAGTTTCATTCCTTGCTAGTTTTCATTGTTGCATACATCTTATAAAGTTGTACTTATATTTTATGCATAATGTTGTGTCGTGCCTTGTTAATTTATAACAAATAATTTAAGTTTATCTTAATATTATAATTTGTAATATAATTTTAATGGCTGCACAGCATTCAGTCAAGTAATTGTATGAACCAAGTACCAAAACACTACAGTTCATACTATTAAGCAATTTAAATATTCATACACTTCCAACTTTCTCAATACCTAATTATCACACTAGAAATATTTAGGCATTTTCGTGGCCCAAAAATAATACTTCTTTCAATACACATCATTTTAAACACACAGTTCGGTTAAGATCTTTCATACTGAAGCCCAAATAGAAGGATGTTTTATGAGTGTTCTGCGAGTCCTTCATGTGCCAGCAAATATGCTAATAGCAGTCCCTTTTCTCAAACAGATCACATCATATTGGAAAGTTAGCAAAATAGACTGAAAAGGAAGGGTACTATTTCAAAAGCCGTGAAGGGGCATCTAGAAGCAAACGGTCATCATTGACAAATGTTCCAGAGAGGTCAGGTAAGAGGCAAATTGATCAGTCCCAGTCAGTAAACAGATATTACTTGAATGCTTAATATGTGTCTACTAAGTCTCATTTAGGATCTGGTGGACAAGGCTGAGTCCCTTCCCTCAATAATATTTTATGCTAGTGGGGGCAGAAAGAAAATAAACACATAAACAAATATCTACAGTTGATTTCTTATTTTTTGACTTTTAGGTTCAAGGATATATGTGCAGGTTTGTTATATAGGTAAACTCTGTGTCATGGGGGTTTGGTGTACAGATTATTTCATCACCCAGGTAATATGTATAATAACTATAGATAGCTTTTTGATCAAGTACTAGGGACTATCAAGAATGTAAAATACGGCAATATGTTTGCGAATGTCATGAGATTTAACTCAGGTGGTCAGGAAATTCCTCTTTAAGAAGATGCAATTTGTTTGGAGACCTGAAATATCCAAAAGGAGTCTTTGGATTTGATAATTAAAATGGCTTTGATGGTCTTGCAAAGTACAGCTTTATTTGAGTGGTAGAGACAGGAGTCAGAGAGCACCAGGTTGAAGAAAGAGTGACTGGTAAGTAAGAAGAGACAGACAAGAAGCTTCACTCTTGTGAGGCTTAAGTGGAAAGAAAAGAAGAAAGAAGAAAAGAAGTGAGAAGGAAAAGCAGAGTGAAGTTATTATCACATTATTTTTTACAATTCACCTTTAAAGTGGTTCCTGATGCTTCCTCTTACTTAAATTTTTATTTAATATTAAACATATTTATAAACTATAGTTAATTAGCCAGTAGAAAGGCAGATGTTGAAAATACAGAAAAAAAAAGAAGCAGTGGAGCAAGGTCCATTCTCAATCCCCTTGAATAGAACAATTTATTCATTAACTATTTACTGAGCATTTTTGTGTTTGTTTTGTTTTTGTTCTTGTGGGGTTTTTTTTTTTGATGTGAAAAACACACAAAAGCATAACTACCCACTGACCAATTTTGCAGGAGGACTCATGCTAATGCTAATACATCAGGCTGAATTTTAGACAGAATGGTTGAAGAAAATAAATGCTGAACAGTCCACTTTAATATGGCAATTTAGTGAGGAGAGGCACTCTCTCCCATTTAGAGACACAAGAAAATATTGCTTCTGTGAAAATCTTCTTAACATGGAGATGTTAGTAATGATGCCAAATTTATGAAATGTTCTTAAAGAGGTCTGAACAAAGTTTGCTACATAGAACAAATTCAAAATAATATGTAATTATATGTTTTTCCAATATCATATACTTTTGAAAAATGCAAAATCTTGTGCTAAATGTAACTTTCACTTTCTTAAATCACTTTTATGTCAATATTCTTATGAAAATATTTCTTAAAATTAAATGATATTTTATGACCTGATATTCTCTACTTGTCATTTATTTAGATTGCAAGCTAAAAACTAATTAGAAAGACTATACTTTTGCTGTTAACTTTCTCAGAGGTAAAATATCACTTTTCTTTAGTGGTTTGTGATGCTATGAATGAATACTTTCCAGGTTGGGTATTTCCTGGCTGTTAAATATCAGTTAAGTTTTGGCTGACTTCACCTCCATCTATCAACCTCCCTGCCAATCATTTAACAGCTATAGAATAGGTCTCCTCACACAAATCCTTCAGGAAGAATTTCCATTGTGCACATTCTGACCAGAAGAAAAAATGCAGCAAATTTTTGGAAAGTGAATCATTTTTAGAGTTCTGAGCAAATTATGTTAAACTCAGGGTTTCTCACTGTCAGCACCATCACATTTTAGGCAGTATAATTCTTTCTTGTGTGAGGTCGTCCTTTGTCCAATAAGACGCTTAGAAGCATCTCTGTCTCTGCTTATTAAATACCAGTAGCATTCCCTGCTGCCACCAATTATGACAACCAACAATATTTCTAGATATTGGCAAGTATCCCCTAAGTGGCAAAATCTCTTCCAGTTAAGAACCACTGAGTTAAGAACAGTAAGTAATGATCCAGGGAAAATGGATATAAAGATATTAAAAAGCTAGTAAAGCATTTGACATATTAGAAATGCATATAAACAATTCATATTTATAAAATAAAATCTACTGAAGATATAATGAATAAACACTTGTTTTGGTGAGCAAGCTTGGGATTGCAGCTGTGGGCCTGGAAGTGGTAGGAGCTGCAAAGCCTGCCCAGGATTAGCTGTAGCCAGAGCCGGCAGCCAAGACAATAGCAAAGATCAATTTGACCTCAAGATATAATCAAATATGACAGCAGAGTGAATGAAGCTTTTATTTTGCTCCGTTCTTCTCCATAATCCTTCTTATGCCCATAATCATTATAATTACATAAAATATTTAAAAACCTTTAAAAATTATTTCTTGGAAACCATGAATATGGCAGACTAGAGGCATTTTGTACTCACTTTCTCCATTAAAAATAACCAAACGGTGAGTCGATAATCACACTTTGAATATATAATTCAAAGGAAATCACTGGAATCCATTAGAAAAGTGATAGGCAATACTTAAAGCAGAGATGGAGAGGGAATCAAGGCAGCCTGCTCATCCAGGATCAGCTGTGAGCTGAGAGACTCCAAATACAGAGAAAGGATAGGTGAGAGAGCCTCAGTAGTTTACATTCTCACTATAGACTCCTATAATCCCAGCCACAGGAGATCCCTTCAACCATCATGGGCCCCGAAACTAACATAGAAAGCTGCCAGGAGATTGTATGATGGCACTGCTTCAGGGAGAAAGCTCCCGCTGGGTCCCTCACACTTCTTGAGACTTAAGCAGCTACAACAAAGTACCATTTTAGAGCCCTGCCCTCAACAGACTGAGCACTGTCCTGGAGCCCAGTAGCCCAGGGCTGAGGTGCAAGAGAAGCACGAACTGCTGCCCCAGGGACATAGGCATCAGTGACTACAGACTACAGCATCTGGTGCAGAGGTGGGACGAAGGCGTGGGCTGCTGCTTTTAGGACTGAGGCACAAATGAGGCACCACTGCAGAGCCTCACCCCCGATGAACTACATACTGTCCTGGAGCCCAGTGGCATTGAGGCCTAGGTGCAAACTAAATGTCTGATGTTTCCCTGGAGATTCAGACATGAGCGACCACAGGCTACTGCAACCAAGGGAAAGACATGAACATCAAGGCTGGGCAAGATAGCATCTTAGAGCCTCACCCCCAACAGACTGCACACTGTCTTGGAGCCAAGCAACACTGAGGCTGAGATGCAAAAGAAGAGCTGGCTGTTAACCTGGGGCTTAGACATGAGCATTCATGGGCTACCACACCTGGGGCTGAGGTGGGAGCACCACTGGGGATAAGGCATATGTGGCACATGTGTTTTTCACCCACTGGCCTAGACTGCCATCACTGAAGGTGGCATCCAACACCCAGTGGCAGGGCAGCAGCATGGCCACTGCCACCCTGTCTTTACCAAAGAGATAGAGACCATAAAAAAGGAACGAACAGAAATTCTGGAGCCAAAGAATGCAGTGAATAAACTAAAAAATACACATGAAAGCTTCAACAATATACTCAATCATAACTGACTTATGTTAAGATCACATTTTGCTTGAAGACAGTTTTTTTTGAAATAACGCTGTCAGACAAAAATAAAGAAAAAAAGAAAATAATAAAATAAACCTTTGGAATCTATCTAACAACATAAAGTGACCAAATATAAAAATCACTGATAGCCCAGAAGGCAAAGAGAGAAAACATGTTTTCAAAGACCTATTTATTGAAATAATAGATGACACTTCCTAAGTCGAGCAAGACACTTAGACATTGAGATACAGGAGGCCCATCAATTCCTAAACAGATACAATGTGAAAAGGTCTCTTCCATAGCACATTACAGACAAAATATTTAAAGTTTTTTTTTTCTTTTTTTCCAAGATGGCAGATTGGAAGCATTATAAGCATACTTATCCCACTTGGTAAGACAAAATGGCATGTAGAGATTCATGCTGTAAAATTTATTCGAAGAAACAATGTAAGAACTTAACAGAAAAACTGAAAGAAACCACAGACCCTTTGAATGAAGTGGCAGGCAACAGACTACATCATAAAACAGATGGAAAACCATTAGTCCCCAGAGCATGAGAGAGGGATAGATTGCTGTCATGACATATACTCCCACAGGCGAGCCAGGCAATACAAGTCATGAGGGAGGACTTCAAACCTACTCAGCTCTAGAGGTGATTCAGTGAAAAGTAAGGAATATATAAGAAGGAGCAGCATCGGGACATGCTTTGTGTGCAGACCCAGATTCCAGCAAGAATGGAGGGAAGCCATTCCTGATCCCACCTCACGGGACGTTGCAGAAGTCTAACTCAGGCTGCAGTCACAGTTTGAGAGAAGAGCCCAACTGGGATTTGTGATATAATCCTTAGTAAGGACAAAGCTGATTGGCCAGAACCGAGGGGCAAGTGAGAAGTGTGCTACGGCAACAAGGCACATGAGCTGCATGGCCCTGCTTCACAGGTGGACTGGAAAGGATGCAGCCTGAAAGATATGGTTTCTGTGTCCATAGGGAAAGCTTATGGCCTGGGATGGTTTTAAATTCTGAGCACGGGCCACTTGAAACCCAGTTAGCTGCTGCTGCTAGCAGAACACTGTGGGTATGAAAACTGACTTGCCAAGTGTGTGGGAGCTGAGTGGGGCTTATTACAACCTGCTGCCTCCCACTTTTCAGGCAGATTTTTTGTGCAGCAGAGGCAGCTGTGTTCCTGCCTGGAACATTACCCCACCAGCCAGGGAACTGCCCTCGGATCCCCACTGGGGCCACTGCTTGCACCTGCACATGGGGAGCCAGAGTGCAGACTTGCCTGACTCAGTTTAATAACTTCTGAGGCACAATGAAATCATCCCAATGCCTCCATGTTCAATTTCAGGCACTAACAAGTCCCTGAGGTATTAAATGCATTGCTTTTCTGCGGTCTTGCCACCTTCAGGAGCTTACTAAGAAAATGAAGAAGAGCCACGATCACTCCTCTCAATTAGCCTCTTCCCTTGGCTGAGAAATGTGTTTCCGGTCTTGAGAACACAGAAGTTTTGCATTTGCTCATGAGAGATCTGAAACCTTCTGACACTGCCCTGCATCTTTTCCATTCCCTCTAAATAGAGAAGACTCTTCTCCTGTCTCCTACCTTCTGCTCTGACATCCATTCACTAACACCTAGGCACAAAAAGCCTAGTTCACCCAATGGCAGAAACGGCTAAGGTGGGCCTCTTCCAAGCTATGAACAACATTTCAAAGCTTAAGTCCCTACCCTCTTCCAACACAATGTCCTTTTCATTCCTCTAGCTCAGTAGTGCTCAGATTGGGGGTGATTTTGCACCCCATCCCAAGAAGACATTTTGCAGTCTGGAAATATTTTTGGTTGTCACAACTGGGATGGCTCTTGGTGCTATCGGCATCTATTGAATAGAAACTAGGAATGCTGCTAATCATTCTAAATTCAGCAAGATGACACCCCCTCAAAAAAGCCCACAGAACTATCTGTCTCAAAATGTCAATAGTAATAAAGGTGAAAAACCCTGTAGCTCATTCCTTAATAGGCCACCCAAAGAGATTTTGGATGTTTTCATTTATAAAATTATGCATATATTTTGGCAAATCAACAGCTGTTTCTCACCACTGATGGTTAGACAAGGGAAAGAATAAGGAGACTGATATTATAATGAGCTCATTCTATGCCAGGTACAGTGCTCAATACTTCAGATTTATATTATCACATTTAATCTGTTAAAAATGTCCCAACATGTAGTAACAAGAGTTATTTTTATTTTACAAAGTTAAAAGAAAACTGAATTTTGAACAAATTGAAAGATCGATTCAGATTACAGCATCTGTAAATGGCAGAGCAGAAACTTACTATTAATGATCGCATGGCTTCAGAGCTGATGCCAGCCATCTCAATCTCACAAAGATCTCCGCATTCACTCATCTTTTACCCTCAAGCATTGTCTTACGTAGACATTCCTGACTTATTCCAATGGAAAGTCAAAAACAGAAATTTGATATTCAACAAGGAATATTATGTAGGATTTTGCTGTTGTTTCCTGAAAATTTTTCAATATACTGAATAAGCTATGGGAAAGCAAGCGGAAATAGTGTTGGCTTATAAAACCTCTCACCCTGTGACTAACCAAAATGAACAGAAAGGATTCATCAATGCTGAAACTTGAAACAAAACTGAGTCTTAATCAATATAATTCTTGAGGTATGATTCAGATCCAGTATAATTTGGCCCAGATTGAAAGAAGACTCAAAAATCAATATATAACCCCTATCACTACCTTGGTCCAGATATTCCAATTTGAAGAAGCAAGGAAATTAGACTTGAGCAGATCTGGAGGAAGTGTAGGCTGCACTGTGTGGAGCTTGTTTCTCCACTGCAAATAAGCATTCCTGAGAAACTAAATGCTGGACAAGATGCAAAGCCATACAACCGATGTGATTGCCTCCCTAACTACCTGCCAACCTGTAGTTTATCTTCCTTCTAAACAGACAGAATATCAGAGAGAAGTAGAAGCAATCTCTTGAGAATCATAGCCACAGCCTTCTGCACAGAAAAATACATAGGGTCAAACAAAACAAAAACCTCAACAACCCTGGACTTTTTATGAAAATGAATTTCTCACTTTGAGAGGGAGTAAACTGAAACACAAAAAGGCCATTCTTCACCAACAGATGAGAGCATGCCCCCAACACGGTGCTGCTGATGCCAGTGCATAGGAGCCAAAAAATCAAACTGAGCAACTAAGAAACAAACCAACAACTAAGAAAAAAACTTCCTGACTGCAACTACTCACAGCCCCAGATATCTCCTCACTGTCCCCCAAGCCCCCTGTTCCCATAAAGGAGCTAAATGACTGAACAAAGAATAAAAACAATAAATGTGCAAATTGTTCGGTGCATGTTTCAAGGCATTGGTCCAAAAAAATATGCAGACCAGTTCTGGAAGTTGGGCTAAAAAAGACAGATTCTGAAGCTGCAACTGGAAGATTTCTTTAGTAGGTCTGGAGGGGTGATTGATGCTCTGTACTTTTTCACATCCATGTTTGAGAACCACTGTTCAAAGTGGAGAGAGAGGGTTAAGTCAAAGATTTTCCTAGAACAGAGATATCAAGGAAAACGTATTCATCTATTTTTGGCAGTGGGGACAATCCATGGCCCCAATTCAAAATAAACGAGAAGAAAAACAAATAATAACAGCATAGCACCAATATGTAAAATGCTCTATAACATAGAAGGGAAGAGAACAGGAATACAGCAAGCAAAGACAACTAGCTAAGTAGTATTTGTTGCCAGGTTCTGCAGTAGTGGCTGAAGAACAAAAGTGACCACAGATATTTAACAAGTGGAGAAACTAAAAAATAACTCTAAAATCAATAGGAAACAATAAGGAACATAATCAACCCTATAAAAAATTTAGTAATTTAAAGTATAGGCTTGGGAAACATTAAAACTACACAGGAAATGAAGAGATTTTATAAATATATAGATGTATTCATAAAAACATATTTTCATAAATATGTGAAAACAGATCCAACGTTAGGATCACTGTTTTGGAATTAGGCTTACTCACTGTGGGACTGATTTTGGGAAGAAGTAATCATTTCTTCACTTTAACTTATTGTAATTTTGGCCTTAAGAACTAGCCAAAACTTATTTTGAATGTAGCTTTAACAAGAAATATTTATGTGACCCTGTCTCAATGTTTGACTCTTCTCGACTTCAGCTTTGTGCCCTGCAAATTGAAGATAAAATACGTTCCTGTCTCGCAAAGTGGTTGTGGGAGTTTTATAAATCCCTGAGAAAATACAAAGAAGGTTTCAAGCATCAGATGTGGCTATTAATATTTCATAGAGAAGAATTTAAAGAAACTCTTGTGGCTCTAAAAGTGGTATCTGAAAATTTTAAATTGAATGTGCATTTTAAAAATATAAAACAAAAACTTAGCAGAATAAAAATTAGTTGAGATCTTTGGTATTCTTCAGATAAGAAATGAAACAAAACAGGCTAAATAAAATCAGAGAAAAAAACTTAATGTGATGACACACGAGAACAAATATGTAAGTCAAATCAGCTCCCCACTTAATGAGAAGACTCATAGACAAATTAATGATAATAACCAATAGCATTATATTTATACAAACAAACACAAAACTTCCAAAGCAATGTGACTCAGAAAAGTTGAAAGTAAAAATTTTTGACTGAAATTTACCAGATGATATAAACAAAAATGGGAACAGACACCTATTCCTTTAAAAGGCAAAATTTGGAAATGGCACATCTCAACTCACAACTCATTAGAACTCAGTCACATGGCCAAGTGGAGTTGCAAAAGAAGCTGGGAAATGTAGTCTGGTCATTCACGCACCCAGCTAAACATCAAGTATTCTAGTACTGAAGGAGGGTTTGTGGAATAACTAGCAGTCTGTGACAAAGAGTATTGCTTTTAAATAGGGAACAAAGCAAGGGAGTTTGTGAGAACTAGTACTTCACGTTCCTGTGGAAGTGTCAGACAATACATTCAATCAAGGGACAGAATAATAATCACAGATGTCAGAAAGTAGAAGGAAAAATAATTATTATTTGCAGATAATATAAAATTATACCTGCAGAAGTCTAAAAATACCAACTGAAGATGTCGCAGCATCAATAAAAGCACAGAGTAAAATGAAAAATTATTTTAATAACTAATTTCATATAGTTAAACAATAACTACTTAGTAACTGCAATGAGAAAAAAGTCACATTGATAAAAGAACCAGCAGCAGCAACACAGCAACAACAGTAACACTAAATTTAATTCTTAGAAATAAACCTGATGTGAATTGGACAGAAGCAATGTGAAGTGGTTATGAAGTCTCCATAGTAAAGCCAAAGTGATACTTCAAAACTGCAAAGCAATTCAATCACCTCTGTTGCTTAAAACTCTCTGTCCACTGAAGTTAGAAAAAATTCAAGTTTCTTTCCATGGCTTACGCAACTCTGACTTCACGTCTGATAACTTCTTCCTTTGCATCAACTTGCCTCCTCTAGGCAGGAAATGCAGCCACATCAGCGTCCCTTCAGTCTCTGAAGATACCAACCTATTTCTTGTCTTAAGACACTTGTAGCAGCTATTTCCTCTTCCTGGAGGGCTCTTCCCCCAGATTTTCCTATGTCAGACTCCTTTCTTATCAATTCGTGTTCTAGCTTAAAAGTCACATAATTCGAAAAACATCTCTGACCACTCTTTGTCAACAATAAACACACCCTCTGCTATGACGTCACTGTCTATTACACTGTTATATGACAATATCAAATGAAAAACAGTAAATTATACCACATCACAGAGTATAATTAGAATATTCCCAAGAGAATGTTGAATGTCACTATTAGATAATTAGAATGTCATATTTGATATTTATGTGTTAGATATTAGATTTAGGTATTAAATATTTAGATACTAGATAGATTCATATTGGATAATTAGAATGTCATTGTTACATAATGATTGAAATAATTATAAAATTATATTTGTATAATAGTGTACATTCATATTATCATACATAAAAATAGATTATATTAGCAGTACAGTATATGACATTGATACAGTTATATGAATGCATTAGAAAATAGAAAATATCTCATTGTATTGTATCTATACACAATATATTCAACAAAATAGTAACCCGGTGACAGACTCAGATAATTGTTAATTTGTCTTTCATACTTTGCTCTGTTATCTGATTTTTAATATATAGATAGATAGATAGATGAATTAATAGACACACTCAGGAGGGAAAAGTTCAATTAGTTAAGATACAAGTACAGAAAACTCTCTAACCGGCTTAAACAAAAAGGACATTATTAACTCACTCTCAAAATTTTTAAAAGCAGTGCTGTCTTTAGTCATGTAGGAAGGCAATAGAAATTTATTAAGTATATAATTATGTGCCTTTCTGTTTCTGAAATGTAACAGTGAGAAAAACAGTGTCCTCATTTCACTAACATCCTGGAGAAGTTAGAGAGAAAATAAACCTAGAAATAAATATGTTCAATACATTTGGATACATTTCAGTTTCTTCTAGGCACTACAAAAAGCAAAATTAAGGAAATATGGTAGAGAGTTGCAGTGAAGTTTGCTTTGGTCTGAGTGATCTCTAAAGTCCTTTCAAAAAGAGGTATCATTTCAGTTGAGGCTTAAATGACAAGACCGCTCTATAATCATACAGGGGAGTTCCAAGGAGAATAAACAGCAAAGACAAAAAACCTGGATGGAAAGTATGGTTGGAGTGAAGAGAATGAGTGGGGGATCAAATAGAGATAAGGATGGAGAGAAATGCAGGGCCAGATACTAAAAGGCCTTGGAAATGAGGATGGGGAAGGAGAAGAGAATCAGATTTAGCTCCTCCTGGGGCCTCACATGGAGGCGTCCCTCATGTGGGAGGGCTGAATCACGCTCACATGAGTGTTCTCTGCGCTTTCAGAGAATATCTCACATATTATTCCTTTATCTGCTAACTCCTTTGTATCCATTCAAATCACTTATTATTTTCCTTTAAAACCTCACATCAATTCTACAAGGTCACTAATGCTTATTTTACAAATGAAGAAACTATTGGTTTCCTATTGCAGTTATAAAAATTTCCACAAACTCAGTGGCTTAAAACAACACATTAAAACTATAGAAACAATAAACCTGGAAATAAATAATTTCACGATTCAAATCTCTGCCTTAAGGTCACCCCCTCAGAGAGGCTTTATTTGATTACCTTATTTAAAGTACTACTCTTTGCTATTCACTCATCTTTTTCATAGCAACCATCACCATTGAAATCATTTATTCCCATGTTTATTGTTTCTGTAGTTTAAAAGTGTCCTCCCAAAAGCATGTGTTGAAAAATAATCCCCAATGCAACAGTGTTGGGAGGTGGGACCTAATGGGAGGCATTTAGATCATGAGGGCTCCACTTTCACAAATGGATTTATGTTGATTATGATCTCTTGCTCTCTCACCCATATGCCCACATCTTGCCTTCTACCATGTTATAATGCAAGTAAAATGACTTTAGCCAGATGTGGGCCCCTCAGTCTTTGATTTCCCACATTCTATTTATTTGGTTCTATGTGATCCAAATAAATCTCTGTTTATCATAAGTTTGCATAAGTAATTTGTATTATGTCAAAGAACATAACAAAATGTATATAGTTTACTTTACAATAAATATGATTTATAAATATTTTATAAAATTACAAAACATTTTATCAAAATACATAATATGTGAATATATATATATATAAAATTTAAAATATGTGTGTTAGATTTCTAGGCCTGCCATAACAAAGTACCATAAACTGGCTATCTTAAAACAACAGAAACTTTTTTTTTTTTTCAAGGCAGAGTCTCAATCTGTCACCAGGCTGGAGTGCAGTGGCGTGATCTCGGCTCACTGCAATCTCCACCTCCCGGGTTCAAGCGATTCTGCTGCCTCAGCCTCCCGAGTAGCTGGGACTACAGGCGCACAGCACCCTGCCCGGCTAATTTTTTGTATTTTAGTAGAGACGGGGTTTCACCATGTTGGCCAAGATGGTCTCAATCTCCTGATCTCGTGATCTGCCGCCTCGGCCTCCCAAAGTGCTGGGATTACAGGCGTGAGTCACCGCGCCCAGCCAACAACAGAAACGTTTAATCTCACATTTCTGGAGACAAGAAATCCAAAATCTAGATGTTGGCAGGGTTGGTTTCTTCTGGAGGTTCTAAAGGAGAATATGTTCCATGTCATTTTCACAGCTTCTGGTGTTGCTGGAAAACTTTATTGCCTTATAGGTTCATTACTTCAATTTCTACCTCTGTCATCACATGGCATTCTCCCGGCGTGCCTCAGTGTCTGTGTCTCTTTTCCTCTTCTTATACAGACATAAATCATATTAGATTAGGTCTCACCCTAATGACATCTTGATTACGTGTGCAAATAACCTATTTTCCAGTAAGATCACATTCACAGGTACTGAGGGTTAAAACTTCAATATATCCTTGGGCAATGCAATTCATGGTATAAAAGTAAGATTTAAAATTGTGTTGTTATATTAAGAAGTGTTACTATCACATCGATAAGGCTTTTACAGTATTTTATCTTTTATCTTTATTTACTATCACTACCAAGACCACAAATAACCCTACAGTGTGCTGTAATAGTAAACAATAATAGAACCTAACCAAGTTAGGAGTCTCCGTGATAATTTCCCAGAAGAAAAAACACACAAACTGAGAACATTCTTCAGTTGGGACGTAATAAGGCAGTGGTGTGTGTGTGTGTGTGTGTGTGTGTGTGTGTGTGTGTATGAGAAAGATACAGAGTGAGAGAAAATGAGTGAGTGAGAGAGAGAAATAATATACCAGCTAGTAAGTAACAAGTGTGACTGTCCCAAATTAGCCAGAAACCACCAGCACATTCAAATAATTAAACAGTCAGTGTGATAAGGGAGTAAGTGCAGAAGTGTCTGAAAGCAGATGAAGTTAGAGATGTACTCACGAGATACATAATTTTACATACCTTTTAGAATATTCTGGCTTATTTTAAACTTTAGCATAAATTCAACAGAAGAAATTCATACATCACAATGATAATGACTCCATACTGGCAAAGATGCAGCGAATGGGTACATCCACCCACACTATGCTTTTATTCTTAGCACCATACACATCTTCCTCACCTTTTAAGCCTTAGCTCAGACCTCATCTCCTAAATGAGGACTATCAGAACACTCCCTTTATTACGTGAACATGTTGCCCACCAGCAGCAGTCACAACCTCCCACCTTGCTCTAGTTTTCTTCTTCTTCTTCTTTTTTTTTTGCACAGCGTTTGTCATCCTCTGTCATATTCTATACATCACTTACCTGTTATTATTAGGACTGTTTATTATCTGCCATATATCATTAGAATTTAAGCTTCAAGATTCCAAGAGAGCAAGAAGTCTTATCTATTTTGTCCACTTAATAAATATTATTGAAGTAAATAAATGAATGAATTTGCTTTGCAAATTGATATAACTGGCTGGAAATCATATATTTATATAAAATAAAAACCTTAAATTTTCTATACTTTGATCAAAAATTTCTACCTCTTAGGAAAAATTCTAAAGAGATAATATGAACTTCAAAAAAAGGATTGGTATAGACATGTTTACCGCATAGCTATGAAAATGTGGAAACAAATGTCTTATATAGGCAAATGCTAAGTAAATACATGAAATTATATATAGCCACTAAAATTATTTTATTTTGAGCCTTTATTGATAAAACGACATGAATATCTTCTTAAACTCTTAATGAAAATGAAAATATTAAAATAGTAAACATTCCTTCCTACTTAACATATTAAATAAAAATGAGATAGTTGTTTATTCCAGTGGTTCCTAAATGCATTTATTACTCAAAAATTATTTATTTGGTACCTTACTGTAGGTGCTGGAGATATGACAGTGAAAGCAACAGACAAAATATCCTGCTATTATGGATCTCATATTCTAGTGTGAATTAAAAGTCAATAAAATATGATATAATATCAGGTATTGTAAGTGCTGTGAAAAAAACTAAGTAGACTTTAAGGGTAGAGAGGTATGGTAAGAGCTATAAAGAAAATAAGGTAGCCTCTAAGGGTAGAGAATGAAGAAGGTGCTATTTCAGATATGATGGTCACAGAAACTCTCTTTGGGAAGTTGATATTTGAGTAATGACCAAAATAAACTCAGGGTGCGTGACACAAACTCCTAGAAGAAGAGAAATCCAGGCTATGGGACCAGCAAGTGCAAAGACTCTAGTATAAAAAACAAGCTTGGCGTGTTCAAAGAGACACAAGAATGCCTCTGTAGCTAGAGCAGAGAGATCAAGGTAAAAAGTGGTAAGAAATAAAGTGGAAAGTTAGGCAGAATTCAGATAATGCAAAACTTTGTAAACTATGATAGAGAGTTTTGGATTTCATTTTGTTGTAATGGCTATCCACTGGAGAACTTGGTACATAAGAGAGAAATTAATCATCTTATGGTTTAAAGGATAACTCTCACACCTGGGTTGAATTTAAAAAAAAATGGTAGCAAGAAAAGAAGCAGGGAGACTTGTACTGGATATTGCATACTATAGTCAATTGGTGAAGCTGGTTTAGAGATGGCAGTGGTGAAAGATCACAATAAATAATAACATCCTGGATAACTTTTAAAGATAGTAACAACAGGAATCGCTGATGAATTAGATACAGTAGGTAAGTGAAAAAGAATAATCAAAGTCAATTCTAGCTTCTGGTTAGAGCAACTGCGTTAATAATTGTTTCATTTTTTAATTTTTAATTTTATTTTTAAATTTTTTTACTTTTAACTTTTTGGGGTATATAGTAGGTGTATATATTTATGGAGTGCATGAGATGTTTTGACACAGGAATGGAGTGTGAAATAATCACATCATGGAGAATGGGGTACCCATCCCCTCAAACATTTACCCTTTGTGTTACAAACTATCCCATTACACTCTGTCAATGATTTTAAAATATACAATTAACATAGTATTGACTGTAGTCAGTTAATGGAAGCAATGGGAAAAAATAGAGGAAGAGTAGATCTGTGTGTGGTTGTATGGGAGAGGCATTGGTGGGGTGCTATCTTAGACAGAATTATAAGAAACCTTTCAGACTTCCAAGTGGTTATGTCAAACATGCAGTTCAATATAGATGACTAGATTTAAGGGGCTACATCTAGAATAGATTTATAAATTAGAAAATCATCAGTATATTGGCAATAGTTAAAGCTGGGAGGCTGAATGAGATCACCAAGGCAGTGAATATAGATGGAGAAAATATCTAATGATTGAGTGTTGGCTTTCTCTAACATTTAAAGTCTAGGCAGAGAAGAAGGAGCCCAAAAGGAGATGGAGAAATAGCCAGCAGGGTAGGAGGAAAACCAGCCAGGATGATGAAGTATACTGGAAGCCAAGTAAAGGGGACATTTTAAAGAATAGAGAGTGGCAAACTTTACAAAATACTGCTTCTAGCTCAAATAAGATGGGAAGTAAAAATCAGCCATTTAATTCAGCAATGTAAAGATCACTAAGTGTCATTGATAATAGTAAATTTGATGGGTGATGGGTATGAGAGTAGTTGAGTGACTTCAAAGGAAAAGGAAAAGGGAAGAAGTGGACACAGAGTGCAGAGAAATGGGGTTATGCATGGAACAGAATGTAGGTTTCTAGAGAAGATTGTTTGAAGATGGAAGAAATTACATGTCTCTGTACTGAGACGGATGAACTGTAGAGAGGGAGAAAATAATAATGCTGAAGAAGGGGGTTATTTTTAATAGCAAATCTCTTACATAAAGAAGAAAGAATGGGATTCCAAGCACAAATAGAAGATGTTGATTGTAGCAATAAATACAGTTCATCTGAGTTGAAGGCAAGACTCAACTCCGGAGGTGGGGCATGGACACCGAACCAAATTGAGGACTAGCTGAAACAGGGACGGGGTGGAATTACTTTTCCATAAGACATGCCCATCAGTGTGCCACGTCAGTTTACCATTGCCACGGCAACACCCAGAAGTTACTGCCTCTCTCTATGGCAACAACCCACCAACCTACAAGTTACCAGACTTTTTCTAGAAATTTCTGCATAATCCACCTCTTAGTTAGCATATAATTAAAATGGGTATAAACATAACTGCAGAACTGCCTCTGAGCTGCTATTCTGGGCACACTGCCTATGGTGTGGCTCTGCTCAACAAAGAGCAGTCTCACTGCTATTGCTGTACACTGTTGCTTCAATAAAAGTTACTGTCTAACAGCACCGGCTTGCCCTTGAATTCTTTCCTGAGTGAAGCCAAGAATCCTCGCAGGCTAAGCCCCAATTGTGGGGCTTCCTTACCCTGCATCACCTGGTGACCAATGCAAGGACAAAGACAGCAAGTGAAAGAATGGTGAGAGACAACGAGAGACAGCAGTTACACGACAGCAAAAAATGGTGCTGGGAAAACTGGCTAGCCATATGTAGAAAGCTGAAACTGGATCCCTTCCTTACACCTTATACAAAAATCAATTCAAGATGGATTAAAGATTTAAACGTTAGACCTAAAACCATAAAAACCCTAGAAGAAAACCTAGGCATTACCATTCAGGACATAGGCGTGGGCAAGGACTTCATGTCCGAAACACCAAAAGCAATGGCAACAAAAGCCAAAATGGACAAATGGGACCTAATTAAACTAAAGAGCTTCTGCACAGCAAAAGAAACTACCATCAGAGTGAACAGGCAACCTACAACATGGGAGAAAATTTTCGCAACCTACTCATCTGACAAAGGGCTAATATCCAGAATCTACAATGAACTCAAACAAATTTACAAGAAAAAAACAAACAACCCCATTAAAAAGTGGGCGAAGGACATGAACAGACACTTCTCAAAAGAAGACATTTATGCAGCCAAAAAATACATGAAAAAATGCTCATCATCACTGGCCATCAGAGAAATGCAAATCAAAACCACTATGAGATACCATCTCACACCAGTTAGAATGGCAATCATTAAAAAGTCAGGAAACAACAGGTGCTGGAGAGGATGTGGAGAAATAGGAACACTTTTACACTGTTGGTGGGACTGTAAACTAGTTCAACCATTGTGGAAGTCAGTGTGGCGATTCCTCAGGGATCTAGAACTAGAAATACCATTTGACCCAGCCATCCCATTACTGGGTATATACCCAAAGGACTATAAATCATGCTGCTATAAAGACACATGCACACGTATGTTTATTGCGGCATTATTCACAATAACAAAGACTTGGAACCAACCCAAATGTCCAACAATGATAGACTGGATTAAGAAAATGTGGCACATATACACCATGGAATACTAGGCAGCCATAAAAAATGATGAGTTCATGTCCTTTGTAGGGACATGGATGAAATTGGAAACCATCATTCTCAGTAAACTATCGCAAGAACAAAAAACCAAACACCGCATATTCTCACTCATAGGTGGGAATTGAACAATGAGATCACATGGTCACAGGAAGGGGAATATCACACTCTGGGGACTGTGGTGGGGTGGGGGGAGGGGGGAGGGGTAGCATTGGGAGATATACCTAATGCTAGATGACGAGTTAGTGGGTGCAGTGCACCAGCATGGCACATGTATACATATGTAACTAACCTGCACAATGTGCACATGTACCCTAAAACTTAAAGTATAATAAAAAAAAAGAATAGCTAAAAAAAAAAAAAAAAAAAAAAAAAAAGAAGACATTTATGCAGCCAACAGACACATGAAAAAATGCTCATCATCATTGGCCATCAGAGAAATGCAAATCAAAACCACAATGAGATACCATCTCACACCAGTTAGAATGGTGATCATTAGAAAGTCAGGAAACGACAGGTGCTGGAGAGGATGTGGAGAAATAGGAACACTTTTACACTGTTGGTGGGACTGTAAACTAGTTCAACCATTGTGGAAGTCAGTGTGGCGATTCCTCAGGGATCTACAACTAGAAATACCATTTGACCCAGCCATCCCATTACTGGGTATATACCCAAAGGATTATAAATTATGCTGCTATAAAGACACATGCACACGTATGTTTATTGCGGCACTATTCACAATAGCAAAGACTTGGGACCAACCCAAATGTCCAACAACAATAGGCTGGATTAAGAAAATGTGGCACATATACACCATGGAATACTATGCAGCCATAAAAAATGATGAGTTCATGTCCTTTGTAGGGACATGGATGAAGCTGGAAACCATCATTCTCAGCAAACTATTGCAAGGACAAAAAACCAAACACTGCATGTTCTCACTCATAGGTGGGAATTGAACAATAAGAACACCTGGACACAGGGTGGGGAACATTACACACTGGGGCCTGTTGTGGGGTGGGGGGAGGGGGGAGGGATAGCATTAGGAGATATAACTAATGTAAATGATGAGTTAATGGGTGCAGCAAACCAACATGACACATGTATACATATGTAACAAACCTGCACATTGTGCACATGTACCCTAGAACTTAAAGTATAATAAAAAATATTTTAAAAAAAAAATTTATTCATGTAACCAAACACCACCTGCTCCCTAAAAACGTATTGAAATAAAAAATAAATTTTTAAAAGTAAAAAAAAAAAAAAAAAAAGAATGGCAAGAGAATGGTGAGAGAGTGAGAGACAACAGTTGGCAAGATGATAAGCAGAAAGATGATGAGCAGAAAGATGGTGAAGCAGTCTGTGATCTAGCCTGCAAGAGATACAACACTGAGGCTGTAACAATAAAAAGCTGCTAACACAACAGAGCTGTAACACTAGTCAAAGACTCTTCTCAAAGCCATCATTTTCCCTGGCAGCTGTCAGAGTTGAGCAGACAGGCAAGTGGTTGTAGTGCCACTGCCTCATGTGAAACTCACTGCTCTGACCAGTAGGCCAGTAGGTTACTGGTCCTTGTGCCCGCCCCCCATGTGACAGCCAAGCTCACCCAAGCTGAGGAAACCTAGAGAGATCTTCACCAGAGTCCCATTTGGAAGATCAATCAGCACCATTTTGGCTCCTACAGATGGGTGAGTGTCCAGTGTACCCCTCTCCAATATCAGGAGAACTAGGGAATAAAATAAAAGCCTTTGGCTAAGTGGTCAGTTAAAAGTCCCCCATTGTTTGAATGCCCTGAAGCACATCCTTGTCACTTCTTCCCCTAGTCCCTTCTCTTCTGACACCATTTTATTGTTTCACCAGTCATTTGATTTTCAGTGCTAAAATATATGTTTTGTTTGCAGTCTTATATTTGCTTCTGAATTTCTGTTAACTGTATTTGGGCAATTGTTTAAGGCAGGATGCTTGTTTGTGAGAGGTCCTCCATTGTGTTGACTCTGGGGTGCCAGAGTTACGTTGTTCTATGACCTCAGCTTGGTGTTGAGTTAAGTGTTGGCTTCTTCCTGGGTGTCCTGGGATTTTCAGCATTTGGTGAGGGGACCCTCGTTAGCTGAAACTTGGGTACTCCAGGTTTTCATCATTGGTATTATAGGTCGCCCCCACCCAATGCTCTGGTGTTTTCAGCATTAACATTCCTTCTACAATGTGAGTTATAGCCCCTTCTCCTAGGGGAATATTGGTCTCACTTTTTTTTTTGCCCTGAAGTTAGAAGTTATTATTTTCCTAATAGCCAGTTTCAAGCCCCTTCCTGTGTGCTGTCTTACAACTACCTTGCTCAAGCCCCTCTTGGTCAAAGAGACTGGAAGTTTCCAGATCCCTGGCTTGCTGGATGACCATCTACAGAGGTAGGCAAGTGGCTGGGCGAACATATTTTTATAAAGTGTCTCCACTGCTGAGGGGGATTCTCTGGAAAGTTAAGGCCTTTACGGTCTCTGCTTGGGCAACACTGTTTACCCCCTTCTCTTCCTCCCATCCACAGTCGCCATGTGTTTATCCCTCCTCTCTGCTTAATTCTCACTCTCTGTGGAATTTAGGCTCAACATTCTACTGCCCATTTGTAGCTAATAATTTGCTTTTGTAACACCTTGATACCTATATTTAAACTTTCCCTTCAGGAAGCGAAAGTCTAAAAAGGAAAAGCAATAAGGGGCAAGTTGCTTCCCCTCTTACTAGACTTAGAAAAACTTCTACATCTAGCAAAAATCCTTGTTAGTCATGGGACAATGACGAGCATCCCAGAGGACTGACCACTAGGATGTCTTTTCAGCTACCGGGGCAAATTCAAATTCAGCTTAAAGAAAAAGAAACACATTTTCTATTGCAACACTGTTAGGGTTAAATGCAAATTAGAAAACCAACAGATTTGGCCTAAACATGATTTTATACATTACAATTTGATTTATTCTGTAAAAAAGAAGAAAAGAAGAGGTCCCTTACGTATAGACTTTTCTGGTTCTTTACTGGCTCACATTACTTCCAAGCATCAGAAAGCCATACCTAAGGGATCCTCTCCTAGCTGTTCCCCCGAGAAGGCCTATGCCTTTCCCAGAGTCTTTTCAGTCCCACAAATCTGAGGGTATCCCACTAGTTCTCTAATGAAAGATTCTATCCCAAGGTTATCAGGCTCCCTTCCCCCTTATTTGACTAACCTCAGTCTATACCCCACCTTGACACAGGGCTTACCCAACCAGTACCACCAGGATTTGGGCCTTATATCAGCCTCTAAAGTCAAACTTATGCCCATTGTTTGAGGTAGTTGAAGGAAATGAGGAAATATTTAGAGTACATGTGCCATTTTCTATGTCTAATTTGAATTTATACAAGGAAAAATTTGGCCAGTTTTCAGAGAAATGTGTTAAATTGACCATATCCTTTGATTTAACTTATCATGATTTACAAATATTGTTGTCTGCTTGGTCTGCTGTGGGAAAAAAATGTGGAGGAAAAAGTATGTGGTTAAGCCCATCAATTATAACAAGGTTAGAGAAATAACTCAGGGAAAAGAGGAAAAGCCCACTTTTTCAGGGTCATTTAGTTGAGGAACTCATGAAATTTATTAATGAATACCCAGGCTCCCCAGAAGGGCAAGTTCTCCTGCATATACATTCTATTAGTAAATTTGTCCCTGACATTTGGAGGAAGCTACAAAAATCAGCAATGGGATCTCAAACTCTTCTGAGCCAACTCTTAAAAGTAGTCATTAAAGTTTACAACAATAGGGACACAAAAAAGGTGGTAAAAAAATAGCCAAAAACTGCAATTATTAGCAAATGCTTCAAGCCCCCATTCCCCTCTGGGTTACCCATTCAAAGAAAGTGTTGCAAGATTAGAGTCTGGGATGCCCAGACAAGAGGCCCCAACTTGTCACCCACTGGACCAGAATTACTGTGCCTACTATAAGCAAAAGGGCCACTAGCAATAAGAATGTCCTAACTGTCCCTGGTGAGAGAGAGAAAGAAGCTCCCCATCAATCCTAGAGATAACCTTTTCCCATGAGCCCCAAAGAGTTACCTTGCTCAAGTAATTTACTAGAAGTCTTGGACCCCTGACCTGACAGACAGCTTCCAACAGTGGCAGCCAAGTGTCCATGTGAACATTTTTCTTCAGTGTTTCCACTGCTGGGTGAGCTCTCCAGCAGCTTGGGGACTCTAGACTCTCCCCTTAAGCAACCCAGTTGGCCCATTCCCTTGCTTGTTTGTTGCTACGGGATCCCCTTCCCTGCCTCTTCCTATCTTCCATATCTATTGGGGCAAATAAAATTTGGTCAGGTAAATGGGTCCCAATTTTGTAAATTATATCAATCAAGTTATCTTATGTAGGTTGTTTTATTTAATGTGTTTGTTTAAGTGTATATACAGGTATTTGATGGGTGTTGTGTCTAGCATGAGATCAAATTGGATTATAAATAAAAGAGCAATCATAAATTAAATAAGACTAGTCTAAGCTTATTAGTTTGAAGAGAATGTTGTGTCTTCTAAAATTCAACTTTAAGATTTGTACCTAGGTAAATCACTGATGTTCATAGGCTTTAAAATGATTAAGATGGCTTTAAATGATGACTAGCTTTGCATGATATCTTGGTTCTTTGAGGTGGTTTAGACAAAACTGTTGAAAGTAAAAAAGTTAAATACATGTGACTGGAATAAGTGCTTAAATAGTGAGCTTTGTGTGTGGTTTAAAATCTTAAAATAGTGAAATTGTTCTCATCTAAAAATATGCAAATATCTGGTGGGCACTTTGGGATTTCTTGCTTCCCAGGTTTATATAAAATGTGCCAAATAAATGTATTCTTTATTGGAAAAAATATGTTTTTGTCTAATTCAGAAGTTATTAAAAGGGAGGTTCAAAATATGAGGGAACTAATGAGTAGAAAAAAAATTGCAAAAAATAATAAATTTTCTATCCATAACATTCTTTACATTTCTCTTATTTCTTTTTCAAGGAAGTATATTAAAAAACAATGCTGTATGAGGAGGGATACTGTGTAGTAAATTTTTGTCCTAGAGTAAAATAACCGGTTATTTAAGAAAGAGGTAGTATAGAAGTCAGAAATTTCAAGCACATTGTAAATGATCTGTGTAAGTTGTGTTAAGGCTCATAAAGGGGAATCTCTAAAAGCATTTTTGTGTGACTAATTTAGATATAATTAAAAGGAAATTGTTAATAACAGACTGTAAAAAGAATAGTCTAAATGTTAAAATCAAATTTTCTTAAGGTGTTAATTTGCTACATTACCAGAATTTTTGCTTTTCAATTCTGTAATCTACTTCTTTTAAAAACTTCTCAGATTCATATAACTCTCCTCTTTAGCTTTATTTTATCAGCTCCTGTGAGTTTTTGCATTTTGAAGCCTCCTATGAACAAACTGAGCTTTGCCATATGTCTAGACCTTGAACTTAAATTAGACTTTGGAGAGATGTATAAGGTGTCTGAGAGGCAGTGACTGTATTTTATTTAGTTTTTTTTCCCTGCGGGGCTGTCATATCATTTTCTCAAGTCCTTCAGTAGATACTAATTTGGTCAATTTAATCTTGGAAAACCTTCATATAGGAAAAGTGAATCCAAAATATTGTCTGGTGTGTAGAAAGTAATTCAAAGACTATTTGCAAATTTTTTCTGCTTTTGAAATAATTTGGACTGCCATGATGTTAAACTGACAGCAGATTTTTTTGGCTACTCTCGTAGTTCATTGGAAACAATTTCAAACAACATTAACCAATGACAGTTCAAAATAGGCAAAGAAACAGAGTAGGAAAAATTTGTTTATGACTAGGTTAGATCAAGAATATCTCATAAAAAGATTACCAGCAAATGAAAGCTATTTGAAAAAATTGATCTCTTGTTGGTGGATGGTTTCTACTCTTGTCTTCTTAGGGGGTGGCTGAATGAACGGTATGCTTTAATTGAACACCTATTCATCAATTTTTTTCCTTACTACACAGTTGCCACTAGTTCTACATAAAATAGTAATAGGGTACAGAGAAGACAGGAAAAGTGGCTTCATTCGACTTTTTTTTTTAATTCAGAAAAACAGCCTTATAGGCACTTTCTCTTCCAATTTGCATCTCCATTTTTATTTTGTAAATCTCATTTCAATCTATCTATATAAGATTTCCCCTTTTGAACACTATTTTCATTATCATTATTAGCACTACAAAATTTCCCAGATAAAATGACAATTCAGTAGTAGTAAGGACTATGATCCACTATTTACAATCAAGTTTCTTCTTAGACAAAAAAATTGTATATCAGTACCAGAAGTTAAGTAAAAAAGTGTTTTTACCAAGCCTTGAGTACTATATTCTGTGTAAAATTTTTTATTAGGATTCAATATCTAAAGAACTCACTTTTTAAATAATACATGCTAGATGAACAGTTATAGGTTTGATTTTTAAATGATTGGCATCCAGTTACACGTAATAGTAAGCCTGGCTATCATTTAATGAGTGTTATACTACATGTCAGCACTGTGCTAAGAAGTTTACAGCCATCTCATTTAATGTTCATCTCAATCTTAAGAGACAGACATTTTTAATCTCAGTTTTATATATAAGAAAATCAGTGACCTGAGAGATTTAAGTCATTTGTTCAGAGTGACACAGCTGGCAAGTGACAGAGAAATGCTTTTCTGTCTCCAAGTCCATACTTTGGACTACTCTGATTCATGATGAGTAGTCATCCCAACAAATTCTCCAGGTACTTGGTATATAGGTGGTGGCAGGGGTAGAAACTGAAACAGAAATCAACTTTATAAGTCACATAGCAGCTTAAGTGGATACCCCACAGGAAATTTAAAACCCAATCTTATATATTCCTGACAACCAGACCTGTGTTACTTGCTCCTGGATTTATTGATGAGTGCCTTGGAGAAAAAAAGCATTTGCTTTTTTCTAAGATTGAATAAACGCAAATTTGTGTAGGATTATTTTAATTCTTCATCAGTACATACACATTTATATGAAAGATAGATAGGTAGATAGATAGATAGATAGATAGATAGATAGATAGATAGATTGATTCAGAGAAGTTGCCCCCTCTACCTCCTACATACATACTGCTTATTTATTATTAAAACAAAATGTGGGTATGATGTTGAATAATGATTGCTCAGGTGACACAACTGCTTCCTGGAGAGCTGTCACCTGAAAATATCAAAGGACATTACAGGCTTATGTACAAATGAGGAATGGCGTACAGAAGGCTGATCGTGCCTACCTTTCAAAGAATTTTATAACAATGAGAATAACCATTGCATTCCTCTGAATAGAGGCCACTATTGCCTTGAAATTCTCGTAAGTGAGGCATACAGGTATTTAGCTCTTTGCAGTAGGTTCTATTATTATCATCATTTTATAAGTGAGGAAAGCAATATATAGAAAGATTCAGACACAATCCCTCAAGTGTGCCCAGATCATAGTTGATTACTAGCTTAACAGAAATATGAACCCAGGCAGCCTGTCTTCAGAGCATTACTCTTTTCCCCCACTATGCTCTATTATGTCTTTGTGTATCTATGTTTTTCCCGTCTCATTTATTTTAAAAAAAGATAAACTGCAAATGTGGGATATCAAGGGAAATTCTTTTTTCTAAAACAAAGAGAGGATAAAGATGAAACACTTAAAAAGAAACATGCAAATAATGGAGTATATATCAAGGAAAAAGAAATAGGCTTTGGATGAACTGGGTTTCCTGTAATTTTTAACAGAGAAAACACAAGTTTGCCCTTGCGCTTGCTTTAAACCACTTGGAGCAAATTGAGATAGCAAAGTCCAAAACTGTGAATTACATTGTATGTATACCTTCTTGTCTTAAGTATGATAACCTTTCTTTCTGAATTAAAAGTTGAGACATGTTGTCTAACAAGTCCAAATATAAAATCAGCAAGAAAAAAATCTATGTGGATCTTGCAAAATCTAAGCTGTGTAATGCTGTTGCCTATGTGAATGAAAAAAATATATAGAGCAGAGTATGAGGGTTTGGACCATTCATCTAGATTTATAATTTTCTCTATTAAGTCATCTGAAAGCACTCTTCATCATAATGATGATGGAGATGATGAAATGTCAAAAACAGGAGAGAGTAAGGCAGATTTAGATTGGTTGATATGTTCCAAGGATGTACTATCTTAAATGCCAGTTTCCACAGGTGTGCTAACATCTGCTGATCTCTGTTGCTGAAAAATAGACAGCTGCGAGTACCAGACTAGGAGAACAGGAAGAGAAAGGGTCTGTATTGTCAAGCATCATGCTATGTTTTGTTCACGAATTAATTTCATTTAGTATTATGTGAGGAATGTCATCATCCCCATTTTCCAGATAAGAGAATTGAGGCTGTCAGTATATGTGAGATTCTGCTGTAACTAAGGAGGAGCTTCAGGATTGCGGCAAAAAAAAAAAAAAAAAAAAAAAACTGAGTGTCTTGGAAAACAACAAAATACCACTTCAGGTAGGTCCATCATATTTCTGGACTGAATGAGATCGCCTTCTTAAAAGTTTTCAAAAATCCCTGTATGTTTAGCTCCTATGGAAACTGCAATTAATCATATGATGTTTAATGCTCATTTTCCCCAATAGACTAGCTTATAACCTCTCTACAGGTGGGACCTTTCCTGTCTTATTTCTTCACCTCTAGCATTTATTACACTTCCTGGCACATAGCTGAAACTCAAATATTTGCTGAATCAATGAATGGAAAAAGTAGATCAAGTATTAGACCGGGAAGCAAAGTAGAATGTCGTATATAGACATTGCACAGTAACTTACGTTCTCAAAAGCTGGATTCATCGAGTCCATGTCAACTTCCAACACTATCACCAACACTCACCCAAACAACTGCAACCCCGGACACCACTATGTACTATTCACTCAGGCACTTGGACCAGAAAACTTCCAATCCTACTTGACTTCTGCCCTAAATCCCTTCATGAATTATTTGGCATATCATACAAGATCTACCTATCCTTCACTATCAAAATCCTGAGATGGAGTGGCACTGAAGAGATAGAAAAAACAGTCTTGAATTTCTAACACTACCCCTTACCTACCCCAGCAATAGTGGCATGGTGTATAGAATGTCTCTGGGAGCTGTGGGAGGAATGGCACAGCAATTGTGAGGTACTGAACTCAATTTGCTCTTGTTACAGTAAAAAGGAAAACCTGAACAAACTCAGCTGACACCCACCCATGGAGAGGGCATTTAAACGAGACCTAGCCAGAGTGAAGGCACTGATCCTAGTGGATGGAAACTGTGCTCCTGGAAACCTTGCCATCGAGGCCTAAACTGCTCTGAGTTTCTGGGTAAACTTGAAAGGCAGTCTGGGCCCTAAAGACCGCAACTCTTAGGTGAGTCCTAGTGCTAACTAGGCTCAGAGACAGTGGACTTGAGGAACATACAGCCTACTGATAAACCAGCTGGGGTGGCTAAAGGAGTGCTGGCATCACCATTCCCTTAACACCAAGCTGCAAAGCTTATGGCTACTAAAGTGACCCCTTCCTTCCACTTGACGAGGGGATAGGAAAGAGTGGGAGGGGCTTTGTCTTGCCTGTAGGATATCAGCTCAGCCACAGAACAAGGCATCAGTCAGTCAGTGTCGTGAGGCCCCCGTTCCAGGCCCTAGGTCCCAGACCACACTCCTAGACACTCCCAGGGCCAGAAGGGAACACACTGCCTTGAAAAGAATGACTGTCTTGGCAGCATTCCTTACCTGCTCACTGAAGAGCTCTTGGGCCCCAAATAACAAGCACCTATACCCAGATACTACATCGAGGGCTTTGGGTGAGCCTCTGAAGCTTGCTGGCTTCACGTGAGGTTCAACACATTCCCAGCTATGGTGGCTGTGGGGCAAAGCTCCTTCTGCTTGAGAAAAGCAAAAGGAAAAGTAAAGGGGACTTTGTCTTACACCTTAGGTACCAGCACAGCCAGAGTGAGGCAGAGCAACAAGCAGGCTCTTGGGGTCCCTAATTCCAGCACTTGTCTCTTGGATGGCATTTCTGGAGCTGCCTGGGCCAGAGAAAAACCCATTTCCCTGAAGAGTGAGTCCCAGACCAGGCATCCCTCACCACAAGCTAACATAAGAGCCCTTGGGCCTTAAGGGAACATAAGTAGTCTGGCAGTACTCCCCACGGCTTGTGTTGGCAGTGGCTAAGGACTGGGGCTCCTCTGCCTTTGGAAAGGGGAGGGAAGAGTGAGAAGGATTGCATCTCATGGTTTGAGTGCCAGCTCAGCTGCTGTACAATAAAACACCAGGTAGACTTAATGTTTTCAGATTCTATTCCCTGACTCCCACACAGCACCTCTGGACCTACCCAGGGCCTGGGGGAACTCACTCTCCAGAAGGGAAGAAAACAGGCCGGGCTAGCTTTGTCACCTGCTGATTGTAGAGGCCCAGGGCCTTGAGCAAACATAGGCAGTAGCCAGGAAGTGATAAAAGTAGGCCTTGGAAGAGGCCCAGTGCTATGCTGGTTGCAGGTCTCAACCAGGAGAATTGTAGCCACAGGGGTGCTTGTGTCACTCCACCTAAGCTGTAAGGGGCTCAGAACAGAGAGAGAGAGAGAAAAAAAAATACTGTGTATGTTTGAGAGAAAATAAGGGAAGAGAATCAGGGTCTCTGCCTGATAATCCAGAGAATTCTACTGGATGTTGTCCAAGACATTACAGTGGCACCTCCAGAAGTCTGCAAAAATCATAGCATTAATGGGCATGTGTGTCCTCTAAAGCAGATACAGCTTAGATCACGAAACCCAAGTCCTTTTAAATATCTGGAAGGCCTTCTCAAAAAGGGACAGCTACAAATAAGCCCAGCCAGTGAAGACTTTAATAAATACCTAACTCTTCAATGCCAAGACACTGAAGAACATCTACTAGCATCAACATCATCCAGAAAAACATGACCTCAAAAAAATGAACTAAATAAGGCATCAGGGAACAATCCTGGAGAAACAGACACATGCGAACTTTGAGACAGAAAATTCAAAATAGCTATGTTGAAGAAATTCAAATAAATTTGTGATAATGCACAGAAGGAATTTAGAATTATATCAGATAAATTTAGCAAAGAGATTGAAATAATTATAAAGAATCAAACAGAAATTACGGAGCTGAAAAAAATGCAACTGGCATACTGAAGGATATGTAAGGGTCTCTTACTAGCAGAATTTATCCAGCAGAAGAATGAATTAGTGAGCTTGAAGACAGGCTGTTTGAAAACACACAGTCAGAGGAGACGAAAGAAAAAAGAATAAAAAACAATGAAGCATGCCTACAGGATCTAGAAAATAGCCTCAAAAGGGCAAACCTAAGCATAACTGGCCTCAAGAGGAGGTAGAGAAAGAAATGGGGTAGAAAGTTTATTCAAAGGGATAATAACGGAGAATTTCTGAAAGCTAGAGAAAGATATCAATATCTAAGGACAAGAAGGTTATAGAACCCCAGGCATATTTAAACCAAAGAAGCCTACCTGAAGGCATTTAATGATCAAACTCCCAAAGATCAATGATAAATAAAGGATCCTAAAAGCAGCAAGAGAAAAGAAACAAATGACACAATGAAGCTCCAATATGTCTGGCAGCAGATTTTTCAGTGAAACCTTACAGGCCAGGAGAAAATGGCATGACTGAGGAAAGAAAAAAACTTTTATGCTAGAATAGGATATCCATTGGAAATACCCTTCAAACACGAGGGAGGATTAAACACTTTCCAAATAAAGAAAAACAGAGATTAAATCAACACCAGACCTGTCGTACAAGAAATACTAAAGGGAGTACATCAATCAGAAAAAGAAGGACATTAACGAGCAGTAAGTATCATGTGAAGTTACAAAACTCACTGGTAATAGTAAGTACAAAAACACATATTAAAACACTGTAATTCTGATGTGTAAACTACTATCGTAAGTAGAAAGACTAAATGAAGACCTAATAAAAAATAATAACTGTAACAACTTTTCAAACATTGTACAATAAGATATAAGAAGAAATAAGAAGTCACAAAGCGGGGGAAAGTTTTAGGATAACATGTGCAGGTTAGTTACATATGTATACATGCATAGAGTTTTTATTAGTTTTCTCTTTGCTAGTTTATTTATACAGTGTTAGGTTGCTATCAAGGTAAAATAGTGCATTATAAGATAGTATTTGCAAGCTTAATGGTAACCTCAAATAAAAAAAAATACCATCAGAGAAAACCACCTTCACTAAAAGAAGACAGGAAGGGAAGAAAGAAGGATGAGAAGACCACAAAACAACCAGAAAACAAATAACAAAATGCCAGAAATATGTCCTTACTTATTTCATATTGCATGCCTGTATCAAAACATCTCACATACCTCACAAATACGCACATCCACTCTGTGCCCACAAAAATTAAATATTGAAAACATAAGTAAAGAATAACAGAAATTAAATGTAAATGGACTAAACTCTAAAATCAAAAGATATAGAGTGGCTGAGTGGATTAAAAACAAGGCCCACCAGGTGCAGTGGCTCATGCCTGTAATCCCAGCACTTTGGGAGGCCGAGGCAGGCAGATCACGAAGTCAACAGATCAAGACCATCCTGGCCAACATAGTGAAACCCCGTCTCTACTAAAAATACAAAAATTAGCTGGGTGTGGTGGTGCACACCTGTAGTCCCAGCTACTAGGGAGGCTGAGGCAGGGGAATTGCTTGAATGCAGGAGGCAGAGGTTGCAGTGAGCTGAGATTGTGCCACTGCACTCCAGCCTGGTGACAGAGGAAGACTCCGTCAAAAAAAAAAAAAAAAAAAAAGCCCAATGATCTGTTTGTTGCCTACAAGAAACATGCTTCACCTATAAAGACACACATAGTCTGAAAATAAAGATTCAAAAAAGATATTTCATGCCACTGGAAAACAAAAAAGAACAAAAGTAGTTACACTTATATTAGACAAATTAAATTTCAAGACAAAAACTATAAGAAGAGACAAAAACGTCATTATATAATGACAAACTGGTCAATTTTAGCAAGAGGATATAACAATTTTAAATATATATGCATCCAACTTTGGAGCCCACAGATATATAAAGCAAATATTATTTATAAAGCAAATATTATTAGAGCTAAGGATAGAGATAGGCCCCAGTACAATAATAGCTGGAGATTTCAATACCTCACTTTCAGCACTGGACAGGTCTTCTAGACAGAAAATCAAGAAACATCAGGTTTAAGCTATACTATAGACAAATGAATCTAATAGCTATTTGCAGAACATTTCATTCAATGGCTGCAGAATACACATTTTCTTCCTCAGTGCATGGATTATCCTCAAGGATATACTATATGTTAAGTCACAGAGTAAATCCTAAGACATATAACAAAATTAAAATAATATCAAGCACCTTCTCTGACCACATGGAATAAAACTAGAAATTAATAACAAGAGAATTTTTGGAAACTATGCAGACACATGGAAATTAAACAATATGCTCCTGAATGACCACTGAGTGGATGAAAAAATAAAGAAGGAAATTGACAAATTTTTAGAAAAAAAATGATAATGGAAGCATAACATACCAAAACCTATGAGATACAGCAAAAGCAGTAATAAGAGGAAAGTTTATAGCTATAAGTTCCTACATCAAATGAGAGGAAAATCCTCAGATAAACAATCTAATGATGAATTATAAAGAACTAGCAAAACAAGAGCAAAACAAACCCAAAATTAGTAGAAGAAAATAATAAAGATCAGAGCAGAAATTAAAAAAAACAAAATTTAAAAAAATAATAGGATAAATGAAACACAAAAGTTGTTTTTTTGAGAAGGTACACAAACCTGACAAATCTTTAGTCACACTAAGAAAAAGAGAGAAGATATAAATAAAATCAGAAATGAAAAAGAAGACGTTGCAACAGCTGATACTGCACAAACTCAAAAGATAATTTGTTGCTACTATGAGCAACTATAGGCAAATAAACTGGAAAATCTAGAATAAATGGACAAATTTCTAGACACCTACAATATATCATGGTTGAACCAGGAAGAAATAAAAAACCTGAAATAATCAGTAAAATTCAAGAGATAGAAGCTGTAATAAAACATCTCCCAACAATGAAAAGCCCAGGACCTGATGGCTTGACTGCTTAATTCTACCAAACGCATAAAGAAGAAGTAATCAAAATCTTACTCAGTTCCAAAAAATAGAGTATAGATTGTTTGCAAACTCATTGTACAAAGCCACAGACAAAGATACATCAATCAAAGAAAACTATAGTCCAATGTCTCTGATCCATATTGATGCAAAAATCCTCAAAAAACAATACTCACATACCAAATTCAACAATATATTTAAAGTATCATTTATCATGACCCACTGGGGTTTATCCCTGGGAAGCAAGGATGCGTAACCATATGCAAATTAAGCAATGCGATGCATCATACCAACAGAATGAAAGATAGAAACTATATAATAATCTCAAATGATGCTGAAAAAGCATTTGATAAAATTCAACACATCTTCATGATAAAAAAAAACCCTCAAAACCTGAGGAAAGAAGGAACATACTTCAACATAATAAAAACCATGTATGGCAAACCCACAGCTAGTATCATATCAAACAGGGAAAAACAGAAAGCCTTTCCTCTAACACCTGGAAAACAAGGATGCCCACTTTCACCACTGTTAATCAACATAGCACTAGAAGTCCTAGTTAGAGCAATCAGACAAGAGAAATATATGAAGGACATTCAAATTAGAACGGATAAAGTCAAGTAATTCTTGTGTGTAGATGACATACTCTTATATTTGGAAAATCCAAAGACACCACCGAGGAAACCTATCAGAACAGATAAACAAATTCAATGAAGTTGCAGAACACAAGCTCAATATATAAAAATCAGTAGCATTTCTATATGCCAAGAGCAAGTATCTGAAAATGAAATTTAAAAGTAATTCAATTTACAGTGCCACAAATAAAATTAAATACCTAAGAATTAACTTAACCAACAAAGTAAAAAATCTCAATAATAAAAACTATAAAACACTGATGAAAAATTGCAGAAGACACCAAAAAATGTAAAAGTATTCCATGTTTATGGATTGGAAGAATCAATATTGTTAAAATGTCTACACCCAAAGCAATCTACAGATTCGATGCAATGCCTATCAAAATATCAATGATATTCTTCACAGAAATAGAAAAATAATCCTAAAATTTGCATGGAACAACAAAAGACCCAGAATAGCCAAAGCTATCCAAAGCAAAAAGAACATGACTGGATGAATCATATTACCTGACTTTAAATTATGCTACAGAGCTATAGTAACCACAACAGCCTGATACTAACATAAAAACAGACACATAGATTAATGAAACAGAATAAAGAACACAGAAACAAATCCACACACATATAATAAACTCATTTTTGACAAAGATGGCAAGAACATACACTGGAAAAAAAGACAGACTCGTCAATAAATAGTGCTGGGAAAACTGGACATGCTTATGCTGAAGAATGAAACTGGAGCCCTATTCTCACCATATTCAAAAATCAAATTAAAATGGATTAAGGGCTTTAATATAAGACCTCAAGCTATGAAACTACAACAAGACAACTTTGGGGAAAATCTCCAGGACAATGGTCTGGGCAAATATTTCTTGAGTAATGCAACACAGGCACAGGCAACCAAAGCAAAAATGGACATATGGGATCACATCAAGTTAAAAAGTTTCTGCACAGCAAAGGAACAATCAACAGAGTGAAGAGACAGCAGAATGGGAGAAAATATTTGCAAACTACCCATCTGACAAGGGTTTAATAATCAGAATATATAAGGAGGTTAAACAATTTTATAGGAAAAAATCTAATAATCCTGTCAAATCTAATAATCCTATTCAAATCCTACCAAATATTTGAATAGACATTTCTCAAAATAAGACATACACATGAAAAATAGGCATATGAAAAAGTGCTCAAAATCACTGATCATCAGAGAAATGGAAATCAAAACTACAATTAAACATTATCTTACCCCAGTTAAAATGACTTATATCCAAAAGACAGGCAATAACATGCTGGCGAGGATGTGGAGAAAAGGGAATCCTTGCACACTTTTGGCAGGAATGTAAATTAGTACAACTACTATGGAGAACCATTTGGAAGTTTCTCTAAAAATTACAAATTGTACTACTGTGTGATCCAGCAATCCCACTTCTGGGTATATACCTCCGAAAAAGAAATCAGTATATTGAAGAGATATCTGCACTCCCATGTTTGTTGAAGCACTGTTCACAATAGCTAAGATTTGGAAGCAACCTAAATATCCACCAACAGATGAATGGATAAAGAAAATGTAGTACATGTACACAATGGCGTGCTACTCAGCCATAACAAATAATGAGATCCAGTCATTTGCAAAGACATAGATGGAACTGGAGATTATTACGTTAATTGAAATAAGCCAGGCACAGAAAGACAAATATCGCATGTTCTCACTTATTTGTAGTAATCTAAAAATCAAAACAACTGAACTCAGTTGTTACCTAGTTACCCTAGGTAACAAGGTAACAGTGGAAATGGTTACCCTAGGCAGGGAAAAGTAGTGGGGAATTCAGGGGAGTGTAGGGATGGTTAATGCTTACCAAAAAAATAGGAATAATGAATAAGACCTTCTACTGACTACAAAATAGGGTGACTATAGTCGATAATAATTTAATTGTATATTTTAAAATAACTTAAATAATGTAATTGGATTGTTTGTAACTCAAAGGACAAATGCTTGAGGGGATGGACACCCCATTCTCCTTGATGTGCTTATTTCACGTTGCATGCCTGTATCAACACATCTCATGTACTCCATAAATATATATACTTACTACGTGCCCACAAAAATTATACTTTTTTAAAAGTTGCACAGGATAATCTTGTCTGGTTAAAGAATAATTGCGATTAATAGAAAGGTGGCTTCTCTACTACCTACACCAAAAAAAGACCAGAACAACATGACAAATGGAGCCCATGGAATTCCTACCTCTGCCTGGTACTATTCCCCGAGTCCACTTAGTTATGGACTGATGCTTGTGCTTCAGTTCATGAATCAAAAACAACATAGTCTAGCAGAATTCAGGTGCCCCATCAGCACCTGAGGATGAGCTCTAGAACGAACTTTAACATGTTGAGCCCCTTGTCACTCAGTCAAAAACAGTGAGAATTACTATTATATTAGGCACTCGTGAATCCGGAAGCGAAGTGTGTACATGCATATGTTTACTAGTCTGACCATTGAGCATGTGCTTCAGGACCTTCACCTGTGAGTGTTCTGCACAAATTTCCTATCCACTTGTATGGGGCTTATGTCACCTAACTTTTCCTTCAGGTATCTGCTGAATAGTCTCAGGTTATCACTGAGGCCTTCTTTGGCCAAGGCCTTGGCTCCAGTGCATTGTCTCCCTCCTTCCCCTGTTTTGTATCCATAGCCCTTATCATTACCTGATATATCATGTGTTTTACTTATTTGTTGTCTGTCTCCTCCTACTAGAATATAAGATCCATGATGGTGACCGGCTGTGTCTGTTTTTATTTTCCACTTATTTCTTTGCATGGCACAAAGTGGACACTCAATAAATATTTTAGAATTGGTGAATAATACAGCTGATTACATCATAAAGAATCAATTGGAGGAGAAATGAAAATAAGGAAAATAGGTAGAGAACCAACATGAAGTTTGAAGACATGAGAGTGAAGAGTTGCCATTGACTTTTCTGTGGATGAGGCAATTACTCTAGTACCCCGAGTGAATATATACACTCTGGGGACTAGTCAGATTTGGGTTTGACTTGAAGCTCTGTTTCACAGCTTAAATGATTAAATCTTTCAAAGTTTCAAAGGTTCAGATTCTTTAAGCTTTTCTTAATAGTTCTCTGCCACTTTTTGTTCTTTCCCATTTTTTCTAGAATTTGTGTTTCCTATGATTTTATCAGCTATATTATTCATTAATTTTAAAATATTTATTATCTACCCTGTTGTTTAGCATTATTTGGGAGATTAAATAAGTATATGTGTATGCACACACACACACACACACTCATATGCACACTTATATGCATATCATTTACATCACACATAGTAACTGTTGAATAATTGGTAGCTTTCACAATCATTATTATCATCCTTACAAAGATATCCAGGAATCAAATAGAAGAAAGGCGAACAATGGGCAGTTTGGATGAAAGTAAGCATAGGAAAGGCAGAGCACCTACCAAGGGAGAACTAGAAAGACACGAAAAGGCATGTAATAAATTACTTTTTTTTTTTTAGAGGAAGAATTTCCTTACATACAGTTATCACCATAAGCAACATTCAATAGGCACAATTTTAAAAACACACACACAAAGGATTCTGGCACACTTAACTGAAACATCATCAATGTATTGATATACATAATTTAGTTATTAGAAGCGATTGGTGATCTATAAACAGTTATATGTGATGACTACACCATTGTGAACAGTATCAAGTGCTATCATCTGACTTCCTCACAAACTATCCATTATAACTCTGGTCAGTATAAAATTTCCCCTTACTCTTGCTGGCTTTGTAATAATTATAACTGTCTTGACAAATTACTTACAGCATCATTCAAGTTCACGCACTTTCATCTGTTTCCTTCTATCTAGCAAAATTATGACACTAGAAGCAAATTACGACACTAGAAGCAAATTATTCTAATTGCTTCTTCAAGCCCAGATGACACATATTTTTCTGTACACTGAGTGATAACTTTATTCTCTTGTTTGCTTAGTCACCAAGGATTTTGACTTTTACTTTGTATAATGTAGACATTCAAGAAACAAAAGAATTAAAAGGATTTTAAAATGTGTAGAGTACATATATGTATACCTATCTAGCTAGCCAGCTAGCTAGCTATCAGTAAGGGGTAAATATTTATTTTTGAAAGTTCTTTCAGAATTAAGTGAGACCGATTGAATAAGCATACAGTTATCCCCCACACATCAAGTAATTTCCTCAGGCCAAATTAGAGCAGTTAATACGAGATTACCATAATTTCTCATGCAATGTGTTTTCAAGTTTACTGCTCATAGGTTTCTGAAAAATAGAGAAAAGCAGTGGGATAGTCAGGGCTAGTGAGAGAAGAGTCAGAATGTTTACTTACTGACATACTAAGTAACCTAAAAAGGAAAAGAATCAGAGGGAAGGTGGACTAGCTGGATTATTAGAATGATAAAGGCCAACTCTTAGATTTCACTATCTCATTAATCTGTCCATCCATCAATCCACCTATCCATCCAATACTAAATCACCTTCTATATACAAGGCAGTATAAGTGCTACAGTGACTCTTCATCCTTGTAAAGAAGAGCAAACGTCTACATAAATAGAATACAACAAAAAACATGAAAAGCTCATGAAAAAATTAGGCTACATCTCTGCATGTACAAAAGAGGGACAGTTTATAATAGATGCAATAGATTAAAGACAGTTTTATGAAAGATGTGGCATTTGAATTAAATCTTGAATGATGTTTAATATTTGTACTAGTAGATACTTAAGGAATGTTGGAAGGACTTCTAGGTAGAGAATACAGTGAAACCATTGATAGGAAAATATATGCAGAGAAGAGCATGCTCAGAGAAGAGGATGAATAAAAGCTTATAGCTGAAGGTAAGACTGAAAAAGTGAATTGGAGGGAAATATAGGAGTTCTCAAACATTAAAGACTTTGATCTTTACTCAAGAGTCCAGACCAATTATGGCCACTGCTCTTTTGAGAGGACTTGGCTTAATATATGCAGATAAAATATAAGCTGTATGAGGCTGGAGGATCACTTGAGCCCAGGAGTTTGAGGCCAGTATGGGCTATATAGTGGTACCCCATCTCAAAAATGTAACTTCACAACAAACTAACTTTCTGTTTCAATTTCTATGTAGCAAATTAACACAAACTTATTAGCTTAAAAGAACACAAATTTATTATCTCACGGTTCCTCTGGGTCAGGAGTCCAAAGATGGCTTAGTTGGGTATTATGCTCAGGGTCTCACTAAGGCTAGAATCAAGGTGTGCTCTGGGGCTGTAATCCTATTTGTGGCTTTGGATTCTCTTTGAAATTCACTCAGGTTTTGTCAGGATTCCGTGCTGGCAGGACTGAAGTCCCTGTGTTCTTGCTGGCTGGTGACTAGGGACCACTATCAGCTCCTAGAAGCCACCTATATATTTACCTCCATCTCCAAGCTTGAAATATAGATGTCTTTTATGTGGAATCCATCTACGGAGTCTCTGACTTCTATCTCTGACTTCTAGATCCAGATTTAAAGTCTCATCTGATTAAGCAAGGCCCACACATATTTTCTTTCTATCTTAAGGTCAACTGATTAGGGACCTTAATTACATCTGCAAAATCTCTTTATAACAACACCCAAGTTAGTGTTTAACTGAATAACTGGGAGAAGGCGCATATATACCAGGTGCCAGAAATCTTAGGGGCCGTCTTAGAATCCTGCCTACTGTAATACCCAGAGAAACCATTTACTTTCACTTGTTTTTACCTTGTTCAATATATCTTGCCAGTTTTTATATATCCATACACACATACACACATGCACACACAAACATATATACTTACGCACCTTAAAATTATTCACTATATTGCAATAAATTTTTATATTAATTTTTATATTCTTATATATAAGAATAACAATAATAGAAAATTGATGACATTATTCCACTTATAGTTTCTAACAGGTTTAAATTAGGTACAAACTATACTGAACATTTAGAATGACATTATTCACAACTGCTAGCCTATTTCAAATTCTCAAAGTGTCTTGTGCAGAGAAGTTTAGAGAAAAAAGAATAAAAAGAAATGAACAAAGCCTCCAAGAAATATGGGACTATGTGTAAAGACCAAATCTACATCTGATTGGTGTACCTGAAAGTGACGGGGAGAATGGAACCAAGTTGGAAAAAACTCTGCAGGATAATATCCAGGAGAACTTCCCCAATCTAGCAAGGCAGGCCAACATTCAAATTCAGGAAATAAAGAGAACGCCACAAAGATACTCCTCGAGAAGAGAAACTCCAAGACACATAATTGTCAGATTCACCAAAGTTGAAATGAATGAAAAAATGTTAATGGCAGCCAGAGAGAAAGGTCAGGTTACCCACAAAGGGAAGCCCATCAGACTAACAGCTGATCTCTCAGCAGAAACTCTACAAGCCAGAACAGAGCAGGGGCCAATACTCAACATTCTTAAAGGAAAGAATTTTCAACCGACAATTTCATATCCAGCCAAACTAAACTTCATAAGCAAAGGAGAAATAAAATACTTTACAGACAAGCAAATGCTGAGAGATTTTGTCACCACCAGGCCTGCCCTAAAAGATCTCCGGAAGGAAGCACGAAACATGGAAAGGAACAACCAGTACCAGCCACTGCAAAAACATGCCAAATTGTAAAGACCATCGAAGCTAGGAAGAAACTGCATCAACTAATGAGCAAAATAACCAGCTAACATCATAATGACAGGATCAAATTCACACACACATAACAATATTAACCTTAAATGTAAATGGGCTAAATGCCCCAATTAAAAGACCCAGACTGGCAAATTGGATAAGGAGTCAAGACCCATCAGTGTGCTATATTCAGGAAACCCATCTCATGTGCAGAGACACACATAGCCTCAAAATAAAGGGATGGAGGAAGATCTACCAAGCAAATGGAAAACAAAAAAAGTCAGGGGTTGCAATCCTAGTCTCTGATAAAACAGACTTTAAACCAACAAAGATCAAAAGAGACAAAGAAGGCCATTACATAATGGTAAAGGGATCAATTCAACAAGAAGAGCTAACTATCCTAAATATATATGCACCCAATACAGGAGCACCCAGATTCATAGAGCAAGTCCTTAGAGACCTACAAAGAGACTTAGACTCCCACACAATAATAATGGGAGACTTTAACAACCCACTGTCAACATTAGACAGATCAATGAGACAGAAAGTTAACAAGGATACCCAGGAATTGAATTCAGCTCTGCACCAACCGGACCTAATAGACATCTACAGAACTCTCCACCCCAAATCAACAGAATATACATTCTTCTCAGCACCACACCGCACCTATTCCAAAATTGACCACATATTTGGAAGTAAAGCATTCCTCAGCAAATGTAAAAGAACAGAAACTATAACAAACTGTCTCTCAGACCACAGTGCAATCAAACAAGAACTCAGGATTAAGAAACTCACTCAAAACCGCTCAGCTGCATGGAAACTGAACAGCCTGCTCCTGAATGAATACTGGGTACATAACGAAATGAAGGCAGAAATAAAGATGTTCTTTGAAACCAACGAGAACAAAGACACAACATACCAGAATCTCTGAGACACATTTAAAGCAGTGTGTAGAGGGAAATTTACAGCACTAAATGCCCACAAGAGAAAGCAGGAAAGATCTAAAATTGACACCCTAACATCACAATTAAAAGGACTAGAGAAGCAAGAGCAATCACATTCAAAAGCTAGCAGAAGGCAAGAAATAACTAAGATCAGAGCAGAACTGAAGGAGATAGAGACACAAAAAAACCCTTCAAAAAAAATCAATGAATCCAGGAGCTGATTTTTTGAAAAGATCAACAAAATTGATAGAACACTAGCAAGACTAACAAAGAAGAAGAGAGAGAAGAATCAAATAGACGCAATAAAAAATGATAAAGGGGATATCACCACCGATCCCACAGAAATACAAACTACCATCAGAGAATACTATAAACACCTCTACGCAAATAAACTAGAAAATCTAGAAGAAATGGATAAATTCTTCGACACATACACCCTCCCAAGACTAAACCAGGAAGAAGTTGAATCTCTGAATAGACCAATAACAGGCTCTGAAATTGAGGCAATAATTAATAGTGTAACAACCAAAAAAAGTCCAGGACCAGATGGATTCACAGCCGAATTCTACCAGAGGTACGAGGAGGAGCTGGTACCATTCCTTCTGAAACTATTCCAATCAACAGAAAAAGAGGGAATCCTCCCTAACTCATTTTATGAGGAGCATCATCCTGATACCAAAGCCCGGCAGAGACATAACAAAAAAAGAGAATTTTAGACCAATATCCCTGATGAACATCGATGCAAAAATCCTCAATAAAATACTGGCAAACCAAATCCAGCAGTACATCAAAAAGCTTATCCACCATGATCAAGTGGGCTTCATCCCTGGGATGCAAGGCTGGTTCAACATACGCAAATCAATAAAGGTAACCCAGCATATAAACAGAACCAAAGACAAAAACCACATGATTATCTCAATAGATGCAGTAAAGGCCTTTGACAAAATTCAACAGCGCTTCATGCTAAAAACTCTCAATAAATTAGGTATTGATGGGACATATCTCAAAATAATAAGAGCTATCTATGACAAACCCACAGCCAATATCATACTGAATGGGCAAAAACTGGAAGCATTCCCTTTGAAAACTGGCACAAGACAGGGATGCCCTCTCTCACCACTCCTATTCAACATAGCGTTGGAAGTTCTGTCCAGGGCAATCAGGCAGGAGAAGGAAATAAAGGATATTCAATTAGGAAAAGAGGAAGTCAAATTCTCCCTGTTTGCAGATGACATGATTGTATATCTAGAAAACCCCATCGTCTCAGCCCAAAATCTCCTTAAGCTGATAGGCAACTTCAGCAAAGTCTCAGGATACAAAATCAATGCGCAAAAATCACAAGCATTCTTATACACCAATAACAGACAAACAGAGAGCCAAATCATGAGTGAACTCCCATTCACAATTGCTTCAAAGAGAATAAAATATCTAGGAATCCAACTTACAATGGACGTGAAGGACTTCTTCAAGGAGAACTACAAACCAATGCTCAATGAAATAAAAGAGGATACAAACAAATGGAAGAACATTCCATGCTCATGGGTAGGAAGAATCAATATCGTGAAAATGGCCATACTGCCCAAGGTAATTTATACATTCAATGCCATCCCCATCAAGCTACCAATGACTTTCTTCACAGAATTGGAAAAAAATACTTTAAAGTTCATATAGAACCAAAAAAGAGCCCACATCACCAAGTCAGTCCTAAGCCAAAAGAGCAAAGCTGGAGGCATCATGCTACCTGACTTCAAACTATACTACAAGATTACAGTAACCAAAACAGCATGGTACTGGTACCAAAACAGAGATACAGACCAATGGAACAGAACAGAGCCCTCAGAAATAATGCCACATATCTACAACCATCTGATCTTTGACAAACCTGACAAAAACAAGAAATGGGGAAAGGATTCCCTATTTAATAAATGGTGCTGGGAAAAATGGCTAGCCATATGTAGAAAGCTGAAACTGGATCCCTTCCTTACACCTTATACAAAAATTAATTCAAGATGGATTAAAGTCTTAAATGTTACACCTAAAACCATAAAAACCCTAGAAGAAAACCTAGGCAATACCATTCAGGACATAGGCATGGGAAAGGACTTCATGTCTAAAACACCAAAAGCAATGGCAACAAAAGCCAAACTTGACAAATGGGATCTAATTAAACTAAAGAGCTTCTGCACAGCAAAAGAAACTACCATCAGAGTGAACAGGCAACCTACAGAATGGGAGAAAATTTTTGCAATCTGCTCATCTGACAAAGGGCTAATATCTGGAATCTACAATGAACTCAAACAAATTTACAAGAAAAAAACAAACAACCCCATCAAAAAGTGGGCAAAGGATATGAACAGACACTTCTCAAAAGAAGACATTTATGCAGCCAAAAGACACATGAAAAAATGCTCATCATCACTGGCCATCAGAGAATTGCAAATCAAAACCACAATGTGATGCCATCTCACACCAGTTAGAATGGCGATCACTCAAAAGTCAGGAAACAACAGGTGCTGGAGAGGATGTGGAGAAATAAGAACGCTTTTACACTGTTGGTGGGACTGTAAACTAGTTCAACCATTGTGGAAGTCAGTGTGGCGATTCCTCAGGGATGTAGAACTAGAAATACCATTTGACCCAGCCATCCCATTACTGGGTATATACCCAAAGGACTATAAATCATGCTGCTATAAAGACACATGCACACGTATGTTTATTGCGGCACTATTCACAATAGCAAAGGCTTGGTACCAACCCAAATGTCCAACAATGATAGACTGGATCAAGAAATGTGGCACATATACACCATGGAATACTATGGAGCCATAAAAAATGATGAGTTCATGTCCTTTGTAGGGACATGGATGAAGCTGGTAACCATTATTCTCAGCAAACTATCACAAGGACAAAAAACCAAACACCGCATATTCTCACTCATAGGTGGGAATTGAACAATGAGAACACATGGACACAGGAAGGGGAACATCAGACACCGGGGCCTGTTGTGGGGTGGGGGGCGGGAGGAGGGATAGCATTAGGAGATACAGCTAATGTTAAATGACGAGTTACTGGGTGCAGCACACCAACATGGCACATGCATACATATGTAACAAACCTGCACCTTGCGCACATGTACACTAAAACTTAAAAGTATAATAAAAAAAAAAAGAGGATGGTCTATCCCATAGACCAGTGGCCTACAAAGTTAGGAAGTGTGTAGGAAAATACATTTGTATACAGAAAAAGATGTATTCTTTATATAGAAAAAGAAATAAATTTTACTAATAAAAAAAGAAAAATGGAAAATATGATATGCTTAATATGCAATTTAACTAGACATTTATTGGCTTGAGAATCAAGTACTGTAAAACACAAAAACAGCTAAATTATATAAGACCATTCTTCAGCTTGTCAGACTTACAAAAATATGATACGACTTAATAAGTACAGGGTAGTATCATAAAATGAACAATTACATAAAAGCAGGAATTACAGGTACTTGTAAATTTGTTTCCTCCAAAGCAATGTACCATTTTCTATTCTGCATATTTATGGTGTCATTTGGATTCATAATTATGATCTAAATGGTCTTCAGTTATTTCTCATAAAATCATCTGCCTTTTCCTGAGGAAAAACTAAGTCAGAAAAATTCTATAGAGAAGTGAACCAAATCTCTACATATACATGATTAGAAAATGAGTGACAACGTGTCCCTCTTAGGGAGCATTCTGTTGTTTCTTAGAGAGTTTCTACTCACCATTCACTTATGATTCAATAATGAGTAATTGGCTGGGCGCGGTGGCTCATGCCTGTGTTCCCAGCACTTTGGGAGGCTGAGGTGGGCAGATCACCTGAGGTCAGGAGTTCGAGACCAGCCTGACCAACATGGAGAAACCCTGTCTCTACTAAAAATACAAAATGAGCCAGGTGTGGTAGCACATGCCTGTAATCCCAGCTACTTGGGAGGCGGAGGCAGGAGAATCGCTTGAACCTAGGAGGTGGAGGTTGCGATGAGCCGAGATCGCGCCATTGCACTCCAGCCTGGGCAACAAGAGCCAAACTCCATCTCAAAAAACAAAAAATAATAATGAATCGTTGATTTAAATAACATATCTCATTTATAAGACTGCTTATATGATATAATATGTAACATCCACCCACTAAACCTCACTTGCCTTATAAGCAGTGTCCAAAGGGCCATATCAAAGAAGTGACTTGAGACTAATAAAGATTAACTCCTGCAGTTTGACCAACCAGACATGAAAATTCATAACCAGATAAATGGGACTATATTCTATAGATTTTAGATGTGGACATAGCTTATACGTCATCAGCTAAATTCAGTACAATTTTTTAAAATCCCTAATACTTACATTAATATGCTTCCTTGTTTGCTAATAAAACATTAAAATTGTGATGCTATAATTTAGCATAACCATATTGTTCTAATTACGCCCTAAACAGAAGAAAGAAATGGTCTTTACTCAAGTTTTATTTTGTGAACATGTGCTTAATTATTTCTGTGAACACTGGTATTAAAGTATTACTCTTGATGATGGGCAGACAGTATTTTTCAACTTTTATTACAAGAGACCTTAAAATAATAATAATGAGGGTTGTAGGCAAACAAAAAACACAATAAACAAAATGATGATAATAAACAATGGATCTGGAGGTTTAAAATAAAACCCTGGGTTTAAGTCACTGAGATTATTATGTAGAAAGAATGAGACTTTGGATAATTCACTTAATTTGAGACTCATGTGAATGTCTGTCTTGTCTATTTGATGGAATTGTAAGGTTAAAGTGAAAATGTATGTAAAATTTTAGTTTGGGTTTCAGGTTATTTTAGTTCTATAATGGAGAAGACAGGGTTTATATACTAGTTTATTTAACCCAGATTTATCTGTTCCAAGTTTGAAATTATTAAACGGAATTTATAAAATATTTGTTCTATTGTACAAACTGGAAAAATTGTTAGATATCTGGTTCAAGCTATAGGTTATTATACCACACAAAAGCAAAGTTCAAATCTACTTATTACAGCCCCGCACTAGTGACACCGAAAAATTATACAAAGCTATTTCACAAATTGCAAAATAAGCACACAATCCTTGACTTGTTTAATATTATAAAGCACATTTAAACATTACATAGAGAGAAAGAATGAAGATGACAATAAGCACTATCCAAGAAATCTTAAGTGAATAAGTGGTCTTAAAGTGTCTGCAAATTATGCGTCTAGATTTAAAACATTTTGATTATCATATATAAGAGAAAAATATTTCAAGTATATGTTCCATAATGTCTATAAAAACGGAAAAGCCATGTAAATGACTTAAACATCAAAATATTTTTGATTTGTCATTATCTTAACATCCTACGTATTCTCATCTTCTTATGTTTTAAAATACTTTAAAGTGTATATTATCAATTAATTACCGTTCAGGCAGGTAAGTATTTTAAGGGCTATTTTCATTTATTATGAAATAACATTATTTGTCATAAGTGAAAAGGATTAGGAATAACAACAAAAAAATCACCCGAAGTCAGTGCAGGTTTATAAACAGACATGAGATACGGCAAGCAAAAGGGTGGCAGAGGGAGAACTTGGGTAATGCATACTTATGTCTAGGACTAACAATTGGGTAAGGATAGATTGGTAAGTAACATGGATTGAGCAGTGTGCAGGATTTGAGATCAAAAGTCAAAATTCAATTTGTGGAGACAAATTACTCTGAATTAAAAAACAATGCATAAGTCAGAGCTACAGATATTAGGCTAAAATGAAGAATGTGAGTAAGACCTGAAGAATACTTGGAGAGCCAGAAAAAAGAGGTAGCTTGAGCAGAAGACGTCAGAAGAGGCATGGTTAGGGTATACGGACAATGGTCCAAAACAACTAGATCTACCCCTAGGAGTGGATTTTTTTTGTTATACTTTAAGTTCTAGGGTACATGTGCACAACGTGCAGGTTTGATACATAGGTATACATGTGCCATGTTGGTTTGCTGCACCCGTCAACTCATCATTTACATTAGATATTTCTCCTAATGCTATCCTTGAGGAAACAAATGAGACAAAGTTGATGAAACGGGAGTCTGGAGACAGTGGTATTTAATCTGAAATAGGAAGATAGGTTCACATTAAAAACACAAGGTTTGAGGAGCATCATCATCAGCTGGATAACAGTCTTTGCCCAATCGCTTGCTGCTTTTACCCTACATAATATAGCACTTTCTGCTCTGGCTTGAAATTTGAATAGAAAGACACTCACCCTAACCTTGACAATTAAACTCCACTGACCAAAGAGCTCACCTTTTAATCCTATCTCACAGGATAATTTTCCTAATATTTTGCATAAAAGAAAGCCTTGGTCAGCTTAACCAAATTTTGACTATAGTTGATTTGTCCTTCTATATGTTTATTTTAGTCTGTTTCCTATTATTTGTAACTTATCCATCAATTTAATTTTCTTGTATTGTTAAAAATGAAGATACAAAATTCACAGTGCTAAGGAAATAGTCCTAAAGACAATTGGATTCTGCTCGACTTCTGAATTTCTAGCTCTCCAAAAGCCCTTTAAGCTCCTGAAATAATAGTTCCACTTGAGAACAAAGAAAACCTGAAGAATAAGTGGTTACATGACTTAAGTGAAGGTAGTCAAACTCACAACAAAAAAGGCTGGTAGTGTTAAGGCAATAAGTTACAGGCCAATATCACCCCTCTTGCCTCCATCAAGACTGTCAAGAAAAGGACTAGAATATGATAGCTGCAAAACTGTGTCCTTATCATATGAATTAGTCAGTATCTCTGGGCTTCCCAATCACTTCATATTAGAAGGTGTGGATTGGCTGTCATACTCAAGGAAGAACCCTCAATAAAATGTCAATAATTGGAGAATATTTTTTGAGCATCTCCCATAGTGACAGCATTGAGCAAAAATGCAATCCCTGCTCAAGAGTTGAAAGGATATAGCTAATGGGGTCAGAGATGTATAGGGAAAATCAGGTTCAACGTTGGCATTTTTATTTTACCGTAATATTTTATAGAATGGCCTTACTATATCTTATTTTATGAACACACTTGGATCATAAAGCACAGAAGAAAAATATGAGCCTTCAATGTCTTACTGTTTTAGAAGAGAAGCTGGTGATGTATCCTGAGTTGTATGGGAAGCACACAGAAATAAAGGCCCAAAGTAAACTAACTTCTTGGTGATTTTGCAGGTATTTTTAAAAGTTTTGAAGTGAGACACCTATGAGGATTCATTTGCTTTCTGACATCTCTCTTTAGTCATGAACACTTCTGACATATCTGTGAAAGGAAGATTCAGTGGGAGAAAAATTGATCATGAGAATCAAACTAAATATTTTTAATATCTAACACTTTTTGAACATATATGCTTTACTATCCACAAATATTTCATTTAGAAACCAACCCCTTTCCTTTCTTTGGATGCATTTGGCTTTAGTTTTGTTCCTAGTTAATAGATTAGATATTCATTGGAATAACTTTATTTTCATTTCTAAAACCACTAAAAGACCAAGTATGCTGCTCTTGTTGTACACACAACTAATTAAAATGAGGCTTTTCTTCTTTATTATGGCTTATAAGAAGGAAAAAAAGCTAAGGTAAAAATATACAGTAATAGCAATGAGTCAAAAAATATTTCTATGAATAGACAGTAACACCCTGGAGAGATAAGAATTAGGTATTCATCTCTAGCTGTATTACTATGATTTTATCTTTATTTTAATGAAAATTAATGCTGCTTTTTAAGGGAATAGCACATTTTAAAAATGAGAGATTTAATGGAAAGGGGCTATAGGCAGAAAGGGAAGGCTCTATGGTTCAATTGTTGAAAGCATGGATTCTGGAGCCAGATTGCCTAGATTCAAAACCCAGTTCTGCCACTCACTCACTATCTGTGTGACAATGAATAAGATACATAATTCTCTGTGTCTCAGTTTCATCTTTTGTGGAGTGAAGAATACCAGATGGACTAAAGGCAGATACGATTCAATTGAAAAGGAAACCACAGCTCAAAATGAGAATAATCTGTTACAAAGATAGAAAAGGAGTAGGAAAGACCACAGGGGTGTCCTAGATTGTGAAGTGGAGGAGGGGGTTCCTAATGAACTAACAGTGTGAATTTTTAGGGTACCATAGTGGAAGCAGCAAGACAGGTGGCTCTTTCTCTACTTTCCTACTTCTCTCCCTTTTGGTCATGGAGTAAGGAACAAAGATGTATAGCCTGAGAATGGAACAGTAAATAAGTTAAAAAGTAGGAAGACTAGCAATAACCAGAAGGACAGGGTGGAGTCTAGAAATTAGCTCTCTAATACAGCATGCCCTTCCACAATAATCACTTGAGGTCAGTAGTAGTTAAAAGGGAAAGAATGTAAAGACAAGCTATTAGAGATTCTCAACACAAAGTTAAAGCACACCATAAAGTATCACCAAATGTGAGGAAATTAGTATTGTAAGAGAGAGGAAATAGATACAGATTAAATATCTATCTTAGAAAAAGATATTTAAATGTATGTATTAAAGTTTAAGGACAACACTTGAATAATATAAATGTAAATATAATATCCAAGCCTCAAGGTAAATGAAAAATTTCATGGAAAACATGAAACTAAGTAAATACTTTGAAAGGGGAATATGAAGTAAATTGAAATCAACATAAGAAAACACAGAAAAGTTGAAAAGACTATGTCTCAGTCTACTAGTATCAGAATAATTTAATACTAAATTGTTATTAAAATATAGACACATTGGATTCAGAAATTAAAATTAAGCTATTATTTTTATAGCACAAATAAAGCAAGTGTGGTGATATTAATTTTAGGCAAAAAAATTCAAGGTACATATATTATATGTAATATATAATATATGAATAATATATTATATATCATATAATAAATAATATATTACATATAATATATTATATAAATAAATTATATATAATATAATAAATAATATATTACATATAATATATTATATAAATAAATTATATCTAATATAATAAATAATATATTACATATAATATATATAATGACAATAGACAATGCATTTACTCAACAATCTCCTGCTGAATTAAATAAACGGCTATAATCTTTCTGTCACTGCAGAAGGCTAAAGATAAGTAAATTGACCCATAGAGTGTCACCACTGGCAGGTATCACAGCCTAGGATTAAATGTGATATCCTTATGTGAGTATGGTACTGCCCTCCACTCATCCCATCCACATGATTAAGGGGGTTAATTTTATTTAACAGGGAGGATGTTGGCTCCATCTCTTCATGGGATTTTCTGTGACCAGTGACCGCTGAGGCTCCTGAGCAGTGTTAGTGGCACTACGTATGACTGCAGGACAAAATGGAGCTATTTGTCTTAACCTGGGATCTTGGCCTCAACAGCTCTACACATTTTGTTGGTAATAGTGACTTGGAATATGCAAATGACAATCATTCTGAAAAGTATCCCATTTATCTATAAAAAACACCATGGTAATGCTTTACTGCTCATACTCACTAAGGGAAGAAGATTCATAGCATGTTTTACAGCATGGCCTTGATCTCTCTCTCTCTCTCTCTCTCTCTCTCTCTCTCTCTCTCTCTCTCTCTCTCTCTCTCTATATATATATATATATATATATATATATATATACAATTATACATCTTTATATCTCTAGATAGATTATCTCTCTCTCTCTCTCTACATATATATATGTATATATATATATAAAATCATCTTCCCACCTTTAAGCCTTTGTTACTCTTCACTGAGACGTCATTTTTTCATTTGTGTAATTCCTTCTCCTCATAGACGGTCCATCTCCTGAACACCCAAGGTAGACTAATCTATCCCTCCTTTAAATGTTCTTAACCCTGAGATTTCACTTCCAGGAAGGAAGCAATTTAAACCTCTGTGGGCCTTACTCTGCTTTTCTGTGAAGAACCTTGAAGATCCAGCTTCGGATAACTGTTTGTTTTTTTAAGTTGTGTTTTTAAAAATTGCTGCTGTAGTTATAACTTTGTATTAATATTCTCTATATTTCATTTTCTTCACTAGATTCTGAGCTCACTAAGGCAGGATTTTTTGTATTCTTTGTCATATCAGCAACATCTTGTGTAAAATCTGAACCGTAATTGGTACTTAACAAATGTGTTTTGAAGGAAATGAATGAGTGAATGGATGATGGATTAAGTGAATCCAAGTGTCAGAAGCAAAATGCTTTCCAGAATTTTTCTTTGTTTAAAAGTTACCATATTGAACTTCATATTTTCCCATTCAGCCACATGGGATGAAAATACTGTCCAGATATGAAGCTGTCATGAGTCAGCATATTGTCAGCAAAAACAGACTGGGGAATGACTTTCTCCTCAGGATTCAATCCAGAGGACAAGTTGTGATTTCAAACACAAATATGGAAATATTCTCCAAAGTTAACTGAACAAGCCTAAGGTAAAGCAATTAGCTTTCCTTTGACTGCTCTTCAGATCCACTCCAGAGTGACAGTTCTGCTGCGCTCAGATACTGTGCTGCATATTGTGAAGCTTGCAGTGAAAATTCCTACAATTGTCCTGCTTCTGGAGGGGGTAAAAGCAAATTCACCTGAGACCATTTAACTGCCATGCAGGTAAACATTTAGCAGCATGATGCTGCCAAAGCCCTTTAAGTATACTACCCATTTTCCCCAAAACTGTGGAAAAAACTATTTTGATGTCCTGGGGTACTTTTATGGTTGTTAAAGAACGAAGCAATCAAGTGTTTTATATATATAAAGCCTTTTATATACATAAATTTGTATATACAAAACTTTATACATATAAACATTTATATAAAAATATATCTACTACTTAAGCCATAATATTCAAAATGAAAAGCCATTTTCAATGATTTTCAAAGCAATTAAACACTGAACTCTGCAGCCATTCCTGTGGGAAGGGTCGAGAATGTTAGCATCACTTTCACTAACCCAGCAATAACTGAGATGAACAAAGGCACTAGGCCCAGTGCCTTTATATATGGATATATGTATATATGTATATGTATATAATATATGTATATATAATATATAATTATATAATTTATATATTATATATATTATTTATATATTACATATAAATACATATTATTTATATATTACATGTAATTTCATGTAAAATATATTATTTATATTACATGTAATTTACATGTAATATATATTATTTATATATTACATGTAATTTACATGTAATATGTATTATTTATATATTACATGTAATTTACATGTAATATGTATTATTTATATATTACATGTAATTTACATGTAATATATATATTACTTCCATATTGTAATTTATATGTAATATTACTTCCATATTGTAATTTATATGTAATACATATTTTCTATATTGTAATTTATATGCAATACATATTATTTATATATTGTAATTTATATGCAATACATATTATTTATATATTGTAATTTATATGCAATATATATTCTTTATCTATTACACATAATTTATATGCAATATATAGTTTATCTATTACACAAAATTTATTGCAATATATATTGTTTATCTATTACACAAAATTTATATGCAATATATATTGTTTATCTATTACACAAAATTTATATGCAATATATATTGTTATCTATTACACAAAATTTATATGCAACATATATTGTTTATCTATTACACATAATTTATATGCAACATATATTGTTTATCTATTACACATAATTTATATGCAACATATATTGTTTATCTATTACACATAATTTATATGCAACATATATTGTTTATCTATTACACATAATTTATATGCAACATATATTGTTTATCTATTACACATAATTTATATGCAACATATATTGTTTATCTATTACACATAATTAATATGCAACATATATACTTTATTACACATAATTAATATGCAATATATATACTTTATCTATTATACATAATTAATATGTAATATATATAATTTATATATTATATATATTAGGTGTTATATATAATTTATATATTATATATATTTCGTGTTATATATAATTTATATATTATATATATTTCGTGTTATATATAATTTATATATTATTTACGTATTCTACATAATGTATGTTATATATTATTTACGTGTTCTACATGATGTATGTTATATATTATTTACGTGTTCTACATGATGTATGTTATATATTATTTACGTATTCTACATAATGTATGTTATATATTATTTACGTATTCTACATAATGTATGTTATATATTATTTACGTATTCTACATAATGTATGTTATATATTATTTATTATATATTATGTACATATTATATATATTATTGACATATTATATATAATATATTATTTACATATTATATCTTATTTATATATTATTTATATATTTTATATTATATATTATATGTTATTTATATAATATATAATATATAATATGTTATTTATAATATATTATAATATATTGTTTATATAATATATGTAATATATTATTTATTATATTATATATATTTTATTTATATATTATATGTAATATATTATTTATTATATTATATATATTATATGTAATATATTATTTATTATATTAGATATAATTTATTTATATAATATATTATATGTAATATATTATTTATTATATGATATATAATATATTATTCATATATTATATATTACATATAATATATTGTTTATATAATATATAATATATTATGTATTATATATTATTTATATATTATATATTATTTATATATTATATATTATATATTAGTTATATATTATATATTATATATATTATTTATATCATATATTATATATAATATAGTATTGATATATCATCTATTATATATATTATTTATATATCATCAATTATATATAATATATTATTTATATATCATATATTATATATATTATTTATATATCATCTATTATTTATAATATATTATTTATATATCATATATTATTTATAATACATTATTCATATATCATATATTATTTATATATTATATATAAGATATATATATTTTATATGTATATATTATATAAATATATCATATATTTTATAAAACATGTATATATTATGTACATAGTATTTATATATAATATATTTATAGAAAATATATACACATATAAGATATAATATATATAATATATATAAATAATATATTTATACATTATATATTATATATATTATGTTATGTATTTTTATATTATATTATATAATATATGTACATGTTATACATGTGAATTCATATATTTATATATACATACATTTATATATATCTATTATTATACATAGATATATATTTTATAGATATAGATCATATATACATACCTATTATTTGGCAAAGACAACTAAACATACCCACTACTGTACCATTTCTGGTGAAATTAAAGTTTTTTACATATATTATTTATAGATTATAGCTATATATAGGTATATAGATTATATTTATATATAGATATATACAGATCATATATATAGTTTAAAGTTTTATATGTAAACTTTTATCTATATATATTTATATATTATATATAGTTTTATATATATTATATTATTATATAGAACATATTATATATATTTATAGATAATATAATATATTATATTATATATTATATATAAAAGTTTATATATAATAAGCATATATATTTATATATAATATATATTACTTTAGTCTCACCAGAAATGATCACTAGTGGGTATGTTTAGTTGTCTTTGCCAAATAATAGATAAAAAATATTACAAAGATGCATCTAGGATACGTGCTCAGCCACAGCAGGGTACAGCACTGTTCAGTCATGAAATGCCTGTTCCAGGCCCTAGCTCCCAAGCGACATTTCTAGACACACCCTGGGCCAGAAGAGAACTCGATGCCTCCAAGAAAACGACCCAGTCCTGGCACCATTTATCATCTGCTAACTGAAGAGCCTTTGGGCCCCAAATAAGGAATAGTGATACCCAGGTACTACATCAAGGGCCTTTGTGAGCCTCTCAAAATTGCTGGCTTCAGGAAAGACTCAGCATATTAGCAGCAAAACTCCTTCTGTTTGAGAAAAGCAGGGAATAGTTAAGGCAACTTTTTCTTGCACCGTAGATACCAGCACAGCCAGAGGGAGTTAAAGCACCAAGTGGGCTCTTGACCCTCGGATGGCATTTGTGGACCTGCCCTGGCCCAGAGGGGAGCCCACTGCCCTGAAGGATGAGTAACAGGCCAGGCAGTATTCACCACAAGCTGACTTAAAAAACCATGGGCCTTAAGTGACATCTGCTGTAGTCTGGCAGTACTCCTTCTGGACTCGGGTGGCGGTGGCTATGGTGTGAGGCTCCTCAGCCTTTGGAAAGGGGAAAAAAGAGTGGGAGGATGGCATCTTCCCACTCTTTAAGTGCCAGCTTAACCGCAATGCAGCAGAACGTCAGGTAGACTTCCAAGGTTTTTAATCTAGTACCTGACTCCCAGACAGCACTTCTGGACCCACCCAGGGCCTGGGTGCCCTTGCTACCCTGAAAAGAAGGACATAAGCCCAACTGGCTTTTCAACCTGCTAATTGTAGAGCCCCAGGGCCTTGAGGAAACACAGGCAGAAGCCAGGGAGTGGTTCCAGCAGGCCTCGAGTGAGACCCAGTGCTGTGCTGGCATCAGGTCTGAGTCAATGCAGTCATAGTGGTGGTGGCAACAGGGGTGCTTATGTCACTCCACCCCAAGCTTTAGCAGGTGCAGAACAGAGAGAGAGACTGTATATGCTTCGGAGAAAATAAGTGAGGAGAACGAGAGTCTCTGCCTTATAATCCAGAGAATTCTCCTGGATCTTGTCCAAGACATTAAGGCAGTATCTCTAGAAGTCTGCAAAAGTCACAGCATTAATGAGCATGATATGTCCCCTAAAGCATATACATCTGAGATCACAACTAAGTCCTTTCAAATATCAGGAAAGCCTTCCCAAGAAGGACGCTACAAATAAGCTGAGCCAGTGAAGACTATGATACATACCTAATTCTTCATTGCCAAGACACTGAAGAACATCCACTAGCATCAACACCATCCAGAAAAACATGCCCTCACCAAATGAACTAAATAAGGCACCAGGGAACAATCCTGGAGGAAGAGATATATGTGACCTGTCAGACAGAAAATTTTAAATAGCTATGTTGAGGAAACTCAAAGAAATTCAAGATAACACACAGAATTTTAGAATTCTATCGGAAGAATTTAACAAAGAGACTGAAATAAGTATACTGAATCAAGCATAAATTTTGGAGTTGAAAAAATGCAACTGACATACTGAAAGATGCATAAGATTCTTTAACTAGCAGAATCTATCAAGCAGAAGAACGAATGAGCGAGCTTGAAGACAGGCTATTTGAAAATACACAGTCAGAGGAAACAAAAGAACAAAAGAATAAAAAACAATGAAGCATGCATATAGCATCTAGAAAATAGCCTCAAAAAGGCAAATCTAAGAGTTATTGGCCTAAAAGAGGAGGTAGGGAAAGACATATGGGTAGAAACTTTATTTAAAGTAATAATAACAGAGAACTTCCCAAACCTAAAGATAGGTATCAATATCCAAGTTCAAAAAATGATTATAGATCACCAAGCAGACTTAACCCAGAGAAGACTACCTCAAGTCATTTAATAATCAAACTCCCAAAGGTCAAAGATAAAGAAAGGATCCTAAAAGCAGCAAGAAAAAAGAAACAAATAACATACAATAGAGCTCCAATAGGTGTAGGAGCAGACTTTTCAGTTGAAATCTGACAGGCTAGGAGAGAGGGGTAAAACATATTTAAAGTGCCAAAGGACAAAAATATCCTTCAAACATGAAGGAGAAATAAGCACTTTCTCAGGCATACAAAAGCTGAGATATCTAATCAATACCAGACCTGTCCTACAAGAAATACTAGAGGAAGTACTTGAATCAGAAAGAAAAGGATACTAATCACCAATAAATAATAACTTGAAGGTACAAAACTCACTGGTAATAGTAAGCACACAGAATAACCCAGAATATTGTAACAATGTAATTGTGATGTATAACTACTCTTATTCTAAGTAGAAAGATTAAATGATGAACCAATCAGAATAATAATTACAACAACTTTTTAACACATAGTACAAAAGTATATAAATAGAAACAACAAAAAGTTAAAATGCAGGGTGATGAAGTTAATAAAATCAGAAGTGAAAAGGAGACATCAAAATTGATACAGCAGAAATTCAAAGGATCATTAGTGACTACTGCGAGCAACTATATGCCACTAAATTGGAAAATCAAGAACAAATGGACAAATTTCTACATACATGAAACCTACCAAGATTGGACCAGGAAGAAATTCAAAACCAAAACAGACCAAGTAACAAGATAGAAGTCATAATAAAAATTATTCCAGTAAAAAATAGCACATGACCTGATGACTTCACTACTGAATTCTACCAATCACTTAAAGAAGAAATAATACCAATCCTACTCCAACTATTACAGAAAACAGAGGAGAAGGGAATGCTTCCCAACTCATTCTATAGGGCCAATATTACCCTAATACCAAAACTGGACAAAGGTATCAATAACAGAAAACTACAGGCCAGTATCTCTGAAGAATATTGATGCAAAAATCCTCAACAAAATACTGGCATACCAAATTCAACAATATATTAGAAAGATTAGTCCCCATGACAAGGTGGGATTTATCCCTGAGATGCAAGGATGGTTCAACATATGCAAATTGATCAATGTGATCCATCATATCAACAGAATAAAGGATAAAATCCATATGATCATTTCAATTGATGCTGAAAAAGCATTTGATAAAATTCAACATCCCATTATGATAAAAACCTTTGAAAAAGCGGAAATAGGAGGAACATACCTCAACATAATAAAAGCCATATATGACAGACCCACAGCTAATATCAACTGAATAGGAACAAAACTGAAAGTCTTTCCTCTAAGACCTGGAACACAACAAGGATGCCCACTGTCACCACTTTTATTTAATGTAGTACTGGACGTCCTAGCTAAAGCAATCAGGCAACAGAAAGATATAAAGGGTATCCAAGTTGGAAAGGAAGAAGTCAAATTATCCTTGTGTATAAATGATATGATCTTTTATTTGGAAAATCTAAAGACTACAAGAAAACAATTAGCACTAATAAAAATCCAATAAAGTTGCAGGATACAAAATCAATACACAAAAATCAGTAGCATTTCTATATGCCAAGAGTAAGCAATCTGAAAAAGAAATTTAAAAAGTAATCCCATTTACAATAGCCACAAATAAAATTAAATATCTAAGAATTAACTTAACCAACAAAGTGAAAAATCTCTATAGTGAAAACTATAAAACACTGATGAAAGAAATTGAAGAGAACACCAAAAAATGGAAATGTAAAATATTCTCAAACTACTCATCTGACAAGGGATTAATAACCAGAATAAGTAAGAAGCTTAAACAACTCTATAGGAAAAAAATCTAATAATCCTATCAAATAATGGACCAAAGATTTGAAGAGACATTTCTCAAAAGAAGACATACACATGGCAAATGGGCAAATGAAAATAGCATAAACATCACTGATCATCAGAGAAAGGCAAATCAAAACTACAGTGAAATATCACCTGACCCCAATTAAAAGAGCTTATATCCAAAAGACAGGCAATAAAAAATGCTGGTGAGGATGTGGAGAAAATGAAACCCTTATACAATATTGGTGCTAATGTAAATTAGTATAACCACTATGAAGAACAGTTTGTAGGTTCCTCAAAATACTGAAAATTGAGCTACCATGTGATCCAGCAATCACACTGCTGGGTATATACACAAAATAAATGCAATCAGTATATTAAAAATATATCTGCACTCCTATGTTTGTTGCCTAGCTTATTTTACTTAATTCAATGATCTATGGTTCCATCCACGTTGTTGCAAATGACTGGATCTCATTCTTTTTTATGGCTGAATAGTATTCCACCGTGTCTATGTATCACATTTTCTGTATCCATTCATCTGTTGATGGACACTTAGGTTGCTTCCAAATCTTAGCTATTGTAAACAGTGCTGCAAAAAACATGGGAGTGCAGATATCTCTTCAATATACTGAACACCTTTCTTTTGTGTATATTCCCAGCAGTGAGATTGCTGGATCATATGGTAGCTCAATTTTCAGTTTTTTGGAAAAATAAAAGATTTGGAAGCAACCTAAGTGTCCATCAGCAGATAAATGGAGAAAGAAAATGTGGTACGTATACACAATGGAGTATTATCCAGCCATACAAAAAGAATGAGATCTAGTGATTTCCAACAGCATGATGGAATTAGAGATCATTATGTTTAGTGAAATAAGCCAGGCACAGAAAGACAAACATCCCATGTTCTCACTTATTTGTGGGATCTAGAAATAAAAACAATTGAACTCATGGACATAGAAGAAGGATGGTTACCACAGGCTGGAAAGGGTAGTGAGGGCCTGGTAGGGAGGTGGGGATAGTTAATGGTTTAAAAAAAATACATAGAAAGAATGATTGTGACCTACAATTTGATAGCACACCAAGATGACTACAGTCAATAATAACTTAATTGTACATTTTAAAGTAATCAAAGAGTATAATTGTATTTTTTGTAACTCAAATGATAAATGTGGAGGAGATGGATAGCCCATTCTTCATGACTGGCTTATTCCACATGGCATGCCTGTATCAAAACATCTCATGTACCCCATAAATATATACACCTTCTATGTCCCCACAAAAAAATTTAAAAATAAAAATAAGATTATGAAGAGACTATACCAAGAGGGAAACAAGCCCTATCTTCCAAAGCATAATTATTATTTCACAAGGTTTGTTTCATTTATTTATATTTTATTTTTATCTCTCTCTCTCTCTCTCTCTGCTACACACACATATCCACACACATTCACACACACACATACACAAGATGATAATTTGAGGCAAATAAAACCAAACATAAGTTTGGAGATATTTAATTACAGTTTACCATCCAAATTGACAGGTCTGAAAGAGATTAGAAAATGAAGTATCAATCATCTAACACTTGGAAAAAAATTGTAAGCACATATTGTGGAATTTATTGATAATATGTCCTTTAGCTACTACAGATTTTAATGCTGTTTTTAATGTAGGTGAACTGGAAATTTTTATAATCTTGCTATTTTATAAAAAGAGTTAGAGAGAAAATATAATGTGTCGCTGCACTAATTTAGAAGGTGTCATGAATACCATACATACATTCTTTTTATACAAACTTCACTGAATTATAGCACTTATTTTTGATGTCCTTTTACTCCAAGTGGGAAAATTCTCTTTTTTAAAATCACTAATTATGTTAAGTAAATACATTGTAGCTCAGATGTAGGCTCAGCACATTGCTAATGTCTAGGCAAATTATTCCCTGAAGTTAGTAATTAGTAGAAGTAGCTTTAGACTTTTACTAGAATAAATGCAACTTCGATTTTATGATGAGATTTATATTTAATGTTGAAGACTTGTTTGATTAAAAAGACTGGGGAGTCTATTAGGAAAAATAACCAAGACCCTCAGGGAGAGGTACAAGCCTAAGGATCTACATCAGGATAATTAGGGAATTCAAATGAGCCTCAAGACCTAAGTTAGATTGTATTGCTCCGAAACTTTTACCACTGCCTTCATATTCATCTCTGGACTAGTCATTTTCAATGCATGGAAAAAAAATGTAGGCGCATGTATATATAAATTACTGAGGACAGTATCCTACTTAAGCACAATACTGTATGCATGCATTTGAGTGTCATATAAGGATTAATATTTTGATTTACTGAAAAGCAATAAGTTACTGAACTCCTAGAGGCCCATCCTAAATAATACGAAGAAGATACAGTCACTATTTATTGTTCACATAATAAGTACCTGACACTATGTTAGGAACTAGGAGGTGGGTGGTGGGACTTAATGAGTCTGTCAATTGTTTTTATATATTATGTATATATATATATATATGTGTGTGTGTGTGTGTGTGTGTGTGTGTATAATTACTACTATAATTGTTGAGCATCTGCTATGTGTCAAGCACTATAATGGACACAACAGACTCAGTAGTATGCAAAACTAACATACACTTTGACCCCATGGAGTTTGCAACGTAACAAGGAAAGTAGATGTGAAACTGAATATTACAAAGTAGAATGACAGAAGAGCAGAAAAGCTTTCAGGAAGAAAGAATTATTTCAGATGTTTATGAACTTCACACATTTTCAGTCGTGTAAACATAAACATGCTATTCTTTATACAAAATCTCACTGTTGACTCACAAGCACAGATAGGGTACACACAGGGAGTGTTTTCCCACAGCTGAGATAAACTGACATTGAATATCAGCCACCCTCAGCTAATCTCTTAAATAGACACACATACTTACAGAATGCTTGGACTAAATTAGGCCGTGACACAGTGTGAAGACAATTACTTTAACCCCAAATTAAATCGGCGATTTGTTCCCCCTTGGTTCACTTTAATTCTGCTCATTACCAAAAAGCTGAGTATGTGGTCAAGCTGGGCACAGAAGGTGTTAGAGAACTTCCATGTATTATTGTTTACTTTTCAAGTCTCTAAACCTGAAAAGCAAAAAAGGCAGTTGCTATTAATACCATTTTATGGATGAGGACACCGAGACTCATAGTTAATATCCCACCCAAGATCAAAAATACATAATAAGAGCTATTTCCAAAGCTCAAAGCACAAATCTCTTGGCTATGAACTCTTGTCTCTCTGCTGAGTCAGGTTACTGACTATTCATATACTTTGCATCATTACAGGAAAGAAAACTGCTCAGTTACGTGCACTTTAAGCCTGTTAGGTAGATTCCATCAAAGACACAAGATCAATTCAAAAATAAAAATTGCATTAAAATTTATAAATTTGAGATATTTACTTGGTAGTATTCATGGCTCAGCAAGTAGTAATATAATGCATGCTTGTCACAGATATTATTCACTACAAAATAATAAAATAGTGCATTCCTGGGTAAAATTCTACTCCAAGGTCTACAGAGAAAACGCCAGTTTAAATTAAATTCTGCTTGCTCCCATAGAATAAAATAGCCCTGTGTATTTAAATTACAAAAACAGTAGCCTTTCTGTTATGTAAATGTATGTCGTAAATGAGTGTAGTAGATAGTGCATATACCACCACTGATATTTGTGGCTGGGCAACTGGAAACATGTGATCTGCAAATATCTATAATATTTATATTTATAATATCAAATATCAATAATACAGAAAACCAAACAAGAAGTATAGGTTTGCAAAAAAAAAAAAAATGAAAAAACAGGCCACATGCACAGCTGCAGCTCAATAAAGCATGCTGCTGTCATTTTTGTGGTAGATTATACTTTTGCTGTAACTAAGAACAAGCAACTCTAGAAGATGATTATAGGCGTGCATTCATGCATGAGTGCACACACACACACATATTTTTCTTTTCTCATTTTTTTTTTTTTTGAGACAGAGTCTTGCTCTGTCACCCAGGCTGGAGTGCAGTGGCGCGATCTCGGCTCACTGCAAGCTCCGCCTCCGGGGTTCACGCCATTCTCCTGCCTCAGCCTCCCAAATAGCTGAGACTACAGGTGCACGCCACCACGCCTGGCTAATTTTTTTTGTATTTTTAGTAGAGACGGGGTTTCACTGTGTTAGCAAGGATGGTCTCGATCTCCTGACCTCGTGATCCGCCTGCCTCGGCCTCCCAAAGTGCTGGGATTATAGGCGTGAGCCACCGTGCCTGGCCTGTTTTCTCATTTTTACTGATAATAACAGTAAATATCACTGCAGAAAATTCAGAAACTGAGATTTTAAAAATCTAAAAGTTGCACAACCATTCAGAAGTAAATGCTACTAACTTTTCACCTCGTTTCCTTGCAGATCACCAATTATATATCTGATATTTTTCATGTATTTATAGTGATTATTTCCTCACTGCCATCTATTCTTTAGAAAGTACTTTAATCACTCTACTATACTTCTTTTAACTATTCCCTTTTTAAAGGAGGTTATGAATTTGCCCAGCTATTTTTCTTTTAAATGTCTGCAAATTCAATAGTTTGAAACAATAGCTCAGTGATTTACGTTTTATTTGTTTGATTACTAGTGAGAGTGAACATGCTTCTCAATGTTAATTGACTATTTTCATCTCTTTATTAGTTGGTTATCTGAGCATGTTCTTTATTTTATTGAGAACAGTATCTTCTTTCTCTAAAAACAATAACAACAACATAAATTTAAAAGCACATTACTAAGGAAACATATTCATAACATATTTGGCAAATAAAATAACGTGATGGTCTCATGACAACCCTTCCAACGTGATAACTTAGAAATGGGGTTTTTTGAAGTTGTCTTAAGCAACAAATATTGTCTTTCCAAACCTAGCTTCAGGGGTTAAATGATAATAAGAATGCATTTGAATCCAAAAGATGCAAGAATCATTGTGTCCAGCTCCTGTAGATAGACAAGATCAGCTACTGAACCCTGACTGATGCATCAAAACTGATTCTTTTTCCTCCTTAATGATTCAGTCTGCTGGATTTTCACACTCATATTAATAGTTAAATATTTCTAAGTCATCCTGAAAGGACTTATGAATCAGAATGTGATCTTTGTACCAGTGATTCATTTAATAAAATTAGTTATAACACTACAGAATTGATGTTTTGAAACAGTATGAAAAAAATTCCTTCCTCAGTATATATAAAAAATCTTTAAATGATATGAAATATTCTATTTTACCATTATTACTTCTAATAATAACACCAAATTTTGCATTTATCTTATTTGACCCTCACAGCAATCCATAGACCTAGAAAGAAGAGGCATTTTCATACTATTTTTATAAAGAAAGAAAGCGAGGTGCAAAAGACATTGAGTAAAAACCCAAGGTCATATGGTTAATTAGTAACAAGGAAGAGGCTGAAAATTTACCCTTTTGTTTCTAAATCCTTTACTCCCTTTTCCTTCACACTACTGTCCCACCTTCCACATAATTATAGCATAATTGTCAGAGTTCTACGTTTCTGTTAGTACCCTATTTGGTCTACAGGTGATGTCCAACTACAGCTCTCTGTTTACCACCAATCTATGAAAACCATTACTCTTTATTAATGTGCAGAAGACAGGAGCTTTCAGTTGAAAGCTTCTTAAGGAAACTAAGAGGGTGGAATGTCCTTTCAAATAATGTCTGCAAAGTTTAAGTCTCTGGGTTATCCTGATCTATTTTGTACTCTCATTCATCTGTAGCGTTATTCATGCAGTTCCCTGTGCCTGGAAGCCTGGAATGAATGCTTTCATTCATTCTTTCTATCTCCTTTCTTGCATTCCTCTCTCTCTCTCTCGTCTGTCTCCACTCACCCCATTCTCCAAGGCCCACCTCATATGCCATCAATGTTTCTCATTATCTTCCGCAAACTGAATGTGATAATTCTTGCCTCTGAGCAAATACTACTAAGTAAACTAATGTTTTATTTCAATCCTATGCAAGTTGTCTTACTCCCTTATCTGACTGTAAAATGCTTTGTGGTTGTGCCTCACATATAAAAGTGTTCAGTATCATTAAGAAAAATAATGTACAGATACACATCTGAGGAGGTACTGGCATAGACAATTGATATAGGCGTATGAGCCTCCAAAATAGGTTAGTGTCACAGAACCAGAACTACCCATGAGTATTAAAGTACACCCTACATTCCTAATTGTAGTATGTAGCTGAGAACAACCTCCAAAGCCGTGAATAATTTGCACTGGGGCCCTTCAGAACCTGATTACGCTTCCAAAATGCATCCAGCTTTGACTTTAATGATGACTTCAATTATTATTTCTCTAAATTCAGTGATAGCAATGTATGTTATTGCCTCCTTCTAATTGTAACTTTCTGCCTGTTTGAATATGTCCCACAGCATAAGTTATGCATATTGCAGCAATAGAAGCAAAAAACACTTTTGCCCAAACGACATTTGGGACTGACTTCACAATCTGCTCCAGGATTTACCCTAGGTGCTGTTTCCCTAACATAGATCTTCCAAACTGAACAGCTTCAATCTCTTTTAGTACATAGTGCTGGAGTTGTAAATAACTGCTCAAAAGTCAACTGTGCTGTGATCGAGAGTCCAAGCAAGAAATTCTGTATAAAGAAAAGATTTATTCTCCTTCCTAGGCCTGTTAATTCATCCGCAAAAGTAAGAAATTATCAAATGGGAGGGGTTTCCAAGTCTTACTGTGCAGAATCACCTGGGAAGTTTTTATTTTTATAAAAAATACAGCTTTTTATCCTCATCCCAGTACCATAGAATGAAAATTTCCAGGGATCATTCTAATATATCTAGTCCATAGATCCCTGTTGAGATACAATAGACTAAATGGTCTCTAAGGTCTCAGGCATCACTAGAGTTTTATAATCCATGAATATTTATGAAGTCCAAATGATATAGGAACATGCTTTTTTAATCCATCTAGAGCCATCAAACAAGGCAAAGAATGCTCAATTGAGTATCAGGAGACTTGGAATAAATTGTGACTTTTTCATGACTTTGTAATCTCAGACAAGTCCTTTCCTCTTATGGCTTCAGTTTTCTCATCTATAAAATAAAATAATTGGATCAAAGCATAATCTAATCTGTGATGCCTTGCAAGTTGTGCCTGTAGAAGTTCAAATAAGACAAATGAGGATCAGGCTAACACAAAGACTTATGCCACCAGGGGAAAGGCTGTTGGCTGTCTCACACAGATACATTCATTATCATGATGCCAAGGCCTGAGACCTACTCTGCAGCCTTTTTGACTCAGTGATCTAAGTTGTCAGCACTCAGAGAGTGGGTAGATTCACATTGTGCTGGCTCACAAGACTGATCAGAAATACGAATAATTAATTGCAGTGAAAAACAGGACTATGATAATAACTAGGCACTGTAGATGAGGCATCTTTTTCTCTACAGACTTTCCCTGTGTAAAAGATATAGCATGGAAAGCTCCCTATAGTGAAAATGCCAGGAACTTAATTATAATGAAAAAAACATATAGCTGAAAGAGAAATAGGCCATAAATTACTTTGGTGAGACCAGTCTCTTTTTGAAAGTAAGATCTACCTAGAAAGGCCCATAACCGACAGTACTCTTTTGGTGAGCCTAAAGCCATAACAAAGGGAGTTAGATGAATTAACAAAAAAATGTGAATACATCTCTTACTGTTTTGATTTCAACTCTCTTTAGCCTTTCCCAAATTAGCTCAGAAACTTCCACAAACCTAGACTTGCAGGAAGTATTCAATATGGATCAGCCTTTCAGAAGCTGAAAAAGACAAATAGGGCAGCAATGAGGTAGGGTGAAGTAGTAATAGAAATAAGTTTAGGGATAAATCATGGAGAACTCCAAATTCCATAACAATGAGTACAGACAGAATTTGTAGGTATGAAGAGCTATAGGACATCAAATTTCAGTTAAGTGGCATGTCTGACGTAGATTTGAATCAGAGTCAATTGATGGTATCTTGAAAAGTTAGAATGAATATTGAACACTATCCAATATATGGCTAGTGATTAGAGAATTCAAGGGTGTTCATGTGATATTTCGTCAAAGTCTTGTAGCAACATATAGTATTTTAAAAGGGATAGATGTCGGGAGTGAGTATAATTCAAAGAGAGATCTCAATTTCAAGTTAAGTAAAATATTAATGGAGATGTTAACTTAGTGAACTCCCACTGGTCAGAACATGGCATAATTTGAGCAATAATAACTTCACTGGTCAAAAACACATCACATGTATAAAAATAAATAAATTCAGAATGATAAAAACTTATTAGATACCATTGGAAGCTGCTAAGGCATCAGCCCATTTCTCTGAAAACTGATGAAGACGTGGAAAACTTAAGCATTCATTTTCCCTTTCTAGATGAAGTGTATTTTAAGATAAGCTAATAATTAAGGACGGAAAGTTATTCTTTATTGAACTGATAGATTCAAAAGGAATGATAAAATGAGAAAATCCCCATTTTGGGGCCCCTAAAGGCATAATGTACCTTGACAACAATAATCAATTAATTCCAAAAACATTAGTTGAAGTGTTGGTGAGAAATTTGATGACGGAAGGGTCAGGTTGGCATCATCTGAACCCACAATGACAGTTTGCATTACTGGAAGTAGGACAATCAGACATTGTGTGTCTCCAATGTAATGTAATGGAAAGTACACACCACCACTCACTAAATATTCTTGCCTAAAATTGGACCAAAATACAATTAAGGCCCTAGAGCTACACACAATTTTATGGGAAATACCAGAAAAAGAGGAATACATTAAATGAGGTCATGAGGAAACAATCTGTGAAATTCAGGATCTGGGATGGTCTATAGGACAAATGGTCTGGTTTCTCTCTCAATCAATTGCATGATCTGAGAGATATTTGAGTATAGATGACATTAGATGGTGTTAAAGAATTTAATTTTCTTAGGATAATGAGTTAATGTTATTAAGTATGATAACGACATGGTGATATGTAAAATCTATTTAAAGTATTATATCAGTTAGAGATGTATAATTAAGTATTTTCTGATTAAATAACATAATGCTGTAATCTTTTATGAACCTCTCTCAAATAAAATTAAAAAGAGTAGTTGGGTGATAGAAGGCTCAAGATTCCAAAGTAATGATGGTTGTTGAATGTATGTGATGGATAGATCGTAACTAATTACTGTTCTCTTTACTTTTATGTGCATTCAAAAATTTGCATAATAAAATGGTTTTTAAAGTTACTGAATATGAGTACAGATGCACATATTGATCTGACTAGAGTGGAACAGGTAGACAACACTGTCCAAGAGATACTACAGATTAGCAAATCAGAGATGCACCTTCTAAAAGTTGTAATGCCATGCAAAATTTCCTCTAACATATCACTTATCACTGTATATAAAACTTACCTACCTAAATGCCAGTTTCCATATATTATGTGCTACTTATTCTTTAGTTTTTGCTATAGATCGATTCTCTATTTCCATGTTATACTATTTTCCAGGAATCTGGCTTGCTTGGGCTTCTTTACCCTCTGGCTTCCAACTAGATTTGGCCAAAGGAAAATACTGGAAAGATATCTGAGGGTGGAAGGAGAAAATGAAGTACTAATTCCTTTGCTTCCTTCCTTTACAGGCTGCAAGTTGTCTGGGCTGATTTGTCTATCTATTAATAGCTCCCGTGGTCAAAACTTTCATACAGATAGAACTTTCACTGCGGGTTCCAGAAAGTATTTCCTCCCCTTGTCCCTTTAGGCCTAGGAATAGTAGTAACTTTTGAGTATGCCATCTGTTTTTTGCTAAGACCTTGACTGATACAGACTATAAGCTTCATTAAAGCTTACAAATTGTCTCACTGTCTTTTGTTCATTGTGATACCTACAATATATGGCTGCCTGGCATCTAGGAGACAAAAAATAAATATTAGTTAAAAGAAAAGAAAAATAGAAGGATATGAATAAAATCCAACATTAATTTCTGATTTAAAAAACATAACTGAGAAATAGAAAAATACATGCTTATTGTGTTCCTTTAAAAAGATTCTATTCATTAGTCAGTTTCATGTTAAAATTGAGAAATTAGCCACAATTTTATTTAAAATGTCATGAAGAAGATAAAAAGACATGACATAAAAATCAAAAAGAGTGTTATTAAATTCTCATTATTTTCAAGTCACGTATTTATACCCTGATAAACTCCTATAAAACAATGTCAACTCTTCCAAACAAATAAATAAGTGCAATGCAATTCTATTTTATAAATTGACAAAATTTTTCTAAAGTTCTCATGGAAGAATAAATACATGAAATTAGATAATAAATTTCAAAACAGTAAGTGTTCGGGAATTAGCTTCACTAAAAAATATATACAATTAAAACAGGATAGTTATTAAAAGAATTCCCCTCCTGATAATAGTGAACTAATGATTTGTAACTAATCACTCTAAGAACAAGTAGAAAACTTGTACTATGTTAAATAAACGCTATAAATATATATATATATGACATTTTCAACTTATGATTGCTTTATCAGGATATCTAAGAACAACTAGAAAACTTATACTATATATATGCTAAATAATAGTTTACATATATATATATATGTGTATATATATATATAAAATCTTTTCAACTTACAATAGGTTTACCTGAATGTAACCCAATCATAAGTCAAGGAGCATACTAAATGTTTATCACTTTTGCAGAAACATAAAGTAAAAAAAAAAAATTGTAAGCCAAACCATTATAAGCCAGGAACCATCTGTAGTTTAGGCAAGTATAAAGCAAATAATGAGTAATCCCAAATATATAATTAATTACATTAAATGTAAATACAATAAATATTTCAACTAAAAACTAAGGTCATCAGACAGGATATAAGGAACAAAGAAAATTATAACTAAGTGGTGCTCATAAAAGTTATATTTTAAACATACGGCTAGAGAAACTTTTAAAGTAAAATGATGTGAAAAATAAATTATACAAATACTAACCAAAAGCAAGGTAGTGTAGCTATATAAAAAGAAAATAGACTTTAGGAAAATTAATTATCATACACTAACTCTAAATGTATATGCATCTAATGACATATTCTTAAAATATAAAGAGCAAACATGACCTAAAGAACATATAGACAAATACATAATTATAATTAAATATTTAAACACCTCTCAGTAACTGATATAACTATCAGAAAAAATTCTTCTTGGTGTAATTGACATGTGTGGAACACTGTGCCCAACAATGTCAGAATAAATATTATTTTAAAGTGAACAACAGGCATTTTCCACAACTGTACACATGCTGTTCCATAGATCAATTTTCAACAAATTTTCAAGAAATGAAAATCATATAAAATATACTCTTGGCTTAAAGTGATATAAAGCAATAAATAAGTAAATACTCAAATGTGTGAGATTTACATAATGGACTTTTAAATTACACATTATTTAAAGAAGAAATCATGATAGAATTTAGAATGTATTTGGAACTGCATAATAATAAAGATGCTGTATATCAAAACATGAGACAATATTAAAACTGTGCTTACAGGGAAATTTAAGCCTTAAATGCACATATCAGGCCTAAGCATCCATTACAAGAAATTATTAAAGGAACAGCAAATTAAACAGAAAGGACAGTCTCAAGTAAAAATAAAATGTTACTGAAACGCTGCTTCTTTTTGCCCTTAAATTAACAACTGGGATCCAAAATGTTTATAAAGAGGCTCTAATTACTGTCCAGGCTAAAGATAGCTTCGAACAATTGATATCAGATATCAACTTTCAGGCCTCACTAAAGATCAGCATCTTATGCCCTATAAAACAACCACTTACCTACCCGTCACCACCTCTTCACCACCTCTAATAGAAGACTGGAACAGGTAAGGGGAAAGAGTCAACAGTATCACTGACCTTGCGAGTAATGTGAAATTTATGCTTAGATGTTTTCCTTTCACTTCTTCAACATTTAGGGAGGGCAGTTACTTTCTCTTTTCCTGGTGGTTAGAAAAGGGGAGGCTACAAGAAAGTTAATCATGAAGACTGGCAGTCTCTGCTAGAAGGAAAGACTGCCACTTCTCTCCTCAGATGAAAGTTTGCAGAACGGAAGAATCTTCAGGGCCATCTGCTGCTACTAAACAAGTGAGATAAATGTTCTCAAAGGATCCTTTTTAATTTTTAAATTTTTAATTATTATATATACATAATAGTTGTACATATTTACGGAATACATGTGATATTTTGATACAGGCCTACAATGTGTAATGATCAAATCATGGTAATTGGGGTATCCATCACCTAAAGTATTTATCATATCTTTGTGTTAGGAACATTCCAATTCCACTCTTTTAGCTATTTTCAAATATGCAATAAATGATTGTGGGTTTCTGCTTTGAGACAAGGTCTCACCGTGTTGTCCAAGGTAAAGTGCAGCAGTGCAATCTTGGCTCACTGCAGCCTCTACCTCCAAGGCTCGAGTTATCCTCCCACCTCAGCTTCATGAGTAGATGGGACTACAGGTGCATGCCACGATGCCTGGCTAATTTTTTTGTACTTTTTGTAGAGACAGGGTTTTGCCATGTTGCGCAGGCTGGTCTCGAACTCCTGGGCTCAAGTGATCCACCCACCTTGGCCTCCCAAAGTGCTGGGATTACAGGTGTGAGCCACCATTCCTGGCCTAAATTATTATTAAATCTAGTCACTCCATTGTGCTACCAAACACTACATCTGATTCCTTCTATCTAACTGTGTGCTTGTACCCATTAGCCATCCCTTCTTCCTTCCCCCTCCACACTACTATTCCCAGCCTCTGATAATTATCATTCTATTCTCTATCTCCATGAGATCAATGTTTTTCTCTTCAATATATGAGTAAGAATATGCAATATTTGTCTTCCTGTGTCTGCCTTATTTCACTTAACATAATGTCCCCTAGTTCTGTCCATGTTGTTGAAAATGACAGAATTTTCTTTTACTGCCTGAATAATATTCAATTTTGTGTTTGTACCACATTTTCTTTATCCATTCATCCATTTGTGGGCACTTAGGTTAATTCCATATCTTGGCTTATTGTGAATAGTGCTGCAATAAACATGGGAGTGAAGATATACTTTTGATTTGTGACAAGGTCTCACTATGTTGTCCAGGCTAAAGTAGTGATACGATTTTGGCTCACTGCAGCCTCTACCTCCAAGACTCAAGTTATCCTCCCACCTCAGCTTCCTGAGTAGATGGGACTACAAGTGTGTGCCATGATGCCCGGCTAATTTTTTTGTACTTTTTGTAGAAACAGTGTCTTGCCATGTCGCCCAGGCTGGTCTCAAACTCCTGGGCTACATATACTGAGTTCATTTATTTTGCATATATACCTAGCAGTGGGATTTCTGGATCATATGGTAGTTGTATTTTTAGTTCTTCTGAGGAACCCTCATATTATTCTCTATAGTGGCTCTACTATTTTCCATTCTCTAAGGAGATTCTTGATAGAACTTGACATGTATGTGAACATGAAAACTAGTGTCCACATTTCTGAAAATTTCCGAAGGTTAACAAATTGGTAGAATAGTAACCAATACAAGGCAAGCAAGAAAGGACTGCAGGATAATAGGACAAGAAATTGTCAGGGGAGGAAGGATGTGGAGTGATAAGATAGCATCAGACAGGTCCTTAGTAGTTCTCATAGCTATATATAAAGAACACAGAGGATAGATACGGAGCAGGTTCCATGGGGTGACCCAGACAGACACCAATTTACAAGATGTGCTACCTAGAGAAAGAGTTGGTGGGTACACTGCTGACAATATACTTTTACAGGGGTCAAAGGGAAATATGAGTCTCTCTCTGTCTCTCTCTTTCTCTCTCTCTCTCACCTATAAGACCATGGAGCTGAAATAAGACTGAAGAACATCCAAAGAAACTACACACATTAACTGTGAGAAGACTGTAACACTAGAATAGGCCGCCAGTAGATGCAAACAGACTAAACCAGAGCAAGAACAGGGATTCTTTCTGTCCACCTATGGTGAATCCTGGTGCACTGGTCCCTCCTTGTGCTTTTCCTCCTAGAGAAGTCAGACTCAGGAAACAGGGAGAGAGATGATATTCCTGAGCCTGCCTAAAGGTGGTATGAAGGGTGAGGTAAAAGAGCAGACCACTCTTTCCTCTTTCTTCGGGGTATATGTAACCTCAAACTAAAGATACAAGAAAGAGAGAAGTTGAAATTACATTTGAATCGAATTAGAGATTAGGGGAGGGGGGAGGGATGGCATTAGGAGATATACCTAATGCTAGATGACGAGTTAGTGGGTGCAGCGCACCAGTATGGCACATGTATACATATGTAACTAACCTGCACGTTGTGCACATCTACCCTAAAACTTAAAGTATAATTAAAAAAAAAAAGAAATTGCAAACTCTATTGGATTGAAAGTGACAGAAAGGGTGGAATTTACCCTAGATAGCATTTATGGATGCAAGCCAAAAATTAAAAGCAGTGATTTTTCAAAAAACAGAACCATTTCATGTTTTCTCCATTAAGCTGACACTTCTTAATAAATTTGTTATATTTATTATATTCAATTATACTCAGTGAAAAGAAAACTCACTGTATGTAAACACACACACAAAGTTGTAATAAACCTCTGATATGTAGAAATAAATATCTATATCTACACCTGTGTCTCTATATGAATTCTTGAGTAAGGCAGTCAAATGCATGCAGTCTTTCTTTCTTTTTTTTTTTTTTTTTTTTTTGAGAGGGAGTCTCACTCCATCGCCCAGGCTGGAATGCAGTGGTACAATCTCGGCTCACTGCAATCTCTGCCTCCTGGGTTCAAGCAATTCTCCTATCTCAGCCTCCCGAGGAGCTGGGACTACAGGTGCCTCCCACCATGACTAGTTAATTTTTGTATTTTTAGTAGAGACGGGGTTTCACCTCGTTGGTCAGGCTGGTCTCGAACTCCTGACCTCAGGTGATCCACCCGCCTCGGCCTCCCAAAGTGCTGGGATTACAGGCATGAACCACCTCGCCCGGCCATACATGCAGTCTTTCTATCTTCTCTTGGACACATACAAATGAACCTTGGTCCAGGAGCACTTCCTTATCAAGAGATAAAGAATCCTCACAGCCTGTCCTAAACTTGTCACCTTGTGTGGGGATATTTTTCTGTTTTAGACTCAATGTTCACTCCTTTGAACTGGCCAACCCCAGTGGGGAGGAGGTAAAGTCCTTCTGCTGTGACACAAGAGGGGTGTGTACAGGCCAATTGCCCTGTGTCAACTGCCAAGAGGGACCCACTGGCCATGGGGGACTGGCACCCACCACTAAAGCTGATCTTTCTCTGTTTCTTCTCTATGCACCAGTGCTTGACTGCCTTGTGCTTTCCTCAGTGACTCCAATACCAAGAAGAAGTGGGCAGAAGTGCTCAGACTTCCACTCTTGATAATAAGCAGCAGATGTAACTTGCTCAACATGAAAATAATAATCAGTAGACAAACCATATGCATAAATACAAACTAAGAATAAGGTGACACTACTGTTTGGGAAACACTCTGTGGTGCTACGCACTGTGTTCAATGCTTATTTAATTATCACTACAACCTCGTGTTGTAGGTACTACTCTTTAGCAATGAAAGCAGAGGTTCTGGTTGGTAAAGTGATTTATTTGAAGACTTATACCTTGTATGCAGTAAAAGCCGGATATAAATCCAATTTTTTCTCACCCCAAAGCCCATGCAACAAATCATTTGAAAATGGAAGACATCTTTTCAGTTTTGAGTAACCTGGCTGGAAACCACATGGCCACATCCGAGTTTACTTCACCCTCACTCCACTTTCCCTTAACAAGGAAGAGGTAATGCAGGTGTCTTTTCCAATATGGAATGCATGTTTCTGGAAAAAGAGTCAGGGTCTGAACAATGTGGTTCCTGTTTCCTCTAGATCAAGAGTTGGCCCCCCTGTGACCTATGTGTTGAATTCTGCCTACTCTCTCTTTGTGTATGCTTTGTGAGACAGGAATAATTTTTTACATATTTAAATGGTTAAAAAAAGTCAAAAATGAATAGTATTGTGATGTGGAAAGTACAGAAGATTCAAATGTCACTGTTTATAAATCAAGTTTTGTCGGAACACAGTCACGCTAATTCTTTTACATATTGTCTATGGCTGCTTTTGCGTTGCATCAATGGAGTTGAGTAGTTGAGAAAAAGACCATAAGGCCTGTCAGGCATATCTGGCCCTTTACAGAATGAGATTGCCAACCTCACCCTTAACAGTACTTGATAATAGTTGCTTGAAAAGAGGATGGGTAGGGGGTCCTGCAGTCAAATGCTTTATTTTTCATTTATAGTTTTTCCATATGTATTGACATTGTAAAGTCTCAGAAAAGTCCTACAACGTTATGAGCTTCTTTTGCCACGGAAGACCTTCCTTTTCTTTTTTCGTCTTTCTTTTTTTTCTTTTTAACATTAACACTTCTTAGCTCCCCATTAAATAAAATCTGAAGAACGACGTTTTGAAAAGGCTGAAGTAGCTAATCACTGGCATATTCTTTTCCTTTGGCCCTTTTATTTTCCCCTTCATAAGTCACTGTAGATCTTTCTTCTACTGTTATGGTATTACATAAAATGTGACAATTAGCTCACAACTTATTTGCATTGGTTTAGTGTGTAGCCTTTATAATTTTTTTAAACCAAGAAAATAAATAATCAAATAACAGACCAATTACTGAGCTTAACTGGCTACTGAATTTGGATAAATTTTATTAGAAGATTGACAGCTATATATTTCTGACACGCCACAATGAGGAAACTACAATGAAAGGTCAGAATTATAAATGTTAATATTTTACTGAACTGTTATTTGTCAGATTCAGAAGTGGATGTAACCTGATTTTCTTGTGTAAGTGGTGTTTATTTTTATGAACTATATATAGATTGGTTCTGTACAACTGTACAAGCTTTAATGGAGAGAGTGAAAACTAATGTTAATTTTCTTTTTGTGTATGACCTTAAGGAATCTAAATTTATGAAGTAACTAATCGAAATTAAATTAGAATATGAACATTTTAATATAGCCAAAGAACTAGTTAATGGAAACCTTTTGCAGAAATTAATTTAGCTACTTCCTCACTTCAACTACTTTTGAAGGAAAGAACTCTGAGGCCTTCTGAGACCAGTTAAGGGCATCTCACAAGGGGGTCATCTGGGACAGTCACATTAGAAGCCTTTCAAATTAGATGCTAAGCTCATTGAAGACAAGTTTCATGCTTTATATACCCTCGTAGCTCCTTCACTGCTTAGCACAGCACTAAACACAAGGCACGTATTCAGTCATTTGAGTATTTAAAAATTTTCAGATTTCCTGTATATGCCAACTTAAAATTATCATAACACATTAGTTTTAAGAAAAACAACTTGCTACAAACTTTTAGAATTCTGAGCCACATAAATATTTAACTAGTTAGTGCTACCTAGTCATAGATTCTATATGCATGTTCCTTAATATTCTATTATTTTGTGAAATAAAGGCTGGTGATTTCTCAACAGGTTTCTTTTCCATTAAATATCTTCTATCTTGCACATATGTGTATATATCTCTCTTCTTTTGTAAATAAAAATAAAATAATACATAAATAGAAATAGCTATTATATTTGGCTTAGTTGGACGGCCTTTATTTCTTCTTACCATATTTTTAGAAATTTGTATAGGAGATACGTCTTGTGACGTATCTCATGATGTATATGCCTTAATCTATAAATGGTACACTGTCTTATAGAAATTACAATATTGTAGATCTTGTTGGATCAGTTTCAAAATTTTTCCATACATATTGTTCTAAATGAATAAAGACAAGAATGAGTAAATGAATAACTGAATATTATGTCAATTGAGAATTTGATTTTCGGTAAGTCTCTAGTCAATGTTATTTTAGAGGTCTTAGGAGGAAAATCAATGAAGACATTGTAACTGTACTCTTCCTTTTCAGAGTATTTTGACAATCATTTGTAAGAAGAAAGTCAGACATTTATTATGCTATATCTGGAACATTCTCTCTTTAATTTCTCTACATAAAGGAAAGATCATTCTTGGCTCAAAATTATAGCACATGAGGGAATGGTGGACATTGGCTTAATGACAGAGCAATATGCATCTAAGAAAACCACTTTTCAAAATGTTGTTTGAAAGTTCTTGGATTAAGCTATCTAGAAAAAGGCAATCCAAGCAACACAATTAATTCATACTTTATAGAGACCAATGCAAGTATGGATTGGGTATATTAAAATAGGCTTAATAACATCTTACTTAACTTATAACTCTCAGTTATCTATTGGCTGCAGGCCATGGAAGTTCAATGAGAAGTAACAGAATTGTTAGCACAAAGTCCTTTAAGGAGAAGAGTGAAAACAGTTGACATTCCTGAAGCCAATTTATTGTAGAAAACTTGGGTTAACACTAAATCCCTCTGACACCCATACTCAGCTGTGTCCCACTCAGATTCTCTGTCAAGCTTGTGGCTGTATTTTCATTTGATTTTGGAGAAAATGAGTTACATGAATGATATGTGTTGGAGTGGTGTAGCATGGAATTTCTCAGCATTTTAAAAGAGGACTGAAGTTTTTTAAAAAGTTGAGGAAGAGTTTGATTTGTAGATGAGGAGTGTCAGTGCATCCAGGGGTTAAGAAAAAGACAAGCAAATACGTGGACATTTGATGTTAAGATATTTAGGTCATGACGTGTAGGCCAGTGTAGCCTGGCTATAAATAATATGGGAGTTAATGCACCATCTCTGTACTCAAAGTGGCTATTTTGCTTTGGGCAAGTTACCTATCCTTTTTGAGCCTCAAATTGCACATCTCAAAAATGAAAGCTAGTAAGAAGTTTGTTGTGAAGATTAAATGAGATAATGTATATAATGGGCTTAAAACAGTTAACGGCGCCTTGTCAGAAATCATCAGCAAAATGTACTATTAATATTAGCAGCACTATTATTATCATTTAGAGGGATAATATGAGAAAAATGGTTTGGAGCCAAATTGTAACTGACTCTGAAATCAATGATAAATAATTTGCCTTCTAGTCTATACAATAAGGAGCTTTTGTCTGTTTTGAGGAATAAAGCAAGAAAAATAAAAAAGGTGAAAGAAAATTATATACTCTCACTGAAGAAATGCTCAGCAATGAAGTAAAAAAAAAAGTCTGTTCTTTAAGAGTTAATGAACGTAGACATGTCTCCAATGAGAAACTCAATTTAAATATTAATAGAACTTATCTTGGTTGTGTCTCAAGCCCCATTTCTTTGTTTCTCAGTTACGATCTGTGTTAACACCAACTTTTGCAACATGCCAAGTGAAATTTCATTCTTTGTACATCCATAGTGGTTTTTCTCCGGTATGCAAATAGAAATATGATAAGAGAAAAACTCTGATGATTGACAGTCAAATTCAAAATCGAGAATCTATAGCGACTTCAAGAGACCTCAAGAAATGTATTCTTTTCCACTGTGGCCATCATAAATACCATATTTGATCACAAGCATATTTGCATAATGAGGATTACTTGATTTAATAAAGTATTCATTCTAGCAAAGAAAAACTTGTTAAATGCCATAAATACTCAGAGCTTGGCTCTCTCTTGAACATTTCTTTGCTTCCTGACCTATCACAAATACACTAAGATCATTTGCTAATCTCTTCAAGTGTGTGTGTGTGTGTGTGTGTGTGTGTGTGTGTGTGTGAAGAATCACTATTAAAAGGGGAAATTACAAGAAGGCTAACAGATTTCATTGACTAATAACTAAACTACCTTGAACGTTATTAAAAAACTAAAATTAAGTGTCAAAATATAAATAAAGTGAACCACATTTGTAGGTCATAAGAACCCATGAGGGGCCGGGCGTGGTGGTTCACACCTGTAATCCCAGCACTTTGGGAGGCGGAGGCGAGTGGATCACGAGGTCAGGAGATCGAGAGCATCCTGACTAACACGACGAAACCCCGTCTCTACTAAAAATACAAACATTAGCCGGGCGTGGTGGCGGGCGCCTGTAGTCTCAGCTACTCGGGAGGCTGAGGCAGAAGAATGGTGTGAACCCAGGAGGCGGAGCTTGCGGTGAGCAGAGATCGCGCCACTGCACTCCAGCCTGGGCGACAGAGCAAGCGCCACTGCACTCCAGCCTGGGCGACAGAGCGAGACTCTGCCTCAAAAAAAAAAACAAAAAACAAAAAACAAAAAACCGATGAGGAAAAGAGCAAGTTTCAAAAAGACAAATGGGGAAGAGAATATTAAAACCTAATTTACTAAAATAAAAGATGAAACATTAGCAACAATATAGGGAAATGTTCAACTTCACTAGTAGTAATCACACTTAAGTAGTAATCTTAGCTCATGCCCACTATTTCTTAGTATTTTATATTAGCTCAATTCTAGCTCCATACTTCTAACCTTGATTAGTTTCCCACATAAGGTGGATGACTGAGCATATACTAAAACTTCCTCCTTCACTGAAAATGTGGGAGCATGTGTGCGTTTCTTAAAAAAATTTAAAAATGCCTAACTGCACTGACATAGTAATGGTAGACTATCTGTGGGCCAGGGAAAGGGGAAACTCACAGTGCAGAACCCTAACTAAAGGTGAAAGACATCACAATCAGAAACAAGCAGCAGGGGTCTAGTTTTAATGTCCTGCAGTAACAGAGAGTGACCTCATCCCTTAAGTGGTTGGATAGCAAAACCAGGCTTCCTTCATGAAGCCAGGGCCTAGAATTGCGCTCTCTGACTATTTAGGAGAAGACGTAACTGTCCATCCAAAGCTGCCTGTGGAACAGGAAGGAAGCTGAGACGCTGCTACGAAATTAGGACCCAGCCTGAACTGCACACAAACATAGTGACTAGGATTATGTTGTACAAATAAAGAGTTCCAAGCTGCTCACGTGACTCTCTTTTGAATCCCCAAATCGAAAACGTGTAGCAGAAGCAACCATGAAATTGCCAAATGTGGAAGAAGATGTATGATTTGAAACAAAATAAAACAGCCACCTCCCAGTCAGGACAGCCCTCCATCAAAAAGCACAAATGGACATCCAGATTCATGAAAGAGATAGCATTGCAATAGGAAAATCTAAATTAAGAAAATCAAGATATTACAGCAAGCTGCCTTAGAAAGATAGACATACTAATTTTAGATTTTTAATAACAGCTTTGAGATAAAATATCATAAAACACACCCTTTTCAACTTTACAATTCAGTGTTTTTAAGTGTATTCACAGAATTATGCAACCATTACAACTTTCTACTTTTAGAACATTTTCAGCTCTTACATTTAGGTCTACGATGCATTTTGAGTTAAGTTTTACATACGGTTTAAGATAGAGATCACACTTCATTATTTTACAGGTAGATATCCAGCTGTCCCAGTAATTTCAGAGTTTTGTTTAAATGGTAAAAATGTAAGGAAAATTAGAGAAAGACTAGAAAATGAAAGTTTCATCTAATAGAGAAGTACATGGAATAAGCTTCACAATCCAAAATGAAACGGGAGAGGAAAACAGATGTGATGCTGAAGATGGTGTATACAAACACACATGAAAACAGACCAGTGATGTCAGGAAAAGGAAATAAATTAAGCATGCCTATTAAAAGGCAAGTATTCAAATCAGAACCATAATAATTCCTGCTATATGCTATCTACTACAGTCATAAGTAAACAAAATAATATGTTTAAAATAAAATATCAAGTAAATTATTAACAAATAAATCAAAGAAATATTAGTATTCAGCAAAATAGAATTGAAAGTGGAAAAGCATTAATGTGAACACAGACAGATTCCACACTAGCAAAAAAACAATCCTCCAAGAACATGATAATCATGAACTGGTATGGACCAAATATCTAGATTTGAACAATATAAAACAAATCCACAAAGAATTACACAGACAAAATAGTATCGCCTGTCTTTTCTCACCTGCTTGTAATTTACATCATTTTGCCATATTACATGTGATTTGGAAGACACCATGCTTTATTGTGGCATTGTGGTATAAAGATGTGTATAAATAAATACATATGAGACAAATAATGATATAAAGAGACTATTTTCCACCTTTCAAATTTGTAAATGTCTTCAGAAATGATGATATTCAAATGATGCTGGCAGCAGTGCTGTGCACAGCCATATTGGAACCTGAGGCAAAATGAAGAAATTGGAGCCTCTCTTTATTGGAAATGTGATTTTGTTCATCATGGGTTTTTGCTATAATTTTGTTTTAAAATATTGCATTTAAACATTATTAAAATCTTTTGTCCAAGGTAAATGCCTCCCTTGTACTTAGTACCCATGTACTTAGTATCGACCTGCCTGGCAACACTCATAACCTTTGATCCAGTTATTCCACGTCTGAAAAGTGAACCAAACTAGAACATATGAAATAAGAAGAAAAAAGGAAAAAGAATTATTAAACAATAAGTCTATTTGCAGTATTATATATAAAGGAATCTAAAAGAATAATCAAATCAGCTACATGAAAAGGCATGCGATAAAAGGTCTATTTTTTTATTTTATTTACTTATTTATTTTTGAGACGGAGTCTTGCTCTGTTGCCCAGGCTAGAGTGCAGTGGTGTGATCTTGGCTGACTGCAAACTCTGCCTCCCGGGTTCAAGCAATTCTCCTGCCTCAGCCTCCCAAGTAGCTGGGATTAAAGGCGCCCACCACCGCGCCTGGCTAATTTTTGTATTTTTAGTAGAGACAGGGTTTCACCATCTTGGCCAGGCTGGTCTCGAACTCTTGACCTCAGGTGATCCACCCGCCTCGGCCTCCCAAAGTGCTGGGATTACAGGCGTGAGCCACCATGCCTGGCCAAAAGGTCTATTTTTAAATTTGACCAATATATGTCTGTGGTCAATTAAACAGCTCTCAGAAGTGTTTAAAACAGGGGTTCCAAAATTTGGGCCTTTGGGAAAGAGGGTCCATGAGATTCACATGGAGAACATATTTAACAAAACATTTAACAAAACTACAGACCTCCAGAATATCTAAAGGTGGGGTCACAGTATCTAAAATGTTAAATACCTCTTCAGAAGGTGTAGTAGTAGCAAGCCTGCCATTGGGAACAATTATTTATAATAAAATTTGTTCAGGCTTTAACTACTTCATTGATGCTTGTTAGAGAATTTTTTGTGTCTTATATTACAAATAAGAAAATTGAGTCCGAGAGTGACATAGTCTGATCTTACAAGGTAAAACCAAGACAGAAAGGCAAAACTTTGTTCTATGATCTCTATTAGATCTTGCTGTGTTTTCCTGAACAGAGAGATTGTCTCTAGACAGAAAATTTAACAAACCAACTGAGTTTTTAAATTCACATTTGCATAAATTGGGACTTCATAAATTGGGGCACACTTATATTGATTTAAATCTACATTTCCCTTTGAGAAACAATGCACAATGTTGCCAAATTTTCTATGAGAAGGGCAAGGAAACCCATTCAAAAATATATTTTTTCAAAATGTATATATTCAATAGCTGTTAATAACACACAGCTTCTTTTCAAACTTTTTATAATGAAAAGCTTTTAAAATGATTAGAATGGTACTTGATTCAGACTCTAAAAATGAAATGACAGGATGTTTCCGAGAACATCTGCAAATCAGTGAACACACAAATGGAATACTTAAAATGGCTCTTCCGATATTGGTAATTGTATCCACCATGTGTTAACGTTCTGTCTGCTATCTCCTTTCATCCCAGCTGACCCTATACAACTGCCTACCAATTCCTTGCCACATCTGCTACTGCACAAGACAGACCTATTTTATCGAATAAAGGACAAAAGATGATTCATAATGAGAAAATGCTATCAGACATGCTAGGCCGGACTCAAGACTTTGAGAGTCACTGTTAAATAGAAAAAAAATTAAATCTACTCTGAGAGAAACATGATAACTCGCTTGCCCTTATGACACTGGGAAAACTTGTAAAGCATGGTTGTAATTCTGAATCATCAAGGGAAGTTTCTCAAACCACAACTCCTGCCCCAGATATATTCTTGGAGCAGCTAGCCCACCTGTTGAAAACTGCTACTGTAGAGCTGGCACTGTGGGTCCTTTTTTCACTGATAACACACAATTAATATGCACCAAATAGTGAATGTTGAGCCATAATTATTCACTTGTGTATTCATTCAAGAAATGTTTACTGAGTGCATACTCTGGGCCGTGTACTGTCCAAGAAACTACAATTGTAGTAGTGAATAAACAGGCAAAAATCCTTTTTTCATGCTCCTTATATTTTGGTGTTGTGGCTCTAAGTATCTTCCACCTTAGGTTGAGTGGGAGATATTTTAATTTTACAAAATGCATATCTTATTTTCAAATATGTTTAAATTGTTGTTAATGAAAGCCTGAAATCATACTTAAATGGTAGCCAATAGAAAAATCAATAAGATGGTGCCAATTTTAGTAAATTTAAATTTCAAAATCTATATTTTTTCTCTAAGTCAATCAATTTTCCATCTTCAGTTTAAAGTAGTCAATATTTAATAAGCACTTTTATTTCTAGCTTCATATCTACAATTAAATTATATTATGGGTATTCTTATTGTCATGCTAGAGGAATGTTTCTGAATAGTGGAATAACAGATCTTCAAGTTCATTTAATTCTATTTCAATTGAAACTAAAAAGTAAAGGTTTCTTTTTTGTAAAGTGCACATATTTATAATGAATAACTGTTTTGTGATTGAGAAAATACTTTTGTTGGAGAGGCCTGAAGGTTACAGCAGACATGTCTGTAGACTAGAAATCTTAAGTATTAGGCAATGTGAATTGTAGTCGCTCAATGATGTTGCCTTGGTAAGAAAAGATATTTGAAAGCAAATTGTCCAATTGTCCAAAATAACCTGCAGAGATAAAAGTTTTGCAAAAAGAAAAACACCTGGATAGTCAAGACTCAAGAAAATCAGTCAAAAATGAAAGTTTCTACTTCACACATTTTGTCACTAATTGATATGTGTGTGTGTGTGTGTGTGTGTGTCTTAAAATAGCTTTACATCAGTTTTTATTCCTTAAATAGAACTTGGAAATTGTGTGTGTGTGTGTGAATGTGTGTGTGTGTGTGTGTGTATGTGTGTTTGTTCAATTTCCACATTTTTGCTGTATGTCTCAAAATGTAAACTGTCTGGGTCCAAAGCACACTTTCACCACTTAATAGCTCTTTAAACTTAACCAAGTTATTTATTTTTAGAGTTTCAGTTTCCTGAGTTATTTTTGTACTGCTCCATATAGATGATGTTAAACTGATGTCAGAATTTAACTATTATTATGAGCTATTAGGTTTACTTTTAAGTAATTTTCAGCCAACCAAGACTATTGTTGGTAATAGTGAAGTTTGGAAACCATCTGAATGTCCAACAAATGTGAGTTGGACAAATGCTGACTTGTCAAAATAATTAATGGAACACTACGTGATTAAAATGACATAAAAGAAAAAGTATTTATTAAAATATATTTGGATTTATTTTCTGTTAACAGGGAAGACTATATCTTCACAGAAAATCAAAACAGAACTGAAAATACTGAATAATACAAGTATATAATTTGGGATGTTGTGATTGGAGTTCAAGCATTCTAATATTTTCATATAATTTAAGGAAAAAGAAAGATATTATTAATTTTAGAATTTTTGAGGTTTAAATACATATTAAATTTCCTCAATTAACCACTAAATAAATAAAACAGAATGTACAACTTCCAGAACAGTACAGCAAAAAATGAAACCAAGGGAAATAAACAGGATCAAACCAAAAGTAATCAAGTAAGCAAGAAGAAAAAACTATAAAAGTGGGACAAACAGAAAATACTAAATAAGATGATAGAAGTAAATCAAATGCCAATTATCCTAATTTAACCATTATGCAATATACACATGTATCAAACATCATAGTGTACCCAGTAAATATGTATACTTATTATGTGTCACTTAAAAAGAAAATGAAATAAATATACGTGTATATGCACATAAATATGCACGTATACAAGAACGTATACATGCACCTATATATGCACGTATACATGCACCTATACATGCACGTATACATGCACCTATACATGCACGTATACATGTACCTATATATACACGTATATATGCACCTATACATGCACGCATACACGCACCTATACATGCACCTATAAATGTACGCATACATGCACCTATATATGCACCTATAAATGCACGCATACATACACCTATATATGCACGCATATATGCACCTATATATGCACCTATATATGCACACATATATGCACCTATATATGCGCCTATGTATGCACCTATATATGCACGCATATATGCGCCTAAATATGCACCTATATATGCACGCATATATGCGCCTTTATATTCACGTATATATGGACGCATATATCCACCTACATATGCACCCATATATGCACGCATATATGCACCTTTATATGCAAGTATATATGCACGCATATATCCACCTATATATGCAGCTATATATGCACGCATATATCCACCTATATATGCAGCTATATATGCACGCATATATGCACCTATATATGCACGCATATATGAGCCTATATGCGCACCTATATATGCACGTATATATGCGCCTATATATGCAGGTATATATGCACGTATATATCCACCTATATATGCACGTATATAGGCACGCATATCTGCGCCTATATATGCAACTATGTATGCACGTATATATGCGCGCATATATGCACCTATATATGCACGCATATATGCCCTATATATGCACGCATATATGCCCTATATATGCACCTATATATGCACGCATATATGCACCTTTATATGCACGTATATATCAACCTATATATGCGCCTATATATGCACGCATATATGCGCCTATATATGCGCCTATATATGCGCCTTTATATGCACATATATATCCACCTATATATGCACCTATATATGCACGTATATATGCACGCATCTATGCGCCTATATATGCACGCATATATGCGCCTATATACGCACCTATATATACACGCATAAATGCACCTGTATATGCACGCATCTATGCACCTGTATACGCACCTGTATATGCACGTATATGCACCTCTGTATGCACGTATATACGCACCTATATGCCCACACATATATGCAAGTGTATATGCACGCGTATATGCACGTGTATATGCCCTGTGCATGCACCTGTATATGCGCCTGTATATGCGCCTGTATATGCACGTATATGCACCTATATATGCACGTATATACGCACGTATATATGCAGGTATGTGCGCACGTATATATGCACGTATGTGTGCACGTATATATGCAGGTATGTGCGCATGTATATATGCACGTATATACATATACTACAAATCACAAACCAACTATGCTGTTCACTCTCAGATCATATTTTTAAAATATATTTGTGCACTGTTTACAAAAGTCATATTTAAACATAAGGCCACAAGAACTATATTAGTAAAATGATACAAATGATATACAAAATAAATGTGAAACAAGATATTTGGCACAGTTACATTAGTATCGGACAAAATAAATTTTAGGCAACATTTATTTCTATAGATAAAGAGGGCCAATATATATTTATAGAAGTATTAATTCATTATCGAGATTAAGCAATTCTAAACATTATGGGACCTAGTAAAAATAGTTTTGAAAATAGTTTAAAAGTAAAATTTGACCAAACTACAAAGGAAAAGAAACTAACAAATCCAGCCATCATATTTGAATTTTTTATCTTCTTTTTTGAGACAGAGTCTCACTCTGTTGCCCAGGCTGGAGTGCAGTACAGGCTGGAATGCAGTGGCACAATCTTGGCTCACTGCAACCTCTGCCTGCTGGGTTCAAGCAATTCTCCTGCCTCAGCCTCCCGAGTAGCTGGGACTACAGGGGCATGCCACCATGTCCAGCTAATTTATATTGTGTATTTTTAGTAGAGACAGGGTTTTACCATGTTGGCCAGGCTGGTCTCGAACTCCTGACCTCAAGTGATCCATCCACCTCAGCCTCCCAGAGTGCTAAGATTACAGGCATGAGCCACTGCGCCCAGTCGCATATTTGAAAATTTTAACGTACCTCTCTAAATAGTTGATAGGTTGAGCAGAAAAATATTAGTGAATATCTGGAAGATTTGAATAGCATAGATAACACGCTTAATCAAATGGACATCTAAATATAACATGATGGCACTGAACAACTGGATAATGCACATTTTAAATGCATAGAAAATATTAACATAAACTGACCATCTGCAAGACCTTAAGTCAATTCTCAAAAAAATTAGGAGACATGCCCTACAAGTTATTCCAGTATTTTTTTTATAGAGCTACAATAGTTACATTATGTGTTTTGGGCTCAGTGACAGATGATAGGAACAATGGAACTAAATGGAGATCCTGGAAGCCAGTCTATACACATGTGATGAACAAAAACTAATGTTAATATCAAAAGATAAGCCACAAAATGGGAGCCTATTATGCAACATATAAACCAACAATGGTTAGTGCCCAGAGCATATAAAGAAATTCTCTAACCCCTGAAACTGATAACACAATAGAAAAAGGAGGCACAATACATAAGTGGGCATCTCACAGGAGCAGAAACACAAATGGTCCACAGTTATTTGAAAAGATACTCAATTTCATTAGTAATGTGGGAAATTGAAATTCAAACCACAATGATATAAAATTTGACACTCATCAAATTGGTAAAGCTCTAAAGTCGGACAATACTATGCATTAGTGAAGATACTAAGTGATGAGCATTCCAACAGAACCACAAATAGATATATAAATCAATATCACCAATTTGGAAATAAATTGAACACACTTATTTCCCAAGACATAACAATTACACACGTAGGTATATATCCTACTTAACTTCCAAAAAATTTGTACCATGTAGAGTGTTGCCAGATTCGGCAAATAATAATACATGACTCTCAGTTAAATTTAATATGAATAATAAAAAATAGTGTACGTATGTTCTATGCAATATTGGGAATATACTTTTACTAAAAAAATTTGTTTGTCTGAAATTCAAATTAAACTAAACATCTTGTATTTTATCTAGCAGCCATAACCATGTACAGAAATACAGGAACGTTGTTTGTGCCATCAAAACACTAACATTAACCAAAAAATTCATGGACAATACAACCATGTTTATTTGCCGGGCATGGTGGCCCAAGCCTGTAGTCCCAGCTACTAGGGAGACTGAGGCAGGAGAATCGCTGGAACCCGGGAGGTGTAGGTTGCAGTGAGCCCAGTTCATGCCACTGTGCTCCAGCCTGAGTGACAGAGTTAGACCCAGTCTCAAAAACAAACAAACAAACAAAACAAAACAAAACAAAACAAAAAAAACGTTTTATGCCTACAACGGAATACTAAATACTACATACGTTACAAAAACTACATGAAATGTGGTTACTTGTATCAACACAGAGACAAAAATATAATGAGCACAAGCTGCAGAAAAACACTTAAGATTCCAATAATAAAAAGTCAAATACAGGAAAAATCAAACATTATGTCATTTAAAGATACATACATAGGTGGTAAAATATGAAAGAGGGCATGGGAGTAATTACCATAATATGCAGAATAGTAGTTACCTGAGAGAGAAGGGAATAACACTAAGAAGGAATAATCAGAGAGCATCATATATATTGGCAAAGTATACACATCAGTCTTTTATGTATATGATATATTTTATAATGAAGCTTAAAAATAAAAGATGTTTGTGAAATATTGTATTAAGTTAAACACGGACTGTAGATGAACATTCTTGGCATAATCTCTGTTAAGGGGGTGAGGAGAGTGAGAGCAAGACAAAAGGATCTAGAAAAATAGATCTTGAGGTCTCGATAGGTGAAGTCTCTGAGTTTTATGTGATTATGGGCATCAGTTGCATTCTTTTTGTTAGAAAGTCTTTTCTGGCTTTTTTTCTTTTTTCTATAATAAAAAAGCAAATGAAAGGTAAGCAGTAAAACCATAAAACTCTTTCTTCTTTCATTTTCTAATTTTAAAATTCTACTTTCAAACCATGTTTCTTGTTTGGTAGTGCTCTCATGATTTTAAATATCTTTCAAGTATATTGAAAATGATTGTTGCTAATCACTAAAAAACAATTTTATGACTTACATGTAGCACCTCATAAAAAGGGTATATGTGGGATTTATGAGTATGGATTTTTGAGTTGTTTTTAATTTTCATGTGATGTATATTTAAGTTTTCACTTCTCATTATTGCCAATAACATAGAGAAGACGTAATTAGGTTAATCATGTTTTTCATTAATGAGAGAAAAAAAGAAATACATAAAAATCCAATAATTTGTCATAGTTGTTATCTAATAGCTTGCAGTTGTGACTAAATTTTCATCATGTCCAAAGTTGTTTGTATTCTATTTCTTTTTCCCAAAATTCCCTTCAGCTAAATTCTTTTCGATTGTCCTCTGCTACAACACTAACCTCCAGGGCACTACTAATTTGATTTCATATCTTATGCCAACACAATAGTTAGATTAAAGTATATATAATTTTGAGTATACTCACTTTCCAAAAAATGTCACCTAAAATACTGTTCTTAATAGAGTATTTTCACTAAGTGGGTGTGTGAAAAGCTCTCTTACTTCCTGCCAGGCACGGTGGCTCACGCCTGTAATCCCAGCACTTTGGGAGGCCAAAGCAGGGAGATCACGAGGTCAGGAGTTCGAGGCCCGGCAAACATGGTGAAATCCCATCTCTACTAAAGATACAAAAAATTAGCCTGGTGTGGTGGCGGGTGCCTGTAATTCCAGCTACTCGGGAGGCTGAGGCAGGAGAATTGCACGAACCTGGGAGATGGAGGTTGCAGTGAACCGAGATCGCCCCAATGCACTCCAGCCTGGGCAACAGGGCAAGACTCTATCTATCTTAAAGAAAAAAGCTCACTTACTTCCTAACTATGCAATTGGCCACAAGGGACCTTTCTCCACATCATGTGTCTGAGGAATGACTACACTAGCAAATGCTATGACACTTTGTTCATCTTGCCCTAGTCCACTCCATATGTACCCCTAAAGTCCCTTACCTTAAGAACTAAAATCACTGGGATTTTCATTGACAAACTGAGAGCATGTGTACCAGACATAAAGTAATCATGTTAAAGTATTGAGAATTCTTAGAAATATAAAGTTGCCATATATTTTCTTTTGAACTCACTCTGGCCAATCTCAGAATCATCTGTGAAAAGTAGGTTAGACTGTTTTCTTACCAAAACACTTGAGTAATTCTCATGAACTCGAGGAACTTTGCTACTCATCTTATTTATACTGCTAAGGATGCCATCTACAATCATGCAGACAGAACATTACAGCTGAGTGGCACATGGAGTGAGTGACTAACTTATCAGAGAAGAAAACTGGGACACAAGCATACCAGACAAAAATCTATACTAACATAAACTATAATAAACAGTTATACCTATATGTGTTATTATTTAAACTTTGAGAAATGAATAGGTTTTTGGAATTATACATTATTCTGTATTTACTTCTGTTACATAAATCCTATAATTTATACTTAAAAATCAAAAAAGTTAACAGTGGCAATTAGTAGTAATTTATATAAATTAAAATTATGGGTTTGAGAAAAATATAATAATATTTTATAATGTATTATTGTGTCTTCTGATATAGCAATTCAACTCTTTTTTAAACACTACTGAATATTTAAACATTGTAGGCTATATTGTTGTATAGCCTTTTTGTTTTTCCATGTAGCTTTATTATTTTTGTTAATATTTTTAATTAATAAATGCTAATTATATACATTTATGGGGCACAATGTGATATTTTGATGTATGTATGCAATATGAAATGATTAAGTCAAGCTAATTAACATATCCATCACTTTGCTTACCTTTAACATCTTATAGGTTGAGACATTTGAAAGACTCTTAGAAAAGAGAACTCTCCCCAAAAGACACCAATGGATAGTTGAAAACACTTGAGTCTAAAAAAGACTCTTAAAAAAGAGAACACGACACGATTTTAAAAAGAATAGGACATGATTTTAAGTTACCTGTATTTAATAAATATGACATTTTTTTTCTGTGGTATGATGTTTCTACTATTACTGTTGCATTTCCAATACTACATAATGTCTGAATTGCCTACAGCCTTTAAGACATCCTTCTTTTCTTTTATATAATAATAAAACTGAATGCAGCCAAATATAACATTTATTTTGACTTGCAACTCTGCTCTTATCAAGACCACATTAAAATGATTACTGATGTCAGTCCAGTATGATGGCATCATGCTAACTTTCCTCTCAAAAACTATTTAAGGGTCGGGTGTGGTGGCTCACACCTGTAATCCCAGCACTTTGGGAGGCTGAGGCAGGTGGATCATGAGGTCAGGAGATCGAGACCATCCTGGCTAACACAGTGAAACCCTGTCTCTACTAAAAATACAAAAAAATTAGCCGGGCATGGTGGCGTGCCCTATAGTCCCAGCTACTCGGGAGGCTGAGGCAGGAGGATCGCTTGAACCTGGGAGATGGAGGTTGCAGTGAGCTGAGATTGTGCCACTGCACTCCAGTCTGGGTGAAAAAGCGAGACTGCATCTCAAAAAAAAAAAAAAAAACAAATTCATCAAGTGCTGCTGCACATTTTGGGAAACCAAAAACGTTCAATTACAAAAATTACAAAAGCCTTAATGGCACAAGTAAGCAAATCACACCCTGTTTCAGAAGTGCTGTGGGCAAGGCCTAAAGAACATTTACTAGATAAGATCTTTTAATCTTCTTTGGTAAGAAGTGTATACATTGAAAGAAATGTGCCAAAATTGAGCTTTGTACTCTCTGCTGAATATGCAGATAAATGAGCAAAATTTAATTTATGTCTTTTGTTTTATGTTTGCTATATCATTATTAAAATCTTCATATAATAAGACTGTTTGAAACTCCATATTTCAAATCAAAGCACCTGAAAGCTAGAGACTTGTTGCCATGATTCAAAGTATCAATTGATATACTGTAGAAAGCATGATAGTTGGTAGAAAATGGACAGAATCAGCTTTACAGTGTAAGAAACAAACACATCCATTATCAAATCCCTTTTTTCATTCACACAGATGTTTTAGTTGAAACCTCTCAATCAGGAAATGTAAGTTTATTCAGATTTATAGAGCAACCAAAGGAATGATATGATAATGAATGTACTTTCAGGTGGTATGTCCAGGTTAATTCAGTGGCAAGGGTTTTCAACTAAGCATTGGTGTCTTTTGGGGAGACAAAAACTTTTCTCACCTGTCTCACCCAAGACTTCTGAAATTCACTCTACATATGTGCTTTCACATCCCCTTCTCCATTATGTTTAATCCCAAATTATTTTCTGCATATTGTACAGTATTCTCTGTTTGGGTTATTTACTTCCTTTATCTCATATCTGAGTCCTTCTGTCAGTATTAAAATCACACAGTCATTTAACCTTCATTTTCAATGATCTCCAGGTAAGTTCTGTGTTGTTATTGCAGTTGTCTCTTTGTCATTAACTGAACTGTTACAAAACATGGTAACACGACTCCCAATGTTAAAAAGTTATACTAACAATATCTTGATACAAAGCACAACAGCTAGCCTACAGGCAAAATAAAAACTGAACTGTTAACACAATTACAGTACACGTAAGTTGCACACACTCTAGTCTGTGTACCACAGATCAGGGTTGCAACATTAGCAATAAGCCGGCAGGGTTGGGGGGCGGTGGGGGTGGGCCGGGGGAACAACAGAAAACACAGAAGGCAAATAATCTGAGACTTATCCATTTAACACTGAAAATAGTATTACTTTCAGCCCCTATTGTGGAGGCTGCCCGTTTCCTCCCCATCCCTCTCCAATGATAAAGAGAATCTGGGTCTTTTCACATCCCAGGGTAGAGATTTTCTGGTAGGTGGGAACTTTGGGGCTAAAACCAAGACAGTCTCAGGAAAACCCAGTCATTTGGTCGTTCAAGTGATTCATTAAAATTATCATAATTCAGTTCATACTATTTTTTCTAGTGAGTAAGGTAAGGCTAAGAAAGAGCAAGTGAAGGTTACACAGCAAATTAGTGCCAAATTTAACACTCTCCACTCTATATCACTGACTCCCAGTTTAAATCTCTTGCTACCACAGCACCTATTTTTGATAGATACAAATCTGGCTGCCTGACCAAAATGTGTGAGTAGAGGAAAAAATAATGGCACAGCATAGACAAATTACAGAGATGTGGAGAATACATTTTTGTTCATCTTTATAGGAGGATATAAAGTTAGAAAAAAATATAACAAGTAATTTCTTATCTCAATTATTTGAAATATTTGAAACTTTTTCATCAGCATTTAGCATATATTTCCCATATTTTACAGACTGAATGTTTGTGTCCCCCCAAAATGCATATGTTGAAGCCCTAACCCCCAGTGTAATAGCATTTGCAGATAGAGCACTTGGGAAGTCATTAGGATTAGATGACATAAGGATAGGGCCCTCATGATGAGCCTTATAAGAAGAGACACCAGCTGGGTGTGGTGGCTCACACCTGTAATCCCAGCACTTTGGGAGACCAAGGCCGTTGGACCACAAGGTCAGGAGCTTGAGACCATCCTGGCCAACATGGTGAAACCCCGTCTCTATTAAAAAAAAAAAAAAAAAAAATTAGCCAGGCATGGTGGCGCTTGCCTATAATCCTAGCTACTCGGGAGGCTGAGGCAGGAGAATTGCTTGAACCCAGGAGGCAGAGGCTGCAGTGAGCTGAGATCACACCACTGCACTCCAGCCTGAGTGACAGAGAAAGACTTTGTCTCAAAAGAAAAAAAAAAAAAGAGAGAGAGAGACACCACACCAGAGAGGTAGTGTGAGCGCACTGTGAGATGGTAGCTGCTTATGAGCCAAGATAAAAAGCTTCAGAATGAGGCCTTATTTGCTAGTACATGTTTTTTTTTTTTTTTGAGAAGGAGTCCCACTCTGTTGCCCAGGCTGGAGTGCAATGGTGCAATCTCGGCTCACTGCAACCCCCGCCTCCCGGGTTCAAGTGATTCTCCTGCCTCAGCCTCCCGAGTAGCTGAGATTATAGGCGTACGCCACCACTCCTGGCTAATTTTTTGTATTTTTAGTGGAGATGGGGTTTCACCATGCTGGGCAGGGTGGTCTCAAACTCCTGAACTGAGGTGATCCACCTGCCTCAGCCTCACCAAAGTACTGGGATTACAAGCATGAGCCACCGCACCTGGCCATTTGCTGGTAATTTGACCTTAGACTTCCCAGCTTCCATAATTATGAGAAATAAAATTCTGTTGTTTATACCACCCATTCTACAGTATTTTCTTATGGCAGCTCAAGCAGATTATGATACAATATGTTTGGAACAAAACATTATATTCATCAAACTATATATTAGCTATCTACAAGTGTTACCAAAAAAAAAAAAAACCTAAATTTCATGGAAGAATTCACACATAATATTAGATAATTTCAACTTGCAATATGATATAATAAAATTTTAAAAATACTCCTAAGGAAAAACTAGATTTGACATTGCAGATTAATGTGCGTGCGTGTGTGTGTGTGTGTGTGTGTGTGTGTGTGTGTGTGGTGGATATGAAGTATCGACCACATATTCAGATCAACACACACCTGTTTGTTTACCACTATGTTTTAGTAGCCTTCTCATTCCAGCCAATTCTCACTTAATGAACTCCTCCTTGCTACCTCACGTCTTCTGAGTCCTACTGATGTGGCTTCAGAACTGTAATTAATGTAGAAGAATGAGCTGAAAAGGCCTCACTCCTTTATTTTTGCACCAGCATAGCTCTGCACCATGACCACACACTGATACACAACCTCAGTTCCCTTCCTTGGCCCAATGGGTTACAGCTGCACACTTTCCCTAACCTGTCAGATGATGACTTTATCTATTGTAGAACATACCAGAACGTTCTGGAATGTTCTTTCGTAGCGCTATCAACCTTTCTACACACCTCAGCCTTGTGACAGATGCAGGAGTCCAATCTTCACATAGCCCTCAGCTTTTATACTTTCATGCAAGACTGCTTAGAAAAATCCCATGCCTATTCTGCTGTCCATTTACATTACCCTTGTTCTTCCAAACATTCTACTTCCTCTTTTCTATAATGTCTTAACAGTCAAGCTTTGATCCTCTTGCTTTTCACTGTGGATTTCTCTGCACTTCTATGGAGCCTTTCTTACCTACATACCCTCCATAGAAGCTAGGGATTATGGGGATAAAGAGTATAAACTCTAGACTAGAGTCAGTGTGCTTGGGTTAAAATGCCTTCTTCCCCTACTTCCTACTTCAATGACCTTGAGAAAAGTTACTTAACCTCTCACTGTGCTTTATTTGTCCAGATCATAAAATGATAATGAGAATAGCCGTATTAAGATGTTGAAAGGATTAATTTAGATGACGCACGTAAACCACTGATGTAACTGGGCCAAAATAAGTGATAAATAAATTGTAGTTGTTAACAATTTATTCTTTCTACTATCTTCAGGCTACAGGGCTAAGTGACATAGGTCAAATCTGTGATTTGAATGTATTTCGTGTTTAAGTTATAGCAATTTTGAAACATACTTTAATTCATTTGTTCTTTGGGATATATTGTTAACAACATTAACTAAAATAAATTTAATAAGTCCAAATCACATTGATCAATACAATATAATAAAACTGAACTAATAGTGACATGTAAATCTTCATATTTAGCAATAATTCAGCTGAATCATTAAGACTTGACTTCTAACAATACAACTGTTATTAAAATCTGTATGACTTTGAGAATGTGACTTAAATTGCACTGCAATATCCTCACATGATTGAATGGAAAAATTCATTTGAGCAAATATTTGTTGAGCATCTAATATGTGTCAGTGTCTACAGTAGATGATTTGCAAACATTATCTCAGTCATCCTTATAGCAGTACTATGTAATAAGAGTGATTATCCTAATTTAATAGCAGAAAAATGTATGTTTTTCTTCAACATTTATTTTAAGTTCTGGGGTACACGTGCAGGATGTGCAGGTCTATTACATAGGTAGGTAAACATGTTATGGTGGTTTGCTGCACAGATCAACCCATAACCTCGGTATTAAGCCCAGCATCCATTAACTATTCTTCCTGATGTTCTCCCTCTCATCACCCCCAGACCCCAGTGTGTCCGTGTGTTCTCATTATTCAGCTCCCACTTATAAGTGAGAACATGTGGTGTTTGGATTTCTGTTCCTGCATGAGTTTGATGCAGATAACAGCTTCCAGCTCCATCCATGTCCCTGCAAAGGAGATGATCTTGTTCCTTTTTATGGCTTCACAGTATCCCATGGTGTGTATGTATCACATTTTCTTTATCCAGTCTAACATTGATGAGCATTTGGGTTGATTCCATGTCTTTGTTATCATGAATAGTGCTGCAGTGCATATATGCATGCATGTATCTTTACAACAGAATGATTTCTATTCCTTTGGGTATATACCCAATAATGGGATTGCTGGGTCAAATGGTATTCCTGGTTCTAGATCTTTGGGGAATCACCACACTGTCTTCCACAATGGTTGAACTAATTTAGATTCCCACCAACAGTGTGAAAGCATTCCTTTATCTCCACAACCTCTCCAGCATCTGTTTCTTGACTTTTTAATAATTGTCATTCTAACTGGCATGAGATGGCATCTCACTGTGGTCTTGATTTGCATTTCTCTAATCATCAGTGATGCTCGGGGTTTTTTTTGTATGTTTGTTGGCCACACGAATGTCTTCTTTTAAGAAAAGGCCTTTGACAAAATTCAACAACCCTTCATGCTAAAAACTCTCAATAAATTAGGTATTGATGGGACATATCTCAAAATAATAAGAGCTATCTATGACAAACCCACAGCCAATATCATACTGAATGGGCAAAAACTGGAAGCATTCCCTTTGAAAACTGGCACAAGACAGGGATGCCCTCTCTCACCACTCCTATTCAACATAGCCTTGGAAGTTCTGGCCAGGGCAATCAGGCAGGAGAAGGAAATAAAGGGTATTCAATTCGGAAAAGAGGAAGTCAAATTCTCCCTGTTTGCAGATGACATGATTGTATATCTAGAAAACCCCATTGTCTCAGCCCAAATTCTCCTTAAGCTGATAAGCAACTTCAGCAAAGTCTCAGGATACAAAATCAATGTACAAAAACCACAAGCATTCTTACACACCAATAACAGACAAACAGAGAACCAAATCATGAGTGAACTCCCATTCACGATTGCTTCAAAGAGAATAAAATACCTAGGAATCCAACTTACAAGGGACGTGAAGGACCTCTTCAAGGAGAACTACAAACCACTGCTCAATGAAATAAAAGAGGATACAAACAAATGGAAGAACATTCCATGCTCATGGGTAGGAAGAATCAATATCGTGAAAATGGCCATGCTGCCCAAGGTAATTTATAGATTCAATGCCATCCCCAGCAAGCTACCAATGACTTTCTTCACAGAATTGGAAAAAAATACTTTAAAGTTCATATGGAACCAAAAAAGAGCCCGCATTGCCAAGTCAATCCTAAGCCAAAAGAACAAAGCTGGAGGCATCACGCTACCTGACTTCAAACTATACTACAAGGCTACAGTAACCAAAACAGCATGGTACTGGTACCAAAACAGAGATATAGATCAATGGAACAGAACAGAGCCCTCAGAAATAACGCCGCATATCTACAACTATCTGATCTTTGACAAACCTGAGAAAAACAAGCAATGGGGAACGGATTCCCTATTTAATAAATGGTGCTGGGAAAACTGGCTAGCCATATGTAGAAAGCTGAAACTGGATCCCTTCCTTACACCTTATACAAAAATTAATTCAAGATGGATTAAAGACTTAAACTTTCGACCTAAAACCATAAAAACTCTGGAAGAAAACCTAGGCATTACCATTCAGGACATAGGCATGGGCAAGGACTTCATGTCTAAAACACCAAAAGCAATGGCAACAACAGACAAAATTGACAAATGGGATCTAATTCAACTAAAGAGCTTCTGCACAGCAAAAGAAACTACCATCAGAGTGAACAGGCAACCTACAAAATGGGAGAAAATTTTCGCAACCTACTCATCTGACAAAGGGCTAATATCCAGAATCTACAATGAACTCAAACAAATTTACAAGAAAAAAACAACCCCATCAAAAAGTGGGTGAAGGACATGAACAGACACTTCTCAAAAGAAGACATTTATGCAGCCAAAAAACACATGAAAAAATGCTCATCATCACTGGACATCAGAGAATTGCAAATCAAAACCACAATGTGATGCCATCTCACACCAGTTAGAATGGCGATCACTCAAAAGTCAGGAAGCAACAGGTGCTGGAGAGGATGTGGAGAAATAGGAACACTTTTACACTGTTGGTGGGACTGTAAACTAGTTCAACCATTGTGGAAGTCAGTGTGGCGATTCCTCAGGGATCTAGAACTGGAAATACCATTTGACCCAGCCATCCCATTACTGGGTATATACCCAAAGGACTATAAATCATGCTGCTATAAAGACACAGGCACACGTATGTTTATTGCGGCACTATTCACAATAGCAAAGACTTGGAACCAACCCAAACGCCCACCAATGATAGACTGGATTAAGAAAATGTGGCACATATACACCATGGAATACTAGGCAGCCATAAAAAATGATGAGTTCATGTCCTTTGTAGGGACATGGATGAAATTGGAAATCATCATTCTCAGTAAACTATCGCAAGACCAAAAACCCAAACACCGCATAGTCTCACTCATAGGTGGGAATTGAACAGTGAGAACACATGGACACAGGAAGGGGAACATCACACTCTGGGGACTGCTGTGGGGTGGGGGGAGGGGGGAGGGATAGCATTAGGAGATATACCTAATGCTAAATGACGAGTTAATGGGTGCAGCAAACCAGCATGGCACATGTATACATATGTAACTAACCTGCACATTGTGCACATGTACCCTAAAACTTAAAGTATAATGATAATAAAATAAAAAAATAAAATAAAAAAAGTAAAAAAAGAGAAAACAGTATCTAAACTATATAGATAAAAAAAAAAGAAGTGTCTATTCATATCTTTTGTCCACTTTTAATGAGGTTGTTTGTTTTTTCTTGTAAATTTGTTTAACTTTCTTGCAGTCTCTGGATATTAGACCACTGTCAGATGGATAAGTTGCAAAAATTTTCTCTCATTCTGTGGGCTGTATGTTCACTCTGATGATAGTTTCTTTTGCTGTGCAGAAGCTCTCTAGTTTAATTAGATCCCATTTGTCAATTTTTGCTTTTGTTGCAGTTGCTTTTGGCGTTTTCATCATGAAATCTTTGCCCGTGCCTATGTCCTGAATGGTATTACCTAGTTATTCTTGTAGGGTTGTCATAGTTTTGAGTTTTACATTTAAGCCTTTAATCCATCTTAATTTTTGCATAAGGTATAAGGAAGAAGTCCAGTTTTAATTTTCTGCACATGGCTGCCCACTTCTCCCAGCAACATTTATTAAATCCTTTCCCCATTGGTTGTTTTTGTCAGGTTTGTCAAAGATCAGACGGTTGTAGGTGTGCAGTCTTATTTGTGAGTTCTCTATTCTACTCCATTGATCTAATGTGTCTGTTTTTTTACCAGTACCATGCTGTTTTGTTTACTATAGCCTTGTAGTATATTTTGAAGTCCCATAGAGTGATACCTCCAGCTTTTTTCTTTTTGAGTAGCAGAAAAATATTGAGGCCCTGCCTATCTCCTTGGGTTAAGGGGATCAAATGGGCAAAAGTGTGAAAGCGCTTTATAAATTAGAAAGTACTTACCAAATATAGTATTACTTTAAGTTTGATGTATTTGTTTTGACAAAGCATACTATTTCAGTAATTAAATTGTTGTCTCTTCTTTCCCCCTGTGTTTTGATGAAAAATCTGAATAATCATAACCACTGGTAATTATTTGTAGAGTTAGATATAATGATCAAATTAAAATCACAGTCTTATAATTAAGACTATTAACTGAATATTACAAGGAAGCTTTAAAAAATAAGTTTTAGATTAGATAAATGTCACTGCTCTAGAAACTTATACTATATACCACTAAATCTTTGTGCCACAAATTAAAACGGTTAAGTGTTATATATTTTTAAAATGTTAAGAACTTTTAATTTTAGCACAAATGTTGAAGAAAAAAAGGATTTTTGAAATCTACAAATTAAATTTAACTATTTTTTAAAAACAGAAGACGTTAAGAAAGATTAGTGTGAAATTGTTTTACCTATGATAGAGCTGCCCTTTCATTATTTACAACCTGGGGATTTCTTCTTAGAAGAAGTTGATGATATATATGGCATTCCAAAAGTTCCATGTCTTTGCCAAGGATATCCAACTATTTTTACTGGACAAGTGTCGCTTTTAAACTTGATGAATAGCAAACGTGAAGTAGTAATATCTAATATTGAAAAATGAAGCTACCCAAGGAGCAAGAAATGATAGATAACTTGGTGCTTTTTTAATATCATAAAAAGTTCATAAATGAGAAATATTTTTGATGATGCCTCAGTTTTGATTTGTGGCCTGTAACTCCACCACACCATTTCAGATTGACCCTTCTTTATAGTAGAATAAAAATAAAACATCTCATTTTCTCCTGAAAATACCCAATATGGCTACTTAAGTATATTTTTGTGGGTAATTGAAACACATTCCCTACTAATACTCCATAACATTCTGCAGGGGTCTGCTGGGACCTGGGATTTTGCCTACAGAAATCTGTAATAGCAATTTTAAGCAGTTGTAGCATAATGAGAAAATTTAGGCATTTTCGATAATATCATCCAATGCAGTGTATCTTCATTTCTTTAATAATAAAGGAAAGTCCTGCTGATCCAGTATTACATAGCTTAAGGCTCATTCGGGGGCAAGTAATGGCAAAGCCTAATTTATGCCTTTAGGGTTCATCTCAATATTAACCTTTTATGATTCCAGTGGGGTTAGAGCTTAATAGAATGAGGTGAAGTTATTAAAACATATAACTCTATAATATACACTTTTTTCACTGTTCCCTCCAGAGTCTAAATGTTTCTTTCAATCTGAATGAGGCAGGCAACGATTTATCCATACAGTCTTCCCAGTTCACATTTATCCTTAATGAGAACTTTGCCAGTTAATTTATTTTTGTAATTAATAATACTGTGCTCCAGAAAGAAATGGATGTCAATCAATATTAACTAAAAGAGAGCCCATATAAGCTTAATTTATACACACACACACACACACACACACATTTATATAAAGTCCCTTTTTTATATATAAAATATATAAGGAATCTGGATTGCTCACACACACACACACACACACATATATATATAACTGTTATTAAAATCTGTATGATCTTGAGAAAGTTACTTAAATTGAATTGCAATATCCTCACATGATTAAATGGAAAAATTCATTTCAGCAAATATTTGTTGAGCATCTACTATGTGTCAGTGTTTACAATAGATACTTTGCATACATCAGTCATCCTTATAGCAGTACCATATAATAAGAGTGATTATAGCTCATATCTAAGGTGATATGTGTGTGTGTGTGTGCGTGTGTGTGTGTGTGTGTGCAATCCAGAGTCCTTGGATATGTGTGCGTGAACTTTGTATGTAGTTTTAGAATCACAAAGTATAACCTTCTTTTCCAATATTCCTTACTAAAGGAAGTTTTGCCAAAATGCTGCCTGATGCTTTCTGAAGGACAATTGAAAGTGAGTCTGTGGCATGGTCAGATAAGGGAACACTACCTGGAGCCATGCTATCCACATCATTAATCAGAAAGTGAAAAATTCAGAATGAGCCTGGAAATATGAGTTATGTGGGCTAGAGAAGAATGTATAATCCCGTTCAATAGAGTGTGAAAGTTTCCATATATCTGCTACTCCTAAATCCTTAATAGCTGAGGATGAAGCTTTATGAGCTTTTTAAATAAAATGCTATTCTTGATAATATATGCCAAATCTCTGAAGCAGTATGCAAGGACATAGTAAGTCACCACTCCAAATTTTTTTAGTAAGGGCATTATTTTGAATTTTGAGAGAATTGTATGTGTTATCATGTACTTTTTAAAGTTGGATAATTCATGAAAGAAGTACAATACCACCAAATATTTTATGTTCTTCTGACTTCTCAGACGTGGACTACTTAGGGTGTTGGGATGGTTTGGCAGGAACAAGAGACTAAGTAAAAATATACTGAAGTCCTAGTATATTCCACGTTGCTTTGTATATTATTTGATTTGCTCAGTACACGCACAGATGCACACACATATGAACTATTGAGGTAGGAGTTTTCATCATTTCCACTTTACAGTTGGAAAAACTGGGACTTGAAGTTTAATAAATTGTCCCAGGTCAAAAAATATTTAGGTCACACACTTGTGTCCATATTAGTGTGAAATTAATGTTCTTTTCCCTACACCATGAGGCCTCCCTTAGACTACACTAAGAAAATGTATGCTGTGCTATATTTTACTTTTGTAATATATACGTATTTATCTTAGTGAAACCTTTATCTCCTGTAGGGCATAAACTTCAACTAGTTAATCTTTGCTGCCTCACAACACTTGACTCAATGCTGTGCAACTATCTGGTGCTCAATGGAGGGGGATTAGTGAAATGAACTAGTGAATAACGACCTCAAGAATTGGCAATAAAAATCTAAATGTTTGCTGAGAATGATGGTTTCCAGCTTCATCCACATCCCTACATATGTAACAAACCTGCACTTTGTGCACATGTACCCTAAAACTTAAAGTATAATAAAAAAAAAATTAAATGTAATGTGAGCAATCAATGTATTTTGGAAAATTGATCTTAAGGTACAAATATGAAGATACTGATCCTCCCCTCCGTATTCTATACTCTGAACTATGTTTCTCTTGTAGTTGGAAGGAACCTGCAGTTGGTGTCTCATTCTAGCACCACTGGCAATATGAATAACAAGAAACAGAGATATGACCCTTACTACGGAAACTGAACTAAACTTACCGGCCGATGTGAGCATCACATAAAGTAGACACTGGTGGGAAAAATAAAATTATTATCTTCACACTCTACCTGTGCTTTTAATGACAGGAACATTATTATCTCTATATTCCTGATACCTGGCACAGACTAGAGTTCTATTTTTTCCTAAGGGTAAAGTGAAAGAGTTATGTAATCTTTAAGATCACCTTTGGCTTTCACCAGACATCATGAATTTGAACAGGTTTTTCCCTGCACCTGCAATGTCTTTCTTGCTCTCCCCTTCTCTGTCTGCCTTAGTTATTTTCATACGTCGAATGTTACATCCTCTGAGTAACTTTCCCTGACTCCTCTAGTGACACTGAAGTTCTCCTTTCCCTATACTCCCAGTGTGCTTTAATTATACCTCCAAATGATGTAGGAAAATGTTTCTACATGTGTAGGGAACAACTGAACTGGCTTTGAATTCTGGTTCCACGATTACCATTCAGAAAGTCTTATGACTTTCTATTAATATATTTCAGCATTCTCAATTGTAAAGGAGGGTTTGGGTAAGATACAATGTTGCTCAGCTGAGAACTGGGGTAATAGCTCATATCTATGGTGGGAACCATTGAAAGCTCTCGTCAGAGAATGACTTGCACTGGGTTCTGCTGGTGCACTTTCTGCCTTTTTTCTAGTTCATTCTCGTTCTACTGAGGGGTGATGCTTTTAATGATAGAAGATTCTCATAACCAATTTCCACGTTAGTAACTCTAACACTTTATTATCACCAACCCAGAGAACACACCCAGTTCACAAGACAGAGAAAAATAATGGACAAAGCAAACCATACAGCTATGATAAGGGTTGTCCTTCCCCATCTCTGGTCAGAGCACTATAGCTTTAAATTAGTGGTTAAGTAAAAGAAGCCATAAGATAAATTTGGAAGGCCTATAGTACCAGCAACCTTTTCTCTACTTTGTCAGGCTGCCCTACTTGCTCCAGAGGTTGTAGTGTCTATACTGATTTTATATAACTTACTCTTGAGAACAGGTATCTAAAAGTTCCTTCCCCCTCCCCTACACAACTGCCTTCTAAGTTGTAGTCAGGTTTGGCATGACCTCTGAGTTTCAACATTCCATGAAGAAACCTACATAAGATACAGGCAATGTTTAAGAGAAAAGTTTTAATTTTTTTAATAAAAGCTTTTGTAAGAGGAAAGATACAAGCTTACGGCAAAAGAGATTTCTTAACTATTTTACAGGCCAATCATAGAAAACTTCATTTTTATTGTTTGTTATATATTTTATACAGTATGAGAAAAAGAAATAGGCAATATATGAAATCTAGACTGAGAGAAAGAGGATCCACCTTTCTGGCCTTGGTTTTCCATATGTTCCACCATGCCAGAAAATATATGTACATGTCAGTGTGTGTACTCAACCTAGTAGCCTAAATACAAAAAGGGAAAAGTGCACATTAATAGCTATAACTGGTGTTTTTTTCATTCCTAGCTATATATTAAAATCATTTGTGGGGCTATATAAAACATTCTAATGTATGGACCCTACTCCTTACCAGTCGATGTATCTGAATTTACAGACACCAAGCTCTGATCATTAGTTTTTTGGTGGATCTTTTCAATCTGAAGTCCTGAGTCCCTAATCTCTGTACTACTCTCTCTTCATTAATTCCCGTCTCCCTATATTCTCTGTCTGCTCTTTCAATGTTTTTCCTATGCTGTCTTGGGATTTCTGAAATGTCTGATCATCTCAGGGTTGCTTATTCACATTTAAGATTAAATCAGGCTGGGTGTGGTGGCTCATGCCTGTAATCCCAGCACTTTGGGAGGCCCAGGTGGGTGGATCATGAGGTCAGGAGTTCAAGACCAGCCTGGCCAGTATGGTGAAACCCTGTCTCTACTGAAAATACGAAAATTAGCTGGTCCTGGTGGCGCAAGCCTGTAGTCCCAGCTGCTCGGGAGGCTGAGGTAGGATAACTGCTTGAACTCCAGAGGTGGAGGTTGCAGTGAGCTGAGATTGAGCCACTGCACTGCAGCCTGGGTGACAGAGCGAGATTCCGTCTCAAAAAAAAAAAAAAAAAAAAAGATTACATCAAACACATACTCGTTGAGAGCTCTGTTTGACTCTTCTTATTGAGGGACCACTGAATGTCAGTATCTGGAAATAATTTTTATGAGGTCAGTCAGTTTCTCAATAGAAAAATCCACCAATGTCATCTCAGGGTGCCATAACCTAGTGTTCTGGGAAGAATAAATTGATAGACACATAGGAATCTCAGTATGCACGTCTTCACTTCATCCTTTTTTTTTTTTTATCCACTCTGGATCTTGCCACTGCCAGCCAATGTTAGGTGTCTCAAAGTCTAGAACTTCACAAGTTCAACTTTCAGAAAGAAAACATTTAGTCTCTTATCTGAGAGGAGCAGAAAGTGGAGGGCAGCAGGGGGAGACCTGGAACTCTATCACCTATAAACACAGACTTTCAACAACTCTCTCTGTTTTAATTCCAGCTTTCCATACCTGTCTTCTGCAGTATCTGATGCCTCAAGACCTGACCTATCCTGGGTTCTGTGTGGCAAATTGTCTCACCTCCTTTTATGTCTGCCCCATGTTGACATTTTTAACTTCCTCTACTTTGCTAAATCAATCGCTATCCTTCCATCACTTTCAGGCTTCTTTTGAAAATGTGCTCTGGCCGCTAGAACATTGGATACCTGATGGCAGGAATTTTTGTCTGTTCAGCTTACTGATTTGTTGTCAGTGTTGAGAAGAGTACCTGGCGCATAGCAAGGCATTCTGGACACAGTTTCAAAAATGAATGGATGTTGAAATCTCTTTTGGGTCAGTGACTTCTCTTATTTTCTTTATCCTTGGGTTTTACACAATTTTTATTCCTTTACAATCATTTAAACAATGTTTTTGAAGAGAGGTGGTAAACATGAGAAGTTAATCCACCATATGAATAAGAAATAGAACTTTTTTTTTTCATGGTAACTAAATCAGACCTTCTGAGTATGCTCTTAGAAGACATCAAAGGAGTTCATTTTCCTGACTCCTTAGGAGTTACATCCTTAGCCCAATCTGGCCCTTGCTGCTTTCCAGCCATTCCAGCTTCTATTCTTAATACTGTATGCATTCATTTATTTATTAACTTACCCATTCATTTACTCATTCCTTTACAGTTACTTACTCATCTATTTTAGAAATACTTACTGAGCACCTACCTTGTCAAATATCTTTGCCAGGTGCCAGGTATATAATGATAGGTCCAGTAGAGGCCACACCATTGAAGTGTTCAAACTTCCAGAAAGGAAGCCAGCAAAGGGTTGAGAGGCCCTCCAACTCTGTATTTTTAGTGAGCCTGTGCTCTAAGGAAAAAATTGAGATTGTGTCCAGGTCCTTGTTCACAAGAGGACTCTCAATGGTTAAATGAAAAGGATCTCTTCTAAATAAATGCATATACACACACACACACACACACACACACACACCAAAAACAACCTTCTTCCCCCAGTATTGTTGACATACACTACTTTTAGACCAAGAAGATACTGTTCCTCAAGTTACTATACTTCCATCTCTACATTTTGATGGAAGAAGAACAAACAGAGACCATGCCAAAAAAAAACAATTTGGTACAAAATAATGGATTGAAATTCTGGCAATTTACTTTAGAGAAAGAAAATAATAATGAGTGGTTCTTCCTAGTCATACACCCAAATAATTTCCTGCCTGTTCCCTTCAGGAGCCCATGAAGTTGAAATTTCCAGCAAAGTGTAAAAACTAACAGACTATTTGGAAAATATCCTTGCTGCTGGAAGAATTAGAGAATAATGTGTAGAGAAATGAAAAAGGAAATGAGAGCAGTGCCTCTACAACAGTAGCTTTGTTTAAGGTATCTGTCTATTTGCAAGGCTGCTCGAAAAGACTCACAACCACAACAAACCACAGATTTTCTAGACCTTGTGCTGACTATAGAATAGGTTCAGTGGAAAGAAGATGTTTAATATGAGAACGAAACCTGCTTAGGTAGCTCCACCCTAAATCTTGCACCATACAAATAAGAAGGACATCCAACAAAGTCACTAACACTGAAGCCAAAAACTCTGAGTACCCGTATTATCAATTATTTATTAATTTATTCATTATCAAACCATTATGTTTCATTTTAGTGAGACAGTGTGGAAAAATGAAAAAAGAAGGAATTTGGAGTCAAACGGAGTCAAATCGTCTTCCACCACTTGATGGTGTGTGATTTGTAGCTAATTATTTGAACTCTTTGAACCTTGATTCTTCCCTATGTTAAAATGGAGATTATAGTAGCTTTGCTGTTTTCCTGGTTTGTTATGAAGTTTAAATGTGATAATGCATGTAAAAGTGGGCCAGTAGTACATATATTTGTAACTGACATTTTATATACATGGCTAGTACAATCAATCTGCAATAATAGTTCCCAAATGATTAAAATCCTAATAACATAGGCCCTGCATTTGTCAGAGTTCTCCAGAAAAACAAAACAAATAAAAAACATATATAATAATATAAGATTCTTATATACGTAATATATATGTATTCTTATATATGTAATATAAGATATTTATATATCAGCCTCCAAAGTCACATGAGTCAATTCCATATTTTATTGTAAGAAGTCTCACAATCTGCTCTCTGCAAGCTAGAAAACAAGGAGAACCAACGGTGTAAATTCGAGTCCATGTTTAAGATCTGAGAACCAGGAGTGCTGACTATGTAAGTCCCAGTACAAGGGCAGGAGAAGACTGATGCCCCAGCCCAATCAGTAAGGTGGAGAAACAATTCTTATTCTCTTTTTGTTTTATTCAGGCCCTCAATTGATTGGATGATGCCCATCCACATCAGGGAGGGCAATCTGCTTTACTCAGTCTACCCACTCAAATCCATCCAAAAACACCTTCACAGACAAACCAGCATAATATTTAACTAAATATATGGACAGCCAGTGGCCCAGTCAAGTTGGCAATTAAAATGGACTATCATAGACCCCATCTAAGCTTCAGGTATAAACCTCAAGAATGGAATTGCTGTCTTTATAGTGTAGGTGCTTTGCAGGATGTATTAATTTGGAAAAGATGATCATTACTTTCTTATTACATCATTTATCATATTAGTGTTATAGGTCTGCTTAGCATTCACCTTGGCTCTGAACTCTGCTCATTGCTACTCATAGGAACTCCTCAGACTTCCTGTCATTGATGTCTTATGTCCTCCAGGCTCCCAAGCTTTATCTCTTCATTAGGGCTTTATTCCATGCTTTTTTTTTCCAACTGGTAGAATTCATGCAGTAAATTCAGCTTAGCAGTCAGTGAAAGTAGAAAGCTAAGGAAAGTAGCACTGACTAAGGAATGAGATCAAAGATATGAAGGTAAAAAGAGATGTTTGTTACTTTGTAATAAAGTGAATCAAAATAAAGAACAGAGAGTCAATAAAATAAGATAAATGATCAGTACTAGGATGTGCAAGGAGATTATAGAATATGTGTTAGGTGTAAGGAATGTGAGAGGCATTTACAACCACTATCTAACTTAAAACTCACAATTGACCTATGAGGGATGTACTGGCATTATGTAGCTGCAGTCTTCCTACTTAGGAAATAACCTTCCATAACACAGTGTCAGTCTCTAGATAACTCAAAGGCAGGGCACAGACAGAGGCAGTGTAATAAAATGGAACAATGAACTTGCCTTGAGACCTGAGTTTTATTCCCAGGTGCATCACATTTTCTGCTAAGGGGTTATTTTGGACAATTTTCTAACCTCTCTGAATTTTCGGTTCCTCATGTGGAGAACCTGGATGCTATGTCATGCTTACCTTACACGGCTGCTGTTGATCTCACATGAGGTGACACGCTGCTATCATGGTTAAAGCTGTGAGCTCTATGGAATAGGACTTGGCTTCCAACCTGGAGAACTAATTGTGTGACTTTGAGCAAATGTCAGCCACCTACGTCTTTCAGTCCCCTTTTCTCTAATATTAGGATAATAATGGAAACTTCCACTAGATTGTGGAAGAATTAAATTAGATAATTTATGTAAAAGTGCTTCTGACAGGGCCTAGTTAACACTTTTCTATGAATTCTTTTCTTTTTTTTTTTTTTGAGACAGAGTCTTGCTCTGTCACCTAGGCTGGAGTGCAGTGGCTCGATCTCAGCTCTCTGCATCCTCCACCTCTCGGGTTCAAGTGGTTCTCATGCCTCAGCCTCCCAAGCAGCTGGGATTACAGGTGCCTGCCATGACACTTGGCTAATTTTTTTTTTTTTGTATTTTTACTAGAGACGGGGGGTTACTAGAGACAAGACCAGGCTGGTCTTGAACTCCTGACCTCAGGTGATCCACCCACCTCAGCCTCCCAAAGTGCTGGGATTACAGGCGTGAGTCACCGCACCTGACCCATTCTTCCTGTAATAACTCATTTAGCTAGTAGAGAAAGAACATTTTAAACAGGACACTATCCACTATACAAGTGTAAGAAATTACTCTTACTAAAACAATCTAACTTTTATGTATTTCGTTAATGGGTTGTATTCTTTAACAGTAGCAGCTTATAAAGAAGGTTTATACACACAATGTTAATTAATTGGTTTACTAAGTAACCTAGCTTCCAAATTTCTATTGATGAGAAACCACTCACACAAATATGAATTTATTTAAATGTGTCATTACATAGATGTAGTTGACACTATCCCAAAGTCACTTCTGCCAAGCTGAATCTTGCCCATTATTTGGGACTGAATGGTGTACTGGTTAGCAGGGCAATTGAAAAAGACTAATCAAGGCCTCAAAACCTTCTCTAGAACTTCTGAGAAAGGAAGTGGCGTAACTGCACACCGACAATGCTTCCTCTCTAACAGCCACCAAAACAAACAAAATAAACATACCTCCACAAAGACCAGGAAAAGTCACAAGGACATACTAGAATCTCCAGATAATATTACTGGTCAAGAACAATACAGTTAGACCAAAAGGAGAGTGGATACAACAATTCAGACTCTGCAGGTTTTGAATGCCATATATAACTGATTTTCTTCAGTAAGTAAGTGGAAGAAGTTATTAATATTTCCAGTGATAGGTCTCAGCTTAGAAGGCTGGGGACAGGAAGCAAAAGCAAATCATAAGAAATAGCACACCCCGCTTGCTTTGTACTCCTTGACCTCAGCTCTCTACAGGGAAGGGAGGGCTAGAGGAACAGCCACATGACTAAATGCATCACCATGTTTTTCCTGGCCCAGCTTCCTAAACAGAGTCTTGAGGCAACTCTTTTAGAGCTACGAGTCAGGGGTTACTGTGTAGAAAACAATGTACTGACCCATAAAGCAATTGATGATTATAGAATATCTGTACACACACACACACACACACACCCTTGAAAAATGAGCAAAATAGTTTATAAATAATTACAATGTAATATGTTATGAATCATTACAGCATAATGGGGCCAATATCCCCAAAATTTCAGATAGAAAATGAGGAGACTGGGTATGAACACAGAGGAACAACTATGAATATCTGTGTAAGGGCAGCTATTCTTTCATCTTTTCTTCGGGTTATAATAGAAAAAAACGGCCTTTCTTAAGCATGCACCGAATTCCTTTCATCTTTCATCTTCTAAGGGAATTAACTTTTTAGACATTCACCCTTTTTTATCTTCAGTTATGTCACTGATCTGTCACATCTCCATATAAATATGCTAACATATTTTTCATCTTAACCTTTGCTTCTCTCCAAATCCCACCAGCTACTGCCCTATATCTTTCCTCTGTCTTAGCTGAAAATTGCTTCACAGACAACTTCCCACTGTAATTGGAATTCTGTTCCTTCCAGTCCTCTGAAACTATTCTCATAAGTTCATTAATAATATTTCTATATTTCTCAGTCTTTTGATCTATGGCCACTTCTCATTGTGCTATGAGCAAACTCAGCCACTCCAATGGATTCAGTTACTATTGATGAAATGTTTCAATAAAAGCCCATAGAGTAATTATCAAAGTATCTAGAAGTGCATGATAGGGGAGAATACGTAGTTTGAAAAACACATATTACAAGTAGCAATCATTTTTAATATAGAATATTGAATATCAACAGTAAAAATATGAGATAGTAGATAAATAAAGTAGATTAAGGAAGAGCGCAAGAGTTACTTATTTAGAAAGGGTGAAAAACAATAATACTAATGAAAAGAAGTTCCAAATCCAAATTACCATTTGGACCAATTTCTTAATCTCCAACTCTTATACTGAACTGCCTCGCAGACATCCACTTGAAAATCTCACTAGCACTTCCAACTCAACTGTTAAACACGAATTTATCTTCTCCCATGGATCTGGTTTCTCCTCCTGTGTTCGTCAATATAGTGAATTTCAAGACTGTAATCCCTGTTACTCAATCCAGAGCCTTGGGTATTATGGCAAAGTGTTTTCATTCCCCATTCTGTCACATGAAATCACCAAATCTATCGTTTCTTAATATTACTTGCATAAACTGTTTTCTATACTTTCTTGACTTTAACAGCTTTACTGAGGAATAATTGACATACCATAAAGGTTATGAATTATAAATTACGCAATTTAATGATATTTAGTTCATTTATGCAGTTGTGCAATCATCATAAGAATCCAGTTACAGAACATTTTCATTGCCCAAAAAGAGCCCTAAGAGAGAATATGAGAACCAAGAGAAAGGGGTTTCCCCTTATAAAACCATCAGATCTCATGAGACTTATTCACTACCACAGGAACAGTATGGGGGAAACAACCCCTAAGTTTCAATTGTCTCCCACCAGGACCCTCCCACAAGACACGGGAATTATGGGGGCTACAATCCAAGATGAGATCTGGGTGGAGACACAGCCAAATTGTATCAATTATTATAACCATTTTATAAATGTAAAAACAAAGAGTAGGTAGAAGAGTAGGTAAATCCAGATTTTGAATCTTTGCCTCTCCTCTCTCTCTCTCTCTCTCTCTCTCTCTCTCCCCCATTCTCTGGCTAGAGAGGTCATTCCTTTAACCAGTATAATTGCTACATATTTAAAACTGTTTCAGAGTGTTGAAGACAACAAAACTTTTCTAATTGTTTCATTAAAGAAGCATAATACTAATACCCAAATGAACCTAACAGCAATAATGAATGCAGAGAAATCTACTGAAAAATATATCTTAACACAAAAGTCTGAAATAAAGTATTTGAAAATATTTGTAAAAATAATCCAACAGTATATCAATAAAATAATATATAATGATGAAGTGGAGACATTCTAAGAATGAAAAGCATTCAAAATCAGGAATCCTGTAAAGAATTACATAAATATAATTTACCATATTAATAAGCCAAAGGAGGGAAGAAATATGGTCATTCTGGTAGATGTCAATGAGGGAATTTATAAAGTTAAACCTTCATTTAAATATAAGTGCTTTCTTAAAATGTGTAACATATGATTCAAATTAAAAGCCTTATGTTTAATTGTAAAAATAATTGAAAAATTTAAAATTTATATATGAACAAGATTAGGATGCGGCTTTTGACAGTTATATAAAATTGCTTTAAAATTGATAGATTTTATGCTGTATATGTGTATCTTATAACATCACATTTTATACCTTGAATATATACAAAAAAATATTTTTTAACAATTGCTACATAATACATTTAGAAAAGAAAAGAAAAAGCCCAGGCACAGTGGCTCGTGCCTGTAATCCCAGCACCTTGGGAGGCCGAGGTGGGTGGATCAGCCGAGGCCAGGGGTTCGAGACCTGCCTGGCCAACACGGTGAAATCCCGTCTCTACTAAAAATACAAAAATTAGTTGGGCATGGTGATGTGTGCCTGTAATCCCAGCTACTTGGGAGGCTGAGGCACAAGGATCACTTGAACCTGGGAGGTAGAGGTTGCAGTGAGCTGAGATTACGCCACTGCACTCCAGCCTGGGCAACAGAGTGAGAGTGTATCTCAAAAAAGAAAAAAAAAAAAAGAAAAGGGTAGAAAAATTTTACATGTTTGATATGAAAGTGACTGTAAAATTTATATATAATGTCTAATATCTTCCTTTCATACCAACAAAAAGCTAAAATGAAATGAAAAAGCCCATTTACACAAGCAGTCAAAACTAAAATGAAAAAAAAATAACAAGGAATAAATTAAATAAGGGATGCATGAGTACTAAATGAAGAAAACTACCATATAAAACTTTACTGGGAGAGATTAAAAGAAAAAGGCCTGAATCAAAGTAGAGAAACATAGAAAAGGCAGTGATTTAAAGATATCAGTTCTTCCTGTGTCTATAAAGAGATTAAAATGAGATATTTGACCTTTCAAGTTGATAACAAAAACATCAGCAAAAAGGAAAGAACATAAGGAAATCTGCTGTCAGGGATGTCATGGAATGTGGGCATATTTATGCACACTGTTGCAAATGCAAATTTTTCTAGCTTTTTGGATGGGCAATTAGCATTGTGCTTTCTTAACAACTTAAATATGACTCAAACTAAAAACAGCATATTTAATCATAAAAAAAAAAGAAAGTTCAAAATTACTTCCAGAAACAAGTGAAGGATGCTTACTGTTATTGAAAATTCTTTTGGTTGGGCGCGGTGGCTAACGTCTGTAATCCCAGCACTTTGGGAGGCCGAGGCGGACGGATCACGAGGGCAGGAGATCGAGACCATCCTGGCTAACACGGTGAAACCCCATCTCTACAAAAAATACAAAAAATTAGCTGTAGTCTCAGCTACTCAGGAGGCTGAGGCAGGAGAATCGCTTGAACCGGGGAGGCAGAGGTTGCAGTGAGCCAAGATTGCACCACAGCTCTCCAGCCTGGGCGACAGAGCAAGACTCCATCTCAAAAAACAACAAAAAAAAATATTTTGAGAGTACTCTAATGTTTTTGGAAAAGACAACATCATTTTTTTTACACATCAGAAATGAATGCAACTGACAGCAAAATTAATATATAATTATAATATCGTTCTTTCATTTAAAAAACAAGTTAAAAATATTACTGAATGGGATTCCGTGTGTGTGTGAATCTCAACCCAATAGTTCCAAAGTGTACCTGGAGGGAAATAATATGGAAGAATATCTATACAAAGACCAAGTAAAGTAGAGTAATGGCAGGGACTTTGCCCACTAGACATTAAAAACTACCCTAAATGCTATTGTAATTGAAAAGACGTTACCCAGATGCGCAGGCAGAACAATATAGCAGATTAGAGGGTTTAGACATTTAGACATATATCTAATCACATATTGTAATTAAGTATGTATTGAAGAAAACATTTTCAATCTTTAGGTAAAAGGTAGACTAATCAATAAATCATTTGGGGAAAACTGTTTACTTACTTGGAATAGTAATAATAACAAGACAAAGTCCAGCTAACATTAATAATATGCTTAATATGTTCCAACATTTGCTCTAAATTCTGTGAACTGTCATTTTCATCACAAACCTGTGAGTTAGGGAGTATGATTGTCCCTTTTCACAGATAAAAAAAAAAAACAGGCTTCAAAAGGTTAAGTGATTTTTTTCAAGGTCACTTGGCAATTAAGTGATGGAGCTCAGACCTTAATACAAGTCTTTCTTATTATATAGCCTAACCACTAGTTACTAAGCTTGATTACAGTACCTCACTCCAAAGCTCTCAAATCAATTCCAGATAGATCAAATATTTAAATGTTAAAAATTAAATTATAGTTGAAGGAGTTATGTATGAATGCTTTTTATAATCTTGATGTAGGTCATGGCTTTCTAAACCTCACTAGCATACCAAGAACTTCTAAAAAATGATAAATATGTTGACATAAAAATGTAAGTTTTTTTTTAGCTAAAAAATACCATAATGAGAGTTAAAAGGCAATCTGGGAAACATACGTGTAATACATTTGACAGATTAATTTTCTTAATATTCAAAGAGCTTGTATAAATTAAAACTAAAAAGATGAGTAACATTTTTTAAAACTGAGCAACAAACATGAAAAGCCAATTAAGAATTGAAAATGCCAAAATAAGAACTGAATAAGCCAAAATAAGAATTGAAAATTGTTAGTAAAAATGAAAAGATGTTCACCTTCACTATTTATCAACAATTTAGATGAAAATGAAGGTTTTTTTACCCTTCATAGTGATAATTAAGAAAATATTAACAAAGATGGAGGAGCCTGAGGTCTCCCGCTTTCAGGAAATGTGTATGATGTGGGCATATCTGTGCACTGGTGGGAATGCAACTTGTCCCAGCCTTTCCAGAAGGTGAATTAGCATTGTTCTTCAAAACTGTTTAAATTAAACATTATTTGGCTTAACAGATCTTGCAGAAATATTTCTGAAGATGATAGCAAAAAATGCATAAAGAGTTTGCACAAGCATGATCACTCCAGCATTGTTTTATCGGGGAACCTCTGTTAACAAACCACCTAAATTCCAATCAAGAAAAGCATAGCTTAGTAAAGAACTGTAAAGCCATGAACCGTTCATCAGCTACGAAAATAGTGATGTAAATGGAAATAAAAAGGCATTTACGAGACATTCATGAGTAAAAGTAGCAAAGTCGCAGATAACATATACATTATGGATTTAAATGTGTAAAGGCATGTGTGTGCACTCCTGTGCACATATATGAATGTATGGCTAAAATAATCTTGACCTTCATGTTCTCTCATTAAAGTCTATTTCCAGTGTTTCTCATTCAAAGAAACAACAGTCGGCTGGGCACACTGGCTCACACCTGTAATCCCAGCAGTTTGGGAGGCCGAGGCAGGCGGATCACCTGAGGTCGGGAGTTCGATACCAGCCTGACCAACATGGTGAAACCCCGTCTTTACTAAAAAATACAAAAATAAGCCAGGCGTAGGAGACTGAGGCACGAGAATCGCTAGAACCCGGGAGGCGGAGGTTGCGGTGAGCCGAGATGGCGCCATTGCATTCCAGCCTGGGCAACAAGAGCGAAACTCCGTCTCAAAAAAAAAAAGAAAGAAAGAAAGAAAGAAACAACAGTCTATCATTGCCAATATGCACAAAGCAACTTTATTTTTCATTTCCTACTTTTGAAAATGTGCCAGAGTGGAAAATACATTCATAATGCACAGAAGAGCTTATTACACAACTTCTTCCTCTTTTTGTTTATCTCTGTCTCCCTCTAGATCTTCAGTGCTTCTTCAATTCATGTAATCAAAAGTACGGCCTTAGAAATATCTGGTACATTGTGTATTATAGGTTTAGTCACCATAGGGAAAGAAAGAGAGAGTAGATTCTCACTCCCAATGTCTTTCCCCAAATTTCCAGGGTCAAAGCTTATATTGAATTAATATGGCAGCTCCTCTATTACTCAAGTATGGGTAGCAAAGAAATGGAATAGAATGACTGACAGCAATTAATAGAAAAAAAATGTTCTGTGCAGATATAACTACGAAGATAACTACAAACAAAAATATATATTCTTAATCAAATCCTCCTGGTCATTTCTCAAGGAAAAATATATTAATTTGGGTGCATTGTAAGACTCTCTACTTTGCAATTTTCTTAATATAAGAGTAGATTGAATACCATCAGAAACAAAGCTTCTAGCACTTTCCTGTAAAACTTTCCCATATGTACTGTAAGGACTTATGGCATGTTAAAGATTTGTGCTATGATATAGAATTGCTTGAATTATCTGTGTAAATTTTTACATGCTTTTAGACCAGACCTGAATTTTTTAGACCTGGACACTATTGGTAACTTGAATTGGATATTTTTTTTTTCCTTACTGGGGGTGAGGGTCTGGACTGTGCATAGCAAGACCACTGGCAAAATCCCTGACACGTACCCATTAGATGCAACTAGTATCTCTCCCTGTCTCCTCTCACCCCAGGTTGTGAGAGCCACAAATGTCTCCAAACATTTCCAAATGTGTGACATGGGATAAAACTGCAACTCATTGAGAACCAGTGGAATTGACAGATTCTTTACACGGCACCAGGTTGTAATAACAAAATGGATCATGTCAAAAGTAAGCACAATAATGTTGAAGCTCATACAATAAATACATATTTATTTATAAAATTCATGAAAGGTTGATCAGATAAAAAATCATGAGAAAAATGTCATTATCAGAAAAAAAACAAACACTGATAAAAATGTTATCCAGAACTGAAAAATGCAGCTATCAGGGGTAAGGAACTGACAGAATTCAATTAAATCTAATTAGAAATATTCTACAGGGCAAATAGAAGACTACTCAAATTTATGTTTTAATCATTTTTGGTGTGTTTTTTTTTTCATTCTTCAAGGCAGAATATGCTTAAGCTCATACTGGGCTTATTTCTGTATAATTCTAGAATGATGAAATGAATCAGAGAATTGCATAAACTCCCTGGTGAATTCACCATCTGCCCATGCCCTCTGAATATCTTCTATGACTGAAGTCACTGAGCAAGTGAAGTTGAAGGTATAGCAGAACAGAAAGAAACAATGAGAATAGAAAATAAAGAGAACACGCAAATATCAAAACACTTGCTGATTTAGGAGCCCATACTGCAGTCTTGCTTTGGGGATATTTGTCAATGTGCCCAAAGCTTCCTCCAGCTTCAGAAGTACTTCTTGCTGTGATGAAAACCTTTGGTGATACACATTGCCATCAGATTCATCTTTAGCACAAAGAGCTAGCTGAATTAAACAAGAGCAAAAGAAAAGAAAGTTCTAAAGTAATGCTTTAGTAATACTAATGCTTTAGTAATACTAAAGTAATGCCATTGTTGAACTGGCCAAGCCATACATAAAGAAAAACTTAGAGTACACAGACCTAAAGTTATATTATTGTTCAAATGCTGGCTTCAACAGTGATTTCCAAGTCACTTTCCTGTGATGGTTGCTTAACCTAATCAAATACCTTTAACAGGCCATTTGTCCATCTACCATCCTCAGAAATACATGAAAATTCTTAATTCCCCTCTGTTCCCCATCCTTTGTGAAACATTCTCCTATAGCTAAGAAGCCTCATTAAAGATCTCTGTGCATTTCATAAAAGCAATACATTTGATAACTTAAAACACAATCCAATGTGTATTTTGATTGGTGTCAATATACTGGCTAGGATGCTGTGATAATGTAATCACACATAAAAATTGGAACAAATAGGTGAGAGTAGGATCTTAAATCTATCCAAATTCATAACTATCATATAACTTTTATTCATTAATGTTTTCTTCATTTCTGTCATGTTCATATGTAGAACATGATAGTATTCATGTATGCTTAAGATAGCCAATGCTGTTCTTAATAAGCTACAGCCAAAAACCTGTCTATTTACTTCTCAAAATTCTCAGCTTAATTCTGACTGAAACAAAAAAGATTGAAGCACATAAGTAAACTCCACTTCAACAGAGAGACATCTTTAGGCGAGGCATGAACAAAATTAGTTCTGACTATATTGATCCAAACAGAAACAGGAAGAGTGGAATTGGTCACACACAAAATTCTTCATTGCTCCATAGACCAGGGCTCATCAAACTAAGTTCTCTGGGCTAAATTCAGGCCACAATCTGTTTTGTAAGTAGAGTTTTACTCTAATGTAATCATGCCAATTAATTTACATATTATCTACAGCTGTCTTTGTTCTGTACAGATAGAGTTGAGTAGTTTTGACAGAGACATTATGGTCTGCAAAGCCTAAAATATTTACTATCTGGCCCTTTGTAGAAGATAGTTGCCAATTCCCGGCATAGAATATCAAAGGGAAGGGTTTGTAGAAATAATCCAATCCTCTCATTTTAAGAAGGTGGCAGAAATGGGAGCACATAGCTTGTCTAAAGTCACACATCTTGTCAACAACAAAGTAGTTACTAGATGCCAGGTTTCCTGATGTCCTTTGGGAGAAATGGATATTGCCTCCCAGAATTACAGCTAAGGTTCACAGTTATTCAGAGTTCATATTTCAGCCTCTTCTATTATTATAATTCACCAAAGTTTTTGGTTTTTTAGATAGAAGAGTGAAAAGACAAGTCTGTGCACTAATGGTTCTTTGCTTTTTTCTGGAGATTAGATGAGACAATGTACATACGTCTGTAGCCCAGCTCCCAACCCAAGTTAATTTCCTTTCTACATTCATTTTTCCAGATGAGGAAACAGGTTTGACAGGTGGAGTGACTTGTAATGAGGACATATATGCAATAAGAGTTAAAGGTAGAATTCACCTTCCATGTTTAAGATTCCAAGTTCAGTCTTCATTCTATAATGCTAAATAAACAATTTGAATACAGATTATTAGGATTTAGGAATAAGTTGGATTAATGGTTTTTCTTTTTGCTGCTTATGAATGGTTTCTTAACTAGGAATGTCAAAAGTCCTCTCTCTTGCACTGTAATGTCCCGTGATGAGAACAGGAAGCAGAGAAGCACCCACATAACTCTAAGTTGTGGTGAGCATCTACATTCCTGTGCTTTGCACTTGTAGTTTCTAAAAGTAAAGTATCCTGTCTGTAAGCAATAGCAAGAGTAAGTTAATGCATAATGAATGATCTAAATAAAACAAATCTCACATGGAAACGGGGTAAAAAACCAACTTCCTTCACGCTGGTGGCTCTCACTAAAGCACCTCTCTTCTACTTCTACATACTCCCCTGTGTCATTGCATGCATTTTAGAATGATAGATCACTTTGCACAAATGTGGACCAAGGCATAAGTGTAGAAGGCAAGAAAACTAGCAAAGATAATACCACAAATATTCAGTGGAGAGAAAATGAGGTACTGAATTAAACGAAAATAAAGCTAGAAAAGATGAACTTTTTTGAAGATATTAACCCAGTAAGAACATTAAATCCTTTCTAAGACAACATGGTGGTGAGGGAGTGATAAGCCAACAAAAATTAAAGATAAAACCCACACAAATTTTCATTATGACTTTGATAGAAATGGTGGAGAGGTACAAAGAAAAGTTAATGATGACTATCAGTTTCCTAGTGTTGCTGTAACAAATTACCACAAACTTAGTGGCTTAAAATAGCAAAAACGTATTATCATACAATTCTGGGAGTCAGAAGTATTAATGGATCCCATTGGACAAAAATCAAAGTACATAGAGCTATATTCCTTTTGAAGACTGTAGGGGAAAATCTGGATTATTTGCCTTTTCCAACTTCCAGAGGCCACCCACATTTCCTGGCTCATGGCCCCATTTTCCGTCTTCAAGCCAGCAATGTCAGACCATGGCCTCTCACAGTGCCATCTCTTTAATTATCTTTTATTCTGTACGCTTATTTCACTTTTAAGAACCCGTCTGATTACTTTGGCCATACCCAGATAATTTTCCTATCTGTTGATTAGCAACATTAATTCCATCTGTAACCCTAATTCCTCTTTGCCATGTAATGTAACAGATTTATAGATTACAGGGATTAGGACATAGATATCTGCAGGCAGGGTCAACTTTTCTGCCTACCAGAGTGACTTCTCAAATACTTACTTGGGCAACTGAGATATCATTGTAGTATAAAACATACATTTCATGCTGAGTAAAATCTAGAGTTCTGATAATGTTCTATATGGCTCTCTATGTAGTTAAGGACTATGACCGTGAATATACACTGAATTTGAGTAATGTTACTGCCACTTAATAGTTTGGTAAATGTATATATATGTGTATACATATACATATATATATATATATATATATATGTATACACATATATATATACACATATATATGTGTATACATATATATATATATACACATATATATGTGTATACATATATATATACACATATATATGTGTGTGTGTGTGTATATATATATATATATATATATATATATATATAATCTCACAGGTTCAATTGCCTCATCTGTAAAATGTGAAAACCAGCTATCTCTGACAAATAAGAGTTATGGTGAAGATCAAATAAGATAATGATACAGTGCTTAGCCTAGTGTCCTACTCAAAGAATTTTAGATACTAATTAGCACTGAATAGTAATGCAGGTGAAGGCAAGTTGGGATTTAATTTTTAGTATATAGATTTCAGTTATGTGAAAGACATCCAATCCCACCTCCTGTATTATTCCATTCGCACACTGCTATGAATAAGTACCTGAGACAGCGTAATTTATAAAGAAAAGAGATGTAATTGACTCACAGTTCCGCATGGCTGGGGAGGCCTCAGGAAACTTATAATCATGGTGGAAGGCACCTCTTCACAGGGAGGCAGGACAAAGAATGAGTACAAATAGGGGAAATGCCAGACACCGATAAAACCATCAGATCCTGTAAGACTCACTCACTATCATGAGAACAGTATGAGGGAAACCTCCCCCATGATCCTATTACTTCCACCTGGTCCTGCCCTTGACACATGTGGATTATGGAGATTACAATTCAAGATGAGATTTTGGGTGGGGACACAGCCAAACCATATCATCTCCCTAGAACATACTTTTCCACTCACCTAGAGGGCCATATTATACTTTCTTTTCTCTTTTCCATTTTTTAAAAGCTCTTTGCCCATGCTCATCCTCTGCAAAAGATAGAAACAGCCAAAATTTTCCAAAGCTCTTACTTCTTCATCTAGACACCCACCTGTGACTATGGCCATGTATTCTACCTTCTTTCTTGTTGCTATGTGTAATTGTCCATGATCCTGACTAACTACAGAGCTCACTGCCATTTACACACTAGGTTCTGTCCCTTATTGCCTATTCAAGCAATATCCCCTTTCTCGTCTGCATCATCAAATTCTTCCCTGCTATCATTTGAATGTGTTCCCAAAGTTCATACGTGGAAAACTTGGTTCCCAGTGCAATAGTGTTGGGCGGTGGGGTGTAATAAGAGGTGATTGAGTCAGGAGGGCTCTGCTTTTATGAATAAATTAATGTCATTATTACTGGAGTCAGTTAGTTATCATGAGAGTGGCTTAACCTCACCTTATCTTGCCTTTCTGCCTTTCACCAGGAGATGACACAGCATGAAGCTCCCTGCCTAGATGCCAGGGCCATGGTCTTGGTCTTCGTAGCTTGCAGAACTGTAACACAAATAAATTTTTATTATACATTTTCCAATCTATGGAAATTTATTATGGCAACATAAAACAGACCAAAAACAACACCTCTCTGCTAGATCATTGCCTTTAGCATACAGACATTTCAATATTGCTCTCACTGTGTTCACAAAAAAGCTCCAACTGTACCTCATTTTAACCTGCAACAAATGTCCCATTTTCTTTTTCTCTTGACAGAAAAACTCCTTGAAACAGCTGTCTGTATTCCTTGCCAGAATTGTATCTCTTCTTGTTTTCTGTTGAACTATCCAAATAAGCTTTTTACCACACCACTCCACTGAAACTGCTCTTATCCCAGGTTGCCAAATAGTATTTCTATTGCTAGATGCAGTGATTATTTCTGTCTTCGTCTTATTTGAGCCATCAGCAGGATATGACACAGCTGATGACTCCTGATTTCTTAAAATACTCTTCTCACCTGGCTTCTAAGACATCACACTCATTTTGTTTTCCCTGCGTTTTCGACCAGTCTTGCATGTCTCTTTTCCTAGTTCTTCTTCATACTCTGCCCCCTACACGTTAGAATATTTCAGTTCCAGGACTTGAATTATTTTGCTTTCCTGTCTAGTTTTACTCACAAGCTGATTGTATTCAGTCACATGACTTTAGACATTTATCTGTTGATGACTTCCAGATTTATGTCTATAGTCTAAACTGAAATGCACATTCTTATATCCAACTGCCTAATCAACACCACCACTTAAAGGTTTAACAGGCACCTTAAAACATCCAAAAATGAGTTTTTGACAATCTCCTCTAATCTGAGGATTAATGTAATACAAGTATCAATCAAAATTTAGTCTGTTAGTCTTCCCTATCTACTCTTAGTCTTTTCTACAGTGGATGGTAATTCCAAATTTCCTGTTGCTTAGGCCGAAAACCTTGGACTATTTTTTTTTTTGAAATGGAGTGTCACTCTGTTGTCCAAGCTGGAGTGCAGTGGCGTGATCTCGGCTCACCACAACCTCCGCCTCCCAGGTTCAAGCGATTCTCCTGCCTCAGCCTCCCGAGTAGCTGGGACTACAGGTGTGCACCACCATGCCTGGCCACTTTTTTGTATTTTTAGTAGAGACAGGGTTTCACTATGTTGATCAGGCTGGTCTTGAACTCCTGACCTCATGATCCACCAACATCGGCCTCCCAAAGTGCTGGGATTACAGACTTGAGTCACAGTGCCCAGCCTGGACTAATTTTTAATTCCACTTTTCTTTTCAAAATGTACATTTAATCCATCAACAATCCTGTGGATTCTAACTTCAAAATATATGCAAGAGCTGACAACTTCTCGCTATCCCTACTCATACTATCCTGGTTTCAGCCACCATAGTCTATGACCTGGAATATTGCCAGTAGCCTCCTAGGTTTTCCTATGTCTACAACTGTGCTCTCAGTCTGTCCTTAACATGCAAGCTATAGTGATCCTGTTACATCCTGTTAAATCATAAGTTAAATTATGTTATTTCCTCTCCTAAAAACCCCCTCCATGCCTTCGTATCTCACAATAATTAAAATCCAGAATGTCACATAGGTTCTATGTCAATAGTGCACCAGCAATTCCTTAACACCCAGTTTTATATTAAAACAAAAATACTGCATATGGGTGTGAGTGGTGTGACACCCACCAGTATACATATGCACACATATTTATATTTAAGGTTTATTGTTTTAAAGAAGTACTAGCATATAATTTACAAATATTACTCAAATATATAACACTTTTTTGAAAATATCGAAGAACCTATTGATTCTTACAAAATGCTTTTATTGAATTTTGCCAAACTCTTGTTTCCATAACCAAACTATGGCTGCAGCTGATAAATGTGTTTAGTTTCTTTTCTTTTCTTTTTTTTTTTTTTTTTCATTTTTGGAGATGGAATCTCCTCACTCTGTCGCCCAGGCTGGAGTGCGGTGGCGGGATCTTCGCTCTCTGCAACCTGTGCCTCCCGGGTTCAAGCGATTCTTCTGCCTCAGCCTCCCGATAAGCTGGGACTGGATTACAGGCATGCACCACCAAGCCCAGCTAACTTTTGTATTTTCAGTAGAGATGGGGTTTCACCATGTTGACCAGGCTGGTCTCGAACTCCTGGCCTCAAATGATCCGCCCACTTCGGCCTCCCAAAGTGCTGGGATTACAGACGTGAGCCACCACGCCCAGCCATGTGTTTAGTTTCCACATAAATGTTGGTTGATATTTGTATGTGTTTTAATGAGTAAGATAAAAGTGAAACAACAAAGATATATGTTGGAACATCACTGGTTCATCAATGACAGGAATAGCTTCTTCATTGAATCAGATAGTAGTTTTCAAATAGTGGAAAGATATTTTCTCAGTTTTTTACTATTCACAATGCAATGCCTACAGCCATGACACCCTTTTAGGTTTAATCTGCATTGTTAACATTTTCTCCATCATATTTTTAAGTGTAGACGATCAGAAAAACAATAAACTAGCCCTTATTTGAAGCATTTTTAAATTTCCCTAGTGTAAATATTCCCACCATGGTTGATTTCAACGTGATGTCACTAAATGCAGAAATATTACTAGATTTTTAAAATGCTGCACTGCCATCACACATACGATAAATCTATACAAGCTGGAGTCGTGGTTACCTGTTATAGGACACATGTTCAAGGTCATTCTTCTGTAGAGGAGTTGAACTGCTCCCTGAAAAATGGTAGCTGGATAACAGTAAGAGATTACAGATATAATTGCAAGGTGTCAGAATCAACCTAAGAACTTCCTGTGACTTTGATTGAAAGGTTTGAGGCTTAGGGGTATTAGAATATCTATAACTACAACACAATTTTACATATCTGGAATTTGAAACTTTTATGTTTTCTCCAAGCCTTTGTTAAAGTCTGGTTAAATTGTTTCAACACAGCCTCATCTTACGCTGTAGAGAACTGAAGAAAAGGCCTTTTTCTATACTTGTGGAAAAACAGTAAAGGCAAGAATGGCAGCTGAGCAATGGAAGCAAGTTGGGAGCTGGCAGTAAGGAGATAACAAGCTGGAATCAGACAACTGGTTGAGATAAAAAATGAGAACAAGCTGGATGAGTGAAACATGGACAGATTCCTTTGGGATTTCTAGAGTTACATGAGGAAAGGAACTTGGTAGAAGACAGAGCTAGTAAAATGTTGATAAATATTAACTGTATCATCTTGTGATGATAATGGTGCAGAGAAACTGGTACCTTTGAATACTGCTGGTAAATTTTCACAGGATTTTTTGAGAGGAAAATGATAATATTTATTAAAAGCTTAAGGAATTTATACCTCTGGACTCAGTAATTTCACTAATAAGAATTTATTTTAAGGAAATGTTCAGAGAGACACAGACTTATGTACAATATTGTTGATAATAGCATTATTTATGAGCAAAAAACCATGAAAACAGCCAGGTGCGGTGGCTCACGACTATAATCCCAGCACTTTGGCATGCCAAGGCGGACGGATCACTTGAGGTCAGGAGTTTGAGACCAGCCTGGCCAACATGGTGAAACCCTGTCTCTACTAAAAATACAAAAAATAGTCGGGCATGGTGGTGCACATTTGTAATCCCAGCTACTTGAGAGGCTGAGGTGGGAGAATCGCTTGAACCCAGGAGGTGGAGGTCGCAGTGAGCCGAGATGGCGCCACTGCACTCCAGCCTGGGCGACAGAGCCAGACTCCATCTCAAAAAAAAAAATACAAAACCAAGAAAACAACTTAAATTCTATGCAGATGAGACTAGTAAAATAAGATATGGCATATCCATATAATGCAATACTACATCGGTATTATAAATCATATTTTCAAAACATATTTCATGACATTCAGAATTTACAAAAAATAATATATAGTATCAAAAGTAGGATACAATCCACATGTACCACGACTCTAGTTTTGTTTAAAAAGAGTAATAATAGCAGAATAATAAAATAAAATGTCAGCACTGGCTATAATTTGGAGATAGAATTTTGGGTAATTTTTAGTTCTCTTTCTTTTTTCAACTATTCTAAAAAATATGTAATTATAAATATAATGTTTTTGCCATGATCCTGTATTTAAAAGTTTGTATTTAATATAGTACATATACAGAGAATCAAACACATTAGGAGGATTTATCTTGCTGAATTTTCACAAATTGAATGAACCCCATGTAACTTGCACCATGATTAAGAATAAGATATCACCATCACTGGTCCTCTTCATGCACCCCAGAGGTTTTCACTCACTAACCCTCCCAATACATACACGAACGTGCACACACACACACACACACACGCACACATACACAGCCTTTTCCACCTAGGGTCACAATTATTCTGAGTCTAACAGATTATATTAGCTTTACCTGTTTATACAGTTTACACAAATACAATTATACAGCATGTAGTCTTCTTTTTCCCAACAATTTAAGTTGCATTTCTCTATCTATGTTTCAATACCTGCTATGATTTGAGTATGTCCCTTCCAAAATTTTGGTGTTGCCAGTGTGATGGTTTTAAGAGGTGGAGCCTTTAAGATATAATTAGGCCTTGAGGGCTCCTCTCTCACGAATGGGATTAGGTGCCCTTTTAAAGGGGCTTGACAGAGGAAGTTCTTCCTCTCTTGCCCTTCTGCCTTCCACTATTGAGGACACAGCAAGAAGGTCCCCATCAGATGTTGGTGCCTTCATCTGGAATTTCCCAGCCTCCAGACCTGTGAGAAATAAATTTCTGTTCTTTATACATTACCCCGTCTCAGGTATTCTGTTATGGTAGCCCAGACAAAGGCAATGAACTAAAAGGAAAACATGAGGCTGGAAATAACAATGAACACTTCTTGTCTCCTGCAATGTCCTTTGTGAATGAGTAGCTCACAACACAGCTACTCTTTCTGAAATGTCAGGATTGTTTAGTTTCTGGACAATTCTCCAAATCATCATAAACTGATCAATTAAAATACTACTGTGGCACTATTCACAATAGCAAAGACTTGGAACCAACCCAAATGTCCATCAGTGATAGACTGGATTAAGAAAATGTGGCACATATACACCATGGAATACTATACAGCCATAAAAAAGGACGAGTTCATGTCCTTTGTAGGGACATGGATGAAGCTGGACACCATCATTCTCAGCAGACTATCGCAAGGACAAAAAACCAAACACCGCATGTTCTCACTCATAGGTGGAAATTGAACAAAGAGAACACTTGGACACAGGAAGGGGAACATCACACACCGGGGCCTGTTGCGGGGTGAGGGGAGAGGGGAGGGATAGCATTAGGAGATATACCTAATGTAAATGATGAGTTAATGGGTGCAGCACACCAACATGGCACATGGATACATATATAACAAACCTGCATGTTGTGCACATGTACCCTAGAACTTCAGGTATAATAAAAATAAATAAATTTTAAAAATAAAAGAGAAATAATAATTGTGATAGCAAAAATAATAAAACGTAAATTCTCAAGAGGAAAAGACAATCTGTGGGAATTTATTTTAAATTTATACATTAGATTCTACATGAAGATAAATTAGTTGAGAATAAGGCAAATCAATAAATTTTATATAGTAGCTACTATTTGCATGTACCTGTTATATGCTAGGCATTTTACATATATTGTCTCATTGTTTAACCTTTACAATAAACTAAAGGATTAGAAGATAATATTCCTATACTACAAATAAGTAAGTCTCTGAGAGGTTTTCTGCTCAAGATTGCTAAAATGCAGAGAACAGTATTATAATCCAGGTTTCTCTGATTTTAGAGCCTGGACTGTTTCTACTGTGATGCTTACTGGTAGTTATTTCAGGAAATTGTGTTTTTATTTCACTTCCTTTTGAGTTCACATAGTAGCATCTGATTTTGATTCAGAGTGTGATTAACCCAGGGAACTTTGAGCAGTAACAAAGTGCTGATTGTCAGGAAGGCCTGTTTATACCTTACCTGTTTTACTTTAATCAGCAATACACTTATAAATTATGCATCAATTTATACTGATAATAAAATTTGAATTTTTTAAACATCCTGGATTCCACAACAACTGAATGCATTGTTGCTTTTCAGTTAGATGTGGCAAAAAAAATGCTCAGAATTATTGAAATGACTCTTTATTTCATCAGAAACCACCTTTCAATGTTCAATGAATAACACACCATTTCAGCTTTGTCATGCTCCCGGCATGCTGTGCAGGTCTGCTTGTTTCCTGAGGGCGTGGGGTAGCCATGCAGTTTTGGATGTCAAGGTCTCAGTCATTCAGTCTGGCCTAGGCTCTGGGCAGCTGGGGTCGTGATGCTGCAGGCAACCATATGCACCTGGTGCACGATGGTGGGACCTCAGAGATGAAGAGAGTCCGTTGCTACTGGTCCCCAGAGCAGGATGCACTGTATTAGTGGGTCCATTTCAAGATGGTGCTGAGTCATAGCAGTTTAGGTCGCTGGTGCGCAGGGTGCTCATGTTGAGCTCCTACTCTGAGGCAATGCAGCTACACAAACTCCTAGCTACTCTCCAAACTGGATTCAGAGACTGTGAGGACTGGGGGACTCTCTTGTAGCAAGGATTGTTAATGTTTGTGGCATAAATGAGGACTACTGTGGATCTCTAGCTTACCTTTTAACTGTAAGATTAATTTCCTCCTGACTCTGAGCTGATCCCAATGGGGGAGACAGTGTTGCAAAGGCAGGCTTCCTCATTCCCCTCTCTATGGTGTTGTCCTGGATTTCATTGCTCTGTGGGGTTTTCACCACTCCCCTGGTCCACTCCAGAGTGCTTCCTCGGTCACTGTACTCAAAAAATAATTGTTTATTTGTTTTTTGTCCCTTTTTGTGGAGAAAATGGGCACCACTTAACTCTTGTTAGCCATCTTGGTGACGTCACTCTGTACCCTGGTCTTTTAAGTGGCCATAGTTTGCCCATTTCTATTATGGAGGGAGAGAAATAACCCCAACTGTGTAACATTATTTAATCACATAATTATTTTGCTTTTTTTCCTAGATTAGCCAACTGTCTTTATGGCCACTGCTTGTTCTACCACCCGGGTCAGGCTGGCAGAACAAGCAGGAACATTTCTCAGCAGACTGCCTGCCTTCTGACTTCCTCATTCACCAGAAGCCAGGAGACTCGCTTGTCCTACAATTTCACTTTGCTTCCCTAATAACCATCTCATTGAATCCTTTAGACATCTAAGTCATAGGACCACTAGTTATCTTTCCTTGTCACCAGCAGTCTTGAATCAACACTGTTAAAACCCACCTTTAGTGACAAATAGCAAATTCAATGTGCTTTCCAGAGGTGAGCTGATAAAACCACTCATGTAGGTATATAAATGACTGGCAGAGTTTAATTTATAAGCTTTCATAAGGGTTTACTCCCCCAAAATGTGTATGTGGTGTGTGTGTGTGTGTGTGTGTGCGTGCGTGCGTGTTTCAGTGTTATTTTGGAGAATCATTTCATAGATGACTAACCCTGTCTCTGTTAGGTAATCATCCATTTTTAATACATTTTTTATATCGTGGAAGACTCGGACCTCTTCACCAATAGATATTCATTGTGTGAAATTAAGCTTTTAACATTATTTTTCTCATGAGGCCAAATGAGTGTGGTTTTAGAGTTAGGTTTACTGCACCTCCTGGGACAGATCAGGCATCTATGCACGGACTTCCCAGCGGACTGCATTTTAGCTTCCTGGTTAATCAGAAATCTGCAGCTTGTTTTGTCCTGCCACCGCGCTTTCCCACCACAAGAACATGACTGATGCCTTGATCTCAACAGATGTAAGACTGTATAAGTGATAAGACACTTTCATATTCACTTAACATTGAAACTATAACATAGATAGCACCAACTTGATTTTAGTAGAGAAGGAAGGGAAAAGGGACAAGTTAAAAAAATCCTGTTTCTCAGAGAGAAAGAAGTAAAAGAAAAATAAACTTTAAGGCAGGTGCCATTAATTGCCTCTTTCCCGGAGGGAAGTGTTTAGAGAGCTTGAAGCTAACAGGAGAGAAGATAGCTAGATAATGGCTACACATCTGTGGCTTCTTATTTAAAAAAATAATTGTTATGATATGTTGTAATCATTTTCTCACCAGCAACATTTTCTCATTGGCTACTATTGCACCAGGTGACTATTCCTTCACGTTTTGGCATCCTCTCTTTCCCTAGCAATAATGGAAAAGACAAGGGAAATGGATTCTGCTGAGTTCTTCTTCAGCCAATCACTTTCTGACTGTCCCGGCCTTTAACATCTTTCCAATAGTCCCAGCTATTCCCATTCAGATTTCTGTGTGTCCTATAAGCTCTGAGGTAATCTGTCCTACCCCAATAGCCCAACCTAAACTAAGACAAGGAAGGCTTCATCCTACACCAGAGTTTTCATCGTCAGCACTATTGTTTTAAGCCTGATAATTCTTTGCACAGAGACTCTCCTGTGCATTGCAGGATATTCAGAAGCATCTCTGGCCTTCACCCACTGTCAGTAGCACTCACCTCCCACCAGTTATAGCAACCAAAAATGTCTCCAGACATTGAAGAATGTTCCCAGAAACAAGGAGGTGGAAATCACTCCCAGTTTGATAATTACACTGATGAGAAAACATAATTGTAGGAGAGCTTGGTGTGAGACAGTGGGTCTTTTGTCCTCCCCTTACATGGCACCAGGACATGCTCTGTGTCCAGGTGTGAGTGTACACTATGGATACAGCATGCCCAGAGCACTCAGCAATGGCTGTAGCTCCTATGAGCTTCTGAGAAGAGGCTAAGCCAAGGCCTGAGCTTTCTTGAGTGGTTGGCCCTACAGAACACGGATAAAACATAAAGGAGTAGCTGCTGATAAACACAGACAGGTTGACTGACCTCCTCTGATCACTCCATGTCTCTCAATTAATATCTGCTCACTCATCAAAACTATGAAATAATTCCCCAATGTGGCATTCCAGCAAACGACAAAATTTCCACATTAATTTCATTTTGGTTGACAAATTGTGTTACACCCTTTTAGGCAAAATAAGCACATGCCTATGTATGGATGAAATTGAAAGCCTATTTTTAAAAAAATATGGCTAATTAAGAAATTGTCCATTGACTATCTCTCTGTAGAACACTACTGGAGTTTGGGGGGGCTTCTAACATCCTGCACAGGGAAAAGAGTCAATGTTTGGGGTAGCAGGTATCTCCCTGGGCCTCCTAGCAGCACTCCTGCTCTTGGCTGCTGAGCTCACAAAAACACTGGCCTCCTTTATTCTCATGGATCCTAGACCCTGGCCCTAACATTCTTTCAAAGCATCCATGCATCATGCAGTACTTAAAATCATGAATTCTGTAGCTGCACTGTCTCGGTTTGAATCTTGGATCCACTATTTACTAGCTGCATGGCATGGGCTAAGCTAGTTATCCTCTCTGTGCCTCAATTAGTAAATATTGAGCACTCATATGTTCCAGGAATTATTTCTTCATTGTTTCTAAAAACTAAATTAGCTAATACTTATTTAAAAATTTAATAGTGTTGAATATGTATTAAGTGCAAATGCATTAGCTATTATTATTATGCCCAACTCCTCTCCTTTTTTTTTACCCCAAATCCAATTCATCAGCAAATCCTGTATGCTCTTTTAAAATACTTTTCAAACTGGCCCACTTCTCACCATGTCTAACATTACAACTCTCACCAAATCATCATTATCCCTCATCTGGATTACTGGAATAGACTCCTACTTGGTATTTCTGCGCCATCCTTATCAATCTATAGTTTATTCTGCACACAGCTTCTAGAATGATCTTTTAAAAATTTATCACATCACTCCTTCACTCAAAACTGGCCATGGCTTTCCAGCTCGCTCAAAGCAAAAAAAAAACAGAACACACTTTATGTCATTTGGAACCTGCTACCTCTGTGACTTTAGCCTCCATTATTGTGCCTGTTTCTTATTCTTCTTAGGTCAATATGACCTCCCCATGATTCTCTATATATGCCAAGCACATTTCTGCTTCAAGAATTCAGCCTTTGTTCTGAATGAAAAACAGTTCATTATTGTTTTGAACTGCTTTTCCTCAAATATCTACATTACTGGCTCCCTCATTTTCTCGCGGTTTTTTCTCAAATATATCACCTTTTCAGTGAGGTTTTACTTGAACTCCCTATTTAAAACAACATCCCCTCAGCATTCCCTGAACTCCATTGTTCTACATTATTTCCTCCATTTCAATGTATACTATCTCAAATAGTATATATTTAGCATATTTATTTTCGCTTATTGCCTGCCCCCTCTCCCCAGAATATAAGCCACGTGAAGGAAAAAAAAAATAAATGTTTGTTCACTGCCATATCTCTAATATCTAGAGCAGTGCTTGATTCAAAATATGTGCACAATCAATTAAAGTATGCATTGAACATAATAAATAATTATAAGCTAATTGATTGGTTTTCTTTCTGAGATGGAGTCTCGCTCTGTTGCCCAGGCTGGAATGCAGTGGCATGATCTCAGTTCACTGCAACCTCCACCTCCTGGGTTCAAGCGATTCTCCTGCCTCAGCCTCCCAAGTAGCTGGGATTACAAGCATGCACCACCATGCCCCAGCTAATTTTTGTATTTTTAGTAGAGACGGGGTTTCACCATGTTGGTCAGGCTGGTCTTGAACTCCTGACCTCGTGATCTGCCCGCCTTGGCCTCCCAAAGTGCTGGCATTGCAGGCATGAGCCACCGTGCCCGGCCAGCTAATAGAAATATTGGTAACAGTGATGTTAATGTAGCTGGAGCATGTGATACAGGGCTAAGTAAATATAAAGATTTTATATGAGATGTGATCTTTGGAAATGCTAACGAATGTTTATTGAAAGCTTACCTATTATATCATTTAATCCTTGAAGCAACCATATAAAATTGATAATCTAATTACTATTTCACAGATGCAGAAAATAAGGCCAAGGGGGTTAGGGTCACACAGTAAGTGGCTTAGAGAGGATTTTAACTGCAGGTGTTTGGCTTCACAGCCCTTGTGCGTAACAACTAAGTGTTTTATTGTCCCTAAAATGCAGTTTGGGTAATAGTTTGAAAGATGAATATTTAATCAGAGAGCAAGAGAGTAGAGAAACTGGCTTTGAAACTACACTTCATTGAGGAATTATGTACTCATTCTTTTGAACAGCTAATATTGATCAAGCTCTGTACTAATCATGAATAATGTACAGAAGAAATGGCATATTTGCAGTCTTCCTAACCCACAGTTAAATGAGGAAACAAACACATAAATAATTCGTGAAAAAACATAAGATAAGCACTGTTCTACACATACATATGAGGATTTACAGAAATTTAGAGAAAGAATCAGTCAACCAGTCTCCAGGTAAGTGAAGGTGAGTTTACTAGAGGAGATGATATTTAAGTTATCTTTATAGTATAATTAAGAGTTCACATTGACCACGATGCAAAGAATATTCCAAGCAAAGGAACCAATAGCATGTGGAAGTATTAGAAATGACAAAGATCATAGCCCACTCAAAAACCCAGAGAAATTCAAATTTGCAATTAAGGTTTTCTGAGGGGAAAATGTAGCAGGTGAAGACATGAAGGAGAATGGGGTGCAAATCCTAAATAATTTATATATTTTTAAAAGCTTCAGAATTTTTGTGCAGATCATAAAAACTCTTGTTCCCCTTCTCCTCTATCCTCTCAGGCATTTTTCCCAATAAATCTTTTGCACTTCTAATTATGCCTCGACATCTGCTTCCCAGACGTCCAGAAATGACACATAATGTAGTGTAGGGTGCTCTTTCACAAAATATTTTTAACTGTAATCCAATCAAGCCTTCAGATTGAACTACCAGTTTATAGAAAATACAATAGCTATCAAAAGAAAGTAAATTACACCACGAGTAAATAAGCACACAATTTCAGAATCCTGGGATCAAGATATCCGCCCATCTTGGTATTGCAAATGTTGAGAATACGGGCATGAGCCACTGTGCCTGGCCTTAGAAGATATTACTTTTGTTTGCTATCTTAATAGTATTGCAGTTTATTTTTTTAATGTTGCTTTTTAGAGATACATATTAATATGGTTTGGATGTGTTCCCACCCAAATCTCATCTTGAATTGTAGTTCCCATAATCCCCATGTGTCATGGAAAAAATAGGTGGAGATAATTGAATTATGGGGACAGATTCCCCTATATTGTTCTCATGATAGTGAGTTAGTTCTCACAAGATCTGGTGGTTTTATAAGGGGCTTCCCCCTTTGCTGGACACTGATATGGTTTGGCTGTGTCCCCACCCAAATCTCATCTTAAATTCCCACATGCTGTGGGAGGTACCCTGTGAGAAGTAATTAAATCATGAGGGCATGTTTTTCCCATGCTGTTCTCTTAATAGTGAATAAGTCTCACGAGATCTGATGGCTTTATAAGGCAGAGTTTCCCTGCACAAGCTCTCTTTTTGCCTGCCACCATTCATGTAAGATGTCACGAACTCTCCCTTGCCTTCCGCCATGACTGTGAGGCCTCCCCAGCCACTTGGAACTGTAAGTCCAATAGGCCTCTTTCTTTTGTAAAATTGCCCAGATTCAGGTATGTCTTTATCAGTTGCCTGAAAACAAATGAATACAGTAAGTTGGTGCCAGGGGCATTGCTGAAATTATACCCAAAAATGTGGAAGTGACTTTGGAACTGAGTAACAGGAAGAGGTTGGAACAGTTTGGAGGGCTCAGAAGAAGACAGGAAAATATGGGAAAGTTTGGAACTCCACAGAGACTTCCTGAATGGCTTTACTAAAATGCTGATAATGATATGGACAATGAAATCCAGGCTGAGGTGGTCTCAGATGGAGATGAGGAACTTGGTGGGAATGGAGCAAAGGTGACTCTTGTTATGTTTTAGCAAAGAGACTGGTGACATTTTGCCCCTGCCCTAGAGATTTGTGGAACTTTGAACTTGAGAGAGATGATTTCGGGTATCTGGCAGAAGACATTTCTAAGCAGCAACACATTCAAGAGGTGACTTGGGTGCTGATAAAGGCATTCAGTTTTATAAGGGAAGCACAGCATAAAATTTTGGAAAATTTGTAGCCTGACAATCCAATAGAAGAGAAAATCCCATTTTCTGAAGAGTAATTCAAGTCAGTTGCAGAAATGTGCATGAGTAACCAGGAGCCAAATGTTAATCCCCAAGACAATGGGGAAAATGTCTCCAGAACATGTCAGAGGTCTTCACAGCAGCCCCTCCCAACACAGACCTGGAGGCCTAGAAGGAAAACATGGTTTTGTGGGCCAGATCCAGGGTCCCTGTGCTGTGTGCAGTTTAGGGACTTGGTGCCCTGCATCCCAGCTACTCCAGCCATGACTAAAAGAGGTCAAGATGCAGCTCAGGCTGTGGCTTCAGAGGGTGCAAGCTCTAAGCCTTGGCAGCTTCCACATGGTGTTGAGCCTGTGGGTGCACAGAAGTCAAGAATAGAGGTTTGGGAACCTATACCTAGATTTCAGAAGATGTAAGGAAATGCCTGGGTGTCCAGGCAGAAGTTTGCTGCAGGGGTGGGGCTCTCATGGAGAACCTCTACTAGGGCAGTGTGGAAGAGAAATGTGGGGTTGGAGCCCCCACACAGAGTCCCTACTGGGGCACCACTTCGTGGAGCCGTGAAAGGAGGGGCACCATCTGCCAGACCCAAGAATGGCAGATCCACCGACAGCTTGCACCGTGTGCCTGGAAAAGCCACAGACACCCAACACCAGCCTGTGAAAGCAGCTGGGAGGGAGGCTGTACACTGCAAAGCCACAGGGGTGGAGCTGCCCAAGACCATGGGAACCCATCTCCTGCACCAGCGTGACCCAGACGTGAGACATGGAGTCAAAGGAGATCATTTTGAAGCTTTAATATGTGACTCCCCTACTTGATTTTGGACTTGCATGGGGCCTGTAGCCCCTTGTTTTGGCTAATTTCTCCCCTTTAGAGTGGCTATATTTACCCAATTCCTGTACTCCCATTGTGTCTAGGAAGTAACTAACTTGCTTTTGATTTTACAGGCTCATAGGTGAAAGAGACTTGCCTTGTCTCAGATGAGACTTTGGACTGTGGACTTTGAGTTCATGTTGAAATGAGTTAAGACTCTGGGGGACTGTTGGGAAGGCATGATTGGTTTTGACATGTGAAGACATGAGATTTGGAAGGGCCAGGGGCATAATGATACAGTTTGGCTGTGTTCCCACCCAAATCTCAACTTGAATTTCCACATATTGTGGGAGGCGCCTGGTGGGAGGTAAATGAATCATGGGGTCAGGTCTTTCCCATGCTGTTCTTTTGATAGTGAATAAGTCTCATGAGATTTGAAGGCTTTATAAGGCAGAGTTTCCCTGCACAAGCTCTCTTTTTGTCTGCCGCCATTCACATAAGATGTGATTTGCTCCTCCTTGCCCTCTGCCATGATTGTGAGGCCTCCCCAGCCATGTGGAACTGTAAGTCCAATAAACCTCTTTTTTTAGTAAAATTGCGCAGTCTCAGGTATGTCTTTATCAGCAGCATGAAGATGGACTAACGCAACACTCATTTTTCTCCCTGCTGCCATGTGAAGAAGGATGTGTTTGCTTCCTCTTCTGTTATCATTTGTAAGTTTCCTGGGGCCTCTGCAGCCATGCTGAACTGGGAGTCAATTAAACCTCTTTCCTTTATAAATAACTCAGTCTTGGGTATGTCTTTATTAGCAGCATGAGAACGGACTAATACACATACCAATAAATTAAGTTACAAAATGTCAAAATGTCTATAAGTTTAAATACTTCATAATGTAAAAATATAGATGAAATAAACATGTAAAAGAAATCTCTAAAGGCTATCATCCCTAAGATAAAGAGCAAAATAAAGATGTTTACTTACACCACTATTATTTCTCTTTTCTTTTGAAGTTGCGGCCAATAAAATAATATTAATAATGGCAGCAGCAACAAAAAACCCTTTATAGTGCTTATTATGTGATAGGCATTGTTCTAAGCATTTTGTCTAAATGAACTCATGTGATTCTTTGATGGTCCAAATCACCTTGTGTGGTAAGTAACTGTCTCTCAGTTTTAAAGAAAGTTGAGGTTAAGAGATGTAAAGTATCACAGCTGGTAAGCGGTGAAGCCATATTAAAATATATGAGCTCTAGTTCCTATAAATAAATAAACAAATGAATATACACATATGTGTAATAACAATGTGTAATTCCTTATAAGATATGTAATTATCTGTAGATTACATTCTTATATACCGAGAAAACGTGAGAAAATTCATTCTATATCTTTTTAGAACTAATTAGAGGTTCAGTATGGTAAAAAGTGGGCATATTTATTATAGTAAACAACAACAGAATGTATTTAGGAATAATCAAAGTAAAAATTTCTATTTTATGTAAATGTAATTATAATTTTTATTCTGTTCCAATCAAAATATTATTTAAAAATAAACTGGCAAAAGGACTCAAAGATATACCTGGAATAACAGGTGATACTAAGATACTTTTGATAAAGACGAATGAGGGAAGACCGGTCCCAACATCAATGCCATTATAAAGATAGAAAAAACAAAACACTTGGTATTGGCAAAGAGCAATAGCTAAAAGGAACACAGTACAAAGTCTGGATTTAGACTCAAGAATATATAATTTAGTATATGATAAGGCAGCATTTAAAATAAACACGGTCGTATCAAATTGGCATGTAATGTACCCCATCTTGAAACTTGCTACTATCTTGGCTTGTGTGTGGATAGCATATTACATTAATGCCGAGCAGATTAGTAACGCCGAAGTAGCTGGCGCCTAAATGGCTTAAACGCGGAGAAACCACCTACTGATGATGGAACAAAAACTGACCAATCAGATTATAGAGCGGGCTTTTTAAAATTTAAGAAGCTTCTTTGTAGCTAAACCAATAAGAACAAAGACACAACATACCAGAATGTCTGAGACACATTCAAAGCAGTGCGTAGAGGGAAATTTATAGCACTAAATGCCTACAACAGAAAGCAGGACAGATCTAAAATTGACACCCTAACATCACAATTAAAAGAACTAGAGAAGCAAGAGCAAACACGTTCAAAAGCTGGCAGAAGACAAGAAATAACTAAGATCAGAGCAGAACTGAAGGAGATAGAGACACAAAAAATGCTCCAAAAAACCAATGAATCCAGGAGCTGGTTTTCTTAAAAGATCAACACAATTGATAGACTGCTAGCAAGACTAATAAAAAAGAAAAGAGAGAAGAATCAAATACACGCAATAAAAAATGATAAAGAGGATATCACCACTGATGCCACAGAAATACAAACTACCATCAGAGAATACTATAAACACCTCTATGCAAATGAACTAGAAAATCTAGAAGAAATGGATAAATTCCTCGACACATACACCCTACCAAGACTAAACCAGGAAGAAGTTGAATCCCTGAATAGACCAATAACAGGTTCTGAAATTGAGGCAATAATTAATAGTTTACCAACCAAAAAAAGTCCAGGAATAGAAGGATTCACAGCCAACTTCTACCAGAGTTATAAGGAGGAGCTGGTACCATTCCTTCTGAAACTATTCCAATCAACAGAAAAACAGGGAATCCTCCCTAACTCATTTTATGAGGCCAGCATCATCCTGATACCAAAGCCTAGCAGAGACACAACAAAAAAACAGAATTTTAGACCAATATCCCTGATGAACATCGATGCAAAAATCCTCAATAAAATACTGGCAAACGGAATCCAGCAGCACATCAAAAAGATTATCCACCATGATCAAGTTGGCTTCATCCCTGGAATGCAAGGCTGCTTCAACATACACAAATCAATAAATGTAATCCAGCATATAAACATAACCAAAGACAAAAACCACATGATTATCTCAATAGATGCAGAAAAGGCCTTTGACAAAATTCAACAACCCTTCATGCTAAAAACTCTCAATAAATTAGGTACTATTGGGATGTATCTCAAAATAATAAGAGCGATCTATGACAAACCCACAGCCAATATCCTGCTGAATGGGCAAAACCTGGAAGCATTCCCTTTGAAAACTGGCACAAGACAGGGATGCCCTCTCTCACCACTCCTATTCAACATACTGTTGGAAGTTCTGGCCAGGGCAATCAGGCAGGAGAAAGAAATAAAGGGTATTCAATTCGGAAAAGAGGAAGTCAAATCGTCTCTGTTTGCAGATGACATGATTGTATATCTAGAATACCCCATTGTCTCAGCCCAAAATCTCCTTAAGCTGATAGACAACTTCAGCAAAGTCTCAGGATACAAAATCAATGTGCAAAAATCACAAGCATTCCTATACACCAATAACAGACAGAGAGCCAAATCATGACTGAACTCCCATTCACAATTGCTACAAAGAGAATAAAATACCTAGGAATCCAACTTACAAGGGATGTGAAGGACCTCTTCAAGAAGAACTACAAACCACTGCTCAACGAAATAAAAGAGGACACAAACAAATGGAAGAACAGTCCATACTCATGGATAGGAAGAATCAATATCGTGAAAATGGCCATACTGCCCAAGGTAATTTATACATTCAATGCCATCCCCATCAAGCTACCAATGACTTCCTTCACAGAATTGGAAAAAACTACTTTAAAGTTCAAATGACACCAAAAAAGAGCCCGCATCGCCAAGTCAATCCTAAGCCAAAAGAATAAAGCTGGAGGCATCACGCTACCTGACTTCAAACTATACTACAAGGCTACAGTAACCAAAACACAGATATAGCATGGTACTGGTACCGAAACAGAGATATAGACCAATGGAACAGAACAGAGCCCTCAGAAATAATACCACACATCTACAACTATCTGATCTTTGACAAATCTGACAAAAACAAGAAATGGGGAAACGATTCCCTATTTAATAAATGGTGCCGGGAAAACTGGCTAGCCATATGTAGAAAGCTGAAACTGGATCCCTTCCTTACATCTTATACAAAAATTAATTCAAGATGGATTAAAGACGTAAATGTTACACCTAAAACAATAAAAACCCTAGAAGAAAACCTAGGCAATACCATTCAGGACATAGGCATGGGCAAGGACTTCATGTCTAAAACACCAAAAGCAATGGCAACAAAAGACAAAATTGACAAATGGGATCTAATTAAACTAAAGAGCTTCTGCACAGCAAAAGAAACTACCATCAGAGTGAACAGGCAACCTACAACATGGGAGAAAATTTTTGAAATCTACCCTTCTGACAAAGGGCTAATATCCAGAATCTACAATGAACTCAAACAAATTTACAATAAAAAAACAACCCCATCGACAAGTGGGTGAAGGATATGAACAGACACTTCTCAAAAGAAGACATTTATGCAGCCAAAAAACACATGAAAAAATGCTCATCATCACTGGCCATCAGAGAAATGCAAATCAAAACCACTATGAGATACCATCTCACACCAGTTAGAATGGCGATCATTAAAAAGTCAGGAAACAACAGGTGCTGGAGAGGATGTGGAGAAATAGGAACATTTTCACACTGTTGGTGGGACTGAAAACTAGTTCAACCATTGTGGAAGACAGTGTGGTGATTCCTCAGGGATCTAGAACTGGAAATACCATTTGACCCAGCCATCCCATTACTGGGTATATACGCAAAGGATTATGAATCATGCTGCTATAAAAACACATGCACACATATGTTTATTGTGGCACTATTCACAACAGCAAAGACTTGGAATCAACCCAAATGTCCAACAGTGATAGACTGGATTAAGAAAATGTGGCACATATACACCACGGAATACTATGCAGCCATAAAAATTGATGAATTCATGTCCTTTGTAGGGATATGGATGAAGCTGGACACCATCATTCTCAGCAAACTATCGCAAGGACAAACAACCAAACACCGCATGTTCTCACTCATAGGTGGGAATTGAACAACGAGAACACCTGCACACAGGAAGGGGAACATCACACACCGGGGCCTGTTGTGGGGTGGGGGGAGGGGGGAGGGATAGCATTAGGAGATACACCTAATGTAAATGACGAGTTAATGGGTGCAGCACAGCAACATGGCACATGTATACATATGTAACAAACCTGCACGTTGTGCACATGTACCCTAGAACTTAAAATATAATTAAAAAAACTATTAAAAATAAGTAAATAAAATAAAATAAAATAAAATAAGCAGCAAGAATGTCAATTATTTAATTTCTTTGTGATTACTAGTTAACCATTTGTTAAAAACTAAAACGGTTTCTCAACTCAAATAAATGCAAGGATATATCAAATACTTTAAAACATTAAAGATGAAGTGTTAACATAAATAATTACTAGTGACTTAACTACTAAATATCTTTAGGTAGAGTGGTTATTTCTAAGCATATAATGAAAGCTAAGAAACATAAAAAAGGTTAATAGAATTAAATATAATATATAACCTTTATTTAAAAAAAGAACAAAATTTGTCAATGTATAAATAATAACTAAATGGGAGAGTATTTGCAATACCAGTAACAAAGGGCTAATATCTTGAAGGCAAAAAATCCCTTTCTACTAAAATATGATTACCCTCATAGAAAATTGCAAATATCAGTTAAAATATAGATGGACACTAAATAAGAAAATACTTTAAAATTTTAAGGTAATTAAAGATAATTCCTCATTTATCAAAAATTGTCGAGCACCTCATTGTATACAGATGCTGTTTCCTCTATCTGGGATGCTCTCTTCATAAATCCACTTGGCCAGCTCTTTCTCAAGATTAAATATCATCTCCTCATTGAAGAAGTTCCTGATCAAAAGCTTAATTTAAATATCTCCCCGAACAGTTTTCATTATAGCAACCATTACCATCTGACCTTATCTCACTCACTTAGTTGTGTTTTATTTGCCCCCTGAGGTTTCCCAAGGGTATGTGTAAATCCTCAGTGCCTAAAATAGAGCCTGATCCACAACAGACATTCAATAAACCTGTAAAAAATTGCCAAATGAATAATAGCTACCACGATTCCTTCCAGCTTCAAGATGTGATAGTGATCATAAGTAGAAATAGGGAAGCCAGGAAAGGTAAACTTGGGTAAGATTTGCCCAACTGTCTATTATACACACAATTGCAGAGTACCCACAAAACCAAGAGCATTGGAAATCTCTTTGCAAAAGGAATTATTTTCCCAAAATGAGTAAAATATTAGAGAAAAGTATATATTTTCAAACGATATATGTCATTTTTCTTATGTATTAGCCCCTCCTATGTGTCTAATTTAGCCTAATATTTATTATCTAAGCAACAATTCCAAACACTTGGTGGGAAATTTTTAGCAATATCTACAAACTCAGACCTACTCGACAGATTAGGAAACAGAAGTTTCCATGGTTTTATAGGTGATCGTGTGGCTGCATTTTGCAATTTAAATTTAAAAAATGTCTTGGTGATAAACAGACACCTAGAGCTTTTGTCTGATCAACTGGAATAAAATGTGAAAACTTTCTATGGAAACCTCAGGGGAACGAAGGTGAGGTTGGTGATTTCACTGTGTTAGCAAATGGAAATGCACTGGGAGTGATGACGAATGTTATTGTCTGTGTTCCTGGGAGATAACACAATTGCATTCCACTGGCTTTTAATGAGTTTTCACTTGAGATACAGTGAGTACATTTGCATGTCAACTACAGAGACCAAAAATATATTTCTTGTCATCACTGCAGGAGGAGAAATCATTTCTGTGCTGTATAAAGTAGAAGGAAAGTAGGTTCACGTACTGCCTTTTGTATTAATGATAAATAATTGAGTTCAGTTAGCTTGTTCTTACACAATCTGAGGAAGAAGAACTGAGTACAGTGGCTCCCATTTTGTAACAGTTTGTTATTTTTTTCTGGGATGACCTGAAGCTAAGAACATGGGGGTAGAGACATGTCTCATAATTTTTTCTTTTTTTTTTTTTTTTTGAGGTGGGGTCTCACTCTGTCACCCAGGCTGAGAGTGCAGTGGCACAATCTTGGCTCACTGCAACCTCCCCCTTCCAGGTTCAAGCAATTCTCCTGCCACCACGCCCGGCTAATTTTTGTATTTGTAGTAGAGACAGGGTTTCACCGTGTTGGCCAGGCTGGTCTCGAACTTCTGACCTCAAGTGATCCACCTGCTTCAGCCTCCCAAAGTGCTGGGATAACAGGCATGAGCCACAATGACAGGGCCAAAATTTTTTCTTAAAGGTCTAAAAAAGAGTTTTCTTCCAACATAATATTCCGTACACTGCAGATGGTCTTTTATTTTGCTTATTGGTAACTGGCCTAAGAGATTTTACATTTTATTGAAATAATTCCTATGTCATTATTATAAACTTCTGGATTGCTTAGAAAAAAAACATAAAAAATTTTTTACTTAAGGTCATTACATCTGTGTAACTTTCTGTATGTGCTTTTAAAGTCCTTGTGCCATTGAGTTATAGGGCTTTGACTTCTGGGTCTAAAAAGGACACCAAGTTCTGCTATATCTTAAACACTGACAGCAATTACAGCCTCATCTTCAGGCCCAGTAGAAGATGCTAATCAAAGTAAACTGCGTTCATGAGATGCAGGGCCAGAAATTAAAACTATTCAACTCCTCAAGGCCCAAGGACTATCGTGGAAGAGGTGGGCATGTGAGATTGTAAGGGCTGATATTAAGAGAAAAGTAGCTCAGTTTCTCTAGGAATTAACCATTAATATCAAAGGCACACTAAAGCAAAACCAGTATCTAGGTTGCTGTGTCAGTTTAACAAGGCTTTCTTGGAGCATTAACTCACTCCTTCATGCAAAATGATAAAGGTTACAAGGTTTATAGAAATTATATTTTATACTCAAGATGATTAAACTTTTATTATAAAATTTCAAAAAAACAAATTTCATTTGCCCATCCTGTTTTTAATTAGGGCTTATTGTTTGGGATATTAAGCCTCCTCTCTCAAAGAATAAAGATTTTCACCTTTTTTTTTTTTTCTTTTTTGAAATCTTTGAGTTACTGCTTTGGTTAAATGAATGACTTATTTTACAATGACCCATGACCCTATTTCGTGATATCAAGCATTTTAAACTTTTTATCTTTGACGAACTTTCCAAAGTCAAATTCTAACTTGATTCCTCATTAATTTTTTGATATGAGTCCTCTGAAGTCCAAAAGAGACATATTGGTCTTATTTGGTATAAAAATCATACAAGAAGCATCGTCAAATATAAAATGGTGTTTGACTTTCTTTGGGCTGTATTTATAGAAATGTTATTGATATGTGCTCCAAAATTATGGGAAACTCATAATTCTGAAATAACTTCTGTATGTTATTAATTATAAACTTTATGTTAAATTGTTGTATGCTACAGAAGTAACCAAAATTTACTTGTCAATGGTGGTTTTAATAATGGCCGTCCTGGCTGGGTGTGGTGGCTCACGCCTGTAATCCCAGCACTTTGGAGGCCAAGGCGGGTGGATCACGAGGTCAGGAGTTCAAGACCAGCTTGGCCAAGATGGTGAGACCCCCGCCTCTCCTAAAAATACAAAAATTAGCCGGGCGTGGTGGCACAGGCCTGTAATCCCAGCTACTCAGGAGGCTGAGCCAGAGAATCACTTAAACCCAGGAGGCAGAGGTTGCAGTGAGCTGAGATCATGCCATTGCACTCCAGCCTGGGCAACAACAGTGAAACTCCATTTCAAAAAGAGAAAAAAATATACACCCCTGATTTGAAACAAGACTAGGATACACGGTAAAGAATGTTTATTCACTAAAGTTTTGACAGACTGAAGGCCATTATTTCAGATTGGAGATAGGAAACTTGAACTACACGGACATTGGGTAAAAGAACATGGGTTGAAATTTGCCTGGCAGTAGCCCAAAAGTAAATGGTCTTCGAGGTGCATGTGAAGGAACTGTAGGAGGGAAATGGGATAATTCACATCTCCGCCAATAAATAAATGTAGCCACACTAGCTTGGGGGATTTGAGGTGAGACATCGAAAATACTAAGTCATGGTGAGGGCTGGAAGACAAAAGAATGAATCACTTAATAGGAATGGCTGTGGGGAAGGGCTTGAAGGAATCATCCTCTGACTTCCATGTGAACCGTGAACATTAAACATGGAGAAATGAGGAGCGGCGGCAGATCGGTTTGGGATGCATCTTCAGGGGATGCTGAAACAACAGCAGCATTTGGTTTGCTCTACACCCCTGTCACCCCTCGCCCGCAAGCCCAGGGAGTGGTCAGCAGTGGGGCTTTGTGACGTCGAAGCCACCCTAGGGCTGCCATTGGCTGGGACACTGCCTGTATGATCAAACAAAGCTCAAGGGTGTGGCTTTGCCTTGTCACCAGGAGGGTATACATAGGGAGGGCAAGAGCTCCGGGCCACTGAGAAGATTCAAAACCTACAAAAGCCTGCCGCTGACATTGAAGAACCAATATATACAATGGACAAACAATCCAGTGCCGGCGGGGTGAAGAGGAGCGTCCCCTGTGATTCCAACGAGGCCAACGAGATGGTAAGACTGTTAGGTTCTGAAGTGAAGGCGAGGGTGAAAGAAAGACACACAGAGCGGGGGCGGCTCAAACAACAACACAGGAATATTGCAGACCATTGTGGAAGTGGGGGGCCCGCTTAATGCCAGAGCCCACCGCCGCTTACAGGCTGGGGTGCTTGTAGGTAGGGGTGGGAGGGGCCTGGGCAGTATGGCTTGCTGCCCGGCAGGATATTGATAAGATGTTCTTATGATCAGGTGGTTTGGCCCTTTTTCTGGTGGAATATCATTGTGGTGTTCCTTAGAACGCTGCCAAGCAAGATATGATAGGGATGTTTCTTCAGTTGGGCCTTTGTCCGCCTTGCGGACAGGTGGTTAGGCAGGATGTTTCTCACGGCCTGAACCCCCATGGGATGTTTCACTTTGACCAAGGTCTGCAAAATAGCAAAGAACTGACAAAATGGTGCAGTTTGGACTCACAGGTGACCCTACCCACGCTCCTCTTCTTCTTCCCCATAGATCCCTACTCTGTGCTTCAACCTTCTTCTTCTCTGGATCAAACCCCTTCCTCAACCCGCATTCCTTCTTCTCATGAAGCCCCCTTGCTATCCAGTCTCTATCCTGTTCACCCAAAATAATGTCCTCCTGGCCTCTCCCTGTTTTCTTAACAGATGCCGGAGACCTCGAGTGGGTACTCAGACCCGCAACCTGCTCCGAAAAAACTAAAAACATCTGAGTCCTCGACCATACTAGTGGTTCGCTACAGGAGGAACTTTAAAAGAACATCTCCAGAGGAACTGGTGAATGACCACGCCCGAAAGAACAGAATCAACCCCCTCCAAATGGAGGAGGAGGAATTCATGGAAATAATGGTTGAAATACCTGCAAAGTAGCAAGAAGCTACATCTCTCAACCTTGGGCAATGACAATAAAGTTTGAGAAGCTGATGGCTGTGTATATCTCTGCCTGTTTTCTGATGGTGGGGGGTGAAGGGAAGGGAAGAGGTAGGCATTTGAGAAGGGAGGGATATGAGGTCCTGTAGGGTTGGTGGACAGACCCACAGGTTGACAGTAAGCCAGACATTGTAAATAAGGCCTGGGGGAGGACTGATTCCTAAAGAAAATTTTCTTCTTAAAATTTTATCTCACAGGAAGTGGAGATGTGTATATGTTCACGCAACTGTACCCAGCAGCACATAGTTCTGCTGAATGGACATATCAAAGGTATTCCCATCCCCTTTCCATTTGATATTTTCCTAGGCTAGAAATAGATGCTTTATAAAGAGTAAATGTTCTGTAAAACACAAAGCACAATACAAAAGAAGATAGTAGATGTAGGAGTAAGTAAACGGCAGGAAAGCATTGCTTGTGATGAAATGATTGAAAAGCCAATTCTAAAACAAAATGTTCAATGCATCTGAAATATTTGTTAGTGTTTTAATGACCTCAGCAGTCTTTAATCAAGATAAGTATACTTTAGAAATGTGTTGATATCCGCGAAGTGTGAATATTCAAAATCGCCATGACTTGGGAAAAGGAAAGTAAAACACTCTTAAGTATGAGGAACTTTTTCCCATGGAATGTGAACTGCAAGGTGGTGAGAAGGGTTAGGTGTGATGTGGTGAGATCATTTTTAGGAGAGTGTGTCTATTATCGGCTTCCTAACACTTCCATTTTGCATGATAATTTCCTGAAATTCATCATTTAATTAAGGCTATAGATTTTGATTACAATGTGTCTTAAAATGTCAAACAGTATAATATTTATACTGAAAAATAAAACTGCTTGGTGGATACACATCGGTTAGCGGGAAAAGACACCACAGGGATTCACCATGGAGTCACCCGTGGATGGGGTTTTAGTTTCTGTCTTTGAATTGACCTTCACATAGTGTCTACCTCTTGAGAGTTCAGGGGATGTTGGAGAGATCATTAGGTAAAACAAGAAGGTCTTCTCAGGATACATGAGGGAGTTAAATAGAAATGCAGGAGCAATTACAATTTTAGTTATTTGTAACTGTTGTTTGCTAAGTCATAACACTGTCATGGATAACATGAAAAAATAAAATATACTAAATATCAATAGACAAAAACCAGTTTGCTTTTCTCCAACCAAATACCTAAATACCTAGCACTGATTTCCAGAACAAAATCCCCACGTACCATCTTTGGAATAAAAGAATATTCTTTCAAGTTGTCGGACCACAAGGTAAAAACAAAAAATCCCAGTGCTTTTTTTCTTACTCTTTGATATGTACAATTGAAGGTATTCCTCATTGCAAACTAGTATTTCCACCCAGCACGAGACATTAAAGAATTTTTCATATTTAGGATAGTAATACGGGATCACATTCTTTAGCCTTAGGCATTGCAGAGGAAAAGCAAACAAACAAAAACAAACCAAAACTAAGCTGAGAGAGGCGGAGCAAGAAAAGCAGAATAGAAGGCTGCCCAGATCAGCCCCCTCGCAAGGACACAAATTTAGCAACTATCCACACAGTAGAAAACACCTCCATAAGAACCCAAAATCAGGGGAACTCTCATAGTACCTGGCGGTATCACTGAAAGAGGCACTGAAGAGTTAGAAGAAACAGTCTTAAATCGCTGACCCCACCCCTTCCCTATCCTAGGCAGTGGCAGTGTGGTGTAAAGAGCATCTCTGGAAGCTGGAAGAGCAAGAGCAGAGCAGTTGTGGGTCACTGAACTCGGTGCTGTCTCTTACAGGAGAAAGGAAAACCAGACCAAACTTAGCTGACTCCCATCTGGGAAGGGAGCATTGAAACCACCTCTAGAAAGAGGGAAATTACCCATCCCAGGAATCAGAACTTGAGTTTCTGCAAACCTTGCCACCAAGGGCTAAGAAACGGTTCCAGGTTTCTCAGACAACCTTAAAGGCAGTCTAGGCCATAAGATCTCTAACTCGTAGGTGAGTTCTAGCATAGAATTGGGCCCAGAGGCAGTGGATTGTGGCGGGTATGTGGAGGGGTGCACATGACCTCCTGAGATACCAGCTGGGGCAGCCAAGTGAGTGCTGGTGTCACCCCTGCCCTAGCCCCAGACTGCCCCAGCTAGCGGCTCCATAAAAGACCCCCTCCTTCCACTTGAGGAGATGGAATAGTGAGGAGCGTTTTTTTTCTTGCATCTTGAATACCAGCTCAACTACAGCGGGACAGGGCACCGGTCGGGGTTGTGAAGCCCCTGCTCCAGGCACTAGCTCCTGGATAACATTTCTAGACACACCCTAGGCCAGAAAGAAACCTGCTGCCTTGAAAGAAATGAAAAGAGAACACCTATACACTGTTTATGGGAATGTAACTTAGTTCAGCCATTGTAGAAAGCAGTTTGGTGATTTCTGCAAGAACTTAGAATTACCATTCATCTCAGCAATCACATTACTGGATATATACCCAAACGATATATATCATTCTACCATTAAGACATACGCATGCCTATGGTCTTGACAGCACTATTCGCAATAGCAAAGATTTTGAATCAACCTAAAGGCCCATCAGCAGCAGACTGGATAAAGACAATGTGGTACATAAACAGCACGGAATACTATGCAGCCATAAAAAAACGAGATCATGTCTTTTGCAGCAACATGGATGGAGCTGGAGGCCATTACTCTAAGCGAACTCACGTGGGAACAGAAAATGGAATACCACCTTTTTCCATTTATAAGCAAGAGCTAAACATCGGTACGCATGGACACAAAGAAGGGAACAACAGACACCCGTGTCTACTTGGGGGTAAAGGATGGGGAGGAGGGTGAGGGTTGAAAAGCTACCTATCATCTATTATGCTGATTACCTGGGTGATGAAATAATGTGTACACCAAACCCGTGTGACACGCAACTTCCCTATATAACGAGCCTGCACATGTACCCCTGAACCTAACATAAAAGTTAACAAAAATTTAAAAATAAAATAATAAAAAATTAAGAAGTCTCACAGAGGTAGAGCATAGAATGGTGGTGACTAGGGGCTCGGTGGTGGTGGCTGGAAAGACATTGCTCAAAGGATACCAAATTTCTGTTAGACTGAAGGAATAAGCTGCAGAGATACATTGTACCACACGGTGACTACAGGTGATCATAATATGTTGTATTATTGATGAATGCTAAGAGAGTAGATGGTAAGTGTTCTCAATACAAAATGATAACTTTGTGGGATGATGCATATGTTAATTAGCTATATTTATTCATTCTACAATGTATATACTTCAAACATTAGATACATGATAGACACATTCCATTTTATCTGTTCAGTTTAAAATAATAAAAATAAAGAAGAAAGACATGTCCAAGTGTTCTGCCTGGGAAGATGGGCCTGAGAGAGTCTTACATAGTTAATCACGTACTATGTTTTTCTGTGCAGGACAGCAGAGGGAGTGGGGCTACCCGAGAGCAGCACATAGTCAGTAAATGGCCTATAACAGCTCTACTTCCTTTCTTGAAGAATCAGAATGGTGAAAGAAACCAGTTTAATGTTTCTCATGCCCCTAAGAAGGACACTAAAGTGTTTTAAAGAGAGTTGGATCTGAAGGTGCCCTGTGGTTGGGCTTGAGGGATGACATGAAAATGTTCTGCATGAATCAGCCATTTAGGGCCAGATGGGATGATACGCATCTCAGGAGATGTTCGATGGATACAACATTGGGAAATTCTGAGATTCTGAATTGATTAAGTGTGAGACTCACGCATATTAAGTGCAATTACATAAAATGGCATTGCATTTCTCATTCGGCCAAGCATTGTAACCAGGTATATTCATGTGCCAGCTATTTCAATAAAAAGTGGTATCTCTCACAACCATTTGCATTCCAATACAATTTTCTGAATGTAAGAGAAACAGATATAGTTACAAGCAAGGTGTTAATCAATGAGAATAGTTTGCATCTCATCTTCTCTATTCTGCAGAAAGGCCCTTGAAGAGCATATTGCATCATTTTCTTCATAGCCAAGAAAATCAAGAATCACTGATCTGGCCAGGTGCAGTGGCTCATGCCTGTAATCCCAGCACTTTGGGAGGCCGACGCGGGTTGATCACCTGAGGTCAGGAGTTTGAGACGAGCCTGGCCAACATGGTGAAACCCTGTCTCTGCTAAAATACGAAAAAAAATCAGCTGGGCGTGGTGGCGGGCGCCTGTAATCCCAGCTACTAGGGAGGCTGAGGCAGGAGAATTGCTTGAATCCAGGCAGTGGAGGTTGCAGTGAGCCGAGATCGTGCCACTGCACTCCGGCTTGGGTGACAGAGCCAGACTCTATCTCAAAACAACAAAAACAAAAACAAGAAATCACCGATCCATTTGAAAGTCAGCAAATATTTTGTCATTGACTAAATATAGATCCTAGAGAGTGATCCCCATGCACCACACTACAACTTAAGACTGATTCTATTTCTTAATCATCCTTTGGAGGTCATCACGTTTTTGAACTCTTGTAATAACAGGGGACTTCAACTCATTTCAGACAGCAAACCTCGTCCTGTGTTATCTTATGCTCTGGGAGGAATCTAAAAGACAAGGAAGTAAGGAAGAAAGAAAGGAAGGAAGGGAGGGAGGGAGGGAGGGAGGGAGGGAGGAAAGGAGAAGAGGAGAGAAGAGAGGAGACGAGCTTAAACCTAAATTGGTAGAAAGCTTCACAAGTCTGAATACTTAACAAGTTAAATTAAGTAGCTAAAGATGTTTTTGAAAATCATCTGAGCAAACAAAAAATGATTCTGAAAAATATTTGGTAATGTAATAATGACAATGGGTTATTTCTTCTATCCTTGATCTCCTACAATATATTTTAAGCCACATCATGTTTTTCCTTTGATGAAAGCTCCACAGAGTTTTCATCTTGATTAAAATAAAATCCAAATTCCTAATAAGGCCGTACATGATGTGGGCACCTATTACCTCTCTGACATTAATACTTATTCTTCTCATGAATCACTCTGCTTCTATCACACTCCCCAATCTGTGACTCTTGTAACTCACCACGCATGTGATTCCTCTAACCTGCCATCCATATCAGGGTCTTTGCATACTACTACTGCCTGGAAGGTTCTTCTCTAAAATATCCACTATGTATCCTAATTTTCTTTTCTTTTCTTTTTCTTTCCTTCTTTCTTTTTCTTTCTTTTTTTTTTTTTTTTTTTTTTTTGAGATGGAGCCTTGCTTTGTCGGCTAGCCTGGAGTGCAGTGGTGCACTCTCGGCTCTCTGCAACCTCCACCTCCTGGTTTCAAGCAATTCTCCTGCCTCAGCCTCCTGAGTAGCTGAGATTACAGGCGCCTGCTACCACGCCTGGCTAATGTTTGTAGTTTTAGTATAGATGGGGTTTCATTGGTTGGCCAGGCTGGTCTTGAACACCTGACCTCGTGATCTGCCTGCCTTCCCCTCCCAAAGTGCTGAGATTACAATCGTGAGCCACCACGCCCAGCCTGTGTATCCGAATTTTCTTAAGGTCACTAGTCAGAAGTCACTTTATTGGAAAGGCTATCCTCCATTTAATGGTGAAGACGTTAAATGGCACTTGTACTTCTTTCCAAAAAAATGATACTTTTATCAGTTATTTTACTACAGTACCTGGAACATGTAAACATGCAAGAAATATTTGGTGAATGAATGCACGTTAATCTGAATTTAGTATTGCAGTCTTCATTACTAGAAAGCATTTACATGTTTTAACTGTCAGGGAGCAACACTGGTAAGTGATTAATTCCCTATCCATAAAATGGATAGAGTACTATTCATGCTACATGTTCTCACAGTTGTGGCAAGGGTTATTAAATTGCCAGCTGTAGTACTAAACTTATATTAATGTTGTACTCATTAGTATTACTCTTGTTATGTTCAGAGGAAATATGGAATAAAAGTAAGATCATGGGCCTGGTTCAAATCTGAAATTCTGCTACGCCCTAGTTGGGTGATCCAGGTCAAGTTTCTTAACTCCTCTGAGTCTTAGATTCTTCGTATGAAAAATGGAAAAAATGCTAGCACCTACTTCTCAGGATTGTTTTGAAAAACAAATTAATTAATATATTTAAGCTTTTAGCACAGAGCCTAGTACATACTGTGTGTGCAGTAATTACAAACTATTACTAGTGAGTATAATAGGATGTGAAAATTCATGACATCAAACAACTAGAACCGAGATTTATACACACACACACACACACACACACACACACGCAGACATATGTACACACACACACACACACACACATATTTTTTTTTGCAAGAGTCTAGCTCTGTTGCCCAGGCTAGAGTGCAGTGGCTTGATCTCGGCTCACTGCAACCTCTGTCTGCCGGGTTCAAGCAATTCTTCTACCTCAGCCTCCTGAGCATCTGGGACTACAGGCGCGTGCCACCATGCCCGGGTAATTTTTTGTATTTTTAGTAGAGATGGGGTTTCACCATGTTCGCCAGGACGGTCTTGATCTCCTGACCATGTGATCCACCTGCCTCACCCTCCCAAAGTGCTGGGATTACAGTGTGAGCCACCATGCCTGGCCAGATTTTTGCAATAGAGAAAGCATTGGACATCATTTTATCATAGAATATTAAAGCTGGAAGAGACCATAGGATCATAGGAACCCACAGTCTCTTGCAAGAATCCAGGTCTCCAAACTCAGAAACATGCTGATTGTTCCTTCCTGAAAATGCACATTAGGCATGGCATAGCTTTTGCAATCAGTGACGATACCAAGGCATCAGGGGCTAGAGGCTTAGGACATCACCGACAAAGCAGGAGTATTGCCATCTTGAACAAGCTCTGTCATTTTAAAATTCACCTTAATCAAAAACCACCAAAAGCCAAAGGGCATCAGCCTAATGGCTAAGGTCAGCATGACCATAAACCACAAATAACATCTCCAACCAGAAACATTCCAGACTCCTCCCTGACCAGAAACAAACTAGCCCCAAGATAACCCCACCCTGGCCAGGAAGATGCCAGCCCCAAGATAACCTCCTCCCCTCCACCCAGAGGCGTGGTCTCGGCTCACTGCAACCTCTGCCTCCTGGGTTCAAGCCATTCTCCTGTCTCAGCCTGCCAAGTAGCTGGGACTACAGGCGTTTGCCTCCGCAGCTGGCTAATTTTTGTATTTTTAGTAGAGACAGGGTTTCACTATGTTGGCCCAGCTGGTCTCGGAACTCCTGACCTCAAGATCCGCCCACCTCGGCCTCCCAAAGTGCTGGGATTACAGGCGTGAGCCACCGTGCCCAGCCGCGTTTATGTTTTTCTCTTCATAAATTTTGTTTTCCTGGAAAAGGTTTTTTCCTGGTCGACTAAATTACTTTTCTCCACTCTGTCTTGCCACTCTTGGTGCATGTATGAAAGACCCTGAAATGACTCCTGGTGGCCTGGGACTCCTTGGGAAAACAAAAAAGGTGCCACAAATCCCGTTTTGGGAAAAACCTCTGTTTTCCTTATGAAACCCCTAGACTTAAAGATAAATAAGTACCTCTCAAAGTTCTGTCTTTGTCTTCCAACTGTACTTGTTCATTAGGCCCTAGAAACTGCTTTCTTAGCCCTGTTCTTAAAAGGCCTCACCCGAAGGCCAATAATCCAATTGGAAAATTAGCAGAAAAAAAATCTCATAACTACTCAATCTTCTTCTGATTGTCTGTGTGGCTATATATGTTTTATGTGTGCGATGTCTATTAAAAGAACTCTAATTAACTGGCCAAAAAAATAAGCACTTAAATCAAATATTTTTAAGGGAAAAGTAAAAGCTGTGGGACCTTTCAGTTCTCGTAATTTTAATCTTTAGAACTTACCGGTACAGCAAAGTTAAAAGTTGAGTTGAAAGTCGTTAAGAGGTGCCAGCGTACGTTTTTATTTGCATTTATTAATCAAGCAATTTCATACTTATGGCTGCAAAATACTATAAGGTGTCAACATTTGGCACAGAGGCTACAAAACGACAACTCAGCCCAAACAAAATAATCTTTGCTTGTGTAATTTTTTCAATAAATAAAGCATGAATATTGGTTTAACGAAGATAGCTATATCTTAAACTATTTAGTAAAATATGCTAACTTCTAACCTTGTGGCCTTAGGCAGTCTAGTCCACAGACATGAAGGAAATTTGTTTTGGGAAAGAACTGTTATCATCTTTAATATTAAAGAAAAGATAATTGGTATAAGAAAGAATCTCACATGGTAAATTTTTGTCCTAAAGTAAATTAACTGTTGTTTAGAAAAAGGGATGACTTTACAACAAGTCAGAAAGGTAAGGCATGTCAGAAATTGTCTGTGAAAGTCCTGAAGAATTTTATAAAAGGGAATTTGTGCAAGAAATGTCGCACAATTTAAAAGTAATTCGGCCTCCTCAATGCTGTATACAATTTCACTCTAACTCTTAGCTGTACAGCTTGCCTGCTTTGCAGCTGAATAAACCCTAGGACACATGGAGTTAAATGCTGGAATAAGCCAGATCTTCTCCGCACTTCCGTCTGGGTCCTAGGCCCTACACCTAGTGCGTAATTAGATTCCCAGACTTACCAAGGTTTTCATCAAAAGTAAAGGTTGCTAAAAGTTAGCAGTGTAACACGTATTTAAAACTACCGAAGAAATAGTTTATGAGCAAGGTGTGTAAGGAAAGTAAAATATACTTTTGGTAAAAAGATTATAAGGAGGCCTAAGAATGTGGATTTTTGCCTACATTAAAAGGTTAAAAAATTGTTTTAAAGGTTTAAGCAACTTTTGGAAGGTTAATTGTAAAGAAAGTTTCGTGTGTGTACATACTGGCTAAAGTTAAAGGGGTATCATTCAGGTTTTCTGTAAATCGAGCATTAAAATAAAAGCACAATGGGTTTCTGTTAAAGCACTAACCTGCTCTTTAACAAAAAGTATAAACGGTTAAAAAGGGTCTATAAAAACCTTACCTTCCGGTCAAACATGAACATTGGGTAAATGCGTCTACAAGGTTTTATGAAAAATGGAGCTTAACATTAATAGCACACTAATACAATGGTAAAATTCGGCTTATTTGATATAAAATCATACAGGAAGCATTGTCAAATATAAAATGGTATTTGGCTTTCTTTGGGCTATAGTTGTATAAATATGCTATTGGGATGTGTTCCAAAGTTATGGCAGATTCCTATCATTCTAATATATCTTAGTGTACGTTATCACTAATAATTATAATTGTTTTGTTAAAATTATTGTGTGCCACAGAGGTAACGGATATCTTTGTCAACTGTGTCTTTAACTATGGCTACCCTAAAACTTTTTGTCATCCATAAACAATTGTTGTCTTGTTTTAGTCCTCTTCAAAGGGTGGTTTTCTAATCAGCTATACAGCTCTGATTGCAGGTTTCTGATAAAAAGCAGGACAGGAATTAACTGCATAAACCAAACTAATAGGAAACTAATCTGTTTAACGTTTTGCTTAAAATATTGCTAACCCTTTGTTTTGCCTTTCAAAGTCAAAGAAACTCTTTTTAAGCGATTAACAGCTTTTAACTGTTAACTGTTAACTGCTAACTCCCATATGTATGGGAGTTAACTGTTCACTTTTAACTGTTTAACTTTTAACTGTTAACTCCCATCAACAAAATTTGGAGGATACTTGTTTCTCTCTACCTGATTCTCTCCAAAATTTGGAAACTATCTATGAGTATTCTTAAGTTATGGCAATATAGTTATTTGCATAAATACAACAAGAATCTGTTTTCTTTTGTAACGGGACACGATTGGAAAAACTGGTTATTCTTACCAAGGCTTTAACTGGAATGGTGTGCTTTTCCTTTAAGGAATCCAGCTTTAACTTATAAAGCCAATAAAGCCCTTGAAAAACTGGCCTCATATTTTGTGTACACAGTCCCCGTACAGGGGTTGTGATCTGTGGTAAATAAAACATGTCACTTTCTACCAGGCCAGGAACCCTAAGTTATCTTGAAACATCAAGAGGAGAGGAATTCACCCAACTCATAGGTATTTAATGGTACAAATCCATGGCTGGGCTTGGCTTTCAAAAGTCTTTTATCTCAGATTGCTTCTACAAAACCAAATTCCATCAAAGCCCATTTAAAAGGCCTATGTAACAAATAATTATTCTTGCAGCACTGTATGCAAATAAGTAAGCCAAGTATCCTAAAGCAAACCTACCATAATTTGTCTTTTAATAAAAATGGGAAAGTGGAGAGAGGAAATTATGTTTCCAAAACTATGACATCCCTCTTGTTAAATTCTAGAGTTGCCTGATGTTTTTCAGTTATTATTTGCTACTGTTTAAATTAAGTTCTAATTTTTCTGACTACAAGACTTCAAAATAAGCTGTGCTTTCTTAAAGCCCTATAAACTGGAAACTAGATGTTTCAGCAGGCACTGCCTCTAAGCCCCCTAACCCTCACAGGAGCAAATAAAGAAATAGGAAATCGTAAGCTAAAAATCATAAAAAATAAATAACCGAGAAAGAATTGCTCGTCTTACTCAGTCTCACCCCTACCTCACCATACACTTTTGTCATTCCTACCTCTCCTTTCAAGCCAAATATTACAACTTTTTAATGGAAATTATTGACTACACCACCCTTGTGGAAACTGCTTTACTCACTCTACTATTTGCAGTAAAACTATATACTGTAGCACCCTCAGGGTAAAATGTCAGACAAAAACAATCTCAATTACTGTAGCATTTTGCTTAATTATTAGCATCTTAGCAGGAATAACGCTTACTAACAGAAACTAACACATGGGCCTTTCCAAACATGTGCTTCTACCTCTCATTAGGTAAGGAATATTGTTTCTTTATCAACCAATCAGGCCTAGTTAAAAAACGCTGCTAAAACAAACATAAAGAAAAGGCTAAAAAGCTAAGGGAGTACCAAAACAACCAAATAAGTTCTTGGTTTGGGAACACAATCATAGCATGGGTCATCGTATTTCTGGGCCCTCTCCTAATAATATGCCTGGGACTAATTTTCTTACCCTGCCTAATTAACCTTTCTCGGAAAATTTTAACTAACAGGATCACGGCCATTTCACAGACAACTACCCAAAAACATCTACAGACGGCATTGCTCCTACTGTCAACCCAAAAAACTCTCCGTCCCCTCGTCAGCAGGAAGTAATTTTCATTTCAGGGAGATCTTCCAATTTATTCACATACAGTTTCCCACGGTCACCACAAGAGCCCTTTGAATTTTTGCAGCTTTAGCCTGTAATGTCTCCTTTCAATTTTGGAGTTTATTTATCTCGATCTTCTCTCCTTTTTCTTCCTTAGATTGGCTACAGGTTTCTCAATTTTGTACAGCTTTAAAAAAAAACCCAACTTTTTGTTTCCTTGATAGTGTTTTGACTTTCTTCATTTTACTTTCATTTATTTCTGCTCTGGTCTTTTATTATTTCTTTTCTTCTACTGATTTGGGGTTCAGTTTGAGCTTATTTTTCTGTTTTTTTAAGATGCGTCATGAATTATTTGCAGGTGTTCCTCTTTTTCAATGTAGGCACTTATAGCTATAAACTTCCCTCTTAATACTGCTTTTGCTGTATCCCATGGGTTTTGGTATGTTGTGTTTCCATGATCATTTATTTTGAGAAATTTTACAATTTAGTTTTTAATTTCTTCATTGACCTGTGGGTCATTCAGGAGCATATTTTTTTTTAATTCTATGGATTTGTATAATTTTCAAAGTTCCCCTTGTTATTTTCGGGATTTTCTTTTTTTGTTTTTTGGTGGTCAGAGAAGAAGCTTGATATTATTTCAATTTCTTTGAATGTTGATGTTTTAAGACTTGTTTTATGACCTAACATATATTCTAACCTTGAGAATGATCCACGTGCTGGGTAAAAGGTGTATTTTGCAGTCCTTGGAAGAAGTGTTTTGTAAATGTCTGTTACATCCATTTGGTCTGTAATGTACATTAAGTGTGATGTTTCTGTGTTGATTTTATGTCTGGAAGAACTGTCCAATGCTGAAAGTAGGGTGTTGAAGCCCCCAGCCATTATGCTATTGGGACCTATCTCTCCCATTAGTTGTAATAGTGTTTCCTTTATATACCTTGGTGCTACAGGGTTGGGTGCAAATATATGTAAAGTTCTTATAGGCTTTTGTTGAACTGATCCCTTCATTATTATATAGTGACTTTTTTTCCTCTTACATTTTGTGTCTTGAAATCTATTTTGTTTCCAAGGAATATAGCTAATCCTGCTTCTTTTTGGTTCCATTCGCATGGAGCATCTTTTTCTATCGCTTTATTTTCAGTCTACGTGTGTCTTTAGAAGTGAAGTGTGTTTCTGGCAGGCAACAGATCAATGTGTCTTGTTTTTTCATACATTCAGCCAGTCTATGTCTTTTCATGGAAGAGTTTAGCCCATTTACATTCAATGTTACTATTGATAAGTAGGAACTTACTCCTGTCATTTTCATTTTTATGTTCAGATGTTTTTGTGATCTTATCTTCCTTCTTTCGTTCCTTTCTGTCTTTTCTTAGTGAGGATGATTTTTCTGTGGGTAGATGATTTAGTTCCTTGCCTTTGAATTTTTGTGTATATATTGCATGTTCTTTAGTTTCAGGTTACCTTGAGGCTTGCAAATAATATCTTATAAACCATTATTTTTAATCTGATATTTACTTAAGACGATCTTGACAAACAAACAGCAAACAAAAATAAAACTAATAAAGCTGCATCTTAACTTTGTCCCACCGCTTTCTAATTTTTTGTCATTTCCTTTTGTATCTCATTGTGTTGACTATGTCTTGAAAAGTTGTGCTTTTCCATTTTGACTGGTTTATCCTTAGTCTTTCTACTTAGAATAAGAGCGGTTTACACACTACAGTTACTTTTTTATAATATTCTGTCTTTCTGTGTACTTACAATGACCACTGAGTTTTGTACCTTCCGTTGATAACTTATTGTTCAGTACTGTCCTTTTCTTTCTGATTGAAATACTCCTTGTAACATTTCTTGCAGGACAGGGCTAGTGATGATGAAATCCCTCAGGTTTTGATTCTCTGGGCCCATTTTTATTTCTCCTTCATGTTTGAAGGATAGTTGTTGCAGATATATTATTCTAAGGTTAAAATTTTTTTCTTTCAGCACTTTAAATATGTCATGCCACTCTCTCCGGGCCTGTAAGGTTTCCACTGAAAAGTCTGCTGCCAGACATATTGGAGCTCCATTGGATGTTATTTGTTTCTCTTCTCTTGCTGCTTTAAGAAAAATTCTTTATCCTTGATTTTTGGGAGTTTCATTACTGAATAACTTGAAGCACCCTTCTTTCAGTTAAGTCTCCTTGGTGTTCTATAACATTCTTGTACTTGGATATGTGTCTCTTTCTCTAGGTTTGGGAAGTTCTCTATTATAATCTCTTTGGAGAAACTTTCTACTCCTATGTGTTTCTGTACCTCCTCCTTAAGGCCAATAACTCTTAGATTTGTCCTTTTGAAGCTATTTTCTAGATCCTGTAGACATGCTTCATTGCTTTCTACTCGGTTTTTCTTTTGTCTTTTCTGACAAAAGACTATTTTCAAATAGCCTTTCTTCAAGCTTATTAATTCCATCTTCTGTTGATTGATTCTGCTATTAACAGAATTTGAGAGATTCTGCAGCCTATCACTTGCATTTTTCAGCTCTACAATCTCTGCTTGATTCATTTTCATTCTTTGAAACTTATTGTTAATTTTCTGTCTCGCTGATCTGTCTAATGTTGACAGTGGGTTGTTAAAGTCTCCCATTATTATTGTGTGGGAGTCTAGGTCCCTTTGTAGGTCTCTAAGGACTTCCTTTATGAATCTGGGTGCTCCTGTATTGGCTGCGTATATATTTAGGATAGTTAGCTCTTCTTGTTGAATTGATCCCTTTACCATTATGGAATGGCCTTCTTTGTCTCTTTTGATCTTTATTGGTTTAAAGTCTGTTTTATCAGACACTAGGATTGCAACCCCTGCCTTGTTTTGTTTTCCATTGGCTTGGGAGATCTTCCTCCATCCCTTTATTTTCAGCCTATGTGTGTCTCTGCACGTGAGATGGGTTTCCTGAATACAGCACACTGATGGGTCGTGACTCTTTATCCAATTTGCCAGTCTGTGTCTTTTAATTGGAGCATTTAGCCCATTTACATTTAAGGTTAATATTGTTATGTGTGAATTTGATCCTGTCATTATGATGTTAGCTGGTTATTGTGCTCCTTAGTTGATGCAGTTTCTTCCTAGCCTCGATGGTCTTTACACTTTGGCATGTTTTTGCAGTGGCTCTACTGGTTGTTCCTTTCCATGTTCAGTGCTTCCTTCAAGAGCTCTTTCAGGGCAGGCCTGGTGGTGACAAAATCTCTCAGCATTTGCTTGTCTATAAAGGATTTTATGTCTCCTTCACTTATGAAGCTTAGTTTGGCTGGATATGAATTTCTGGTGAAAATTCTTTTCTTTAAGAATGTTGAATATTGGCCCCCACTCTCTTCTGGCTTGTAGAGCTCCTGCCGAGAGATCAGCTGTTAGTCTGACCGGCTTCCCTTACTGGGTAACCCGACCTTTCTCTCTGGCTGCCCTTAATATTTTTTCCTTCATTTCAACTTTGGTGAATCTGACAATTATATGTCTTGGAGTTGCTCTTCTCGAGGAGTATCTTTGTGGCGTTCTCTGCATTTCCTGAATCTGAATGTTGGCCTGCCTTGCTAGATTGGGGAAGTTCTCCTGGATAATATCCTGCAGAGTGGTTTCCAGCTTGGTTCCATTCTCCCCATCACTTTCAGGTACACCAATCAGACGTAGATTTGCTCTTTTCACATAATCCCGTATTTCAAGGAGGCTTTGTTCATTTCTTTTTATTCTTTTTCTCTAAACTGCTCTTCTCGCTTCATTTCACTCATGTGATCTTCCATCACTGATACCCTTTCTTCCAGTTGATCACATTGGCTACTGAGGCTTCTGCATTCATCATGTAGTTCTCGTGCCTTGGTTTTCAGCTCCATCAGGTCCTTTAAGGACTTCTCTGCATTGCTTATTCTAGTTAGCGATTCATCAATTTTTTTTTCAAGGATTTTAACTTCTCTGCCATTGGTTCGAACTTCCTCCTTTAGCTCAGAGTAGTTTGATCGTCTGAAGCATTCTTCCTTCAACTCGTCAAAGTCATTCTCCGTGCAGCTTTGTTCTGTTGCTGGTGAGGAGCAGCGTTCCTTTGGAGGAGGAGAGGCACTCTGATTTTCAGAGATTCCAGTTTTTCTGCTCTGTTTTTTCCCCATCTTTGTGGTTTTATCTACCTTTGGTCTTTGATGACGGTGACGAACAGAAGGTGTTTGCGGGGGATGTCCTTTCTGTTTGTTAGTTCTCCTTCTGGAATTGAACTCAGCTCTGCACCAAGCGGACCGAATAGACATCTACAGAACTCTCCACCCCAAATCAACAGGATATACATTCTTCTCAGCACCACATCGCTCTTATTCCAAAACTGACCACATAGTTGGAAGTCAAGCACTCCTCAGCAAATGGAAAAGAACAGAAATTATAACAAACTGTCTCTCAGACCACAGTGCAATCAAACTAGAACTCAGGATTCAGAAACTCACTCAAAACCACTCAACTACATGGAAACTGAACAACCTGCTCCTGAATGACTACTGGGTACATAACGAAATGAAGTCAGAAAAAAAGATGTTCTTTGAAATCAACGAGAACAAAGACACAACATACCAGAATCTCTGGAACACATTCAAAGCAGTGTGTAGAGGGAAATTTATAGCACTAAATGCCCACAAGAGAACGCAGGAAAGATCTAAAATAGACACCCTAACATCACAATTAAAAGCACTAGAGAAGCAACAGCAAACACATTCAAAAGCTAGCAGAAGGCAAGAAATAACTAAGATCAGAGCAGAACTGAAGGAAATAGACATACAAAAAAACGCTTCAAAAAAACCAATGAATCCAGGAGCTGGTTTTTTGAAAAGATCAACAAAATTAATAGACCGCTAGCAAGACAAATAAGGAACAAAAGAAAGAAGAATCAAATAGACACAATAAAAAATAATAAAGGGGATATCACCACCGATCCCACAGAAATACAAACTACCATCAGAGAATACTATAAACACCTCTATGCAAATAAACTAGAAAATCTAGAAGAAATGGATAAATTATTCGACACATACAGCAACCCAAGACTAAACCAGGAAGTTGAATCTCTGAATAGACAAATAAAAGGATCTGAAATTGAGGCAATAATTAATAGCTTACCAACCAAAAAAAGTCCAGGACCAGATGGATTCACAACCGAATTCTACCAGAGGTACAAGAAGGAGCCGGTACCATTCCTTCTGAAACGATCCCAATCAACAGAAAAAGAAGGAATCCTCCCTAACCCATTTGATGAGGGCAGCATCATCCTGATACCAAAGCCGGGCAGAGACACAACAAAAAAAGAGAATTTTAGATCAGTATCCCTGATGAACATCGATGCAAAAATCCTCGATAAAATACTAGCAAACCGAATCCAACAGCACATCAAAAACCTTATCCACCATGATCAAGCGGGCTTCATCCCACAGATGCAAGGCTGCTTCAACATACGCAAATCAAGAAATGTAATCCAGCATATAAACAGAACCAAAGACAAAAACCATATGATTATCTCAATAGATGCAGAAAAGGCCTTTGACAAAACTCAACAACCCTGCATGCTAAAAACTCTCAATAAATTAGGTATTGATGGGACATATCTCAAAATAGTAAGAGCTATCTATGACGAACCCACAGCCAATATCATACTGAATGGGCAAAAACGGGAAGCATTCCCTTTGAAAACTGGCACAAGACAGGGATGCCCTCTCTCACCACTCCTATTCAATATAGTGTTGGAAGTTCTGGCCAGGGCAATCGGGCAGGAGAAAGAAATAAAGGGTATTCAATTCGGAAAAGAGGAAGCCAAATCGTCCCTGTTTGCAGATGACATGATTGTATATCTAGAAAACCCCATCGTCTCAGCCCAAAATCTCCTGAAGCTGATAGGCAACTTCAGCAAAGTCTGAGGATACAAAATCAATGTGCAAAAACCACAAGCACTCTTATAACACCAATAACAGACAAACAGAGATCCAAATCATGAGTGAACTCCCATTCAAAACTGCTTCAAAGAGAATAAAATACCTAGAAATCCAACTTACAAGGGATGTGAAGGACCTCTTCAAGGAGAACTACAAACCACTGTTCAATGAAATAAAAGAGGACACAAACAAATGGAAAAACATTACAGGCTCATGGATAGGAAGAATCAACATCGAGAAAATGGCCATACTGCCCAAGGTAATTTATAGATTCAATGCCATCCCCATCAAGCTACCAATGACTTTCTTCACAGAATTGGAAAAAACTACTTTAAAGTTCACATGGAACCAAAAAAGAGCCCGCATTGCCAAGTCAATCCTAAGTCAAAAGAACAAAGCTGGAGGCATCACGCTACCTGACTTCAAACTATACTACAAGATTACAGTAACCAAAATAGCATGGTACAGGTACCAAAACAGAGATACAGACCAATGGAACAGAACAGAGCCCTCAGAAATAATACCACACATCTACAACCATCTGATCTTTGACAAACCTGACACAAAACAAGAAATGGGGAAAGGATTCCCTATTTAATAAATGGTGCTGGGAAAACTGGCTAGCCATGTGGAGAAAGCTGAAACTGGATCCCTTTCTTACACCTAATATGAAAATTAATTCAAGATGGATTAGACTTAAATGTTAGACCCAAAACCATAAAAACCCTAGAAGAAAACCTAGGCAATACCATTCAGGACATAGGTATGGGCAAGGACTTCATGACTAAAATACCAAAAGCAATGGCAACAAAAGCCAAACCTTGACAAATGGGATCTAATTAACCTAAAGAGCTTCTCTTCTGCACAACAGAAGAAACTACCATCAGCGTGAACAGGCAACCTACAGAATGGGAGAAAATTTTTACACTCTACCCATCTGACAAAGGGCTAATATCCAGAATCTACAAAGAACTTAAACAAATTTACAATAAAAAAAATCAAACAACCCCATCAAAAAGGGGGCAATGGATATGAACAGACACTTCTCAAAAGAAGACATTTATGCAGCCAAAAGACACACGAAAAAATGCTCATCATCACTGGCCATCAGAGAAATGCAAATCAAAACCACAATGAGATACCATCTCACACCAGTTAGAATGGCGATCATTCAAAAGTCAGGAAACAACAGGTGCTGGAGAGGATGTGGAGAAATAGGAACACTTTTACACTGTTGGTGGGACTGTAAACTAGTTCAACCATTGTGGAAGACAGTGTGGCTATTCCTCAAGGATCTAGAACTAGAAATACCATTTGACCCAGCCATCCCATTACTGGGTACATACCCAAAGGATTATAAATCATGCTATAAAGACACATGCACACGTATGTTTATTGCGGCATTATTCACAATAGCAAAGACTTGGAACCAACCCAAATGTCCATCGATGATAGACTGGATTAAGAAAATGTGGCACATATACACCATGGAATACTATGCAGCCATAAAAAACGATGCGTTCATGTCCTTTGTAGGGACATGGATGAAGCTGGAAACCATCATTCTCAGCAAACTGTCGAAAGGACAGAAAACCAAACACCACATGTTCTCACTCATAGGTAGGAACTGAACAATGAGAACACTTGGACACAGGATGGGGAACATCACACACTGGGGCCTGTCAGGGGGTGGGGAGAGTGGGAAGGGATAGCATTAGCAGATATATCTAATGTAAATGACGAGTTAATGGGTACAGCACACCAACATGGCACATGTATACATGTGTAACACACTTGCACGTTGTGCACATGTACCCTAGAACTTAAAGTATAAGAAAATAATAATAATAATTAGAGGAAGACACAAACACACACACACAAAAAGAAAAAGTAAAAAACAAATACTAGTTGTTAATACCTTCAAAACACATTTCCTTTTTTTTTTTTTGAGACGGAGTTTCGCTCCTGTTGCCCAGGCTGGAGTGCAATGGCGCAATCTTGGCTCACCGCAACTTCTGCCTCCCGGGTTCACGTGTTTCTCCTGCCTCAGCCCCCTGAGTAGCTGGGATTACAGGCATGTGCCACCATGGCCGGCTAATTTTGTATTTTTAGTAGAGATGAGGTTTTTCCATGTTGGTCAGGCTGGTCTCAACTCCTGACCTCAGGTGATCCACCCGCCTCAGCCTCCCAAAGTGCTGGGATTACAGACGTGAGCCACCACGCCCAGCCCAGAATACATTTTCAAATCAAATAATGTCCAATATCATTTTTTTTTAAACAAGGTCTCCCTCTGTTGCTCACGCTGGCGTGCAGTGGTGCGATCTCAGCTCACTGCGGCCTCACCTCCAGGGCTTATGAAATCCTTCCACCTCAGTCTCTGAGCAGCTGAGGCTACAGGTGCATGCCACCATGCCCAGCTAATTATGTGTAGTGGTTGTTATTATTATTATTATTATTATTATTATTATTATTATTATTATTTTTGTAGAAACAAGGTCTCACTATGTTGCCTAGGTTCTTCTGGAACTTCTTAGCTCAAGAGATCCTCTTGCCTCAGCCTCCCAAAGTGCTGGGATTACAGGTGTGTGCCACCATCTCCAGCCTAAGATAATTTTAGAAGAAGATTAATGAGAGGAAGTTATATCCTACCAGATATTAAAACCTTATAATCATGTATTTAACGAGGTAATTACACAAGTATATGTAGATGTAAAGATGTGCCATAGGGAGTGCTCACAAAGATTCTATGTGTTTCCCTATATTTTATAGCCTGTTTTATAATCAGATTGAGATGGTCTCAAAATTGACTAGCTCTGGGCAGTGAACCGGGTGCAGAAAACATACACATCATTTTAAGGTTGAGGCAGTTATGCCCCCATGTGGCTTCTTCATTCTTTTCTTCTGTCACAGTGACCTTGACAACCATGAGTTGACAAGGAAATGAACAAGACGGAGGAAGCCTGGCTCCATAAGGTATTGGATGCAAGAGTCTCTGCTCACCCAGATAGAAGTTTCATTCATCAGAAAACAAACCTTTGTTATGTTAAATCACTGAGATTTTATTTTGTGATTGTCGTGGAGTCAGCACGGCCTAGCATTACTCTTACGAATACAAACGCCAATAAAAAGATATTAGTATTTATCTACTGTTAAAAATAAACTAGTAGAAAGAGAATGTGCTATTCGCTAAATGGAAAACTATTTTAACCATTTCCACAACAAACTGTAGGCAAACTAGGAAAATGTATAATTTTTAAAGTATGCATAAAAGAGCTATCAAAACTAATAACTATATAGGAAAGATTTCTTTTTTAGTTCACTTTCTTTTTCTTCTACCAACTTTGTGTCTTTTTCTTCTTTCCTTTTTTTTTTTTTTTTTTATCTTTTTGAGACGAATGCTCGCTCTGTCACCAGGCTGGAGCGCAGTGGCGCGATCTCAGCTCACTGCAACCTCTGCCTCCCAGGTTCAAGCAATTCTCCTGCCTCAGCCTCCCGAGTAGCTGGGATTACAGGCACATGCCACCACGCCCAGCTCATTTTTGTATTTTTAGTAGAGACAGGGTTTCAGCATGTTGGCCAGGTTGGTCCCAAACTCTTGACCTCAGGTGATCCACCCGCCTCGGCATCCCAAAGTGCTAGGATTACAGGCGTGAGCCACCGTTATATCTTTTTATGCAATGATTGCTAATTCCTATGCATTTATGCAATGCCTTCCTATGGTAGATAGCAATGATGGCCATATTATTTTACCCCTTCCTGAATCTACCCTTACATGATTTTGCTTTCTAAAGAAAAATGTAAACTTTCTAAAGAAAAAGCACAAGGTCGTCACAATTTTATTATAAACCTGATATTTGCTAATACTCTCTGTCATGCCATAGAATTCAGAATAAGATGGGCTCTTGGATTTAATCTAAGAGGATTTACTTTTTCAAGCATTACAAGGCCTTTTACTTGTTGTTTTCTTCCACCTGTGTGATGATATTTCAACAGGAATCCCAAAGTTACTGCTAAAGTTAGACTCTGGTATATTATGAGAACATAGCTGTGTCATCTTTGGGTTTCTCTTCAAATATTGAACATGTCCAGCAATGCATTTCAGCTACGTACTCAGCTGTCGTCAGATTTACACGTTTGGCCCAAACAAGCAAGTAGCCCTTGGTGGAGACAAATGGAAATACTTCTGAGGAAAATATAATGATGGTTTATTATAAATAGAATTCCATATCATATTGTACCAGAAGAGATCTCAATTTCAAGGAAATCTGTTTCCTTAAAATGAAATATTATTGACTTGTTTTTTGTATTTAATTTTTGTTTGCATTGGGTTCATTAGAATTTTCTGAAACAAGGCCTCGATAGAATGTTACAGCCTTCCATTCCACAACTTGTAATTATGCTTGATAGTTACGTTTAAGCAATTATGCAACAGCCCTGATTGAATCTCTTCGTTTCCCTCCCCCGATCCCCTGCATTACCTTCACTTATGAGGTAATACCAAATCCCTACGATCATTCCTGACCTCGTGCTTGCACACTTTTATGGCCTTATCTCGTGCCACTTTCTCCCTTGAAGCTATACACATACCAGCCAAACCAAGCTACTGCCCAATCCTTAGGTACTTCCCAAGTGTTTTTTTTTCATGCCTCCCTTCATTTGCATAAACTTTCTCTTCTGCTTAGAGATCCAGTTCAAATGTTATCTCCTCAGCGAAAACCTTCCTAACCAACTATCCACCTACACTTTGCAACAGGCAGTACTAGTTATTTTTCCTTCTGATGTCTCTAAGTACTTTCCACATGTCTCAGCACTGCATTGCTCAAATTGTACTTTTAAGTTGTTAGCATATCTGTCTCTTCAAGCAAAATGTATGCACCTTAAATTTCAGGCAAAAATATATCTTAGCTATATTTTGATTCCCTAATGTGGCTGGCACACAACTGACACCAAATAGGAGAACACTAACTGACAGACTGAATGAATAACTGCTGTTACATAACCCACTTGAATCCTGAGAGTAGGTCCTGGGGGTGGGGCCAAATGAGGAATTGTCTCTGGAAATTTACAAACATGATGGGATTTCATTTATCAAGAGGCAGAAAAGGGAAGGAAAAAAGTGTCTTGAAAAAAACAAAAAGAAAGCATACACTCATTCACCTGCAAACTATATGCCCCCTGACTCTAGAATAACTTCCCCATCATACACCCAGGCCTACTTTGGAAAACTATGGTGTTAATGCCTTAAACCAACAGTTTTCTCAACTGTTCTCATCAAATTTTTAACCATCTCAAGTTTTTGCCTTTGTTCAGTCTCATTCAGAATTAATATCTTCTGCATTTCCAGAGCACTTCGGGATGGCTCTATCTTATTGCTCACATTCGCCTGTATGTTATGAGCTTGGGATCCTCTTGAACGCAAGAATCATTCTTTCATCTTCTTTCGGTGTTCAAGACAGATGATTACACAATGTAAGGATGTATCACAGAAATGCTAATTACAATGAATAGTGTGATCTTCTTAGTATGTTAAGTAACAGTTTTGTTCAATTCCTTTGTGCTAAATTCCACTTTGCTGTGCTATCGACAGAAAAATGAGAGACTGCATGGATGAAGGTGAACTGTGGGTATGGGAACTACAATGGAAGAACCAAATTACATAGATCAATAACAAGGAACTATCTCCTTGGGAATAAGTGTGTACAGCTTACTAGTGACATACTAGATATTTGCATGTTACTCAGGATGCATGTCTATATGTGCATCATTTTTCTCTGGCCAAAGTGATTAATACAGAGGTGAGCACCTAACCTAACTTGATACAATCACATGAATCTTGCGACATTAAGATGGGAATGCTTGAATAAACATTTTTGTTTTTTCCCACCAGATAAACATGTTGGAGTATGTAGATGTGGGAACTGATGAAAGCTACCTTGAAACTCCTTGATAATGGAGTCAACAAAGAGAAGCAGGGCACGTGGTGGGAGTGATTCTGAAGATATCATTTAATAGCCTTTATTTAGGCACACCAGAAGCAAGATATATCCCTTCATTGTTAAATTACTTGAGCCAATAAGTCCTCATCTTTACTTAAATTTGAGACCAGATTTCAGTCACTCTTAGGAAAAGTGAATCCTAAGATGCAATTGAAAATAATTACAATATAAGCTACCACTGATTGTCTGCATATGTGACACATACTATGCTGAATACTTTGCTTTTAATATTTCATTTAATACCGATGACAACCCTATGAGTCAAATTCTAGTCTTCCTGTTTTACACATTAACAAATAATTTCATAAATGTTGCTGTTGCTCATAATAATAACAAGGCTATCACTTATTGAGCACATAGAGTTTTCCAGGCATTATACTAAGATTGATATACACGTTTATATATTCATTATCAAATAATATATTGAGGTAGGCACTGTCATTAGCCTTAAGGAAATGGAAACTCAGAGATTATAGGACTTGTCCAAGGTCACATATGTAGTAAGCAACAGATAGAATATTGAAATAATAACTTATTGACCTTTATTTGAAAGATATATTCATATTAAGGAGAATTGGATTCCATCCCTGCATCCAGCTCTTATTAAATTTGCAAGTCTATTTTCTTTGAGCCCTACTTTCTTCAAAGTAAAATGAAGACAGTAACTCCACACATTCTCTACCTTCCAGAGATATTAAGAGACTCAAATGGGAAAGTGAATATAAAAGTAAGGCATAATGCCCCACATAAATGTAAGTTACTATAATTATTATAATTCAGTAATAAAAATGGGTTCCACATTGTGATTATTAAACATATCAAATCAAGAATTGTATCTTAATACTGACATTTATTATTGTATGGATGTCTTAACTATTCAGCTACAAATTCAATTTCAAAAACCAGACATTTATAGAGTATACCTTTTCTCATACTGCCATGTTGGTTATCAATAAGGGACTCCCATTCCATTACTTTCATTTCAGTGATATGTACAAATTTAAATTAGTGTTATTAAATTTATCACAGAAGGGTACTATATTATGTCACTTAGTGTCAATTATTTTCACCTTCAACATTTTTGTTGCACAATTTTTTAGTTCACTATCGCTACCAGGTTAGAATGCATTAGGACCTAGAAGCAAGATCATTGCTAAGAAAATTTGAAGCCTGAGCGCACTTAGTTATATCACTTATAAGCTGTGATCTTGATCAAAGTACAGATAAATTATCAGCTCGTGTATACACTTTTAAATTTGACAACTGATGATAATGCATACTGAAGAGAAATCGGAGATTTTGCTAGAAAAAAAAAGTCTAATAGCCATAAATATGCTCTGAAGAAACAGAAGCAATGGAATAAATCCCATAGGAGACAGCTCAGAGTCCTGTCTCTGATTGCAGTTCTAATGGGTAGGGATAGAACTTGAACAACATTTACCTTGCGTAAGAACAGAAAATGCAGAATCCTGGCTAGAGCGAAGATGCAGCAAGAATCATCTTGTAACAGTAATAGTCAAATGGGCAGTTGCCTCCCATGAAGGACAGACCTCTGATGTCAGCAGCTTTGGGGAGGAAGATGGGTAAGAAGATTACTCATTGCCTCGATGTTATAAAGCAGAAGTTCTAAGGGAAAGGAAACCATCTCCCAGCTTGTCTGTGCCTTCTATTCAACCCCTTTCTCTCTATTCAAGGGCAGAAAGGCCTCAGAGAAGTCAATGGGAAAACAAAGAACTGGACATGAAGCAAAGGATGGGTTCAATTGCCTATAGAGTAAGCAGATGACTGTCAGCCATCTATATTCATTATTAGGGTGATTTTTCTGAATCTGGACCAGAATGCCCTCAGCTATTCTCATGGCTCACTTTCTCACCTCCGTTCCAAGCATTAACTCAAATGTCACCTCCTTAGTGAGGCCTGCCCTGACTGCCCTATATAAAACTGCAATTTTCCTCCCCTATACATTCTCCACTTCCTATCCTTTTGCAGTGTTCCATTATCTTTTATCCTTTCCCATAGCATTTTAATACACTATATAATTTACTAAGTTTATTAATTTTTTTATATCCCCTTCTCCCAATGAGAATGGATATACTGCCATCTGCTTTGTTCTCTAATGCTTCCACTGACGCACCACAATTGTCCAGCAGTGAGAAGGAGAAGAGCAGCCCTGACATCAGAGAGCTGACCTGGTCCCATCAGCTTGGCCTGGGTGTTGCTAGGAGCTGGCCTGTCGCTCATGGCAAGGTCTTGGTGTTCTCCTGTTGAACATGAACAATTTCACACAGTATCAACATCAAATAAGGCCACTCTGTTACGATGATGGATCAAGACAAAAACAAGACCACTCCATAATCACATCTAAACCCGTACATAATGGAAACATTGTTCAAGTCAGAAAAAAATGACCAAATATCCACCTATCCTGGCTAATGTGAATGATCACTTCTTCTTCACCAACTGCCACTTTAACGTTGCTCTATTTTCCCCTCCTTCTGCATAAGACTTATTGAAATACCCAGTCATAAAATATCTCCTGCTTTCCGACACTGCCTTGCTTCCTTAAACCTTCCCCCAAATCTCCTAATATAAACCCAAATCCTATATTTTCTTTTATCTTACTAAGACATCTCATGGTGTGCATTCTCCTTTCTTGTTTCAGTGAGCAATAAACCCAAGTGGTTCAACCACAGAAGTGTTTCTGGTGGTCTTTGACTGGAGGGAATGGGAAGTGGGTAGACAAATCATTGAATCAGTATTCTGGATATCCCGCCTAAACACCAGTGGTTTAAAGTTATGGCTACTCCAGATATATGCAAAGTTCCAACTTTATGCTTTTGTGCACAAAGCAATGTTAGAGCTCTCCTGCCTTGCAGATTACATTTCCTTATCTAGTGAATAAAGCAAATTAATGACAACGATCCTTTCCATTGTCTTAGGAGGATTTTTCAACTTTCCTGTGGTTGATACGTGAATCTCTAAGCCACGGTATGTGCCAGCTGACATACTGATTCTGGATATGAAAAAAAGATCCAAGCATCAAGCTGTCTTGTGAGCCAGGAGCCTTCAATGCCCATGGGAAATGCTGAAGATCATAAACTAAGAAGGGCAAAGAAGAGGAAAATTGATGGAACAGGGAGAGTGTGGTTCAAAGGACAAAGAAGGATAGTTGTAATGGCAAAAGTGTTATTTCGATCTTTTAAAATAATTTTCTCCTCTACCCCCATTTTTTAAACATGGATTATTTAAGTATACAGTTGGGAGAGGGCTGATATGAAGAGAATATTGTAAAATATTATGCTGAAATACTTCTTGTGTCATAAAAATTATATCAAATATTTACAACTTGGAGTGAATGGATGAATGAATGAATGAACATTTGTACACAGATCTTATATTTTTCTAAAACTGTTATGATCTGATTGTTTCTATTCCACCCCCTCACAAATTTATATGTTAAAAAACTAATCACTTATGTGGTGGTATCAGGATGTAAAGTCTGTAGAGGGTGATTAGGTCGTGGAGGTGGAGCCCTCATAAATGAGATAAGTGCCCTTATAGAAGAAGCCCCAGAGAACTGCCTTTCCCTGTTCATCTGAGGACACAGATAGAAGACACCATGTATGAACCAGAAAGTGGGCCCTCACCAGACATCTACTCCACTGTCACCTTATTCTTGAACTTCCCAGACTCCAGAGCTAGGAGAAATACGTTTCTGTTTTATTATAAGCCACCGGTTTATGGCATTTTGTTATAACAGCCTGAATGAACTAAGACAAACATCAACTGTGATTCCCTCAAACAATACATTATGGAGTGGCTTCTGCAGACATGCAATGGGTTCCCAAATCTGAAAGTTCTTTAAGGGTATAGTAAATACCAAAAACAAATGCATCAGTGAGTCCACATTATCTGGATACTTACCTCAATTTAAAAATATTAATTAGCTTATAATTGTCGCCAGGTGGAGAAAGAAAAACATCTGTGGAGGATGGGATGTGAGAACTTCCTTCCAGTAATAGACTGACTCTTATTTCACAAGAAAGAGGACACTAGTTCTATAAGGCCTCAAGAGGCAAGGTTAGGACATTAGCAAAGAAGATGTGAAGACAGATGTTGGCTCATCAAAGAAAAAGTTTTCTCACAGATACGTCTGTCTCAAACTGGTCTAGGCAGCTCTCTGGATATTGTGGGCTTCCTCACCCTGAAAGACATCAACTGAGACTGGATGACCACCTGGCAGGAGTGATCTAGAGGCCATTCAAACACTAGAACTCAAGTAGGAGAATATGGCATTTCCTATCCTCTCCCAGGCCCAGCAATCTGTGAGACTATTAAAAAGAACAAAATGAAAAGTGGCACCAATTGAACAGAAGTAAGGTGATTACACTTTACACTTGACCTCATGCAATTAAAAAGAATGACTTCAGGCAGAACAGCCAGGTTTCAGTTTTTCTGGCAGTCCTCAAGCATCTTACGGCCAGAAGGCAAGGGCTATTACAATATCCACTTCACTGTGGAGTTAAAAGAAACTTCTTAAAAATGAGTCACCACTCCAATGTCTTTTTGCCTGAGAACACAGCTGCTACTTGACAATTTTCCTTTTTACATTTTTTTTTTCATTTTTTGGGACTTAATTCAAAACCAGCACTTTAAAGTTAGTTTTAGAATTGTAGTATAGTAGTCAATACAGAAAAGGAAAAATATATGAGGAAAAGGACTCTTCAAATGAAGCAAGGAGGCATGGAAAGGGAGGAGTGATTTGGTGCAGAATGGGACTATTTACTAAATGTCTGTTTTATGCCAGACCCTTTGCTAGGCATTCTGCCTACATGATCTAGTTTTCATGGCAGCCCTGTGAAATCAATAAGCTTGACTCTAACAGAAACATACATTGGGGTGATAATAATATAGCTCACATTTATTGCATTCTTATTACCTGCTCAACCCTATTCTGCGCACTTTGCATGCCTTATCATTTTTCATTCTCATTGCAACTCAGAGTTGGTAGATGCTTTCAATTCTCTCATTCTACAGATGAGGAGACTAAGATCCAGAGAGATGTGGCAACCTGCTCATGAGCAGTGGAGCCAGGGTTTAAATCCAGACATTTTGACTCTCAACCATATTGAGCACTTAAAGACAATGGAATCAGAAGTTTAAATACTGCTATTTTAACGATTGCTATGTACGTGGTAAGAAGGGTCAGAAGGTGATAGGGAGGATAAAGTGGTGAATCGGAACTAAAGTACAAAGGCCAGTGCAGAAGGAAACATGTTTTCAAATATAGTCAGATCACCCACAGGCAAAAAGCAGACATGTGCCTGAGTATGATATCTTACATCTGGGTCCAAAGTGAACTTCAGAAAACATTTGTAAAGAGCACTTGAGCAATTGCAGTTTCTTTTTGATGACGCCTTGAGAACCAGAGAAAACTATTGAAAGATAAAGAGCAAATGGTAGAATTGAGGATGAAAAAGAGTCTGGTGAGGCCAGATTCCTTTCTGCCTCAGCGTTCAGGGAGGTAGACATAAGACATCAGGAAGGACCCAGTTCCCTGTCTTTGGTAGTGCCCAGATTACAGTTGGGAAGAAAATCCCACTCTGTACATTTGAAAAGCATGTGATCCTGTTCTTACATTGTTCTTTTAAAAATAGTCATAATGGAAATAATTCTGAATGATAACCTAGATTTAAAAGCTGGCTTTCTGAATTATATGGAAACTTGCACACAGAGTAATCCTTATAACAACCATAGCTACAGATGGCAGGGCAGGAGAGGGGTTTTTAAGAGGCAGTGATCCAGCATGTGCTGTTAGTTGGCTAGAGAGTTTCTCCCACAGGTCACGTCCTGTGGGCATGTAAGATATCTTCGGTAAAACCACGTGAACCACGTGGGGTTCTTGCTCCAGCACTTTCTCTACTGAAAAACAAAGGGACTTCAGTATAGTTAAGGTTCCAAGTAGAACAGTGAAAATTACAAAGGTTTCCATGGCTAAAGTGTCAAGATTCAAGCAGAGCTTTGAAGTCCCAGCTCTCAAACAGCAGGAACAGTTGGAAAAAGCAAATCAAAATTTCAGGAGCCTTGTTGAACTGCAAATAAACAGGCTCCCAGGGACCAGAAAAGAGAACACAAGATAAGACAAGCCACGAAATTGAGGGAGCTACCTTGTCATTATAATCAGAAATAGAAACAGATTGTACTAGGTGAGGTTTTGACCTCAGGCTACACATTCCCATCTCTGGGCCTTGGTTTCATTATCAGTAAAATGATAATAACACCTCCCCTATATAGGATAATTGTCAGGCACAAATGAAAATGTGTGGTAAAACCCTTTAGAAAGTTTAAAGTATGTTAACATGCCAATGAAAACACTTGATCCTTACTTACATTTGGTCCGTTGATTTTTTCTCATAATAGTTAGAAGTCTTTGTTTTCCTTTTATATGCAGTAATATTTAAAGAAGAGCTAAAATTAATTGTTTGGATTATTTCTTTAATGTTGGGTTCCATAAATTCAGTAGTGGAGTGGTTAAATTTGTATTTGGAGGATTGCTCAGTAAAACTTCTGTCCTTGAATGCCAAGAGAGGTTAAGAGAAGAGCTGAAACATGGAGCAGATACTGAGATACTCAGGTTGACAATTGTGTTGCTTACTGAGGAGATTAGAAAAGTTGGTGAGAGAATTCAGGAAGTTTGATCCCTATGAAGGGATCAAAGCAATGGAGTGAGGGGAAAGGATTCCTACTAACCAAATTTATAGAGGTATAAAATTGTATCTACAATCTGCATACCAACCGGTTCAACCTAACAAGAAGGAAGAAAGCTAAGATCTATGAGAAGCTATAAGTCAAAGAATATGTGACATTTTCATTGATCAGTACAAAAAGACCAATAGATCCAGAGTTATCAATCTATTCACAACTGAGCCCAGTATCAAGATCCCTGGAATAGATCTACACTAGTAATTCAATATGATAGGGTCAGAAGCAAGATGCAGTATCCAATTAACTAAAAATCATTTATAACACTTCCTTAGAAAAGTATTTCCTGAATTCTCACTCCCAACCAATCAGGTTCCCTTATAATCTTTCCTTGCAGCCTTTAGTATTTCTTCATATTGTCAATGAGTTGTAATGATATTTTCATGTAACTATTTATTTAATATCTGCCCTCTTTCCCCATTAACCTATAAGCTCTTTAGAAGGCAGGAACTATAGAGCATGCTAGATGAATAAATGGAGTAATATAAAAAATAAAATATCAAGCGATGAGCAAGGGCTATCTTTCTTTTTTTTTTTTTTTAAGTCTTTGCATGTCTTTATTCTCTCTTCATATTTGATTTGGCTCGATAATTTCCTCTCAGAATTTTGGTAGATTTTTTTCCACTTTTAGCTTCTGGTGTTGGTGTTAAGAAGCTCAATGCTATTTTGGTTTCTATTTCTGTTTTCTTTCCTTTCTTGAAAGACTTTAGGATTTTCTCTTTACCCTTCTTATAAAACTTCTCAGAATATGCTGTAGGTTGATGTCTTTCTGCACATTGTGCTGTGCCTTGTGAAACTTACGTCTAACAGATCTGGGAAATTTTTCTTTCTTTTTTTTTTTTTTTTTTTTTCCTGAGATGGAGTCTCACTCTGTCACCCAGGCTGGAGTACAAGGGCACGATCTCAACTCACTGCAACCTCTGCCTGGGCTATCTTCTCGAACTGACAGTGGATGATTGACTGGTACTCCCCTTAGAAAATAGTTCAGTGCCTAACAATGCTTAAAGAAAGGGTATACAATCATCGAGTGCTGATTATTTGAATTGCAGGCATAGCTCCCGGTTAAACTGAGTATCCAGTCCAAAGTTTCCTAAACTTTTCTGAAGATAAAAATCACCCATGGATATTTACCAAAGTACACTTGCCAGGCCTACAACTCACTGATTTGTCAATCACCCAAGAATATTCTTAGCAGCAAGAAAATTTGAGCAAGCCCGATCTATAGCAAAGTACCTTTAAGTCTGTTCCTTAGTTATTCTGCATGAGAATTACCTGGGGCAATTGTGAAGTGCACAGTGTCCTAGGATATACCCCAGGCTGACTAAATCAGAGTCCCTGGGAGGGGTACATAAAATAAATTTACATTAAAACAATATTTCCCCAATAAAATTCGATGGATCAAAATTTGATAAACTTTTTCTGTAAAGGGACAGATAGTAAATATTTTCACCTTTGCAGGCCATACAAACTCTATTACACTAATCAACTCTGTCATATCACTGCAAGGCAGTCAGAGATAATACCAATTAAGAGATGTGGCTAGATTCCAATAAAATATTATTTATAAAAGCAGGCATCAGGCTGCATTTAGACTTTGGGCTATAGTTTTCTGACCTCTCATCTAAATCATTTCAAACTTGTTTTATTGATGGTAATGTCTATACTTCCTTGATTCTAAGGCATCATCAATTTTAAGACATAATATCTAATTTTAAAACAGTGTTTACATACCTGGCTAGCCATATGCAGAAGAATTAAACTGGACCCCTCCCTTTGACCACATACAAAAATTAACTCAACCTGAATTAAAGATTTAAACGTACTATTTCAAATTATAAAACTCCTAGAAGAAAACCTAGGAAATACCCTTCTGGAACATTAGCTTTGGCAAAGAATTTCTGGCTAAGTCCCCCAAAGCAATTGCAACAAAAACAAAAATTGATAAATGAGACTTAATGAAACTAAAAAGCTTCTGCACAGCAAACAAAACTATCAATAGAGTAAACAGAAAACCTACAAAATGGGAGAATATATTCTCAAGCTATGCATCAGACAAAGGACTAATAGGTCTAATATACAAAATCTACAAGGAAATTAAACAAATCAATAAGCACGAAACAAATAACCCCATTAAATAATGAGCAAAAGACATGAACAAACACTTCTCAAAAGATATGTACAAGTGGCCAACAAACATATGAAAAAAATGTTCATCATCACTAATCAGCAGAGAAATGCAAATAAAAACCACAACAAAATATCTCACACCAGTTAGAATGGCTGTTATTAAAAAGTCAAAAAACAACAGATGCAGGTTAAGTTACTGAGAAAAGAGAACACTTATACACCATTGGTGGGAATGTAAATTAGTTCATCCACTATTGAAAGTAGTTTGGAGATTTCTCAAAGTACTTATAACAAAACTATCATTTGATCCAGCAATCCCATTACTGAGTATATAACTCAAAGAAAATAAATCATTCTACAAAAAAGATACATGTACTTGTTTTTTCATCACAGCACTATTCGCAATAGCAAAGACATAGAATCAACCTAGGTGCCCATCAATGGTAGATTGGATAAAGAAACCGTGGTACATAAACACCATGGAATGCTACACAGCCATAAGGAACAACAAAATCATTCCCTTTGCATTGACATAGATGCAGCTGGAGGCCATAATCATAAGCAGATGAATGCAGGAAGAGAAAATCAAATACCACATGTTCTCACATGTAATTGGGAGCTAAACATTCAATACACAGACATAAAGATGGAAACAATAGACACTGCAGACTACTAGATGCGGGAGAGAGGCAGGATGGGTTGAAAAACTAACTATTCGGTACTATCCTCACTACCTGGGTGAGAGGATCTATACCTCAAACTTCAGCATCACACAATATACCCATGTAACAAATCTGCACATGTACCCAATATATCTAAATAAAAGTTGAATTTTTTTTAATAAAGGCCTTTATGAAATGTTATCAAATACATATAAATGCTTACTGATTATAATACATCCTGAAACTTGCACCACAACAGGCCAAGACTCCCAGCTCATCCCCCCATCTCCACAGTGTTCTAAGCCCAAAGAATCTTTCACTGTATACCTTGGAACTCACTGTCTATTATGAACCATATCTACTTTATTCTAAATCTCCTTTCATAATGTTTATCTTACATATATGCTCTAACTTGATTTTAGATAACCCTTCAGAACCCTGATTCCCCATTACCACTTAAGTGAAAGTTGTTTACTTTCTTACACTCCTCATATCAGTAGGCTCAAAGGTTGGAGTGGACGTCTTCCTATTTCTATTGCCATTCGCAAACCATTCATCTCTGGCTTCAAAATCCGCAGCTCCTGTGTAGTACAAGCCATCAAATCACACCAATTCCAATTCTTGTTTTAATTATGGAGACTTCTCTATTCTACTTACCATTTATTGAACTATTTGTCCCCTAAATGATTTTTATGCCTGTCACCACTTTTAGTGGCTTCAACACCCATATCTTAGACAATTCCTCAAAGAATATGATTTCTCTGATCTAATTTCAGTCCAAATGTCATCCATCTTACCTTAGTGATATGTGCCTATGGCTATTTCTTAGACGTTGTCATTACTTAAAATTTTACCTTCTCCCAAGTATCAATTTTATATGTCATTATCTGCCACCTCGTATTCTTCTAAGTCACTCCCTCTAGTGCCTTTAAAACAATTCTTTGACCACATTGGGACTACCAACACATTGACTTTTTCTATTAATTGCTCATCATGAATGTCCCTCACTCCCATGCATTCAACTCCAACTCTTTTTTTACTCTATTCCTTCATTCAACCTGTTGCTCTTTAGAAAAAAACCCTTCAAAAGTGCTGTCTATATTTTTGGTTTCAAATTACCTTTTTAGTCTACTCCAGTTAGACTGTGGATCTCATTATTCCATTTTTAAACAGTTTTTTTCAGGGAGACCATAACCTCCATCTTGCCATGTCCAATGGTCAAGTTTCTTTCCTCATTTTATTCAACTGCCAGTCACATTTGACATCACAGATCACACACTCTTTCTTGAAACACTTCCATCATTTGTCTTCTGGGCCACTACTCTGTTGATTTTCCTCCTACCTCACTGGCAACTCCTTCTAAGACTCTTGTTGGTTTCTTTCATAAACCTCAAAACAACTGGGTGCCCCAGGACTCCTCCCAGAAGGAATCCTCTTCTCTTTTCAGTTTATATGCACTCTTTAGACTATCTCAACAAGTCACATAGTTTTAAATACCATCTGCATACTAGTAGCTTTCAACTTGCAAATGTACAATTTTAGCCCAGAATTTTCTCCCAAATCTGGACATGTATATCGAGATGATACAAATCTCTATTTGGATGTCTAATAGGCTTCTAAATTCTAACATAATCCAAGCATGATCCTTTTGCAACTCCCCAGGAATATCCTGCTCTTCCCATCATCTTCCTTATCCCATTAAACTTCAACTCCATGCTTGCAAATGCCTAGGCTTAAAACTTGGAATCATTTTTTAGCTTTCTCATACACTACACAATTAGTCCATCAGCATATGCAGTCTGGCACATTGTCAAAACACATTCATAATTCGATGACTTCCACTGACACCCACGTTCACGTCATCATTGTTTCTTATCTGAATTGCCTACTCTAAGAGCTGCCAAATTTGTCTTTTGGCTTCCACCGCCCCACGCCTCAATATATTCTATACACACTGTAATGAGACTTTTATTTTTAAACAAGTGCCATTATGATTCCCCCAGTGCTTAAAACCATCAAACGATTTCTTATCTTACTAAGAATAAAACTCAAAGTCCTCAATATGGTCTATAAGGTCTTGCATCATCCGGACTCTGGATAAATCCCTAGTTCTCATTTCCTACCACTCTCCTACTCACTTACTTTGTTTCTGTAGCAATAGACTCCCTGCTGTTCATTGAACAAGCCAAGCACATGCCTATATCAGAGACTATGCACTTGCTGTTCCCTCTGCCTGCAACTCCCTTTTCTCCAGATAACTACCTGACTTCCTCACATCACTCAGGCCCTCCCATCATTCAGGTGCCTGCTAAAATGTTATATTTTTAGAAAAACTTTTCCTAATCCCTTTGTATTAAATAGTATCCCACCCACCTTCTATCTTCTTAACTGCTTTATTTTTATTTCATAGCATTTATGGCCACCCAATCTAGTATTTTTTTTTGCTTGTTTATTGTCTGTCAACTCTAAAAGAATGTAAACTGCATGAAGGCAGACATTTCTACCTACCTTGTTCACTGCTAGGTTCCCAATCCTTAGCAGCCATTCAATAAATGTTAATTAAATAAATGTGTAAGTAATCATTAAAAGGTCAAATAAGACACCTTATAAGTCAGAAAATAGCTTCAGAAAAGGATTTAAATAAATAATAAAGCAGGGCGGGAGGCTGAGGTGGGTGAATTCCCTGAGGTCAGGAGTTCGAGAACAGCCTGGCCTACATGGTGAAACCTAGTGTATACAAAAATTACAAAAATTAGATGGGCGTGGTTGTTGTCACCTGTACTCCCAGCTACTCGGGAGGCTGAGGCAGGAGAATCGCTTGAACTCGGGAGTGGAGGCTGCAGTGAGCTGAGATCACGCCACTATACTCCAGCCTGGGCAACAGAGTGAGACTCCGTCTCAAATAATAATAATAATAAAGTTATAGTATCTTAAAGATTTAAATAATAAATTAAATTAAATGCATCAAAAATTTTAAAAGAATCCAAGGGTGGCATTGTGGAGCTATTAGTCAAAAAATGTAAATAGTCATTAAAAATGCTGAAAGGATGATAGTTGGCATCTATAAGAAGAGTTTTCATGGAGATTCTAAAGCCAAAGAATGACAAATTTTACCCGCATATGGGGCAAGTTACTGTGACATTGACATCCCACTATATATAAGTTAACTGCTTTATTCAAGAAGACATAATATATTCATGAAAAGAGAATTTGCTTTACGTTCAGCTGATTAACATGATTGAGCTCTTCATAAATGTGAATAATTAATAATATCAACAATATATAACAAGCAGATACGTTATTTTCATTTTCAAAGTACCTTTACATAATCTTCAACTGGAGTTACCACGAAGTTGAGAAGCTGTTTTTGCCATGAATAGAGAATTGCCTTATAAAATAAGAAACAAAGACTAAGGGAAAATTGCTCTGGACAGAAAGTACAAATGGAGAAATCTCCCAGGGTTCAGCCTAAGCCGACAGTTTTTATAAGTGATTTGAAGGAAAGAATGCAATTGACACTAAGCTCTTCTGGAGACAGTGAGATGCCAAACTGCCAGGGACAGAATGCAAGAAAATTACATAAGGCTACATCAAAAAGAAACAAAATTATAGATAAGTTTCATTACTGACAAGGGCAAGAAAAAAATTCTCACGATTCTATTTCAAGCTATGAGCTATTACATTTTTACTCTAAGAAAACTTATATGTCTTTGGGCCCTGTTTTTTAGAAACAAAAAGTTCTAGAAAATATTAAGCTTTATTAGAAAATATACTGGAATAAGCCAAAATGCAGCATCCAATTGACATACAGGATTGTGGTGAGTGCACACCAGGAGCATAGTGTTATCACATCTCAAATAAGATATAAATGAGATGAAAATTCAGAGGAAGGCAACAGAAATGATCAGTGAAAAGAAAGAAGTGCCTTCTAAGAATCAAAAGACTGTGTGTCTTCAACCTGAAAGATAAAAATACTGAACATATGTTATTGAAGTCTGAAAGATCTTAAAGGGGGGTGGAGAAACAGGATGTAGCCATGTCCACCACATTGTATTATATCAAAACCAGTAGACCTCTCTTGAAGTATGAAAAAAAGTAATTTGAGGGCACAAAGAGGGGAATTCCACTATAGATAGCAAAGCTATTCATCTATTTGCAGATTTCATGAGTGCCTTCCATGCACCAGATACTCCAAATTATGGAAAAATATTTTTCATTGAATATGCGTAGATGGGAATGAAAATTCAGTGATTAATATAACATAGATTATCCCTACATGGGCGCCAGACTGAAAGGGAAGAAAGACAAGTAAACATATAATTATAATATTACCCAACCAGATATACCTGAAAATATCTCAATTACTTCATTTAAATTTCTACCACCACTACTCTAAGCCACCTCCACATTTCTTGCTTGAACTACTTAAATATATTTTTATATTTAAAAACATCTTCCTTCTCCAACTCCTTCTCTTGAATTCATTCTCCTTACAATATTGAGAATAATTTTAAGAATCAAATCATATCATTACACACTTCTGCATAAAAGCTTTCACTATCATTCCACTTCTATGTCCTGAACTATAACAACCTGCATGAGCTGGGCTATTTCTCTCAAACTTCATCTCACGCCCATACCAATATCCCCTTTCTGTCCTGACATTGACCTTCTTATCTGTTCCTGTAACATACCAATAAGTAATTTCCACATGCTTGTTTGTTTGGTTTTGTTTGTTTTTTGAGATGGAGGCTCGCTCTGTCACCAGGCTGGAGTGGAGTGATGTGATCTTGGCTCACTGCAATCTCTGCCTCCCAGGCTCAGACAATTCTCCAGCCTCAGCCTTCCGAGTAGCTGGGACTACAAGCGTGCACCACCACGCCCAGCCAATTTTTGTATTTTTCATAGAGACGGGGTTTCACCATGTTGGATAGGATGGTCTCGATCTCTTGACCTCGTGATCTGCCCACCTCGGCCTCCCAAAGGGCTGGGATTACAGGGTGAGCCACCGCGCCGGGCCGTTGTTTCTTTTTATCTGGCATATTCTTGTGTGTGCTTTTTGAGTGACTAGCTCCTTCTCATCCTTCAGATCTCAGCTTAAGTTTCACCTCTTCGAAGAAGACTTCTCTGTCCACTAATCTAAACTACTGTCCTGCCCCATGGGCTCTATTACCAAATACTATTTCCTTCCTTCATTGTTCTCAAAACAATCTACATGTTTATCTATTTGTATTTGGTCTATAAAGGTTCACTGGGGCAGATACCATATCTGTCTTGCTTGTCTTTGTGTCTCCAATATACAGTTCCAGTACCTTGTACATAGAACTTCATAAATTGGAATTAAAAAACAAATACATGCATATGATAACTTCTACAAAAATGAGGTCGAATTTTTCAGCTACTTAGGAAAGACAGCATAATTCACACTATATTTCTATGTATTCATGCATTAGGAATAGCATTTCACATAAATTAACCTTGAAGAGAGAAATACAAAAGAAGAAGGAAATTTTCCACCTTACAAAACTACATTACTTTAAGAGGTAATGGATACTGAAAAGATGCTTAACTAAGTTCAAGGATAAGTCACTATGATGTGTTATTAATGAAAACTAAGATGTTTGGAATGACATTGTAGCCTCTGAGGTCTGTATTATTGAGACAGTCATACCCTTAAACATCATTCTTTTAGTTCTCCATGGGTCTGACCCAGGCAGAAACGGATGTTTATTTAAGATCTCATACTCTTATTATATTTGCTATTTTTCTTTTCAATTTTCCATAATTCCTGACATATACCCTTAAATATTTACATCCACAGCAAAGAACATGCTTATTTCAAAATAACTGTCGAGTCTAAGACTTTAAAGAGTTATACTTTACATCAATATTTTTAATGAATTGAGTCATATTAAATTTTTATTTATTTTATTTTTTATAATTTCAACTTTTATTATAGATAAAATGGTGTGTGTGCACAATTTTACCATAGATAAAATGGTGTACGTGCAGCGGTGTACTTACATGGGTACATTGTGTGATGCTGAGGATTGGGGTACAAGTGATCCTGTCACCCAGGTAGTGAGTATAATATCCAACAGATGTTTTTATAGCTTATGCCCCCCTCCCTCCTTTCCCCATCTAGTAGTCCCCACTGTCTATGGTTCCCATCTTTATGTCTATGTGTATACGATGTTTACAATGTATACACACTATTATACACACAGACATACAGATGGGAAGAATAGACAGTGGACACTACTAGATGGGTCCAGTTTCACTCTTCTGCATATGGATCACCCGTTTATCCCAACACCATTTATTGAATAGGAAGTCATTTCCTCCTTGCTTATATTTATCGATTTTTTCAAAGATCAGATGCTTAATCAGATAGAATGCGTGGTATTTGGTCTCCTGTTCTTGCATTAATTTGCTTAAGATAATGGCCTTAAGAAAATGGCCTTCAGTCGCATCCATGTTGCTGAAAATGATACGATTTTGTTCTTTGTTATGGCTGTGTATTATTCCATCGTGTATGTGTACCACATTTTCTTTATCCACTCCACCATTAGTGGGCACCTAGGTTGATTCCATGTCTTTTTCTATTGTGAATAGTGCTGCAATCAACATGCCAGTGCATGTGTCTTTTTGGTAGAACAATTTGGTTTCTTTTAGGTATATACTCTGTATGAAACTGCTGAGTTGAATGGCAGTTTTGTTTTAAGTACTTTGAAAAATCTCAAAACTGCTTTCCACAGTGACTTAACTAATTTGTATTCCTACCAACATTGCATAAGCGTTCCCTTTTTTACTACAACCTCGCCAGCATGTGTTATCTTTTGATTTTTTAATAACAGCCATTCTGACTGGTGTGAGATAGTATCTCATTGTGATTTTGATTTCTATTTCTCTAATGCTTAGTGATCTTGAGCATTTTTTCTTATGTTTGTTGGCCACTTGTATGTCTCCTTTGAGAAGTGTTTGTTCATGTCTATTGCCTATTTTTAACTGGATGTTTTATTTTTTTACTTTTTGACTTGTTTCTTTTAGTTTCTGGATATTAGACCCTTCTCAGATGTATAGTGTTTGTTTATGCTATTGACAGTTTATTTTGCTGTACAGAGGCTCATTAGTTTAATCATGTCCCTCTTGTCCATTTTTGGTTTTGTTGCAATTGCTTTTGGGGACCTAGCCAAAAATTATTTGCCAAAGCTGATGTCGAGAAGGGTATTTTCTAGGTTTTCTAGAATTTTTATAGTTTGAGGTCTTACATTTAAATCTTTAATCCATCTTTAGTTACGTTTTGTGTATAAGAAAGGAATCCAGTTTTACTCTTCTGAATATTGCTCACCAGTTTATCTCAGCACAATTTATTGAATAGGAAGTGATTTCCTCATTGCATATATATATATATATATATACACACACACACATATGCATATATATATACACACGTATATATATACACATATATATATACACGTGTATATACATGTGTGTGTATATAGATAGATAGATAGATTTTGTCAAAGATCTGATGCTTGTAGCTTTGTAGCTTTATTTCTGGGTTCTCTAACCTATTCTGTTAGTGTATATGTCTCTTTTTGTACCAGTACCATGCTGTTTTTCTTACTGTAGCCTTATAGTATAGTTTGAAGTCATGTAATGTGATGCCTCTGACTTTGTTCTTTTTGCTTAGGATTGCTTTGGCTATCTGGGCTCTTTTGTGGTTACATATGAATTTTAGAATAGATTTTTCTAATTCTATGAAAAATATTGTTGGTATTTTGACAGGGATAACATTGAATCTGTAAATTACTTTAGGCTGTGTGGCCATTTTAACAATAATGATTTTTCCAATCCAAGAGCATAGAATTTTTTTTCTTTCATTTATGTCATCTCTCATTTCTTTCAGCAGTGTTTTGTAGTTCTCCTTGTAGAAGAACTATCCACCTTTTTGGTCAGATGAATTCCTAGGTGTTTTGTTTTTTCTTTTTTTTTCAGGTTATTGTAAATGGGACTGTGTTCTTGATTTGGTTCTCAGCATGAACATTATTGGTGTATAGAAATGCTACTGATTTTTATACATTGACTTTGTTTTCTGAAGCTTTACTGAAGTTGTTTAATAGTTCCAGGAGCCTTTTGGTGGAGTCTTTAGAGTTTTCTATGTATAGAATCATTATCACCACTAAAGAGAGATAGTTTGACTTCTTATCTTCCTATTTGAATGCCTTTATTTTTCTTCCTTTGCATTGATTGCTCTGGCAAGGATTTCCAGAACTACCTATAATAGGAGTGGTAAGAGAGGGCATCCTTGTCTTGTGCCAGTTCCCAAGAGCAATGGTTCCATTTTTGCCTATTCAGTATGGTGTTGGCTGGGGGTTTGTCGTATATGGCTGTTATTATTTTGCATGTTGTTTCAACATTACACTAAAGAAGATAAGCTTTCCACAAAATTCAAGCCACAAGCTCTCTAAGTTAGATGCAAGTTCTTATTTTTTTGACTTCTCAATACATTTGCATATTCCTCTATTATATGAAGTACATTTGTTCATTTCTTCAGAAAGTGTTTCTTAGGTCTATTTAACAAATAGATCTAATGTATCTACCATGTCCAGTTCTAACTTATATCATTACTGTGTAGATAACACTTTAGACCAATACTATGTAGACAGTCTAACACTGAAGCCATCTTCCTTGAGACCAGAGTATGTAGCTAATTTTTTCTGCATATCTGCCTGGCAGATCTCCTAACTCAGTGATTGACACATATGAAATGCATGTTAATGAGAACTGATTGAATCAAAGCAGTCCCTCTAAGAAATCTCCCATGGATTTTGATTTCTACACATTGGCTCTAGACTTAAACTATAAAAATCACATAAAAAACACATAAAATCACTTCTGGTGAGCATCCTGTCTCACATTCAGCTCAATAAAACGAATGTAGAAGCAAATTTAATGAATATGGAATCTTCACACTAACATTGCAAGTTGGGGATTCAGCCAAGAAAACCATTATGATACCTTATAAAACTGTTATTCCAGAGAAGCAAAATTGCTATTCTGAATAACTGCTCTCTTAATCTAGGAGATGTGCTGGATCTAATTAGACTACATTAGCAAGATGAAATGGCAGAAAAAAGAAGAAACTTTTAAAGGTTCCTAATACATATTTGCATAATAGTTGTTAATGGCTCCTCAGATACTGTTAGAAACTTTCAAACACACTTTTATGCTTAAAATGACCCAAAAAGTGTATCTACATGATAAACTTAATGGATCATGTGGGGAAACTAAAATCCTATAGGTAAATAATGAGCAGTTGTAAAAGCCTCTTGTTACATGTTCATTAAATGCCAGAAAGGCATTTTAATTGCTGACATGGTGACTTGGACAACCATGTACTTTTTAACAAGTGCGGCTTAATTGTTCAATCTCTGCTACAATTTTTTAAATTTTAATATAAAAAAGATAATTTTAAAAATATTCTAAAGCTACTGAGTGCTCCCTGTTTTAGTAAATTAGATGAACAATTTCCAGTTACAGAGACATTGCATTATGAAAGGAAACAAATACTTTTTTCTTTATCATTTAAAAAATATTATGTATATTCACCTATTTTCAGAAACAATTTTATCTAAATTAAGGTGACCAGATAATTAGGTATACCGAGATTTGATTCATTGACATTGTCTATAGAAAGCTGGTTTTTACTTAGGGGGTTATCTATCTTTCTCTTAACAATCTTGCTTGTTTTTTATTATCTTGGATGCTTTATCACAGCTGTAAAGTGAGTCTTTATACTTTTCCCTCTCAAGAGCTACTAGTTCTCTTTTTAAAATAAAATCACCAGAACTTAGCTGTGTAGAAAAGACAGCATACTTTATCTTATAGTTCCTGTTTTAAGGGTTATTATTCAAAATTTATTTACCTACTTTGAATGAAATTTACCATCAATCAACCAGAGTAATGAGGTGAAGCATCCTTCTGTTTTAAGTACACAATCTCTGGTTACTTAATATTAAACCACTTAAATTCACTGCGAACCAGGGCACCCAACTCTACCTAGAGATATCTTGTTTAGAAACATTAAATATCCAAAAGCTTTAACACAAGACTTGCACTTTAAAGCACTCTGTAAGATCAATTTGGAAACTCTGCTTTGTAAATAGAATTTCTTTGTGATAAGAAAAATTAGCATGAGATCTACCCTCTTAACAAGTTTGTATGTGTAAAATACAGAATTGTCAACTATAGGCACAATGTTGCACAGTGGATCTCTAAATGTATTCATCCTCAGTAACTGAAACTTTACACCCATTGATTAGCAGCTCCACATTTTCCCCTTCCCCTACCCGCTGGCAACCACCATTCTACAATCTGTTTCTATGAGTGTGACCATTTTATATTTCTCATGTAAGTAGAATCATGCAGTATTTCTTCTTCTGTAACTGGCTAATTTCATTTAGCATAATGATTTTGCTTCATTTTTAAAATACAAGTTGTAATAGATGTAGTATTGCATTTTGGAAGCCATTGAGCAAATAATAAGCTAGCCCAGGATTATAATTGTAGACTAGGGAAGATATCCTTTTGTAAGATTCATGCTGAGGCTGGTTAAAATTCACTTTCCCTCTTTAAAGAAGCTACACAAACAAAACTCTGTCAACTACTCGAACAATTTTTCTGTGGAAAAAAAAAAAAAAACTTAGACACTGTGGGAACTCTAAAAAACGTTCTCTGATAAGCATGCTGATTGGGCCAAAACATTATAAGACTGCATTCCTAACCAGTCCTGATTACTTCCTGAGAACAAAATATAAATAAGGAAATTGGTCATCACCTCATAGAAAGTCATTTTCATCTGTCTTCTCTTCAATTTTCACATCCCGAGGGATGTGTTATGGGACACATAGAGGCTTGTCTCCTTCCAGTGTTCCGTTTGTGGTTTTGATAATTGTGATTTCAAAATGACGTCCAAACAAATGACTCTGTTCTGCCTTTAGCAATCTATCAGTATCAGCGGTCCTTTCCTTCTACCTCTTCAAGTTTGTCTCATTTTCCTCTCCTTGCTCTTCCCTCTAGCCACTGTTGCTTTTCTCATGTCAACCAAACTTCCTTGGGCTTTGAAAAGAGTCACTACTCGTTCTCCAGGCGTAGATGAAATAATCGTGCTCTGAAGGGCAGTAAGGGACAGTAGCACACTTGCTCCTGTAACGTGCCCGTGTAATGTAGACATCCGAAACTCATGCACTTGGCTCATGGGGCTCACCTCTTACCACAACTGCAAAGGCAAGTCCGTATCAGAAGAGACCAATTTAATAGCCTGCAAGTAAGCAGTTACACGACACAGAGCCGCTCACAAATATGGGAAGCAAGATAAATCAAATAATTTAATAATGCATGAAATTTCTACAGGAATCAGCCCAATTATGAAGAGACTGAAAATAAAAGAACACCAGGGAATTACAGTGAGTCAAAATGAGAAATGACTTTTAATAAATTGCACTCAGGATTACTTTAGAGTCATATATTGTGAAAGCTTGGGCTAAATGAATGCTGAGTTCCCTTTCATTTTTGTCATTTTGCAGATGAGGTCTTGAGTGGTGATTTCACCAAAGTTTGAGTTGTGTGATCCTGATCAAATAATTTAATCTCTCTAGGACTCTGGTTCCACATCTATAAATGGGGAGAACTTTTGGGAAAAATAAAAGTGACAAATTGCAGTGCTTGACAGGTCATGTCGTGGGGTTGGTGACTGAATAGTCTATAAACAGGAAAAGGTTTAATGCTTTAGTAAAATATTGCTGAGTGACATTCAAGGGTAATAGTAATTAATTATTAATTCAATAAATAAGTGAATTTAAAATTATGCATGCTAGCTGTCTTCTAAATGCTAGTCACTTTGCAGCATTATAGAAATATGAAGATGGATAAAATAAAATCACAGGCCTCATCTGCCTCATTCACATCCCTATTTTCATCCTAATTAACATATTTCCTACCTTCTTCTCACCTATTTCTTGTTATTTTGTTGTATAGCCTTTTAGTTGTCTTAAGTTCTTGCCAAAATAAGGTCCAGCATAAAAAAAATAAGGAAAGTATTTAGTTCATTTATACATACATACACACATAAACCAGTCCTTACCCTTGTAGAACGCTTTTAGGAAGACACACCCATTAACAATTGCAACATAATGTGATACATCGTGCAATTGAGATGTGTGCCATAAAGCATATAGAGGAGGTTTAACTCACTTTGGAATTAGGGGGTGTCCATTGGAGATTTCCTAAAAGAGGTGACATTTGAATGGAGCCTTGATGAATGAGTAAGCATTAATCATGGGAAAGAAGGCACGCTACCCTCAGGAAACAAAAAGAGGCAGGAATACGCCTAGGGAATGAAGAACTGTATCATATAGCTAAAGCATAAAGGAGCAGGGCAGGGCACTAAAGTGTGGTATTCTGGTGGCTAGGACATGGTAAGCGGTGGGAGAAGACAATGCAAAATAAAACCATTAATCAAAGCACAGCACAACACTGTTTCAAGACAGTAAACTCAGAGCCATTTATCTTCAGTTGTCATTAGGTATACTGCAACGGCTTTCCCATGTCCACCTGAAACTGTGCACTAAGCAAGTACATTCTTTATCAAAGTAATTATCTAAAATGCCAAGTCCTTTTGTTGTTTAGGCATTAAACACTCAGATTTCCAGCAAGAATTTAGAGATTTCCCACTGAAATCTTTTCATAGTAAAATAGATAAAAGTTTTGCTTTATTGACCTTAAACAAGGACATTTTAAAGGAGCCTAAGCATGGTTAGAAGCACTTATGCTCCGACACCTTTCAGTCAGTTAAAATATAAGGGCTTCCTCTCACCACACAAAGCTGAACAAAAGGCTGTCGTAGTTGCTATTGTGGAAAAACTTGCTTAATCACACAAATGTTTATTTTTATTTCAAATAAAAATGACCTTTTAGTCCCTCAAATATCCATGTCAAAGTCAATCACAGAAGCATGCCATATTTTTCCTTTCCTGAATTTTTTAATAACCCTCTATCCCAAATTCCTCCTAAAAAGGTATTACAGTGATAAGGAGGTGCCTATTGACTCCTCCCCAGCATTAGGTTATCAGTGGCCTGCACTCTGACTTCACACAACCAAAAGTATGGCTCATCTCCAGTGGCTTACATTTGAAGGGAAATTCAAATTAACACCAGAAGAATTTCTGGTTCACCTTACACACTACAGAAATTGCCTGCCAAAATGATGATCAGCACATTATTATGTAACTTTGGGGCTCTGAATAGCCAGTAAGAATGTCTTGGAATGCAAATGGACACATTTTTTGTTTAACTAACCTATGTAGGAATGAATGTGCTTCTCCAGTGAAAAATTATATATGAAAAAATATTATGGGACTATGTAACCAGGTAACCAGTGGCGATTTAATTCCCATTTGCATGAACTTAAGTAAGTCACTTGCCTTATCTTTGTTTCAGTCTTCTCATCTATAAAATGGATGTTATAATAAATTTGGGGAATATTTTGTACAGTAGTTAAGTAAAGCACTTAACACTATGCTTGACACTTTGCCTGTGTCATCATAGATAATACATATTATTATTATTGCTATTATTTCTCTAGAGTGATCCTACAGAATCATCAATACTAAGGCCACTAGAATTCCTTAAAAATAAGTACTCAGTCACCATATACTGAAGTTTTTTGAACTGAGGTATTTTGAACATTACTTAACTCAATAAGCATCTACTGTTATTTTACAATATTCAGGGATCTGTGGTAATGACAGATAATTTAGACAGGTTTTATTCCCAAAGAGCTTCCAATTTAAGAGTAAATATAAATGCACGCGTGGACAATTTGGTACAGAATTGTCTGTGAAGGCTGCTATATTAGATGTGGAGAGGAGATTATAAGAATTTAGAAGCCATAGGATTTGTCTCTATTGGGCAGTGAGGGGGGTGGTGGTAAGACGTTGCCTCAGAACAAACATTTATTGAAAATCTTCTATAGGTCAGACTCCATAGGAGGCACCAATTATACACAGTAAGAGTAAGATATACATTATCCCTGCCCTCATGGGATTTACTCTAAAGTAAAAAATACGGGAGGATTTGGTTTGGTAGGGGGAGAGAAGTCAGTTTTAAACACTTTGAGTTTGAGATCACTATGGAACATTGAGGCATAAATATTCATTTGGCACATAGGATGATGGAAATGGAGCTCAAAAGAAAGCTAAAGACTGTAACCTCCTTGAGAGGAGGAACTTTGTCGTACTCACCATTTTACTCACAGCACCAAAAGGGCTTTGGCATGTAGCAGGCACTTGGTCAAATTTGTTGAATGAATTGATACACAAAGACAAAAAGTCACTACTCTTCCTATTATTATTCCTATCATTATCACTTTCATTATCATTCTTATTTCTGTATATTGACCAGACAAAATCACCCAGAAACAAAGCTACTAAAATTGGCCTTGGTAAAATCTTGAGATTCAATGAGATCATTGGGGATGTTCAATGCTTTGTGTATGTAAATCTACATAGCTACTGTTGGATTTGAAATTTTCTGGATAAAATATACACATTCTTGGGGAATCATTTTACCCTATATTTTCTTCTTTATAGATTTAACTAACATTTCTTGAATACCTTCCTTTACCAGACGTCATGCTAACCGCTGGGAACACAAGCATAAACTAGTTATCTGTCTTCAAGAAGCTTGCAATTCTCAAATGGCATCGCTCACATCAAGAAAACAGTGGCAGAAAAGTGTAATCAAAATATATTATGTTGGTGCAAAAGTAATTGCACCAATCCAATAAAAAGAAGAAACAACATTGGGCAGTAGGATATCATACCAGAATTGTTAGATTACTGTTTATTTCCAAGAGCTGTGCTAGCGTATTTTCAAATACCAAGTATGAAATGTCTCTCTTTTTAAAATAAATCCCCAGTCTAATTTTTCCATCCAGATATCTAGATATAATAGAAAAGCATATTCCAATATGTCTTGGTATAACTTTGGGGAGGGCTGCTTTTCATCTTCCAGAACACAGCTTAATTCTTGAGGGGAGACTCAAGATTCATCACAATGAGCTCAAGGAAATAGAACAATTCTTTCAGAAAAGGTAACAGCTTTGATTAATAAAAATGATGGCATGGTCTTATGTATTCACACTATTTTGTTAAATGAGGAAAAGTGTCTATCCTCCAAAGTGGCCATGTATGCAAGCTTTTCCATTATCTGTAACATAGCAAAAATAAAGAATTTGTTCTATTCTAACAAAAAATTCCTGTTCATATAACTGGGGACATGAACAGAGGGTGGGAGAAATGAACACTTGCTATAATGAGTCCCATGAAATGGGCTAAACTTGTGGCTGCTCAAGATATTCAGGTAGTTAGCCTTAACAAATGAGGTCCTAAATATGGTATGATGATATATGGTCCAAAATATAGTAAAATAGCCTTTCATAATTACTTTTGTTTCTAGAATGTTTTTTAGAAATAGATGGTAATTACATAGATTTTGGAGTATAAACATATGTGTATCATGGGATTTAACACACCTGATTCCTAGTATAAATATGGTATGTAAATTATAATATGAATTAGCATACATAAAAATATGCATATATACACATCCTCATGCATAGTGTGACCAACTTGTCCCAGTTTGCTGGGGCTGTCCTGTTTTTAAAACTATAATTTTCTTGTCCCAGAAACTCCTTTAGTCCTGAGGAAATCAGGAGAGTTGGTATCTATACTCAGGAAATACATCAGTGGAAATGACAATGCTATACTAAGTTGAAAGTCTAGCTTGCTTTTGAAGTGTAAGCAGAACAAAGTACTACAGAAATCTCACAGAACTGCACAGATTTTCATCTTGATTCTCTTCTTGGGTGTCCAACAATTCAGGATTACTGGATGAACATCCCTTTGACACTGGTTCTTGCCAAGATCTGGGCTAAGGGATCGCTTTCTTTGGTGAACATATCAGAAGAGACTGGCAAAAAAAAAAAAAAAATACACAGAGAAAATTATCGTCAAAAATTTGCTCAACAGTACCTAACACAGAGTTTAGGCTCTCAATAAATATTTTTGAATACAATAACTTAATATTCCCACTTCCAAGGATTCAATTTGTGACAACACTAACTTGCAAGATCACAGATTGGCTGATGTAACATAATCTTATTTATGATAAAAAATGCATTTTCCAATAGCTAGCATTAAGCTTTCTGTGTTAAAGCTTTCCTGATTATCCTTGGCATTTTGGTAATGCCAAGAATTACCACATTAATGGTAATAATTTTCTTCTTTAAGCACTTATAACACTATACAATATGTTTGAACTTTTCCATATACTCTTTAATTCATACAGAAACTCTGAGAGGATAAGTACTGTTATTATCCCAATTTTTCAAATGAGGAAACTGAGGTTCAGAAAAGTAACTTGTTCAAGGTCACTTAGAAGTTAAATTTATGTCAGCTATAATTACCTAACCACTTAGATATACTATCTCTTTAATGTATTTATTAGATCCAACTACTCATTCATTCTATAAATATTGGTTGAGTACCTATGAAATTCCTAGCACTGTTATAAGCTGTGGGAATATAACATCGAGTCAAATAAAATGTCTCTATTCTAATGGAGACAACACTTGGGTAGGGAGACACAAGAAATTATTATTCCATATAATATCAGCAAATAATAGGGGTCACTGAGTGTTTTAAAGTGAGAGTTCTGGGAAAGAGAGGGGCTATTATAGATTAGGTGGTCAAGGAAAGCCTTTCAGTGAAAGTAATATTTGAACATAAGAGAGAGTTGAACAAACAAGGGAGTTAAAAGCATCCCAGGCACAGAGAAGGGCAAGTGTACAGTCCCAAAATATACACTGCAAAATGTACATCCAAAATGATCATGCTTCTCAAGTTCCAAGAAAAGGCCAGTGTAGCTAAAGCACAGGGGTAGCGGGCAAAGTAAAAGGCGACAGAGTCAGAATATACATGGCAAAGCTAAAACAATGCTCTTCTTGGTAATGATATATTCCATTGGCACATACAGGCAATTTTACCCAGTAATGTGGACATGTGATAATTTCAATCAATTAATGTGTTCATTTGAACTACCTTATTTATGGGCACAAATGAGAATAATAAAAGAGGGGATATACAAGTGAGTTTGGAAGATACACATAAAATTTAACAAGATATGAATACTGGCCACTGAAGGTGGATGGAATTCTATCGGACAATGTAGACTAACAGTTTTTTGAGGGGATCACCAAACTTTTTTGTAAAAAGCCAGATAGTAATTTTTTTTAGCTTTGTGGGCCATATAGTCTCTGTGCCAACTACTCATTTCCACTATCATAGCACAAAAGCAACCACAGAAAATACATAAATTAATGGGCGTATCTTCATGCTCAAAAAAGCTTTATTGACAAAAGCTGGTAGCAGACAAGATTTAGCCCATAGGCTATGGTTTGCTAACCAATGCTATAAGTAAAAGATATATTTTATTTCTTTCTGTGCTACATCAGATTTTTAATGTTTCCTCCTGAAAAAAAGAAAAGAGAGAAGCATGCATGAAGATGAAAACGTAAAAGTGAAGGGCACCAAGAACGTCTTTTATGAGATCTTCCCAGGGGGGCAAAAATGTGTTCTCACCAAGTCTTGCACCCTCCCATTCAGCACAGAGCTTGCAGCCCAGTATGTATTCAGTCAATATTAGTGGAATTTGATTGGCTGTTTCTGTCTTTAACTGGTCACTTGGTGATATTTCATTTTGTCTGGATCATCCCTACCATTATCACTAATTGTCAAAAAAGGATTTAATGAGTGCGTGTGAAAGTACCGTACTATATGCTGTGCAAAGAATGATAATCTGAGAATTTTTGCCCTGGCTATTATATTAATTGTGAGAAGTCAAAGTCTTTTAATAAAGGGACTATTGATTATCTAGACTCTTTATCAGGTGGCCTCCCATTCTTAATCTTGCAGATATACACTACTGTTTTCTCCACAATTTCCTATGAGAAAAATATTATCTAATTTGTTAAAGTGTAATTATTCATCTGGGTTTGATCCACACCACTGAGGCTTTCCCCTTGCGGAGATTTATCTGAACAGCCTGGGTCTGAATATCGTGGATTTCCCACTCACTCTGCCTATTTAGCACTAAGATAATCCCTTGAAAAATGGTATATTCCTACACCTAAATTCAGTTTCTTCTACCCTATAACATAATATTATCATTTCTTGAGGGTTGGAAGAAACAAAAAATTAAACAGTACATTCAGATTCTATGTATATAGTATAAAACTATGTTGATAAACATATTAAAGAAACATAAACTCGAAGCATTTTAGCTAATGATAAAAGCTATAATTAGTAGTTTAGCTTGAAGTTAGTCTGCATCCATTACTAGGAATTAAGACAAGTGACAGTTATGGTGATAAAACAGAAAATAGACTAAAGAGACATTAATATACTTATTTTATACAAGGGCATTACTTATTGGCAGAAATAAGAGGGTAAAGTTTTGCTTTATTAATACAATTTTTTGAAAAGACTATGAAATAAGAAGTAAAGATAAGTCAAAACACTGAGAAGTACAAGGAGCCTCCAGCTGGTTAAATGAAAAAATGAACAAAAACTATTTAAAAACAACATCAAATTTTAATGGCAAAATGAAAACCTTTGCTTGAAGCAATAAAGAGACAAAATAAAAACATCACCAGTCAAGCTAGCAATGAGAATGACAAGCTTAAGAAACTTCACCACAATGTAGAGATAGAGAATGAAGAAATGAAAATGATGAGAGAGGATTGTAGATATGGACAGATCCAGGTATGCAGTGTCTAGAAGAAGAAACAAGAAGTCATGGAACTGAAGCTATCTAATCCAAGGCATCATTGTTTCTGAACTGGTGGAAAAGCTGAATAAATACTTTGAAGAGTATCATCATGTGATAAGAAAAGTCAGTGAAAAGACAACCGGGGTTGGCCATAAACTGGCAAACTGTTTTTGAGGTACAAGCACAAAAATTTACAACCATCTGAGCAGGAATACAAGTTATCTTCGAAGGAAAATAAATTGGGCTTTTCTCAAATGTTTCATCTGGAACACAAAATGGAGACTGTAAATCATGATTTCAAGACCTGGTCTTAGCTTCCCTCTCTTTTCTCTGTACATTTTCTCCCTATATGATCTTGTCTATAATCACATTTTCCATACATTCAAAACAATTGCTAAAAGAAAACAATAATAAATTTTACTACATTACATATAAGAACTTCTTTTCTTGAAAAGACTTAATAAAGTGAAGAGGCAAATCACTAACTAGGAAAATATATTTTCAATGCATATACTAGACAAAGGATTACTATCCAGCATATAAAAATCTTCAATAAATCATTAAGAAAATGATAGACTACTCAATAAATGAGAAAACGGGTGAAATTTTTAACAAAAAATAGAAATTAGCAAAGGGCTATGAATAATAAAATGATATATCCAATAATAAAATAATATATCCATAACGTGGAAGAATAGGCAGAAAGTTGTTCAAGAATAAAGTCATATATACTAACATGGTTTGTTACTCAAGATTTAGGAGACATATAATATATTGTGGGTTTTCCGTAAAAAGAACCCACAAAAAATAAAACATTATGTACTTTTTACATTGTGTGTTTGTGTGTAACAACTTTGTCCTTCTCTTCCTAATCATCATCCACACTGGCCTAAATGTATTCCTTAAACAAACCAATAAAACCATTTTTGTTATTCTTGTTTCCTGGAATATCTTTATTTCATTTACTCATCTTTCAGCTCTTATCTCAAAACTCACCTCCTCAGAAGGTCTTTCCTGGTAACCTAAAATAAAGTAACAACTCTCTTACTGCTATCATTTTCTAGCCCTTTGTTTTTCTGCCTTTACAGCACTCACACTTAAGACTCTTAACGATTGTGTTTTTTTATGTTTTACCCCTCAGTGGAAGACAACAGAATGGCAGAACATTATTCTTATGTTTTAAATGTCCAACAATCACACACATAACTGATCTTCAGAGTGCAGGTGCCCTGTCCCTCCTTAGTCGTCCCTCTCAAGGTTAGATAGCCTCAGTTCCTTCCATCATGTTGGAAAATCATTCTACTCTGAATAGTCTTCATTTCTTATTATTCACTTTAAACATTTTAACACCTCTCCAAACTGAATAGACTGTTAATTACTATTGGACAAAGTGAAGTGAAGTGTCTCTCTCATTTTAGTCACTATACTTTCATTTATGCAGTCTAAGATAGCATTCATTCATGCAGTCTAAGATAGCATACATTCTTTTGGAAAATGACACAAATTATACTGTGATTCACACTGAGTTTACCACTGACACTAAACCGTCTTCTGCAAGTGCTGCTATGAAATGATGCCCCCAAACATGAATATGTGTATTAGATTTTTGATCTCAAGGGTGTAGATTTATATCAATTTTTATTAAATTTCATTCTGATATATTTTGTCTATCATCCCAGCTTGTCAATATGTTTTTAGATTCTAATTCCCTCACCAAAACTATTTGTTCTCCCTTACAACTTTATCCATGAATTTGATGAGCAAACACTTAACTGCTTTATCTAACTCACTGAAAATAACCATAATCAAGACAAGGTTTGGGCTAGTGTCCTGTGGTATACAATTATAAATCTCTCTCTAGTTGTATTACAGTACAATCAGCTATAATGCGGCCAGTTAGAAACACAATCATGCTTATATTTCTTCATATTGTCTACAATATATTATGAGAAATAGTTTCCAAATGAGCTGCCGAGGTCCATATGTATTTTGTTACCTGCATAAACCTTATCTAATAAGCTACTAAACTACCTAATAATAATAAATATACCAAAATGACAGTACTAACAGTTAATATTTGAGTGCTTATTACGCACTATACAGTATAAGAATTTTATATGAAAGAGTTCCTCTAATCCTCCCTATGAAACCAGAAATATATGCACTATGTTCACATTCTGAAGATGAAAAACTGAAGTCCAGAGAAATTAAGTTAGAAAAAAATATAATTACTCAGAAATAAGTTATTTTTGTACACTCATAGTTTTTATTTTTTTGTAAGCGAAGAGTGCACTTATTTTCTTCAAGGTATAGTATTTTGCCATGTAGCATATTCTCAAAATAATTTGAAAATTAATATAATACTTTCTGAAACAACAGTATTAATCACATTTAAATATCAAATTGCTGAGGTATAAGAGAATGAAACATACAGACATTGTTAAATATGAGATATAACATTTCCTCATCCGGGAAGAAATTACTTGCCATTTGTAAAATCCCATAAAAAATTTGCTACCCAACTACCTCGGGAATTCTACAAAATAATCAATTGCCCATTCTAATTTGATGTTTATAATTCCACAAAACAGACGTTCTCTTCCCATGAGACTTTAGTGCAAACCTTAACTCCTCTTACCCATTTACTGTCACTGGCTAAGATTACTTAAAGGGCTTCATCTCTCTTCTCAGCTATCAGAATTGGGAGCTCTATCCACAGTTTATTGGTCCATGCAAAGCAGGAAGTAGGGACACGCTGCAGTTGAAATATGAGAAGAGTATGAGAACTCAGCCATGTGGAGCTAATGAGAACTGTCCTTTAAGAGCATAAAAAATGTACAAACGCTACCCTCCTAAAACCTTGTTTTATTAACCTTTATCAACTGCTGAGAAACTGGAACATGATGGAATTTTTGAACTTTCCTGTCAGCAGCAAAAGGGTAATGCTTTTTTGATTGCTGTTTGGCAAAAACCTGGCTTCTCATTCCAAAAGGTCTCAAATTAACTTCATCCTCAACTGATTAGAGAGCACAAGGATTACATGGTTTTATTTCTTCACTTTTGCCACCACTGTGTAATACGCAGGTGAGGAACATTTGTCGCTCTTGATGTAGAACAATTTATTAACGTTTGTCAATAGCTGACAAACTATTTACTACCACTGAGTTAATGCAGAAAGTTGCAGGGAAGTCACTGAGAATGTATTCGAGTTGAAATGAAAATGATGAAATTCCACTTTTTTCTTGTTTTACTCAATGGAAATTAAAAGCAGTTCTTATTAACAGTTGCTGGTTGCCAGGCACAGTGGCTCACGCCTGTAATCCCAGCACTTTGGGAGGCCAAGGCGGGCGGATTATCTGAGGTTGGGAGTTCGAGACCAGCCTGAGCAACATGGAGAAACCCCGTCTCTACTAAAAATACAAAATTAGCCAGGCGTGGTGGTGCATGCCTGTAATCCCAGCTACTCAGGGAGGGTGAGGCAGGAGAATCACTTGAACCCGGGAGGCAAAAGTTGCAGTGAGCCGAAATCACGCCATTGCGCTCCAGCCTGGGCAACAAGAGCGAAACTCTGTCAAAAAAAAAAAAAAAAAAAAAAAAAAAAAAACAGTTTCTGGCATTTCCCTACAGTAGGATCACTTATCATTTGTTTTTTAATCCTGTCAATAAGAGCTGTTGTTTTCTCCCAATGATAACACACCCTAATATGTGACAGTGCAGAATAACATACTTGTCTGTGCCTATGCCTGAAAAAATATTTTTTTAAAGGTCAAAGACAAATTTCTATTTTAGACTCTGAATCTCCCCAAGCAGCAGGTTTTAGCTTTTTGCATTTTAGTGTGGATTATGGCTGTGGACTTTGGAGTCAGTCTTCCAGGATTGAAATTTTGATTCTACTGACTGCTATTTATGCGCTCTCTGCCTCTATTTTCTCATCTGCAAAATGGAGATAATAGTCACATATCAACTACGTAATAAGCCTGTTGTAGAATTAAATTCATTAATTCATGTTAAGTGTTTAGAACAGAGTCTACTACCTACTGAATGTATTTGCTGTTGCTGTCACTAATGAGAGGCCACAGAAGTGTGTGATCTAGATCCAGGTTCTGGCTCAGATTTACTATTTGTAACCTATATGACTTTAAGCAGTACATCCTACCTAACCTCACTGTTTCTCAGATTCCCCATCTGTAGCTTGGGGTTAAGGATGTGTATCTCAAAATGCTGTTTCACAATAACATGAAATAATTCAGGTAAAGTGTTTAGCATAGTATCTAGCACCAAACAAGTCAGGAGTGTCATTTACCGCTAATATTTCTTGCATGAGAATCATTTGTATATTTACAAACACGAATAAGAAAAACTTTGCATTTTCCAGGATACAAACGCAATTAACCTTTCTATGTGTTTACTAGTTATTCGTATGCTTATCCTCTGAATCATTTCTTATTAAAGTTATTAAACACTTGCATGATTTTTTATTAGCTCGTTTCTGTTTCTGTTTTCATCTCGATTTGTAGGAATCTGTACATATACAATGATGCATCACTTAACTATGGGAATGTGTTTTGAGAAATGTGTTGTTAGGCAGCTTTCATCATTGGGTAAACATCATAGAGTGTACATACACAAACCTAGATGGTATAGCATACCATACACCTAAGCTATACGGTACAGCCTATTTCTCCCAGGCCACGACGTGTACAGCATTTTACTGTACTAAATACTTAGGCAATTGTAAGACAATGGAAAGTATTTGTGTACCTAAACATAGAAAACTTAAAGTAAATGTATGGTATAAAAGATAAATATGGCACACTTGTATAGGGCACTTACCATGAATGGAGCTTACAGGACTGGAAATTAGTCTGGGTGAGTCTGTGAATGAGTGGTGAATGGATGTGAAGGCCTTACTGTGAACTACTACAGACTTTATAAAAATTGAACACTTAGACTACACTAAATATATTAAAACAGTTTTCTTCCTTCAATAATAAATTAACCTTATCTTCCTGTAACTTTTTTACGTTATACACTTTCAACTTTTTAAATCCTTCATAATAACATTTAGCTTAAAAACTAAACACATTACACAGCTGTACAAACATATCTTAATTATTCATATCCTTATTCTATAAGCTTTCCTCTATTTTTAAATTTATTGCACTTTTTAAACTTTTTCTTTAAAGACATAAACACACATTTGCCTAGGGCTACACAGGGTCAGGATTGTCAATATCACTGTTGTCCACCTCCACAACTTGTCCCACTGTAAGTTTTTCAGTGGCAATAACAGGAATGGAGCTGTCATCTTTTATGATAACAATGACTTCTTCTGAAATACCTCCTGAAGGACTGACCTCAGACTGTTTTATAGTTAACATTATTCCAGAAGAAGTACATTCTAAAATCGTGATGAAAATTACGGATAGCATGGTGAATACTGTGAACCCCAAATATCTGAAACAGGTCTCAGACAATTAGGAAGTTTATTTTGCCAAAGTTAAGGATGCACACCCATGACACAGCCTCAGGAGGTCCTGATGACATGTGCCTGAGGTGGTCGGGGTACAGCTGGTTTTATACATTTTAGGGAAACACAAAACATCCATCAATATATGTAAGATGAACAATGGTTCAGTTCAGAAAGGCGGGACAACTCAAAGCAAAGGAAGGGGCTTCCATGTCACAGGTAGATGAGACAAATTGTTGCATTCTTTTGAGTTTCTGATTAGCCTTTCCAAAGGAGGCAATCAGATACACATTTATCTCAGTGAGCAGAAAAATGACTTTGAATCGAATGGGAGGCAGTTTTGCCCTAAGCAGTTCCCAGCTTAACTTTTTTCTTTAGCTTAGTAATTTTGGGGTCCCAAGATTTATTTTCCTTTCACAATATACAACCAGCAACATATTTGTTTGTTGTCATCATCAAATATTATTTACTACACATAATTGTATGAGCTACACATTTATATTACTGGTAGTAGAGTAGGTTTGTTTATACCAGAATTATCACAAACATATGAGTATTGCATTCTGCTACAATGTTACTAGGCAAAAGGAACTTTTCAGCTCTATTATAATCTTAGGAAAACACCATAGTATATGCAGTGCATCATTGACTGAAATATTGGTATGCAGCACATGACTCAGTATGCAGCACGAGAGATACAGACTACATATTTATGCCTTCCCAAAATCCATATGTGGAAGCCCTAATCCCCCTGATATGGTTTGGCTCTGTATCCCCACCCAAATACCATCTCGAATTGTAATCCGCAGGTGTTGAGAGGGGAATCTGGTGGGGGATGATCTGGATAATGGGGGTGGTTTCTCTCATGCTGTTATCATGATAATAAGTGAATTCTCACGAGATCCGATGGTATTGTAAGTGTTTGGTAAGTTTCTCATCCGCTTGCTGGCTCTCTCAACTGCCACCATGTAAGATGTGCCTGCTTTCCCTTCCACCATGATTGTAAGTTTCCTGAGGTGTCCCGAGACATGCAGAACTGTGAGTTGATTAAACTTCCTTTGTTCATGAATTACCTCGTCTTGAGAATATCTTTATAGCAGTGTGAAAATGGACTAATTCAGTAAATTGATAGCACAGAGTGGGGCGCTGCTATAAAGATACTTGAAAATGTGAAAGTGACTTTGGAACTGGGTAATGGGCAGAGGTTGGAACAGTTTGGAGGGCTCAGAAGAAGGCAGGAAGATGTGAGAAAGTTCGGAGCTTCCTAGAGACTCGTATGGTTTTGACCAAAATGTGGATAGTGATGTGAACAGTGAAGTCCAGGCTGAGGTGGTCTCGGGTGGAGATGAGAAACTTATTGGGAACTAGAGTAAAAATCACTCTTGCTATGTTTAGCAAAGAGACTGGTAGCATTTTGCCCCTGCCCTGGAGATCTGTGGAACTTTTAACTTGACAGAGATGATTGATGGTATCTGCCAGAAGAAATTTCTAAGTGGCAAAGTGTTCCAGAGGAAGCAGAGCATAGAAGTTTAGATTATTTGCAACCTGACAATGCAATAGAAAAGAAAAACCCATTTTCCTGGGAGAAATTTAAGCCAGTTGCAGAAATTTGCATAAGTAATGAAAAGCCTATTGTTAATCACCAAGACAATGGGGAAAATGTCTCCGTGGCATTTCAGAGATCTTGCTGGCAGCCCCTCCCATCATAGGCCCAGAGGCCAAGAAGAAAAAACTGGTTCACTGGGCAGGGCCCATGGCCCCCTGCTGTGTGCAGCATCAAGAATTGATGCCCTGTGTCCCAGCTGCTCCAGCTCCAGCCTTGGCTAAAAGGGGCCAAGGTACAGCTTGGGCTGTTGTTTCAGAGGGTGCAAGACCCAAGCTTTGGTGGCTTCCATGTGGTGTTGGGTCTGTGGGAGCACAGAACTCAAAAATTGAGGTTTAGGGACCTCTGCCTAGATTACAGAGGATTTATGGAAATAACTGATTGTCCAGGCAGAAATTTGCTGCACGGGTGGAGCCCACGTGGAGAACCTCTGCTAGGGCAGTGCAGAAGGGAAATGTGGGGTTGGAGCCCCCACACAGAGTCCTCACTGAGGCACTGTCTACTAGAATGTAAGAAGGCAGCTACCATCCTCCAGACCCAAAAATGATAGATCCACAGACAGCTTGCACTGTGCACCTGGAAAAGCCACAGATACTCAATGCTAGCCTGTGAAAGCAGCTGAGAGTGGGGCTATACCCTGCAAAGCCACAGGGGCAGAGCTGCCCAAGATCATGGGAACCCACCTCTTGTGCCAGAGTGACCTGGATGTGAAACATGGATTCAAAGGAGATCATTTTGGAGCTTTAAAATATCATGACTGCCCTGTTGGATTCCGGACTTGCGTGGGGCCTGTAGCCACTTTGTTTTGGCCAATTTCTCCAATTTGCAATTAGAACATTTATCAATGGCTTTACCCCCTTTGTGTCTTGGAAGTAACTAGCTTGCTTTTGATTTTGCAGGCTCATAGGTAGAAGGGACTTGCCTTGTCTCAGATGTGAGTTTGGACTGTGGACTTTTGAGTTACTGTTGAAATGAGTTAAGACTTTGGGGGGCTGTTGGAAAGGCATAATTTGTTTTGAAATGTGACAAGACATGAGATTTGGGAGGGGCCAGTGGCAGAATGAAATGGTTTGTCTCTATGTCTCCACCCAAATCTCATCTCATATGGTAATTCCCAGGTGTTGAGGGAGGAAGCTGGTGAGAGATGATTAAATCAGGGGGGCAGTTTCACCCATGCTGTTCTCACGATTGTGAGTGAGTTCTCATGAGATCTGATGGTTTTGTAAGTTATTAGCAAGTTCCTTCTTCGCTCTCTGGCTCTCTCGCCTGCCGCCACGTAAGATGTGCCTGCTTCCACTTCTGCCATGATTGTAATTTTCCTAAAGCCTCCCCAGCCATGAGGAAATGTGAGTCACTTAAATCTCCTTAGTTTATGAATTATGTACTCTCAGGTGGTATCTTTATAGCAGTATGAAAACTAATACACCCTCCATGGTTGTATTTGGAGATGGGGCCTCTAAGGAAGTAATTAAGATTAGATGAGTTCGTAAGGGTGGGGCCTTTATCTGATAGAATTAGTGCCCTTGTAACAGACACTAGAGAGCTTGCTCTCCCTTCCATGTGAGGATGCAATGAGAAGGCCACTGTCTATAACTAGGAAAAAAATCATCACCAGAACGCATCATACTGGCACGCTAATCTCAGATTTCTGGTCTCCAGACAATGAGAAATAAATTTCTGTTGTTTGAACAACCCATTCTGTGGTATTGTGTTATAGCAGCCAAAAAAGACCAATAAAGTGCAGTGGCCAAAAACTGGAATCAACCTGAATGCCTGCAATAGAGAAATGGCTTAATAAGTTTCATTTAAGCCATCCTCATTCACATGACTACATTTAAAAGTATGATAATTCTATACCAGAAAATGTGGATAGATTTTTATGTAGTGTTTCTAAGTTATATAACCAAGATGCATTAAAGAGTAAAATAGTGCTTCTATACAGGTGTACGTATATGTATATATGCTATATTACTATATGAAATTGGCAAAGATATGGAAAAATGCACAATCACCTTTTAACATTGGTTATCCAATTGGAGGAGAGAGTAAAGAAATGCAAAATTTTATAGAGATGGTCTTTCTAAACAATATATACATATATGTATATACGTGTATACATAACTCTTACATAAATTCACATATGAGCGTTTATATGTATAAAGCTATGTATATATGAAAAGATAGTTGCCAATATTGTGCATATTGCTGGATATTTTTGGTTTTCAGTGTTTTATGTATTTTTAAACTTTCTTGTAACTTGAATTTTTTTTTTTTTTTTTTTTTTAGATGGAGGCTTGCTCTGTCACCCAGGCTGGAGTGCAGTGGTGTGATCTCGGTTCACTGCAACCTCCACCTCCCGAGTTCAAGCGATTCTCCTGCCTCAGCCTCCCAAGTAGTTGGGACTACAAGCATGCACCACCACATCCAGGTAATTTTTGTATTTTTAGTAGAGATGGGGTTTCACCATATTGGTCAGGCTGGTCTTGAACTCCTGATCTTGTGATCCATTCGCCTCAGCCTGCCACAATGCTAGGATTACGGGCGTGAGCCACCATGCCCCACCCTGAATTTTTTTTAAATAAAATTTTTAAATGATTTTAAGCTTTAACCTTTGTCTTAATCCATTTTATCTTACTAAAATGTAATACTACATACCGGCTAAATTAAAAACAATAGGACTTTATGGCTGGGCGTGGTGGCTCACGCCTGTAATCCCACCACTTTGGGAGACCAAGGTGGGCAGATCACAAGGTCAGGAGATTGAGACCATCCTCGCTAACATGGTGAAACCCCATCTCTACTAAAAATACAAAAAAAAAAAAAATTGCTGGGCATTGTGGCAGGAGCCTGTAGTCCCAGCTCCTCAGGAGACTGAGGCAGAAAAATTGCTTGAACCCCAGGCGGAGGTTGCAGTCAGCCAAGATCACACCACTGCACTACAGCCTGGGTGACAGAGCGAGAATCCATCTCAAAAAAAAAAAAACCAAAACAGAACAAAAAGTTTATTTAGCTCATTTTTCTAGAACTGGGAAGTCCAAGGGCATGGTGTTAGCATCTGGTGAGGGCCTTCTTCCTACATCATAAGATGAGAGATGGCATCACATGGTGAGAGGGCAACAGCATTGGAGTCAGCCCAGGTATCTCTAACCTCTTCCTATAAAGCTACTATTCCCATATCATAGGGGCTCCATCCTGATGAACTTATCCAATCCAAATTACTTCCCAAATACCTCACCTCCTATTGACATATGAATCTGAGGATTATATTTTCAATACATGCAATTTTGGGGACACATTCAAACCACAGCAACATTTCTAAATAAAACATTATACAGCAGATTCAGAAAATAACCTAACATGTATAAAATTGATGATTGTTTTGTCTTCCATTTATTCATCAAACATACATTGAGCAGCCACCATGATGTTGTGATAAGTGTATTAAGGTGGTTGCAATTACAAAAATGAATGAAATATGCTTCTTCCTGGTGTATATTGTATAATGAGGGAGACAAAGTTGTAAATCAATGATTTTAATACAACATGGTAAGTGCTCTAATACAAGTAGTAGTAGGACAACAGGAGCCACTAACTCTGCTGGGGTTGGTGGTGGGGAGACATCAGAGTGGGAGCAACATTTGATCTTAGCCTTGAAGAATGATTAAGCTTTCATCACTCATCAGACATAGGTGGGGAAGAGAAAGCAATTAATTCAAAGAGGAAGGAAAAACACGTAGCACTATTTTACTTGCTCATCAGTGACATGTAAGGAGCAGTAAACAGCTTGGTTTTTTGTTTGTTTATTTGTGTCTGTGTGTGTGTTTTTGAGATGGAGTCTCACTCTGTCGCCCAGGCTGGAGTGCAGTGGCATGGTCTCGGCTCACTGCAATCTCCGCCTCCTGGATTCAAAAGAGTTCTTCTGCCTCAGCCTCCCGAATAGCTGAAACTACAGGTGCATGCCACCACGGCCCCCTAATTTTCGTATTTTTATTAGAGATTCGGTGTCACCATATTGGCCAGGCTGGTCTCGAACTCCTGACCTCGTGATCTGCCCACCACACCTTCCAAAGTGCTGGGATAATAGGCGTGAGCCACCATGCCCAGCCTACAGCTTGTTAATTATAGTTCTAAATGACAATAATGTGGAAAGACAGTGTATTAGTCTGTTCTTATACTACTAATAAAGACATAACTGAGACTGGGTAATTTATAAAGGAAAGAGGTTTAATGGACTCACAATTCCACATGACTGGGGAAGCCTCACAATCATCGCAGAAGGCAAATGAGCAGCAAAGTCACATCTTACGTGGCAGCAGGCAAGAGAGCTTGTGCAGGTTAACTCCCATTTATAAAACCATCAGATCTCCTGAGATGTATTCACTACCATGGCAACAGTAGGGCAGAAGTCACCACCATGATTCAATTATCTCCACCTGGCCCAACCCTTGACATGGGAATTATTACAATTCGAGGTGAGATTTGGATGGGGACACAGCCAACCATATCATTCTGCCACCGGCCCCTCCCAAATCTCATGTCCTCACATTTCAAAACCAATCATGCCTTCCCAAAAGTCCCCCAAAGGCTTAAATCATTTCAGCATTAACTCAAAAGTCCACAGGCCAAGGTCTCATCTGAGACAAGGTAAGTCCCTTCTGCCTATGAGCCTGTAAAATCAAAAGCAAGTTAGTTACTTCCGAGACACAATGCAAGTATAGGCACTGGGTAAAGACGCCCATTCCACATGGGAGAAATTGGCCAAAACAAAGGGGCTACAGGCCCCATTCAAGTCCAAAATCCAACAGGGCAGTCATTAAACCTTAAAGTTCCAACATGATCTCCTTTGACTCCATGTATCACATCCAGTTCACGCTGATGCAAGTAGTGGACTCCCATGGCCTTGGGCAGCTCTGCCCCTGTGGCTTTGCAGGGTACAGCCCCTCTCCCAGCTGTTTTCACAGGCTGGCATTGAGTGTCTGCAGCTTTTTTAGGTGCACGGTGCAAGCTGTCAGTGGATCTACCATTCTGGGGTCTGGAGGACAGTGGCCCTCTTCCCACAGCTACACTAGGCAGTGCCCCAGTGGGGACTCTGTGTGGGGGTTCTGACCCCACATTTCCCTTCCACACAGGCCAAGCAGAGGTTCTCCATGAGGGGTCCACCCCTGCAGCACACCTCTGCCTGGACAGCCATGTGTTTCTATATATCCTCTGAAATCTAGTAGTAAGAGGTTCCCAAATCTCAATTTTTGTCTTCCACATACCCACGGGACCAACATCATGTGGAAGCTACCAAGGCTTAGGACTTGAATCCTCTGAAGCAATGGCCTGAGATGCACCTTGGCCACTTTTAACCTTGGACTGAAGTGCCTAGGAAGCAGGCACCAAGTCAAGAGGCTACACACAGCAGAGGGTCCCTGGATCTGGCACAAGAAACCATTTTTCTCTTCTAGGCCTCCAGGCCTGTGATGGAAGGGGCTGCAATGAAGGTCTCTGACATGCCCTGGAGTCATTTTCCCCATTGTTTTAACAATTAGTATTTGGTTCCTCATTACTTATGCAAATTTTTGGAGCTGGCTTGAAGTTCTCCCCAGAAAATAGGTTTTTCTTTTCTATTGCATTATCAGGCTGTAAACTTTTCCAAGTTTTATGCTCTGTTTCCTCTTGAACACTTTGCTGCTTAGAAATTTCTTCTGCCAGATACCCTAAATTATCTCTCTCAAGTTCAAAGTTCCACAGATCTCTAGGGCAGAGGCAAAATGCCATAAGTCTCTTTCTATGGCAAGAATGACCTTTACTCCAGTTCCCAAGTTCCTCATCTCCATCTGAGACCACCTCAGCCTGGACTTTATTGTCTATATCACTATCTGCCTTTTGGTCAAGGCCATTCAACAAGTCTCTAGGAAGTTCCAAAGTTCTCCATATCTTCCTGTCCTCTCCTGAGACCTCCAAACCTCTGTTCCAACCTGTGGCTGTTACCCAGGTCCAAAGACGCTTCCACATGTTTGGATATCTTTACAGCAGTGCTCCACTCTCTGCGGTACCAATTTGCTGTATTAGTCTGTTGCTGTATTAGTTTGCTGCTAATAAAGACAAACCCAAGACTGGGTAATTTATAAAGGAAAGAGTTTAATTGACTCACAGTTCCACATTGCTGGAGATGCCTCACAATCATGGCAGAAGGCAAATGAGGAGCAAAATCACATCTTACATGGAGGCAGGCAAGAAATCTTATGCAGGGGAACTCCCATTTATAAAACCATCATATCTCATGAGGTATCAGATGTCCAGGATAAAAGCATGGGGCAAACAACTAAAAGCACCAAGGGACAAAGATATTTAGAGAAAGTTCTGGTTTGAAAGTAATAAAATGAGAACTGGCTTCAAAAAAATGCAAACATTGTTTTCTGGATGAAGAAACACACAAATATGCATTTAACAGAAAAAAAAAACACCAAAGAAATCTGGCTAAGTTAAGCAACTTGTCTGCAGTTAGGTTAGAAACATGGGTTGCTGCTCATTTACACCTGTGGAAGGAGGTTGGAGAGGAGAGATGTTCAAATGATGACTCATCAGGTACAAAGAGAAAATGTCATAGATCAGCCACTACCACAACTTCATTTTATAAATTAATCATAAGCCATATATGACCAGTTATTATGAAGTATCTAAGGTGATATGGATTGGCTGTGTCCCCATCCAAGTCTCTTTTTAAATTGTAGTTCCCATAATCCCCACATGTTGTGGGAGGGACCTGTTTGGAAGTAATTGAATCATGGGGTCAGTTATCCTCATGCTGTTCTCATGATAGTGAGTTCTCAGGAGATCTGATGGTTTTATAAGGGACTTTTTTCCCTTTTGCTCAGTACCTCTCTCTTGTTGCCTTGTGAAGAAGGATGTGTTTGCTTTCCCTTCCACCACGATTGAAAATTTCCTGAGACTTTCCCAGCCATGCAGAACTGTGAGTCAATTAACACTTGTTTCTTTACAAATTACCCAGTCTTGGGTATTTCTTCATAGCAGCGTGAGAATGAACTAATACATAAGGGTACCAGAATGCCTAGCTATTGAGCACAGGTGACCAAAGATAATTGTGTCTTCAATAAAAACAAATAAGGGCTCAGTAATCATGAGTTAACAGCAGCTTATACATGACATGCTAGCACTTGGAGAGTTGGCAAAGAAAAGCAAGAAGTAGCTTGCTTTTATTTATGTATTTATTTATATTATGGTTGTTAATAACAGTAGCCATTTTATCAAATGCCTATTATGTGTCTAATATAGTACCAAGTTTTTTACATAAATTACTTCATTCAATTCCAGAGTGACCCTAGGACATAGAGGCGTACCATTATCATCTCATTTTATACATCAGGGAATTAATCCTTACAGAGGTTAAGGAACTTGCTCAGGGACAAATAGCCTTTAGGTGGTGATACTTTAAAATGAGGTCAAACTTCAAAGCCTATCCCCTAAACTGCTATGTTAGATACTAAGTTACATTCTTCCTGCTACAAGCCTAGTCTTAGCTAATATTATCTTATACATGCATTGTTGCTACAATCTGTCACATCTGTGGTCTTATCAAATCTGCAACATCCAGTGATCTTTCTAAAAATTAAATCAATCTACATCACTGTCATGCATCAAAGCCAAAATGGCTTCCACTACATGTAAAATAAAACCCAAGTTCTTAACACTATGAGTCTCTACGTGTCTTTATCTTTGCCAAGCTCTCTAGTCTCAGTTGTCTATTTCCATTCTTCCTCCTCTCACTCTACTCCAGGCATACTTGCCTATTTGCTGCTCCTCAACACTTTGTCCTTATTCTTACTTCATGACATTGCTACTTGCTCTTCTTTATATCTAAGATGTTGTTTATAAAGTCTTCACACAGCAGATTCTATCTCACTGTTTAGTTCTGAATTCAAAAGTCAACTCCTCAGAGATTTTCCCACATCTCCTAAGTAAAATGTTGGCCTCTGTCCCACTACCACCATTCTCACCCTTCCCTTTGACCATGTAAATATAAATTAAACAACTGCATAACTACAGACTATACATTCTTAACTGTAAGCCCAGGACCTAGAACAGGTCTGACACATATCAGGCACTCCATAAAATATTTGTTTGCTGAGACATTGGTACAATAAAATGTCATATTCATATGACCACTAATGCATATATTAGATAAATGCATAATATGCATAAATATATATGCATATATATATATATAGTATGCAGTATATGAGCTTCTTATAGTCATCCTGAAGAAGTGGAATTTATACCCAACACTCAAAATTTGGTTTCAAAGTCAAGACTAATGGTGCCACACATGCACCAAGAGGGTACAATAAGGATTATTATTTACATGAGTCAAACAACAAAAATGGAGTAAGACTGTATGAAACTTCGGCCCTGATGCTTGACTGACAACTGAAATTTGCCATGTTGTATTTATTTTGAACTAGTTTAAATAACATTCTATGAGGCCTCCTACCTAAAATCAACAAGGAAGGTAAAAGTTCCATTGCCTTATTCAAGAGCTGAATGTTGTTTATTTTAAGAAGTGAAATGAGTATCTTGGTCACTATCAATGATGTCTGGAACTCAAAAGTCTACAACACCAAACACAAAGGAATGCCTTGGTAAGAACATGGTATTGAGGTTTTCATATGTACAGAGAAATGCATAATCTTAATTTACATTTGGGGCATCTATGAGTCAAAATAATTCAAGAGTTCTTTAACCCAAATGGGGCAAACTTGGATAAAGAATTGTTTTCTCAATGGCCAGACTATTGGGTAATCTGCCCCAATATTCACGTAGGTTCTTTTCTATTTTCCTCAAGCGTCGGCCAGCTTGAGAAATAAAGGGACAGAGTACAAAAGAGAGAAATTTTAAAGCTGGGCGTCCGGGGGAGACATCACGTGTCCGTAGGTTCCGTGATGCCCCACAAGCCACAAAAACCAGCAAGTTTTTATTAGGGAGTTTCAAAAGGGGAGGGAGTGTGCAAATAGGTGTGGATCACAGACATCAAGTACTTTACAAGGTAATAGAATATCACAAGGCAAGTGGAGGCAGGGTGAGATGATAGGACCACAGGACCGAGGCAGAATTAAAATTGCTAATGAAGTTTCGGGCACCATTGTCATTGATAACATCTTATCAGGAGACAGCGTTTTGAGATCAACCGGTCTGACCAAAATTTATTAGGTGGGAATTTCCTCTTCCTAATCAGCCTGGGAGCACTATGGGAGACTGGACTCTATTTCACCTCTGCAGTCTCGACCAAAAGAGACAACCACGCCCGGGGGGGCAGTTCAGAAACCCACCCCCAGGTACGCATTCTCTTTCTCAGGGATGTTCCATGCTGAGAAAAAGAATTCAGCAATATTTCTCCCATTTGCTTTTGAAAGAAGAGAAATATGGCTCTGTTTCAACCGGCTTACCAGCGGTCAGAGTTTAAGGTTATCTCTCTTATTCCCTGAACAACTGCTGTTATCCTGTTCTTTTTTCAAGGTGCCCACATTTCATATTGCTCAAACACACATGCTGTACAATTTGTGCAGTTAATGCAATTATTACAGGGCCCTGAGGCGATATACATCCTCATCAGCTGACAGGATTAAGAGATTAAAGTAAAGACGGCATAGGAAACCACAAGGGTATTGATTGGGGAAGTGATAAGTGTCCATGAAATCTTTACAAGTTATGTTTAGAGACTGCAGTAAAGACAGGCATAAGAAATTACAAAAGTATTAATTTGGGGAACTAATAAATGTCCATGAAATCTTCACAATTCACGTTCTTCTGCCATGGCTTCAGCCGTTCCGTCCATTTGGGGTCCCTGACTTCCCACAACACCAGACCAAATAGTCAGACAATTGACAATAGCTCAAAGGTCTCTAAAAATGTTCAGATGAGGTCAATTAATGGCCAGGACATCCAGTGTTAAGATGATTGTTTAGTTTGGCCAACTGAATCTTGGGTTTTGTCCTTTATCAGGGAAATCTTGGTTAAGATATGAAAAGCAGCAGTTCCCAAGCAACCTCTATTAGGGGTGAGGGTGGTAATGCCATTGGTAATAGTGAATGATAATCCTTCGGTAGTCACTCTGTTGATTCTAAGGGACTCCCTGGTTATCCAAGGAGTCTGAGAGAGCAATGTCGTCTTACAGAACTGTGGAATCTAGTGAGGGACTGAGGACAGAGGAGTTACCGTCTCCTGTAGGTGGGAACAT